>NC_000001.11:34553835-35178835 GCF_000001405.40 Homo sapiens | reverse complement strand
GGAAGAATGCAAAACGATATAGTATCCCTTATGGATGGTACATGTGCAACAGGGAACTCTTACTTCATATACCCTTTGCAGTAATCATTCAGGGAGGAAGAAAAACCTGGAACTTGAATGAAGGCTGATCTTTGTTTTGTGCACTGTGGCCCTGCCAGGCATATAGTGAAGGTGAATGTCTTCTCCCTCAGAAAAAAATTGGTTCCTTGCTGTCCCAGTAAGGCATAGCTTTTCCAGCCCTAACTTTAAAACTCAGTGAGGACTTAGATGGGAAAGAATGAGGTAAATACAAAGGATTGCAGGACAACAACTACAGCGTTGTGTACTGTGGGAAGGGGAGTTGGGCACTCTTGGAGGACTCCTGCTGAAGGTGGTCAGCCTGCCTGACAATGGAAGACATACTTGAATGGGGAGCAGGGTATGTGCTTTCATATGAAAAAAGAGCTGATGTTAAAACTCATTTGGTGAGGTCAACGTTGTCACATACCTTCACATAAGGGATAGTATATTTTGGGTTGCAGTCAAACTTGTGCTCAGACTGGTGAAACTGAGAGTCAGGCTTTTACATTTTAAAGAAAATACAGTTTTCATTCTAATTCAGGTGTCTACTTATTTTATGTAAGAATAATTTTAGATTTCCCCCCCACCATGAAGTTTCTTCCTATTTTTTTATGCTGTAACTTACCCCCAATCTTTATCTCTGGATTTTTACTCTTTAAATTTTGAAGTTGACTAGCATTTTCAAACCTTTATTTTATACCCTTGTCTTTTATATTAACTTTTTCTTATTATTCTTTAGGTAAGAATGATTGATGTTGGCTGATATTGGAGTGCTCATTCACATGAAGTAAGTTTCCTTTAGAAATCTTAACCCCTACAGGCTTTTGAGTTTGATTTAAATAATTTCATTTAGATATGTGGAGTGAAACTTCGATATTTGAGATGTTTACCGTTTCTAAGATAATATCCCTTTATTTTTGTTTGGAAATTAGGGATGTATGTGAGAAAGCAAGTGAGAGGCATTATAAAAATGTCAAACAATAGAATTTTTAAAAAGTGGATGGTTATATAACGGTCATAGAAGAACAGAAAAGAAAACTTGACTTAAGGGGAATAGGCCATATTGTCAATATTCAATTCAATTTTAGACTCCATCTAAAACTCCATGATTCTTTTTTTACTTAAGAAAATGTAGGAGAAGGTCAGGCATGGTGGCTTTACACCTATATTCCTAGCACTTTGGGAGGCAGAAGTGGGAGGATTGCTTGAGCCCAGCCTGGGCAAAATAGTGAGACCATGTCTCTACAGAAAAAAATATAGCCAGGTGTGGTGGTGTGTGCCTGTGGTCCCAGCTCCCTTGGAGGCTGAGGTGGGAGGGATCGCTTGATCCTGGGAGGTTGAGGCTGCAGTGAGCAAGTTAACATTTTTTGTTACAGGTGGATAGATACTTCTCAAGACATCACACAGCGTGAGTCAATCAAGGAGGGAAGCCACAAGCAGACTGACAACGTTTCTAGGTAAGTTAAATGATTCTTAGTCTGTTAAACTGTCTTCAGAAAGGCCCTTGGGTGGTACAAAAATAACAATACTAATGTGGGAACCATTAATTTTTTATTTTTTGAGATGGAGTTTCGCTCCTTTTGCCCAGGCTGTAGTGCACTGGCATGATTTTGACTCACTGCAACCTCCACCTCCTGGGTTCAAGCGATTCTCCTGCCTCAGCCTTCCAAGTAGCTGGGATTACAGGCATGTTCTGCCACGCCCGGCTCATTTTGTATTTTTAGTAGAGACAGGGTTTGACCATGTTGGTCAGGCTGGTCTCAAACTCCTGACCTCAGGTGATCTGTCCACCTTGGCCTCCCAAAGTGCTGGGATTACAGGCTTGAGCCACTCCGCCCTGCCTGTTAATTACAATTAATGCCATGTTCTTTCATTCATTAAAAGATTTTTTTTTTTTTTTTTGAGACGGAGTCTTGCTCTGTCGCCCAGGCTGGAGCAGTGGTGCACAGTCTTGGCTCACCGCAAGCTCCGCCTCCTGGGTTCACGCCATTCTCCTGCCTCAGCCTCCCGAGTAGCTGGGACTGCAGGCGCCCGCCACACACGCCTGGCTAATTTTTTTTTGTATTTTTTAGTAGAGACAGAGTTTCACCATGTTAGCCAGGGTGGTCTTGATCTCCTGACCCTGTGATCCGCCCTCCTTGGCCTCCCAAAGTGCTGGGATTGCAGGCGTGAGCCACTGCGCCAGGCCGATTAATAAGATTTCTTTGGTATTAGTTCACTTGACAGTTATATAATGTTATGTTTGAGAATTTGGTAACTCTGATTCTTGTATCCTTTGGAGTAATCATACCCTTTAATTAGCAGGATCAGGTGAGCTGTGTCCAGAAAACCAACGAGAAGGAGTGGAAGGAGGAATGAACGTTTCATTCTCGTTAATAAAGGCATTATCCTAATTATCCTTTGGTTTTGTTTTTGTTTTTTTAGTACTCGTTTATTTTCTAGAATTTACCTGACTTCAACGTATTCAAAGTGACATTAAAAAAAAAAAAAGATGGTCTGTATTACAGACACAGAACCAGATTAAGTATAATTCAGGATCCTATTGTGACTTGGCAGTGCTGCTTTCAGTCTCAGTTACTGATCAATTTTTATGGTCCATTTTAGATATTTGCCTTCACTGTAATTTTTATTTCTAAAATTAGCATGTTATTTAGCAATTACTACCTACATCTTGATTGGATTTCAGACATAGCATTTTGTATTTCCAACTTCTGTATGTACGAATTATAAGATGATGTTTATGAGATAGTCACACATCGCTTCACAAGTAAGTATAGTCAAATAACAATATAGTAATATCCCCTTATCTGCAACCATGGTTAACCACAATCTCAGAGTTATTAATTTTTAAATTGTGTGCTTTTCTGAGAGGCATCCTGTCCTTCCCACCTTGGGCAGAATACTGATGGGAATGTTGGATACAGCATATACATGCTGTATATGCTATTTGCCATCCAAAAAGGCCATGTAGGCTAGGCTAGGCTTTGGTACCATTTGTGATTTTGGGCATCCACTGTGGGGGGGTCTTGGAATGTTATCTCCTCACAGACAAGGGAGGACTCTACTGTGTTTTTGATTGGTCTGAGTAATAACGAAGGGCTGTCAATTTCTCAAAGTCAAATAAAATTTGATAATGGAGTGTGAAATGGGTAATTTTTGAGAATATCTAAATGTAAGGAAAAATCTGGAACTGACTTAAAAGCTGTTAGTAAAAATTGTACACAAATTATCTGTCCCCTTCACTCTTGGAGCCCTTATACTAAAACTTGCCAAGCTGTTAGTCTCGCACACTAATTATTATTATTACTATTTTTTGAGACTGAGTCTCTGTTGCCCAGACTGGAGCGTGGTGGCACCATCTCAAAACGTTCAATGCCACCTAGGTTTCACCACGTTGGCCAGGCTGGTTTCAAACTCCTGACCTCAGGTGAACTGCCCACCTCGGCCTCCCAAAAGTGCTGGGATTACAGGTGTGAGCCACCACGCCCGGCCTCACACAAACATTCCAGTTTTACAGTATGTTCTGCCAAAGCAAGCGCTCACTAAAGCATTGGTTCAGGACGAGATCTGAGGCTCATGCTTAAAGGTAATTTGTGTTGCTGTGTTTGCCTGTGGACTTTAATTTGGGGCCTCATTACTAATATTGCAGGATTTCAGGAAGTTAATTATTTTGCTTCAATTGAGCAGAAAAAAATTCAGGTTTGCTTGAGATTATTTGAAATAGCCACAAAGAAAGAGTTGAGGTACATCATCTACTCATCCCGTGAAATATTTTTTCTTTTTTTTTTTGAGGTGGAGTCTCGCTCTGTCGCCCAGGCTAGAGTGCAGTGGTGCATTCTCGGCTCACTGCAAGCTCTTCCTCGGGTTCATGGCATTCTCCTGCCTCAGCCTCCCGAGTAGCTGGGACTACAGGCACCTGCCAGCACACCCGGCTAGTTTTTTTGTATTTTTAGTAGAGACTAAAAATGTTAGCCAGGATGGTGTCGATCTCTTGACATTGTGATCCACCCGCCTCGCCCTCCCAAAGTGCTGGGATTACAGATGTGAGCCACCGCACCGGCCAATATGAAATTTGTATTGAGAAGTTGTGTACAGTTACTCCCAGGAATGAGACCAAGATCTGGTCAATTTTTTTCATACTGTGTTTTTTAAATAATCAGGTCAGCTTACACCCAAATCAAGAATCTTCTTGGAGTCATTGTTTGGCTCAATTCTGTTAATACTTGGTTTTCCCTCTTGTGGATCTGAAGCCTTGTGGTTCTCAAGGCAAAACCAATATAAAGTATATTATAGTGGTTAGGGGTATGTGAGGTCATTATTTCTGCAATTTGCCTGGCTGCGTTATCTTGTAAGTTTGTTTAGTTGTAGTTTGCTCATCTGCAAAACACCTTTTTCATAGGGTCATTGAGATAGAAAGTGATGCAAAAACATTTAGCAGTGCCTAAAGATGCAAAAGGAGCACATGGTATTTTCAAGTCTCTACCAGTGATAAGGTTCACAGGCAAAAACGATATTTCCCTTAGTATACCATGTAATCAGAAGAGCCTGATTAGCAGTTTTTTGATAGCAGGGAGAAAATTTAACTTGCAGATCATGTAGTCCATAGGGAACAATTAGAAAGAGCCTAAGTACTGAAAGGGATGGAAGTCCCAAGGAGAGGCCATCTGTTGCCAGTGTACTTAACCTCAAATGATAAGTAGAATTAAGTACAAGAATTGCTGCATAGCAGAGTTGTTGATTAGTTGGTATGTTAAGTACTTGACACAATACCTGACTCAGGTGTTCTAAAACAATAAGGGTGGAGAAGCCTAGAACTTAAACATGGCAAAGTCCACATTTTAACAAAATAGTGGGCACATAATGTTTTGTATCTAAAACAGGTTTAGTTCTAAACAGACTTGAAGAAACAGCACTATTGAAATAACTAAAGGATTCAGAGGTAAAGAAATTGTGGAAAGAATACACATAATTGGGGAAATATTCCATAATAACATTGTTAACATGGTAATACTTCACTAGGCTGCAGATTCAGCATAATCCTAGCCAATTTCTTGAAATTGATAAACTGATTGTGAAATTCACATAGAATATTGTAAGAGACCCAGAATAGCCAAAACAATCTTGGAAACAAATCTTGAACAAAGTCGAATTCACACTTCTGATTTCAAAACTTACTACAAAGCAATGGTAATCAAGGCTGTTGTACTAGCACAAGCATAGATGTAGAGTAATAGAATTGAGAGTCCAGAAATAAACACTCACGCATATGGCCAGCTGATTTTCAACAAGGGTACCAAAATCATCCGATAGAGAAATAATGGTGTTTTCAACAAGTGGTGCTGGGAAACTAGGTAGCCACATGTAAAAAAAGTTAGACCACACCTCACACCATATACAAAAATTAAAAAATGGATTGAAGCCCTAAATATGAGAACAAAAACTAAATATTTGCAAATCGTGCAGCTGATAAGGGATTTGTATGTAGAATATATAAAGAATTCTTAGGACTGGCTGGGCATGGTGGCTCATACCTATAATCCTAGCTGAGGCAGGAGGATCTCTTGAGGCCAGGAATTCAAGACCATCCTGCACAGCATGGCAAGACCCTGACTCTATAAAAAATTTAAAAATAAGGTGGGTGTGGTGGCACCTGCCTGTATTCCCAGCTATTCAGGAGGCTGAGGTGGGAGGATCACTTGAGCCCAGAAGGCTGAGGCTGCAGTGAGCTGTAATGGCACCACTGCACTCCAGCCTGGGTGACAGAGCAAGACCCTGTCTCAAAAAAATGAAAAAAATAATATTTAGTAAACACACTTAAGACATAGGCACTGATGCCTGTAATCCCAGCACTTTGAGAGGCCAAGGCAGGCAGATCACTTGAGGCCAGGAGTTCAAGACCAGCCTGGCTAACATAGTGAAACCCCGACTCTAGTAAAAATACAAAAAATTAGCCAGGTGTGGTGGCTGGTACCTGTAATCCCAGGTACTCAGGAGGCTGAGACAGGAGAATCATTTGAACCCAGGAGGTGGAGGTTGTGCACTCCAGCCTGGGCGACAGAGCAAGACTCCGTCTCGAAAAAGGCAAGGTGAATAGATATTTCTCAAGGAAGATTAGTAAGTGGCTAATAAGCTCCTGAAAAGATGCTAGACATTATTAGTCATTAGGGAAATCCAATCAAAACCCTTTACACTCATTAGGCTAGAATCAAGGCCAGGCTTGGTAGCTCACGCTTGTAAAACCAGCACTTTGGGAGGCCAAGGCGGGTGGGTCACTTGAGGTCAGGAGTTTGAGACCAGCCTGGCCAACATGGCAAAACTCTACTGAAAATACAAAATTAGCCAGGTGTGGTGGCGCATGCCTGTACTCCCAGCTGCTTGGGAGGCTGGGGCAGGAGGATCATTTGAACCTGGGAGGTGGAGTTTGCAGTGAGCTGAGATCGTGCCACTGCACTCCAGCCTGAGTGACAGAGTGAGACTCCATCTTGGGCGGGGGAGGCGGGGGGCAGAAATGGGAACCCTCATACATCACTGGTGGAAATGTAAACTGGTGCAGCCATGTTGGGAAACAGTCTCGCAATTCGGCAAATAAACATAGGGTCACCAAGTGACCCAGCAATTCCAATGCCCAAGAGAAACGAAAACATTTGCTCAATAACTTGTATGCAGATGTTTATACCAGCATTAATAATAGCCAAAAGCGCCAGGTTTGGTGGCTCACATCGGTAATCCTAATACTTTGGGAGGCCAAGGCAGGAGAGTTGCTTGAGCCCCAGAGTTTGGGAGTAGCTAGCCTGGGCAGCATGGTGAAACCCCATCTCTACAAAAAATACAAAAATTAGCTAGGCATGGTGGCACTGTGCCAGAACACCTGAGCCCAGGAAGTCGAGGCTGTGGTGAGCTGTGATTGTGCCACCTCATTCCAGCCTAGGTGGCAGAGCGAGACCCTGTCTCAATAATAATAACTAAAAGGTAGAAACAACGCAAATGTCCATCAACTGATGAATGGATGAGCAAAATGTAGTATATCTGTACGAAAGAATATTATTAATCCATAACAAGGAATGAAGTACTGATAACATGCCACAGCATGAGTAAAGCTTGAAAACATGCTAAGTGAAAGAAGCCAGTCACAAAAGACCACATATTGTATTCACATGAAATGGCCAGAACATGGAAATCTACAGAGACAAAGTAGATTAGAGGAAGTGGCCGAGAGAGTGATGGGGAATAATAGGTGTATCATAGCTGAATGATGCAGGGTTTCTTTTTGAGGTAATGAAAATATTCTAGGCCAGGCACAGTGGCTCACGCCTGTAATCCCAACACTTTGGGAAACTGAGGTGGGTGGGTCACCTGAGGTCAGGAGTTCAAGACCAGCCTGGCCAACGTGGTGAAACCCCATCTCTACTAAAAATACAAAAATTAGCCAGGTGCATGCCTATAATCCCAGCTACTAGGAGGCTGAAGCATGAGAATCACTTGAACCCAGGAGGTTGAGGTTGTAGTGAGCCAAGATGGAGCCACTACACTCCAGCCTGGGCAAGAGAGTGAGACTCCATCTCAAAAAAATAAAATAAAATATTCTAAAATTGAGTGGTGATGGATGCACATATCTGTGAATACACTGAAAACCATTGAATTGTATAAATGGATCAACTGTTAGATGTGTGAATTATATTTAAATAAAGCTTTATTGAAAAAAGACTTGGAGTGGTGTAAGAAGAGGCCTTGGCTGGGCGTGGTGGCTCACGCCTGTAATCCCAACACTTTGGGAGGCTGAGGTGCGCAGATCACCTGAGGTCAGGAGTTCGAGACCAGCCTGGCCAACATGGTAAAACCCCATCTCTACTAAAAATACAAAAAAATTAGCAGGCGTGGTGGCACACACCTGTAATTTCAGCTGCTTATGAGGCTGAGGCAGGAGAATTGCTTGAACCTGGGAGGCGGAGGTTACAGTGAGCCAAGATCGTGCCACTGCCCTCCATTCTGGGCAACAGAGTGAGACTCCATCTTAAAAAAAAAAAAAGGTCTTATAGGCACGGGTGAGATCATAAAAGGCCTTGTAGGCCATGCTAAGTATTTTGAACTTTATCTGAAGAGCAGTGGGAATCCTTGAACAAGAGCACCTGGATTATTAAAATCACTTCCTCACTGGTTTTACCCTCTGCTGTGCTGTAGTCTGTTTCTTAGCACTACCTCTAGTTCAGTTATCTATTGCTTCCTAACACACTACCCCTAAACTCAGTGGCTTTAGACAACAACTCATTATGGTTTTCAGGGTTGGCTGGGCTTGGCCAGGCAGCTCCAGGTCAGAGGGAGGCCAGGTCTGAAGTCTTCTGAAGGCTGTTGGTGTCCAAGTCCAAGATGGCTACTTCTCTCACATGTCTGACAACTCTGCTGAGATGATTGGAACACTTACATCCTTTCTTTTTCCTTAAAGTGATTAGATGTGTCTCAATTCCTAAAGGAAAAGGGACTGGTGATTGTTTTTCAGAACAGTGAGGAAGGTGCCTTTGGACAGGGTTCTACCCTGAGGCTGTGGCATGGCGAGGGAAAAGACACGTGAATGACAGATTCTGTGGTAGTGATCACAATGGATTGGAAAGCCGACTTGCATCAAGAGAAAAGAGGAGCAAAAGAAGCCAGTCTGTATCTGAGAAGAGGGCTTTGGACTGAGCAGTAAAAAAACATTTGTGTGATGACTTCTCCCTTGGCAAGACCTAAAGAAGAAGAAGAATTGCATCTGAGAATTTATCAATATTTTATCTTATGTCTTAGGTACTCTCCATTTACCTATTGGTTTGGAACCAGGAGTTTCTTTTCATCAAATATTAAGACAAAATAAAAACCTTTGGCTGGTGAATTTAACAAAACGGTGGTAGTACCACAAGGACTACTGGAAAAAACTAAAGATGATCCTGACGATATACACCCAGTTTATTTTGTTTTCTTATTTTCTGTTTCAAACTTTTTTTTTATTTTTTGAGACAGGGGTCTCACTCTGTTGCCCAGGCTGCAGTGCAGTGGCACAATCACAGCTCACTGCAGCCTCGACTTCCCCAGCTCAAGTGATCTTCCTGCCTTAGTCCCCCAAGTAGCTGGACCCACAGGCATGCACCACCATGCCTGGCTAATTTTTTTATTTTGTAGAGATGGGCCTCACTATGCTGCCCAGGCTGGTCTCGAACTCCTGGGCTCAAGTTATCCTCCTGCCTCAGCCTCCCAAAGTGTTGGGATTACAGGTGGGAGCCACCACACCTGGCCCTTTTACTTTTTTTTTTTTTTTTTTTTGAGACCGAATCTTGCTCTGTCGCCCAGGCTGGAGTGCAGTGGTACGATCTCGGCTCACTGCAACCTCTGCCTCCCAGGTTCAAGTGATTCTCCTGCCTCAGCCTCCGGAGTAGCTGGGACTACAGGCGTGTGTCACCATGCCCGGCTAATTTTTGTAATTTTAGTAGAGACAGGGTTTCACCATATTGGTCAGGCTGGTCTCAAACTCCTGACCTCAGGTGATCCACCTGCCTTGGCCTCCCAAAGTGCTGGAAGTACAGGTGTGAGCCACCGCAGGCGGCCTCCTTTTATATTTCTTAAAAGTCTTTAACTTCAGCATTTTTTGTATCTGCCAGCACAGTTTGAATTCAGTGTCTCAGTTTATATAACCCCAATGGACTTTACCAGTATCCCTTATCCCAGTCTTCCTGCCTTTTCTCTCTCTCTGTTGACAAATAAAAATTATATATATTTATAGCATACAACATGATGTTTTGAAATATGTATACATTGTGGAATGGCAAATTGAGCTAATTAGCATATGCATCACCTCACATACTTATCATTTATTTGTATGAGAACAATTAACATTCATCCTCTTAGCAATCTGCAAGTATGCAATACATTGTTATCAACTGTAGTCACCATGGTGTACAATAGTAGAACTCTTGAATGTATTCCTCTTAACTGAAATTTTGTTGTCTCCCCAATCTTCCTTCTCACCCTCCATCCCCTGGTAACCACCATTATACTCTCTGCTTCTATGAGTTTGACTTTTTTAGATTCCACATATGAATGAGATCATGAGACATTTGTATTTCTGTGCCTAGCTTATTTCGCCCAGGTAATGTCCTCCAAGTTCATCTATGTTATCAAAGATGACAGAATTTCCTTCTTTTAAAGGCTGAATAATACTCCACTGTGTATGTATCTTACATTTTCTTTATCTGTTCATCCATCAATGGACACTTGGATTGATTCCATAGCTGCCTTCACTCCTGCACCTTTTGCTCATGACATAGTTTCCTTCCTAAAACACTCACCTGATCATTTCTCTTCAGCTTGGAATCACTTTCTCTTGTACAACAAAGTTCAAACTCCTTATCAGGTCACACAAATCTGGTTCTTTCTTTAGTTCATCTTGCATTATGCCATTAAAACTATGCTCTATGTAAACCAAACTCTCTCTTTTTTTTGAGACAGAGTCTCGCTCTGTCACCCAGGCTGGAGTGCAGTGGTGTGATCTCGGCTCACTGTAACCTCCGCCTCCCAGGTTCAAGAGATTCTTTTGCATCAGCCTCCCGAGTAGCTTGGACTATAGGCATGGGCCACCACATCTAGCTAATTTTTGTATTTTTAGTAAAACGGGGTGTCACCATATTGGCCAGCCTGGTTTCAAACTCCTGACCTGGTGTTCCGCCCACCTCAGCCTCCCAAAGTGCTGGGATTATAGGCGTGAGCCACCGCGCCCGGCCCAAACTCTCTATTTCCCTGAGTGTATCTTGGGTTTTCTTCCTCTTTGCCTCTCTACATATTGCTGCAGCTTCACCCTTCATTTGTCAGACTGGCAAAAGCCAACTTTTATATATATATTATTTTCTAGGGTACTTTTGTTATAGCAAATGCCAACTTTTTTCTTTTTTTAAATTGTAAATTGACAACTTATAATTGTATAGACTTATGAGTTCTGTGAAGAGGGTGTCGTGTGGGGAAAACATTTATAGGGTACAAAATGCTGTTACAATTTATGAATGCAATGTGAAATAATTAAATCAAGCTAGTTAACATATCCGTCACCTCAAATACTAAACATTTTTTTGTGGCAAGAACACTTGAAATTTACTTAGCAATTTTGAAATTTTCAACACTCTATTATTAACTATATTCACCAGGCTGTGCAATAGAACGCATAAAAAGAGAAAACATTCTCTCTGTTTGAAATTGTATACCCTTTGGGCCAGGCACAGTGGCTCATGCCTGTAATCCCAGCACTTTGGGAAGCTGAGGTGGGTGGATCACTTGAGGTCACGAGTTCAAGACCAGCCTGGCCAACATGGTGAAATCCCATCTCTGCTAAAAGTACAAACACACAAAAAAATTAGCTGGGTGTGGTGGTGCATGCCTGTATAATGCCTGTAGTCCCAGCTACTAGGGAGGCTGAGGCAGGAGAATCACTTGAACCTGTGAGGTAGAGATTGCAGTGAGCCAAGATCGTGCCACTGCACTCCAGCCTGGATGACAGAGCAAGACTCTCTCTCAAAAAGAAAGAAAGAAACAAACAAAAAACCGAAGAAATTGTATACCCTTTGACCATCACCTCCCCATTTCCCCCATCCTCCAGCTTCTGTCACTACTGTTCTACTCTCTGCTTCTATAAGTTCAGTTTTTAAATTCCACATATAAATGAGAACATGTGGTATTTGTCTTTCTGGGCCTGACTTATTTCACTGAGCATAATGTTCTCCAATTCCATCAATGTCGTCACAAATGTCAGAATTTCTTTCTCTCTTTTTTTTCTTTTTCTTTTTTTTTGTTTGAGATACACTCTCACTCTGTCGCCCAGGCTGGAGTGCAGCGGCGTGATCTTCGCCCTCTGAAACTTCTGCCTCCTGGGTTCAAGCGATTCTCCTGCCTTAGCCTCTGAATAGCTGGGATTACAGGCGTGCACCACCATGCCTGGCTAATTTTTGTACCTTTTTTTTTTTTTTGAGATGGAGTCTCGCTGTGTCTCCCAGGCTGGAGTGCAGTGGTACGCGATCTTGGCTCACTGCAAGTTCTGCCTCCCAAGTTCACGCCATTCTCCTGCCTCAGCCTCCCAAGTAGCTGGGACTACAGGCGCCTGCCACCATGTCCAGCTAATTTTTTTTGTATTTTTAGTAGACATAGGGTTTCACCGTGTTAGCCAGGATGGTCTCAATCTCCTGACCTTGTGATCCGCCTGCCTCGGCCACCCAAAGTGCTGGGATTACAGGCGTGAGCCACCGCGCCTGGCCTAATTTTTGTACTTTTAGTAAAGACGGGGTTTCACCATGTTGCCCAGGCTGGTCTCAAAGTCCTGACCTTAAGTGATCTGCCCACTTTGGCCTCCCAAAGCGTTGGAATTATAGGCACGAGCCACTGCACCCAGCCACAATTTCCTTTTTCTTTCTTGGAGACAGAGTCTTGCTCTGTCATCCAGGCTGGAGAGCAGTGGTGTGATCTTGGTTCACTGCAACCTCCACCTCACAGGTTCAAGCCATTCTCCTGTCTAAGCCTCCCGAGTAGCTGGGACTACAGGCGCACACCACCATGCCCGGCTAATTTTTTGTATTTTAGTAGAAACAGGGTTTCACTGTGTTGCCCAGGCTGGTCTCAAACTCCTGAGCTCAGGCAATCCACCCACCTCGGCCTCCCAAAGCACTAGGATTACAGGAGTAAGCCACCGCGCCTGGCCCAGAATTTTCTTTTTTTCTTTTTTTTTTTTTTTTGAGATGGAGTCTCACTCTGTCACCCAGGCTGGAGTGCAGTGGTGCGATCTCAGCTCACTGCAACATCCACCTCTCAGGTTCACACCATTCTCCTGCCTCAGCTTCCCGAGTCTCTGGAACTACAGGTGCCCACCACCACGCCTGGCTAATTTTTTGTATTTTTAGTAGAGACAGGGTTTTAACTGTGTTAGCCAGGATGGTCTTGATCTCCTGACTTCGTGATCCACCCACCTCGGCCTCCCAAAGTGCTGGGATTACAGGCATGAGCCACTGTGCCTGGCCCAGAATTTCCCTTTTTTTAAAGGTTGAATAGTATTCCATTATGTATATGCACTATAATTTTTTTAATCCATTCATCTGTTGATGGGCAGAGCTTGAATCCATAACTTGGCTACTGCAAATAGTGCTGCAATGAACACAGGAGTGCAGATATCCCTTTAACAAACTGATTTCAAGTCTTTTGCATTAATACCCAGAAGTGGGATTTCTGGATCATATGATAATTCTATTTTTAGTTTGGATTTTTTTTTTTTAAATCTCCATACTGTTTTCCTTTTTTTTTTTTTTTTGAGATGGAATCTCGCTTTGTTGCCAGGCTGGAGTGCAATGGCGTGATCTCGGCTCACTGCAACCTCTGACTCCCTGGTTCAAGCAATTCTCCTGCCTCAGCCTCCCAAGTAGCTGGGATTACAGGCACACCCAACTAATTTTTGTATTTTTAGTAGAGACGGGGTTTCACCATGTTGGCTGGGATGGTCTCGATCTCCTGACCTCTTGATATGCCCACTGCAGCCTCCCAAAGTGCTAGGATTACAGTCATGATCACTGTATGAGATGATATCTCATTGTGGTTTTAATTTGCATTTCTCTAATGATTAGTGATGCTGAGCATTTTTTTATTATCTGTTAGCCATTTGCATGTCTTCTTTTGAGAAATGTATCACTGGAATGCAAGGATGGTTCAACATATGCAAATCAATAAATGTGACATGCCACTTAAATAGAATGAAAGATAAATACCATGTAGTCATCTCATTAGATGCCAAAAAGTGGCAAATACCAACTTTTAAGATACTCAGTTTTCTTTTTCTTTTCTTTTTTATTTGACAGAGTCTCGCTCTGTTGCCGAGGCTGGAGTGCAATGGCTTAATCTCAGTTCACTGCAACCTCTGCCTCTCAGGCTCAAGCCATCCTCCCACCTCAGTCCCCCAAGTAGCTGGGACCACAGGGGCACACCACCACACCCAGCTATTTTTTTTTTTTGTATTTTCAGTAGAGACAAGGGTCTCTCCGTGTTGCCTAGGCTGGTCTCAAACTCCTGCACTCCAGGGATCCACCCACCGTGGCTTCCAACAGTGCTGAGATTATAGGCTTGAGCCACCATGCCCGGCCTCTTTGTTTTTTGTTGTTCTTTTTTTTTTTTAATTTTTAAATTTTAAAAATTTTAATTTTAAAAATTTTAATTTTTCCATAAGTTATTGGGGGTACAGGTGGTATTTAGTTACATGGGTAAGTTCTTTAGTGGTGATTTGTGAGATTTTGGTGCACCCATCACCCGAGCAGTATACACTGTAGCCTATTTGTAGTCTTTTATCCGTCACCAACCTCCCACCATCCCTTGCCCCCTCCCACTTGTTTTTTGTTTTTTTGATGTTCTTTCTAATTTTTACCTGCTTAAGGGGTGCACACACACACACACACACACACAGATACACACAAATAGAAATGATTATTCGTTTTTAAATTTTAAGAGATGGGGCTAGATTCCAACTCCTGGGCTTAAGCAGTCCTCCCACCTCAGCCTCCCAAGTACAAGTAGCTGGGACAACAGAGCTTGGCCTCACTGCACCTGGCTGATTATTCTGTTTTGTGCTGTTCATTGTTAACCAGTCATTCTCTACTGGATTTATTTTTACTTTTTTTTTTTTTAAACCAGGTATTGCTCTTGTCCCCCAGGCTGGAGTGCGATGGTGCAATCTCAGCTCACTGCAACCTCCACCTCCCAGATTCAAGCGATTCTCCTGCCTCGGCCCCCCAAGTAGCTGTGATTACAGGCTCCTGCCACCACACCCGGCTAATTTTTGTATTTTTAGTTGAGACAGGGTTTCACCATGTTGGTCAGGCTGGTCTTGAACTCCTGACCTCAGGTGATCCACCCACCTCAGCCTCCCAAAGAGCTGGGATTACAGGCATGAGCCACCGTGCCTGGCCTTATTTTTATTTTTCTTTAAAAAATATATTTATATTTTAAAATCCATTTATTATAGTTATATTAATATATATTACTATATTATGTTTATAAAACTAAACACATATTGTATTCTTTTTTCTTTTTTGACTTAGAACTTTAACTTTTTTTTTTTAATTTTTTTTTCAAGAGGGAGTCTTGCTCTGTTGCCCAGGCTGGAGTGCAGTGGCATGATCTTGGCTCACTGCAACCTCTGCCTCCTGGGTTCAAGTGATTCTCCTGCCTCAGCCTCCCTAGTAGCTAGGATTAGAGGTGCATGCCACCACGGCCAGCTAATTTTTGTATTTTTAGTAGAGACGGGATTTTGCCATGTTGGCCACTCTGGTCTTGAAATCCTGACCTCAAATGATCCTCCCACCTCAGCCTCCCAAAGTGCTGGGATTATAGGTGTGAGCCACCATGCCCGACCTTTTTTTTTTTTTTTCTATTAGCTGATTTTTTCTACTGCTGTGGTTCACATTTTCCTGCTCCTTGACATGTCTAATAATTTTTCACTAGATCCTGGACATTGTGAATATCATGTTGTCGAATGTCTTACTTTTAAGAGTAATTAGTTTTGTTTTGGCAGGCAATTAGATTTGATAGAGCAAGTCTGGAGTGACTTTTTCTCTAGGCCTAATTCTAGTATTTCCACTGGATGCCTTAGGTGTATAACAAGGTTCTTCTATTCAGAATAGTCAGAATGTGAATGTCTCCCCAGCCCTTGTAAGCTCTAGGAATTGTCCAACATAAAACTCTCTAGTTGTTGTTCCTTTTTCAATAGTTGTTTTTTCTCTGACCTTGTGGAGTCTTGTTCTATACTTGCACAATTTAGTATTCTGCCAATAACTCCAAATAAATTTTATGCAGATTCTTTTTCTGTATAGCTCCCTTCTTTTTAGTATTTTGTTCCACAAGTTCCAGCTGCTTCAGCCTTATCAAACTCCAATCTCTGGCTGGGCTCAGTGGCTCATGCCTGTAATCCCAGCACTTTGGGAGGCCGAGGTGGGTGGACCACCTGAGGTCAGGAATTTGAAACCAGTCTGACCAACATGGTGAAACTCCGTCTCTACTAAATATACAAAAATTAGCCAAGTGTGCTGGCGCGTGCCTGTAATCCTAGTTACACAGGAGGCTGAGGCAGGAGAATCACTTGAACCTGGAAGGTGTAGGTTGCAGTGAGCTGAGATTGTGCTGCTACTGCAGTCCAGCCTGGGCAACTGGAGACTCTGTCTAAAAAAAAAAAAAAAAAAAAACTCTGAACTCTGTCTCCTCAATGCAGCAAGAACTCCACGCTCTTGTTTGGGTCCTCTTCTCTACACCATGGATCAGATAAAGCTTCCAGGCAGACAGCATGTGACAATCATGAGTTTCACTTTCACCCAGGCTGGAGTGCAGAGGTGCTTGCCTCATTTACTACCCTTTTTTCAAGAATCACAATCCTGTATAGCCTATTTTGCAATGTGTTATGGACTGAATTGTGTCCCCCAAAAATCCAATTGAAGTCTTAACCCCTAGTGTATCTCAGAATGTGACTATATTTGTAGATAGGGCCTTTCAAGAAATAATTAAGGTAAAATGAAGGCATACGGGTGAGGCCTTACTCCATTACGGCTAATATCTTTATGAGAAAAGGAAGAATCACCATGGATGAGTGGACCACATGAGGACCAGGAAAGGACACAGCAAGTAGACTGCCCTCTGCAAGCCAAGGAGAAAGACCTCAGAAGAAATTAAACCTGCCAACACTGCCATCTTGATCTTCTACACTCAAGAACTGTGAGAAAATACACTCCTGGCTTTTTTTTTTTTTTTTTTTCTGAAATGGAGTCTCACTCTTTTGCCTAGGCTGGAGTGCAGTGGCACAATCTCAGCTCACTGCAACCTCTGCCTCCCAGGTTCAAGCGATTCTCCTGCCTCAGACTCCTGAGTAGCTGGGATTACAGGCGCCTGCCACCATGCCCAGCTAATTTTTGTATTTTTAGTAGAGACAGGGTTTCACCATGTTGGCCAGGCTGGTCTCGAACTCCTGACCTCAAGTGATCTGACTCCTCCTCGGCCTCCCAAAGTGCTGGGATTACAGGCGTGAGCCACTGCACCCGGCCTATTTCTGTTTTTTTTTGTTGTGTTTTGTTTTGTTTTGAGACGGAGTCTCGCTCTGTTGCCCAGGCTGGGGTGCAGTGGCATGATCTCGGCTCACTGCAAGCTCCGCCTCCCAGGTTCATGCCATTCTCCTGCCTCAGCCTCCTGAGTAGGTGGGACTACAGGCGCCCATCACCACGCCCGCCTAATTTTTTGTATTTTTAGTAGAGACGGGGTTTTACCATGTTAGCCAGGATGGCCTCGATCTCCTGACCTTGTGATCCACCCGCCTCAGCCTCCCAAAGTGCTGGGATTACAGGTGTGAGCCACCGCGCCTGGCCCCTATTTCTGTTTTTTAAGCCACTAGTCTGGTATTTTGTTATGGCAGCTCTAGCAAACACATATACCATGTATGAACAGCAGTTGTTTTGTATACTTCATGCAGTTTTCTAGTTGTTTACAGCACTAAGGGAAATCTGGTACCAGTTTTCTGTCTGAGCTGGAAGCTGAATACAACAGATTTGTTTTAACAGAGACAGAACAAGTTGGAAAAAGTTATAAATAGTCACACGAATTTCCATTTTACACAGGAAAACGTAATGAACATTTTAAAAAACAGCTTAAATGAAGTAATTGATATACAATAAACTGCACATATTTGAAGTACAAACTTGATAAAGTTTGACATATGTATACACCAATAAGATCATTACCACTGTCAATCTAAATAATAAAGAGAAAGAGGCTCTCTAAAAGAAAAAGAGATTTATTCAGGAGTTACGCATTGCAATGGGAATATGTGTGCCACAGTAAACTATGTATATGTATTGAATAGGTAAAGAAAGACAAAGGTTTTGGCTGGATGCGGTGGTTCATGCCTGCAATCCCAGCACTTTGGGAGACTGAAGTGGGTGGATTACATGAGGCCAGGAGTTCGAGACGAGCCTGGTCAACATGGCGAAAACCTGTCTCTACTAAAAATACAAAAATTAGCCGGGGATGGTGGTGCATGTCTGTAATCCCAGCTACCGGGGAGACTGAGGCGGGAGAATCAAACCCAGGAGGCAGAGGTTGCAGTGAGCTGAGATCACACCACTGCACTCCAGCCTGGGTGACAGAGCAAGACTCTGTCTCAAAAAAAAAAAAAAAAAAAAGAAAAAGGAAAAAGACAGAGGAGAAAGGTTTTCAAAGGAAAAAATGAAGAGGATTACATCATTGTTTTGAAATGATATCCTTGGCTATAAAAATCCTTAACAAGGGTGTTGCCTGGCTGAGGTTGGACAGGCAGTTGCTTGGTAGATGTCTTTGCAGATGAATTTTTTGTGTAAGTTTGTGATGGCTTTTTTGCAAGGTTGTGTTTTTTCAAGGGTCTTTTGTGATAGCTTCTGTTATGAGACATACAAGCCTTCCCTGGCTCTATTTTTTTTTTTAAACACTAGTGACTCCTAGTGTTAAATCTCAATTCTAACAACTTTCACATTACAATCAAGATAAAATGGCTGCCACCCCCAAAAGTTTCCTTGTGTCCCTTAGTAATCCTTGACTCCTGTACCTATACATCCCTCCTTTGCCTCTACCAATCTACAGGCAACCACTGATCTGCTTACTTACCACTATAGGTTAGTTTCCATTTTCCAGAATTTTATATGAATAGAATCTTTGACATGTGTTTTGTGTGTGTGTATGTGTGTGTGTGTGTGTGATGGAGTCTCCCTCTGTTGCCCAGGCTGGAATGCAATGGCGCGATCTCAGCTCACTGCAACCTCTGCCTCCCGGGTTCAAGCAATTCTCTGCCTCAGCCTCCAGAGTAGCTGGGATTACAGACACCAGCCACCACGCCCAGCTAATTTTTGTATTTTTAATAGAGATGGGATTTCACCATCTTGGCCAGGCTGATCTTGAACTCCTGACCTCATGATCCACCCACCTTGGCCTCCCAAAGTGCTGGGATTACAAGCATGAGCCGCTGCACCCGGCCTCTTTTTTTTATTTGGCTTCTTTCACTCAGCATTATTTTGAGAGTCATACACATTGTTAGGTGTATCAATAGTTTGTTGGGTTCTTTTCTGAGACAGTCTCACTCTATTACCCAGGCTGGAGTGCAGTGGCATGATCACAGCTCACTGCAGCCTCGACCTCCCAGGCTCAGGTGATCCTCCCACCTCAGCCTCCCAAGTAGCTGGGACCGCAGGTGCTCACTACCATATCTGGCAAATTTAAAAAAAAATTTTGCAGGCCAGGTGTGGTGGTTCACCCCTGTAATCCCAGCCTGTGGGAGGCCAAGGCAGGGCCAATCACAAGGCCAGGAGTTCGAGACCATCCTGGCCAACATAGTGAAACTCTGTCTCTACTAAAAATACAAAAAAAAAAAAAAAATTAGCCAGGAATGGTGGTGCGTGCCTGTAGTCCCAGCTACTTGGGAGGCTGAAGCAGGCGAATTGCTTGAACCCAGGAGGCAGAGGTTGCAGTGAGCTGAAATCACATCACTGCACTCCAGCCTGGGCAACGAGTGTGTCTCAAAAAAAAAAAAAATTTTTTTTTTTTTTTTTAGCAGAGATGAGGTCTTCCTATGTTGCCCAGGCTGGTCTGGAACTCCTGAGCTCAAGCAATCTTCCTGCCTCAGCCTCCCAAAGTTCTAGGATTATAGGTGTGAACCACCATGCCTATCAGTAGTTTGTTTCTTTATTTCTTTTCTTTTTCTTTTCCTTGTTTTTTTTTTTTTTTTTTTGAGATGGAGTCTCCCTCTGTCACCCAGGCTGGAGTGCAGTGGTGCAATCTCAGCTCGCTGCAATCTCTGCCTCCCGGGTTCAAACGATTCTCCTGTCTCAGCCTCCCGAGTAGCTGGGATTACAGGAGCCCACCACCACACCCGGCTAATTTTTGTTTCTTTAGTAGGGACAGCATTTCACCACGTTGCCCAGGCTAGTCTCGCACTCTTGGCCTCAAGTGACCCACCCGCCTCAGTCTCCTAAAGAAATACCTAGTTTTTGTATCTACGCAATGTAATGTATTCTAATAATTTTCTTTCTTTTTTTTTTTTTTTGAGACCGAGTCTCACCCTGTCACCCAGGCTGGAATGCAGTGGCGTGATCTGAGCTCACTGTAACCTCCGCCTCCTGGGTTCAAGCGATTCTCGTGTGTTGGCCTCCCAAGTAGCTGGGATTACAGGCGCCTGCCACCACACCAGGCTAATTTTTGGTATTTTTAGTAGAGATGGGCTTTCACCATGTTGTTCAGGCTGGTCTCAAACTCCTGACCTCAAGTGATCCACCTGTCTCAGTCTCCCAAAGTGCAGGGATTATAGGTGTGAGCCATCATGCCCGGCGCTATTTTTAAATTTTAAATTTGGCAATGTCCAAAATTTAAACACTGGTTATAATATTCAACATAATATTAAATTTCAATACTGAAAAGCTCTATAAAAGAAAGAAACTATACTTAATAGTCACGTTCTATCTAATGCTGTTTTTTCTCCTAGTGAGAATAAAGCTTTTTTAAAGCTCTGACCGTAGCTCTTGAAGTTTCTGGTTCTTATTGTTGATCTCTGCTCACTGCAACCACAACCTCCCGGGGCAAGCAATTCTCCTACGTCATCCTCCCAAGTAGCTCGGACTACAGAGGTGTGCACCGCCACCTCTGGCTAATTTCTATTTTTTTAGTAGAGATGGGGTTTCACCATGTTGCCCGGGCTGGTCTTGAATTCCTGAGCTCAAGTGACCTGCCCTCCTGGGTCTCCCAAAGTGCTCATGCTCCCAAAGGCATGAGCCACCGCGCCTGGCCTTGATTGTAAAATTACCTTTCATTAGGCACACTGCTTATTACAGGACTGGACTTTTCAGCTCTTCCATACTGTGGATTACTGAGCAAATTTCATCTAGCAGGTCACCACCTTCTACCAAGAAAATTTGCCCAAGCTGCTCAGAGTGAAACAGAATTCCAAAGTCTGTGACCTATTTCTTCATTTCTGTGTATGTAGTTCTTAGAGCATTAGGTATAATTTTCTACATTTCCATATTCCTGAATTAATGTCACTTTATAGAATAATATGTTACTTCTGCTTTCAAACTTCTTAGATTTCCTCATAAAGACCTTTTAATTGAGGAGTTTATAGATTCTAAAATTCTAGAAGCTTCAATTTTCTTCAAGGCTAAATAATGTGACTAGCTACTTGAAAGAACATCTGAAGGCCAGGTATGGTGGCTCACGCCTGTAATCCCAGCACTTTGGGAGGCCGAGGTGGACAGATCACAAGGTCAGGAGTTCGAGACCAGCCTGGCCAATATGGTGAAATCCCGTCTCTAGTCAGGAGATGGAGACCATCCTGGCTAACACGGTGAAACCCCGTCTCTACTAAAAAAAAAAAAAAAAAAAAAAAATTAGCCGGGCATGGTGGCACATGCCTGTAATCCCAGCTACTTGGGAGGCTGAGGCCAGATAATAGCTTGAACCTGGGAGACGGAGGTTGCAGTGAGCTGAGATGGTGCCACTTCACTGCAGCCTGGGTGATGGAGGGAGATTCCGTCTCAAAAAAAAAAAAAATAGTGTAGAAGATTCTAGTATGCCTCGTTCCTGTAGACAACTACTATTTAAACATCATTCATTATTTAACAAAGACCAGACCAGGTCGTTTTCAAAGCCTCAAGAAAAAGAAAGTTACTGTTTTTTTTTTTTTTTTTTTTGAGACAGAGTTTTGCTCTTGTCTCCCAGGCTAGAGTGCAGCTGCATGATCTCAGCTCACTGTAGCCTCTGCCTCCCGGGTTAAAGCTATTCTCGTGCTTCAACCTCCCAAGTAGCTGGGACTACAATCGTGCACCACCACACCTGGCAAATTAGTTTGTATTTTTAGTAGAGAGGGGATTTCACCCTGTTGGCAGGCTGGTCTTGAACTCCTGACCTCAGGTGATCCACCTGCCTCAGCCTCCCAAAGTGCTGGGATTACAGGCATGAGCCACTGCGCCTGGCCAGAAAGGCTTGGTTGTATAAGGTTTCATATATTTAATATTGGCATTAAATATGGAGTATTTTAGTACAACTAGATATAAAAGTGGTTTCCCCCTATTTTTTTAAAGAAAATTAAATATGGTTTTGTTCTTAAATATGCTGGAAACATCTTACTTGTAATAACATTTTATTTTGTTTCAGTCTCAAGAAATTGAACAGATAGGAGAAATTTTTAAAAAGATTTTTGATGTGTTTTTTTTTTTTTTTTTGAGATGGAGTCTCGCTCTGTCACCCAGTCTGTAGTGCAGTGGTGAGATCTCGGCTCACTGCAACCTCCACCTCCCAGGTTCAAACAATTCTCCCTGCCTCAGCCTCCCGAGTAGCTGGGATTACAGGCGCCTGCCACCATGCCTGGGTAATTTTTGTATTTTTTAGTAGAGATGGGGTTTTGCCATGTTGGCCAGGCTGGTCTTGAACTCTCGACATCAGGTGATCTTCCTGCCTCGGCCTCCCAAAGTGCTGGGATTACAGGCATGAGCTGCCAAGCCTGGCCGATGTGTTTCTTTTATAGTATTTAAGAATTACGATTAGTCTTAAAAGTACTTAGCTTGATTTCCTTATCCAGGAACCTACTTTTCTCTCAGACTAGCCACTTTGGTCAGTCTCCTTTTTCTGTTTTGTACCAGTAAAATTTTTGTACCCTTTGATTTGCTTTTGCCTTCAAAGCCTATGATTAATTCTGTAAGAATATCCTGAGTGATGAGGAAACTTTGCCCTTTGAGGTAAAGTTACCTGGAATCTTCTCTGATGAATAAAATACATAATTGAATTGTTACCACGTGACAAATACTGTGCTAGGCACTTGATATGCATTATCTAAATTTATCTCTGCGGCCGGGTGCGGTGGCTCACGCCTGTAATCCCAGCACTTTGGGAGGCCGAGGCAGGTGGATCACCTGAGGTCAGGAGTTTGAGACCAGCATGGCCAACATGGCGAAACCCCCTTTCTACTGAAAATACAAAAAGTAGCCGGTGTGATGGTGGGTGCCTGTAGTCTCAGCTACTCGGGAGGCTGAGGCACGAGAATCGCTTGAACCCAGGAGGCAGAGGTTGCAGCGAACCGAGATTGCGCCACTGCACTCCAACCTGGTGACAGAGCGAGACTCCATCTCAAAAAAAAAAAAAAAAAAAAAAAAAAGTTGCTCAGGCTCAAAGTACAAAATGATGGAAATGAGATTTGAACCAGTGTGGAATGACTCCAGAACCCTTGCTTTTAATCACTTTTACAGTCTTGCTCCATCCACTTAAGAGGCTCACTTGAGTGCAGCTTTGATCTCTGTGTGGAAATTCTCATGTACTTATCATCATCCCACATCAAACAAAGGCTATTAGAGTATCTCTTTTCCTGCTTCGGGGGTACTGCTTGCCATTTGGAGGCACAGCTTGTAAGTGTGGGGGAATTAATATCCCTGGGGAATTCTCAGTGGGAATTGGTGGATAAATGCCCCAACCTCCCTGCTCTTCAGGACGGTCCAAAGTACTGTCTACATGGTTCCTTAGAGAGTCCCTATAAGATCGACCCCCAGTTGTTCTTTGCATGGTGACCACTTCAGTAACACCCTTTATTGGATTTTTTCCCCTTTCTTATTTCAATCATATTCTCCACTCCTTCACTTCCACTTCCTGGGGTCACTTCCCAAATAAACAACCACAACCATGTCTTTATCTCAGGCTCTGCCTTTAGGGAAAAAATACCTAAGAAATCTATGAATTCTGCCTCTAAGAAATGAGACTTAAAAAGTAATTGAACATGAATATAAAAACAAGAATATGGAACAAGATGTTCTATATATAGATGTTCTTATATTGCTTGTCAGTTGTTCTTGAAATATTATATCTGAGCCTCTATAGAATTCCTAGTGTCTGTGAGTCACTAATTCTACCAACATTTATTGAGGGATATGTGATACACAATAAAATGCATATATTTAAACTGTATAATTTGATACTTTTTAGTTTTTTTATTTTTTTAGAGACAGGGTCTCACTTTATCACCCAAGTTGGAGTGCAGTGGTGCAAAGATAGCTCACTGCTGCCTTGACTTCCTAGGCCTGAGAGATCCTCCTGGCTCAGCCTCTTGAGTAGCTGGGACTATAGGCCTGTGCCACTACGCATGGCTGATTTTTTTTTTTTGAGACAAAGTCTCGCTTTGTTGCCCAAGCTGGAGTACAGTGGTGTGATCTTGGTTCACCACAACCTCTGCCTCCCGGGTTCAAGCGATTCTCCTGCTTCAGCCTCCTGAGTAGCTGGGACTACAGGCACACACCACTATGCCTGGCTAATTTTTATATTTATTTATTTAGTTAGTTAGTTCTTGAGACGGATTCTCGCTCTGTTGCCCAGGCTGGAGTGCAGTGGCACGATCTCGGCTCACGGCATGCTCCGCCTCCTGGGTTCACTCAATTCTTCTGCCTCAGCCTCCCGAGTAGCTGGGACTACAGGTGCACACCACCAGGCCTGGCTAATTTTTTTGTATTTTTAGTAGAGACAGGGTTTCACCATGTCAGCCAGGATGGTCTCGATCTCCTGACCTTGTGAGCCACCCGCCTCGGCCTCCCAAAGTGCTGGGATTACAGGCACCCAGCCCATGAGCCACGGCACCCAGCCCATGCCTGGATAATTTTTATAGTTTTAGTACAGATGGGGTCTCATCATGTTGACCAGGTTGGTCTCGAACTGCTGACCTCAAATGATCTGCCCACCTTGGCCTCCCAAAATGCTGGGATTACAGGCATGAGCCATCGCGCCCGGTTTATATGGCTGATTAAAAATTTTTTTTTTTTTGTGGAGATGGGGGTCTCCCTATGTTGCCCAGGCTGGTCTCAAACTTCTGGCTTCAAGTGATTCTCCCACCTACAGCCTCCCAAATCACTGGGATTGCAGACATGAGGCACCGCACCTGGCCATCCGCAGTTTTTAACTCTTGGCCACATGGAGCCTCCAGGGATTTGTTAATTAGGTTTAAAGTGTCCCTACTACTACTGCCTTCAGCTGCAGGCTTCTCATCCTGGGCTTCTGCCCCCAGTAGGCTGTGTTTTTCTGTATCGGCTCATTTGTCTCTCCAGTTTGGGGGGGCAACAATTTGTCCTGTGACCTCAATTTTCTTATGGCTTTAAGAAGAGTTATTGCTTTTCAGTTTTTTCAGCTTTTTCTTGTGGTGAGGAAAGAAATGATGACTTTGTAGGGGAACCAGAGATCACCTCCAGCACCTCTTTAGCTATTATGTGGGCTCTTTGGCTGGATCTGGAAACCAAATTGATACCAGACAGATTAACAAGATAAAAGCATACAAATTGTATTGGTTTTACATGTGCATGGGGATCTTCACAAGATGGTGAAGTCTGAACAAGTGGTCAAAGCAAGATGCAAGATGCGTTTATACTTTTTTTTTTTTTTTAAGACAGAGTCTCACTCTGTTGCCCAGGCTGGAGGGCAGTGGACCAATCTCGGCTCACTGCAACCTCTGTCTCCCAGTTCATGCAATTCTCCTGCCTTAGCCTCCCAAGTAGCTGGGACTACAGGCAGCCATCACCACGCCTGGCTAATTTTTGTACTTTAAGTAGAGACGCGGTTTCACCATGTTGGCCAGGCTGGTCTCGAGCTCCTGACCTCAAGTGATCTTCCCGCCTCGGCCTCCCAAAGTGCTGGATTACAGGCATGAGCCACTGTGCCTGGCTGTGTTTATACATTTTAGACAAAGGATGATGAATTTGAGAAGAAATGACAGGACAAAGAAAATCTGGCGAGGGGCAGTAAATTTCTAGGGGAGTCATTAGGCGATGTAGGGGAGGGTGTAAAACTAATAGAAGACAAGAGTTACTTGGTTAAGTATGTTTATTCAGGTCCATGGCAGCCCCCCCCAGTGTGTCTCTGATAATGAGGGCTATTTTCTCACCCTGGTATGGGGAGGGTACTCCTCCTAGAGGAATCCTTATGGCTTGCTGCCTGCTGGAAGGCACAGGTTAGCTAGTTTTTCCCGAAACTACAATTTCGCCAACATTTTGTTTTGTTTTTGTTTTCAGTCTCCCTCTGTGGCCCAGGCTGGAGTGTAGTGGTTTAATCTTGGCTCACTGCAACCTCCACCTCCCTGGGTTCAAGCAATTCTCGTGCCTCAGCCACCCAAGCAGCTGGGATTATAGGTGCCACCATCCCCAGCTAAATTTTGTACTTTTTGTAGAGTCAGGGTTTCACCATGTTGGCCAGGCTGGTCTCGAACCCCTGGCCTCAAGCCATCAGCCCACCTCTGCCTCCCAAAGTGTTGGGATTGCAGACGTGAGCCACCACTTCTGGCCTCACCAATGTTTTCAGCTAGAAATAATCAATATACCAATCCAGCATCTTTTGGGATGGCACGTCCCTCACTCCTTCAACATCAAGGTCTTTAAATTTGTACCAAATGTCCAGGTATCTGCAGAGGGCCTCCCTCAAATACTCAGCAGAGTGCTGATCAGTGCATGTGTGAGAGAAACTTCCTGAAGCTGAGATAAAACCATTAGAATGGATTGGAGAACAGTGCCTGGCACTCATACATGACTGGGAATAGTGCCTGTTCTCACCAGCTAGACTAGAAAAACTCATAATTCACCAGGCACTGGGAAAATACTCAGGTAGGGCTTGCTTCGTCTAATTAGCCCCAGCTTGAGCACTACTTCAGACCTGCTGGACAAATGACAAAAGTAGTAACAAAAATGATCAAACTGTTTCCACATAAGTTAACTGAATCTCAGAACAAAGAACAAGAAGTTGCATAAGAATAGAAAATATTGGGCCAGGCACGGTGGCTCACACCTGTAATCCCAGCATTTTGGGAGGCCAAGGCAGGTGGACCACCTGAGGTCAGGAATTTGAGACCAGCCTGGCTAACATGGTGAAACCCTGTCTCTACTAAAAATACAAGATTAGCTGGGTGTGGTGATGCACACTTGAAGTTCCAGCCATTCAGGAGGCTGAGCCAGGAGAATTGCTTGAACCCAGGAGGTGGAGTCTGTAGTGAGCCAATATCGCACCACTGCACTCCAGCCTGGGCAAGATGGAGCAAGACTCCATCTAAAAAAAAAAATCAAGTAAGCAACAAGGTAAAATTCATTTCTACCATTCAATTAATGATTGTCAGACATGCAAAGTAAGAGGGAAACATGACCCATTTTAAAAAAAAAAATCAAAACTAATCCTGAACAGACACAGATGTTAGAATTAGTAGACAAATTGTTCAAAAGAATTATAACCCAATGTTCATCAAAGCATTAATCACAATAACCAAAGGGCAACAACCGAAGTGTCTATCAACTGATGAATGAATAAACAAAATGTGGTATATCCATATGATGGAATATTATTCAGCCATGAAAAGAAATTAAGTTTTGATATAGGATGAACTTTGAAAAAACTAAATGAAATGAAATAAGCAGGCACAAAAGAACAAATATTGGAGGCCGGGCGCTTTGGCTCATGCCTGTAATCCCACCACTTTGGGAGGCCGAGGCGGGCAGATCACAAGGTCAGGAGATTGAGACCATCCTGGCCAACATGGTGAAACACCGCCTCTACTAAAAATATGAAAAATTAGTTGGGTGTGGTGGCGGGTGCCTGTAGTCCCAGTTACTCAGGAGGCTGAGGCAGGAAAATCATTTGAACCTGGGAGGCAGAGGTTGCAGTGAGCCAAGATTGTGCCAGTGCGCTCCAACCTGGGCGACAGAGCGAGACTGGGGGAAAAAAAAAAAGAACAAATATTGGTCTAGGAATGGTGGCTCACGCTTGTAACCTCTGCACTTTGGGAGGCCGAGGTGGGTGGATCACCTGAGGTCAGGAGTTTGAGACCAGCCTGGGCAACACGGTGAAACCCCGTCACTACTAAAAATACCAAAAAAAAAAAAAAAAAAAAATTAGCCAGGCATGGTGGTGGGTGCCTGTAATCCAAGCTACTTGGGAGGCTGAGGTGGAGAATCACTTGAACTCAGGAGGCAGAGGTTGCAGTGAGCTGAGATCACACCACTGCACTCCAGCCTGGGCAACAGTGAGACTCCTCTCAAAAAAAAAAAAAAAAAAAAAAAAAAAATATATATATATATATATATATATATATATATAGTATAGGCTGGGTGTGGTGGCTCACGCCTGTAATCCCAGCACTTTTGGAGGCTGAGGCAGGCAGATCACGAAGTCAGGAGTTTGACACCAGCCTGGCCAACATGGTGAAACCCGGTCTCTACTAAAAATACAAAAATTAGCAGGAATGGTGGTGCATGCCTGTAATCCCAGCTACTGGGGAAGCTGAGGCAGGAGAATCTCTTGAGCCTGGGAGGCAGAGGTTGCAGTGACAGAGCAGGACTCTGTCTCAAAAAAATATACATATTGTATGACTCCACTTACATGAGATCTCTCGGACAGACTAAGGGAGGAGACCACCCCTCATATTGTCTTATGCCCAATTTCTGTCTCCAAAGAAGGAAAAAGTAAAAACTAAAATGCAGAAATGAAATCCACAAGCAGACAGCCGGGTGCCACACCCTGGGCCTGGTAAAGATCAACCTCTGACCTAATCGGTTATGTTATCTATAGATTACAGAGATTGTATAGAAAAGCACTGTGAAAATCCCTATCCTGGCCAGGTGCGGTGGCTCATGCCTGTAATCCCAGCACTTTGGGAGGCCAAGGCGGGTGGATCACGAGGTCAGGAGTTCGAGACCAGTCTGGCCACCATGGTGAAACCCCGTCTCTAATAAAAATATAAAAAGCATTAGCCATGCATGGTGGTGGGCGCCTGCAGTCCCAGCTACTCGGGAGGCTGAGGCAGGAAAATTGCTTGAACCCAGCAGGCAGAGGTTGCAGTGAGCTGAGATCACGCCACTGCACTCCAGCCTGAGTGACAGAGTGAGACTCCATCTCAAAAAAAAAAAAAAAGAAAGAAAATCCCTATCCTCTTTTGTTCCGATCTAATTACCGGTGCATGCAGCCCCCAATCACGTACCCCCTGCTTGCTCAATCAATCATTACCCTCTCATGTGCACCCCCTTAGAGTTGTGAGCTCCTAAAAGGGATTGCTCACTGGGGAGCTTGGCTCTTGAGACAGGAGTCTTGCCGATGCCCCCGGCCGAATAAACTCCTTCTTTTTTTTTTTTTTTTTTTGAGACAGAGTCTCGCTCTGTCGCCCAGGCTGGAGTGCAGTGGCGTGATCTCGGCTCACTGCAAGCTCTGCCTCCCGGGTTCACGCCATTCTCCTGCCTCAGCCTCCTGAGTAGCTGGGACTACAGGCGCCTGCCACCACGCCCAGCTAATTTTTTTGTATTTTTAGTAGAGATGGGGTTTCACCGTGTTAGCCAGGATGGTCTTGATCTCCTGACCTCGTGATCCACCCGCCTCAGCCTCCCAAAGTGCTGGGATTACAGGCGTAAGCCACCGCACCCCGCAACCCCTTCCTTCTTTAACTTGGTGTCTGAGGAGTTTTGTCTGGGCTGGTCCTGCTACATTTCTTGGTTCCCTGACCCAGAAGCGAGGTGATTGGTGGATGGTCAAGGCAGCTCCTTAGGCAGCTTCTTAGGCAGCTTAAGCCTGCCCTGTGGAACATCCCTGCGGGGGACTCCGACCAGACCAGCCCAAGCGACGTGGATCCTGAGAGCGTTCCTGGGTAGGCATTTGCCCTGGTGGGACGCCTCGCCAGAGCAATGTGTGGCAGGTCCCCGTGGGGGATCAACGCAGTGGCTGAACACCAGGAAGGAATGGGCACTTGGAGTCTGGACACCTAAAACTTGGTAAGACTAGTCTTTGAAACTTGCCCACTCCATTTGAGTGGAAGTGTGGCCTGATCACCCACGGTGTGCCTGTACCGGCACTTTGGTTTTTGTTTTTGACTTGACTTGGATTGCTTGATACTTTGGTTTTGGTTTTGACCTGGCTTGGATTTCTGGATACTCTGATTTTGGTTTGGTGCAAACTGTAAAAGTGTGTGTGTGCCCTTTTTACCCGTTGTTTTGTGGTGTGCGTGTGGTGTGAGCGTGGTGTTTTGTCTTGAAGAAGATAGGTCAGGCACAAATAAGCCCACCCTATTAGAAACTATGTTGAAACATTTCAAAAAAGAATTTAAAGTAGACTATGGAGTACTATGACACTAGGAAAACTTAAAACTTTGTGTAAGATAGACTGGCTAGCATTAGAGGTAGGTTGGCCATTAGAAGGAAGCCTGGACAGGTCCCTTGTTTCAAAGGTATGGCACAAGGTAACCTGTAAGCCAGGGAACCCAGACCAGTTCCCGTACATAGACACTTGGTTACAGCTGGTTTTAGACCCCCCACCCCCAACACACAGTGGTTGAGAGAACAGCAGCATAAGTGGCTGGCAGAGGCAAGGAAAGACCAGCAGAGAGAGAAAAAGGAAAGAGAGAGGACAAGAGGCAAAGAGAGAGAGGAAGAGACAGACAAAGAGGGAGTCAAGGAGAGAGAGAGAGAAAGAGGCAGAGAGAGAGAAAAAGAGAGGCAAAAAGAAAGTCAAAGAGAGACAAAGTCAAAGAGAGAGAGAGAGAGAGAGAGAGATAGAAGTAGTTTAAAAAAAAAAGTGTACCTTATTCCTTTAAAAGCCAAGGTAAATTTAAAACCTATAATTGATAATTGAAGGTATTCTCCATAACACTATAACACTCCAATACCACTTTGTTATTAGTGTAAACAAGGGCATATCCCAAAAGCACTGAGGCCTTCCTATCAAAAATCCTTAACCTGGTAACCCACGGATGGCCCAGAAGCATTCAATCTGTAGCAGCAACTGCTTTGCTAACAACAAAAAATTAAAAAAAATAACCTTTAGAGGAAACCTCATTGTGAGCATACCTCACCAGTTCAGAAGTATCCTTGCCGAGCGCGGTGGCTCACGCCTATAATCCCAGCACTTTGGGAGGCTGAGGCGGGTGGATCATGAGGTCAGGAGTTCGGGACCAGCCTGGCCAAGATGGTGAAACCCCATCGCTACTAAAAATACAAAAATTAGCCAGGCATGGTGGCGCACGCCTGTAGTCCCAGCTACTTGGGAGGCTGGGGCAGGAGAATCGTTGAACCCAGGAGGCAGAGGTTGCGGTGAGCCAAGATCATGCCATTGCACTCCAGCCTGGGCAACAAGAGCAAAACTTCATCTAAAAAAAAAAAAAGAAGTATCCTAAGGAAAAAAAAAAAGAAAGAAAGAAAAAAAGGGGGGGCGGAATTTATATAAAAAGAGTATTATATGGTAGATTCTTGTCCTGAAATAAGTTAACTGGTTGTTTAAAGAAAGAAATATTTGTAATAAGTCAGAAAGTTGAGGCATGTCGAAGAATTGTCTGTGAAAGTCATGAAAGAGAAAAATGTTATAAAAAAGAATTTATGCAAAAAATGTTGTATAATTTAAAAGTAACTAGGCCTCCTGAATGTAAAACTATTAAAAAAAAAAACAGTTTATGTGCAAGGTGTATAAGAAAAGTAAAATATACCTTTGGTAAAAGGATTATAAGGAAGCATAAGAATGTACATTTTTACCTACATTAAAAAAAGAAAATTACTGTTTTGAAGGTTTAAACATGTTTTAAAATGTTAATTGTAAAGAAAATTCTGTGTGTAAACATATTAGCTAAAGTTAAAGAAGTATCATCCAGTTTTTCTGTGAACTGGACATTAAAGTAAAAGCATAACAGGTTTATCTTAAAGCACCAACCTGCTCTTTAGCAAAAATTGTAAGGAAGGAGACCACTACTACTCCTGCTGCCCTCCTCTCCCCACCTTGCCTAGTTCACAAGACAGGAAGAGAGAAAAAGCAAAAAGTTGGAAAAAAACAAAAGTAAGATAAATAGCCAGACAACCTTGGAACCACCACCCGACCCTAGGAGTTAAAAAAAGTAATAATAACATCAACCCCTGACCTAAACTACTTGTGTGATCTGTAAATTCCAGACACTGTATGAAAAAAAGCATTGTAAAACTTTTTGTTCTGTTAGCTGATGCATGTAGCCTCCACGCTTGCTTGATGTATCACGACCCTTTCACGTGGACCCCTTAAAGTTGTAAGCCTTTAAAAAGGCCAAGAATTTCTTTTTCGGGGAGCTCAGCTCTTAAGACGCGAGTCTGCTGATGCTCCCGGCCAAATAAAAACCTCTTCCTTCTTTAATCCAGTGTCTGAGGAGTTTTGTCTGTGGCTCGTCCTGTTACATTTCTTGGTTCCCTGACCGGGAAGCGAGGTGATTAAGGGATGGTCCAGGCAGCCCCTTAGTTAGCTTATGTCTGCCCTGTAGAGCATCCCTGCAGGGGACTCTGGCCAGCTTGAGCAACACGGATCCTAAGAGCGCTCCCGGGTAGGCATTTGCCCCGGTTGAACACCTCACCAGAGCAGCGCACAGCAGGCCCCCGCGGAGGATCAACGCAGTGGCTGAACACCGGGAAGGAACTGGCACTTTAAGTCTGGACATCTGAAACTTGGTAAGACTGGTCTTTGGAACTTGCCACTCCTCTTGAGTGGAAGTGTGGCCTGATCACCCATGGCGTGCCTGTACCGGCACATTGGTTTTTGTTTTTGACTTGACTTGAATTGCTTGATACTTTGGTTTTAGTTTTGATTTTGACTTGACTTGAATTGCTTGATAAACAGACATGCCTTTATTGGCACTTTGGTTTTGGTTCTGATTTTGACTTGGCTTAAATTGCTTGATGAACAGGTGTGCCTTTAACAACACTTTGGTTTTAGTTTTCATTTTGATTTAGTGTGAATTAGATGAGTGAGTGACCTTTTATCCTTTCCTTCTTGTAGTGTGAATGTTGTTTTGTCTCAAGAGAAAAATAGGTCAGACACAAAGTAAGCCTACTCCACTAAGAACTGTGTTAAAAAAAATTTTCAAAAAGAAAAATAAAAGGAAAGTCATCAAATCATCAAAACTTATTCCATTAAAATGCAGGTTACAGAACCTTAAGAAGGGTTTTGCAGGAGATTATAGAGTTAAGTTAACCCCTAGAGGCTAAGAACTCTGTGTAAATTAGAATTGCCCTCTTTTGGTGTTGGATGGCCCACCGAAGGAACTATAGACAGGGAACAATTGGCCATGTATTTAAGGTGGTGACAGGGGTTGGAGGACAGCCAGTGTACCTAGATCAAATTACTTTATATTGACTCATGGTTAAATATAATATAGACAAAATGGGCATAAATTTAGCCCTGTTTAACAGCTTATTGCAAAAAAAGCCAAAAGTAAAAGTAAGAGCAGCTTCGCCAGCAGACATGGAGTTAAAAAGGGAGTCCCAGAAACAGCAACAGAAGCCAGTTTTGCAGGAGCTGCCAGAGATAATAGAAATTCTTTCTCCATATGTCCCAGCCTATCCCCCTTTACCGAGGCCAACAGCCCCCTCAGAAATGAGATTCAGGAGCTAACATGCCCCAGGTCTCACCTCAAAGGGGAGGATCGGAGCCTCGAGAGGCCGAGGAAGGAAGTCAAGATAGTCAAGTGGGCCCTCTCAGATCTGGTCTTGCTCGAGCTATGCAAATGCCTCTCAGGGAGACGCGAGGACCTGTCTATTATAATGACCAGGCCCACATCTGGGGGGGCAACAGACTTTCATCTATCAGCCCTTTTCAACCATTGATCTACTAAACTGGAAATACCCTGAACCCTCCACCTTGCTCCTGGCAGCTAGAGCCCTGTCGAGCATAACTGTGTAGAGGTGTTGGACTCAAGTTTACTCTAGCAGACCTGACCTCCAGGACCAGCCTTGGGCATCAGTAAACTGGGAGCTATACGTGGACGGGAACAGCTTCATCAACCCACAAGGAGAGAGATGTGCAGAATATGCGGTGGTAACCCTGGACACTGTCGTTAAGCTGAGCTGATTGCTTTAATTCAGTCCTTAGAACTCAGTGAAGGTAAGACTGTAAACATTTACACTGACTCTCGGTATGCCTGTTTAACCCTCTAAGTGCATGAAAAATTATATTAAAAAAAGAGCCTGTTACTCTAGGAAAAAGGGGAAAAAAACCCAGAGAATGCAACTCAGCTTCAGCGTTTGCAGAGGTACTGAGAAGCACTTCTGCAGAGGCTAAGAGTTGGTAGAAAAAAGCAAGTAATATAAAAAAGATTTCAGAAATTTTTCAAGGAGCTGACAAGAGCCTAAGTCAGTTTTATAAGAGACTCTATAAAGCATTCTGGCTTTACACCCCATTTAACCCTGAGGCCGCTGAAAATCAGTATATAGTGAATACTTCATTTGTAAAGCAAGCCCAGGGTAACATCAAGCAGAAGCTGCAGGCATGAATACCACCTAGTCTATAAAAGTGGCCACCAAGGTGTATGTTAACTGTGACCAAGGAACAAAACTAGGAAAGAGCAAAAGAAAAAAAAAAAAGACTGAGAGTAAGTGTGAAAAAGAGAATCAGAAGGAAACAGGAGAGACAGACCGCAGTGCGCAGGGGCAGGGCCCGTGCTGTTGCCTGGCCCCACCAGCTGGCCGTAGGAGTAGGATAACTCAGAAAGAAAAAAAAAAAACAAAGACTTAAGTAAAAAAGCCAATCTGTTAGCAACAGCTCTTATACAAAGAAAAATTAGCAATGTGAGAGGATGTGGACGTGGATGTAGACGTGAAAGAAGTCAAGTTAGGCAAGGATTCAAGAGCCGGACAAGGCTAGAGAGAGATTAATGTGCGAGATGCAAAAAGAAAGGACACTAAAACGGTAAATATTCAAAAGGCAATAAAGGAAATGGCCAAGGCCACAAGGCAAAGAGGGCCGAGGGCCGCCGCACCTTGGAGGAACAAAATACTGACCTGATCAGGCTGACAGGAACTAAAGAATGTAAAGACTAGGGCAGACTAGGCACCTTCTCATTAGGCTCCTAGGAGCCCATGGTCACAACAAAAGTTAAAAGCAGCAGATTCTGCTGTATCTGGATTCCAATTTCTCACTGAAGGTTAAGCACTAGATAGAGTTACAAAGTGGAGGGGGGAAGAACCCCTCCTCTAAGAAACTTAAACAGGAGAAAGAGCCATACCTTGTGAGAACTTGCTTGTAGACTTTACAGAACTGCCCCGTGCTGGAGGCTATCGGTACATGCTAGTGCTTGTTTGCACCTTTTCAGGGTAAGTTAAAGTTTTCCCCACCAGGACAAAAAAAATTACAAGAAGTAACTAAAGTACTGTTAAAAGACATTATCCCCAGGTTTAGACTACTTCTAACTTTAAAGTCAGACAATAGGCCAGCATTTGTAGTTGAAATAGTACAAGATTTAACAAGGCTGTTAAAAATAAAATGGAAGTTAAACACAACCCATCAGCCACAAAGTTCAAGAAAAGGTGGAAAGCATGAACTGGACACTTGAGCAGCTACTGAAAAAAATATTGCCAGGAAATTCATGTAAGATAAAATCAGGTTTTTGCCTATGGTCCTCCTCCGAGTCAGGTGCACCCCCAAACAAACAAGGTATTTGCCCTATAAGATTTTGTTCAGTCGGCCACCCCCAAATCATAGGTCAAATTAAAGGTGACCTCCAGAAACTACAGGAATTAACCTTAAAAAAGCAAATGCAGGCTTTAAAAATAGCCATACAAAGTGTTCATAATTAAATAAATAAAAATGCCTATAAGCCTGACACCCCTTTAAATCTAGTGACTCTGTTTAAAGTAAAAAAGTAAAATCAAATTTTTCTAGGACCCATATAGGATGGACCCTATACTGTAACCTTGTCCACTCCCACTGCTGTTAAAGTTGCAGGTGTTGTGTCTTGGATCCATCACAGTCAGCTAACACTGGCAGCTCAGGACAAGTGGACCAGCCAGCAGGATGCAGATCACCCAACCTGGCTGATCCTGAGACGAGACCAAGCTGCTGCTGAGGACGACAGCCCTGCTCTGGTCACTCCGGAGGCTGACCAGTCTACGCACGGCCGAAGCTTGAGGACTCATCGAGCAAGTAAATGTAGTTAAAAATCTTAAGACTAATAGTTTTCCTGTAATACTAACTGTTTTCCTATTGTTCGGTCGCTGTATTCAACCTTTTTCCCAGGTAAGGACCTCTTTTGTCCTTGCTGGATACGAATATGCTGTACATTGTTTTGTTGTTGTTAACCCCCATAACCATGTTAGAAGAAACACCTATATAAGGTGTCCCCACTGTACACATACTACTTAGGAAACCCAGACCTGTCCAGCCCAGTAACAATTCTGAGTCTTTCAGTCATTCTTTAAACATATAAACCAGAAGTTACCAGAACCTCCTCCTTTAGCAAAAACAGAAAAAACCTATTTGCTCAGCTGGCTGAAAACATTGCTAGCTGCCTAGATGTTTCTTCATGTTATGTTTATAAAAAGGCTAACATAAGAGACCAATGGCCTTGAGAAGCAAAAGAGTTAATGCCTCAAGATAACTTTAACTAGCTCTTTCCCCAAACAGATGCCACAAGTTCAAGCATCTGGCTCTTAAAACTTCTATTATTAAAAAATACCATGTTACTCACTAGGAAAAAGCTTTTAAGACACAGTAAAAAGAACTAACCTGCTTAAGGCATGACAAAGTTGGTACATGTGCATATACAGGTTTAACACAGGTCTGATCCTAGGTGTTCATTTAGAACATAGTTTCCAGCTGTAAGAAAATTTAAAACCCTCATTGTAAGTGTATTACTAGTAATAGGAACTTGCTTGCTGCTCCCCTGTATATTATATTTGCTCCTTCAAATGATAAAAGGTTTTGTAGCTACCATGGTTCAGCAGAAAACTTCAACACAAGTATATTACATAAAATACTATCACTCTGTCTCACAAAAAGACTCAAAAAGTAAAAATAAAAGAACTCCCACTGATTAGTGAAAATTCTCAAAGGGGGAGATAAGGAAGGAGACCACTACTACTCCTGCTGCCCTCCTCTCCCCACCTTGCCTAGTTCGCAAGACAGGAGGAGAGAAAAACAAAAAGTTGGAAAAAAAACAAAAGTAAGATAAACAGCCAGACAACCTTGGCACCACCACCCGGCCTTAGGAGTTAAAAAAAGTAATAATGATAACCTCAACCCCTGACCTAAACTACTTGTGTTGTCTGTAAATTTCAGACACTGTATGAAAAAAAGCATTGTAAAACTTTTTGTTCTGTTAGCTGATGCATATAGCCCCCAGTCATGTTTCCCATGCTTGCTTGATGTACCACGACCCTTACACGTGGACCCCTTAAAGTTGTAAACCTTTAAAAAGGCCAAGAATTTCTTTTTCGGGGAGCTCGGCTCTTAAGACACGAGTCTGACAATGCTCCTGGCCGAATAAAAACCTCTTCCTTCTTTAATTCAGTGTCTGAGGAGTTTTGTCTGTGGCTCGTCCTGCTACAATAAAAGGTTAAAAAGAGTCTATAAAATCTTACCTTATGGTCAAACATTAAAAATTAGATAAATATGTCTACAAGGTTTTATTAAAATTAAGTTTAACATTAATAACACACTAATATAAAAATAAAATTTAGCTTATCTGGTATAAAAATCACACGAGAAGCACTGTTAAGTGTAAAATGGTATTTGGCTTTCTTTGGTTTAAAAAGTAATAAACATTTTTCTCAGTAAAAAGGCACTAAGGAATATAAAGTCCACTGCCAAGGTCCCCACATTTAAAACAAAGGTCAATTTCTTTCTTTTTTTTTTTTTTTTTTTTGAGACAGAGTTTCACTCTTGTTGCCCAGGCTGGAGTGCAATGGCGCAATCTTGGCTTACGGCAACCTCCGCCTCCCGGGTTCAAGCAATTCTCCTGCCTCAGCCTCCTGAGTAGCTGAGATTACAGACATGCACCACTATGCCCAGCTAACTTTGTATGTTTAGTAGAGATGGGGTTTCTCCATGTTGGTCAGGCTGGTCTCGAACTCCTGACCTCAGGTGATCTGCCCACCTCAGCCTCCCAAAGTGCTGGGATTACAGGCGTGAGCCACTGCGCCCGGCCCCAAAAGGTCAATTTCTTAAAAATTATATACTTCATTTATCTTCCACTTTCCTTTCTCTCAAAAACTAAAAGTCTTTTAGCACATGTACCACTCCTAGAATTTCCGGTAAACCAGCACCAGCCTGAAGATCACATTCTCATCAAAGGGTGGAAAGAAGAAAAACTCGAGCCAGCCTGGGAAGGACCCTACCTTGTGCTGCTAGCCACTGAGACTGCTGTTTGTACAGCCAAAAAAAAAAAAAAAAAAAGAATGGACTCATCACACCCGAGTCAAGAAAACACCATCACTTCCAGAGTCGTGGGCCATAGTCCCAGGGGAAAACCCTACCAAACTAAAGCTAAGCAAAATTTAACTCTTTTCATCTATTCTATTACTCTTTCTTCTTTCCTCATTCTATTGCTGACCATCTAGTTATTAACATAACCAAGTCAATTTCACCTCAAACTATTGCATTTAATGCTTGCCTTGTTATAACCTGTGAGGACTTGCCAAGTCAAAGACAGCTTTCTACTTCAGAAAGGTACTTCTGTCTCTCCTGCCTCTCCTCAGACTGGGCATTAGTAAACTAGGACCATTTAATCCGAGGAGATTTCGATAAAGACCCCAGTGCCAACCAGGAGTCTTGCCCCCCGATGTAGAGCTTTCATGCCATAGTTGGTCCAACATTCTGTGGACCACTAAAGGGCAAGGATGGACTGCCCCAACCGGTTTTTGTAATTTCCTAAAACCATACATTCATTTTACTAGAGGATCATAGAAGTTAAAGACTTAAACTTTAGCAATTAAGACAGGATACCAAGATGCAAATGCCTGGTTAAAATAGATCCAATATTCCATCTGCATGTTAAACAAAAACAATTGTTTTGCTTGTGCACATGGCAGGCCAGAGGCCCAGATTGTCCCCTTTCCACTAAGGTGGTCTTCCAGTTGACCAGGTGTGGGCTACATGGTAGCTCTTTCCAGGATTCTACAGCCTGGAGTAATAAGTCGTGCCAAGCTCTCTCTGCTATATACCAAAGTCCGGCACCCTGTGGGTCAGCCCCTGAGGGCCATCCAGCCTCCGTCTCCCAACACTAAGTTCACTTTGTGTCTCTCACGACAGGGAGGAAATTTAGCATTCCTTGGAGACCTGAAGGGATGCAGTGAGCTTAAGAATTTTCAAGAAATTATCAATCAGTCAGCCCTTGTTCATCCCCAAGCGGATGTGTGGTGGTATTGTGGTGGACCTTTACTGGGCACTCTGCCAAATAACTGGAGTGGCACTTGTACTTTAGTCCAATTGGCTATCCCTTTCACCCTGGCATTACATCAACCAGAAGGAAAAAAATAAAGCATCGTAAAGCGAGAGAAGCCCCTTATGGGTCTTTCGACTCTCACATCTATTTAGATGCAATTGGAGTCCCATGAGGAATACCAGATCAATTTAAAGCTTGAAATCAAATAGCTGCAAGATTTGAGTCAACATTTTGGTAGGTGACAGTCAATAAAAATGTAGATTAGATAAACTACATCTATTACAACCAACAGCAACGAGATTTTCATGAGTTAAAAAAAAAACTCACGTCGGCCCCAGCCCTGAGGCTACCTGACCTGACAAAACTCTTTACACTCTATATGTCAGAAAAAGAAAAAATGGCAGTTTTAACTCAGACTGTGGGGCACTGGCCAAGGCCAGTGGCCTATCTCTCAAAACAACCAGACAAGGTTTCCAAAGGCTGGCCCCCAGGTCTAAGGGCCCTAGCAGCAGTGACCCTGTTAGCACAAAGCACAAGAAGCAGATAAACTAACCATTAGGCAAAACCTGAATATAAATGTCCCCCATGCTGTGGTAACTTTAATGACTACCAAAGGACATCATTGGTTAACAAATGCTAGATTAACAAGTACCAAAGCTTGCTATGTGAAAATCCCCACATAACCATTGAAGTTTGCAACACCCTAAACCCCACCACCTTGCTCCCGGTATCAGAGAGCCCAGTTGAACATAACTGTGTAGAGGTGTTGGACTCAGTTTATTCTAGCAGGCCCAACCTCCGAGACCATCCTTAAACATCAGTAGACTGTGAGTGGTACATGGACAGGAGCAGCTTCGCCAACCCCTGCAAAGTGACTCTGAAGAAGACAACAAGCCCTGCTCCAGTCACACCCGGACGCACGACCGAAGCATGAGAAAACTCATCACGGGACTCATTTTCCTTAAAATTTGAACTTTTACAGTAAGGACTTCAACTGACCTTCCTCAGACTGAGGACTGTTCCCAGTGTATACATCAAGTCACTGAGGTAGGACAAAAGGTTGCTATGGTCCTATGATATTATGGTTATTATAAGTGTACTGGAACTCTGAAAAGAACTTGTTTGTATAATGTTATTCTATACAAGGCATGTAGCCCAGGAAATGACCAACCTGATGGATGTTATGACCCATCTGAGCCTCCCATGACCACAGTTTTAAAAATAAGATTAAAGACTGAGGACTGGTGGGGGCTCAAAAACGATATGAATAAAGTGTTAGGCAAAACAGAAGAAAAAGGGGTGCCCAAACAAATCACCTTAAAATTTGATGCCTGTGCTGTCATTAATAGTAATAAGTTAGGAATAAGTTGTGGTTCTCCTAATTAGAAAAGAGGCTATATGGCAGAAAATAAGTACATCTGTCATAAATTAGGACTGTGTGGAAATAAATGTAAATACTGGTTTTGTGTCATTTAGGCCACTTAGATTAAAAAAAAAAATGAAAAGGATCCAGTCCACCTTCAGAAAGGAAAAAAAGGCCCTTCCTGTACTAAGGAACAATGTAACTGTCAGGCCTCTGAGCCCAAGCTAAGCCATCATATCCCTTGTGACCTGCACATACACATCCAGATAGCCGGTTCCTGCCTTAAATGATGACATCCCACCACAAAAGAAATGAAAATAGCCTGTTCCTACCTTAACTGATGACATTATCTTGTGAAATTCCTTCTCCTGGCTCATCCTGGCTCAAAAGCTCCCCTACTGAGCACCTTGTGACCCCCCCACTCCTGCCTGCCAGAGAACAACCCCCCTTTGACTGTAATTTTCCTTTACCTACCCATATCTTATAAAACAGCCCCACCCCTATCTCCCTCCACTGACTCTCTTTTCAGACTCAGCCTGCCTGCACCCAGGTGATTAAAAGCTTTATTGCTCACACAAATCCTATTTGGTAGTCTCTTCACATGGACGTGCATGAAATTTGGTGCCGTGACTCGGATCGGGGGACCTCCCTTGGGAGAACAATCCCCTGTCCTCCTGCTCTTTGCTCCGTGAAAAAGATCCACCTAAGACCTTGGGTCCTCAGACCCACCAGCCCAAGGAACATCTCACCAATTTTAAATCGGGTAAGTGGCCTCTTCTTACTCTCTTCTCCAACCTCCCTCACTATCCCTCAACCATTTTCTCCTTTCAATCTTGGTGTCAGCCTTCAATCTCTCCCTTCTCTTAATTTCAATTCATTTCATTTTCTGGTACAGACAAAGGAAACATGTTTTATCTGTGGACCCAAAACTCCGACGCCGGTCATGGACTCGGGAAGGCAGCCTTCCCTTGGTGTTTAATCATTGCAGGGATGCCTCTCTGTTTATTCACTCATGTTTCAGAGGTGTCTGACCACGCGGGGACACCTGCCTTGGTCCTTCACCCTTAGCGGCAAGTACCGCTTTTCTGGGGGGCAAGGACCCCCCAACACCTCTCCATGTCTCTACCCCTTCTCCACTTTTCTGGGAGGCAAGAACCCCCCAACCCCTTATCTCTGCACACTGATCCCTTATTTCCATGCCCTGACCCCTTATCTCTGCACCCCAATCCCTTATTTCCATGCCCCAACCTCTTATCTCTTTGCCCCAATCCCTTATTTCCACACCCCAACCTCTTATCTCTGTGCTCCAACCCCTTATTTCCATGACCCAACCCCTTTCCCACTTTTCTAGAGCATAAGAACCCCCGAACCCCTGCCCTCTGTGTCTCTACTCTCTCTTTTCTCTCAGCTTGCCTCCTTCACTATGGGCAAACTTCCACCCTCCATTCCTCTCTCTTCTCCCTTCGCCTGTGTTCTCAAGAACTTAAAACCTCTTCAACTCACACCTGACCTAAAACCTAAATGCCTTATTTTCTTCTACAATCCCGCTTGACCCCAATACAAACTTGACAGTAGTTCCAAATAGCCAGAAAACAGCACTTTCGATTTTTCCATCCTAAAGATCTAGATAATTCTTATCATAAAATGGGCAAACGGTCTGAGGTCCCTGACATCCAGGCATTCTTTTACACATTGTTCCCTCCCTAGTCACTGTTCCCAATGCGACTCATCCCAAATCCTCCTTCTTTCCCTCCCGCCTGTCCCCTCAGTCCCAACCCCAAGCATTGCTGAGTCTTTCTAATCTTCCTTTTCTACAGACCCATCTGACCTCTCCCCTCCTCGCCAGGCCGAGCCACGTCCCAATTCTTCCTCAGCCTCCGCTCCTCCACCCTATAATCCTTTTATCACCTCCCCTCCTCACACCTGGTCCGGCTTACAGTTTCGTTCCTCAACTAGCCTTCTCCCACCTGCCCAGCAATTTCTTCTTAAAAAGGTGGCTGGAGCTAAAGGCATACTCAAGGTTAATGCTCCTTTTTCTTTATCCAACCTCTCCGAAAATCAGTTAGCGTTTAGGCCCTTTTTCATCAAGTATGAAAAGCCCAGCCCAGTTCATGGCTCGTTTGGCAGCAACCCTGAGACGCTTTACAGCCCTAGACCCTAAAAGGTCAAAAGGCCGTCTTATCCTCAATATACATTTTATTACCCAATCCACTCCCGACTTTAAATAAAGCTCCAAAAATTAAATTCCAGCCCTCAAACCCCACGACAGGACTTAATTAACCTCGCCTTCAAGTTGTACAATAATAGAAAAAAGTTGCAATTCCTTGCCTCCACTGTGAGACAAACCCCAGCCACATCTCCAGCACACAAGAACTTCCAAACACCTGAACCGCAGCAGCCAGGCATTCCTCCAGAACCTCCTCCCCCAGGAGCTTGCTAGAAGTGCCAGAAATCTGGCCACCAGGCCAAGGAATGCCCGCAGCCCGGGATTCCTCCTAAGCCACGTCCCATCTGTGTGGGACCCCACTGAAAATCAGACTGTTCAACTCACCTGTCAGCCACTCCCAGAGCCCCTGGAACTCTGGCCCAAGGCTCTCTGACTGACTCCTTCCCAGATCTTCTCGGCTTAGCAGCTGAAGACTGACACTGCCTGATTTCCTCAGAAGCCCCCTAAACCAGCACGGACGCCGAGTTTCGGGTAACTCTCACATGGAGGGTAAGTCCGTCCCCTTCTTAATCAATACGGAAGCTACCCACTCCACATTACCTTCTTTTCAAGGGCCTGTTTCTCTTGCCTCCATAACTGTTGTGGGTATTGATGGCCAGGCTTCTAAACCTCTTAAAACTCTCCAACTCTGGTGCCAACTTAGACAATACTCTTTTAAGCACTCCTTTTAATTATCCCCACCTGCCCAGTTCCCTTATTAGGCCGAGACACTTTAACTAAATTATCTGCTTCCCTGACTGTTCCTAGGCTACAGCCACACCTCATTGCCGCCTTTTCCCCCAGTTCAAAGCCTCCTTCACATCCTCCCCTTGTATCTCCCCACCTTAACCCACAAGTATAAGACATCTCTACTCCCTCCTTAGCAACTGATCATGCACCCCTTACCATCCCATTAAAACCTAATCATGCTTACCTCGCTCAATGCCAATATCCCATCCCACAGCACGCTTTAAAAGGATTAAAGCCTGTTATCACTCGCCTGCTACAGCATGGGCTTCTAAAACCTATAAACTCTCCTTACAATTCCCCTATTTTACCTGTCCAAAAACCGGACAAGTCTTACAGATTAGTTCAGGATCTGTGCCTTATCAACCAAATTGTTTTGCCTATCTACCCTGTGGTGCCCAACCCGTACACACTTTTGTCCTCAATACCTTCCTCCACTACTCACTATTCTGTTCTTGATCTTAAAGATGCTTTTTTCACTATTCCCCTACACCCCTCATCCCAGCCTTTCTTTGCTTTCACTTGGACTGACCCTGACACCCATCAGGTTCAGCAAATTACCTGGGCTGTACTGCCGCAAGTCCTCACAGACAGCCCCCATTACTTCAGTCAAGCCCAAATTTCTTCCTCATCTGTTACCTATCTTGGCATAATTCTCATAAAAACACACGTGCTCTCCCTGCTGATCATGTCCAACTGATCTCTCAAACCCCAACCCCTTCTACAAAACAACAACTCCTTTCCTTCCTGGGCATGGTTGGATACTTTCACCTTTGGACACCTGGTTTTGCCATCCTAACAAAACCATTATATAAACTCACAAAAGGAAACCTAGCTGACCCCATAGATCCTAAATCCTTTTCCCACTCCTCTTTCCATTCCATGAAGACAGCTTTAGAGACTGGCCCCACCCTAGCTCTCCCTGACTCATCCCAACCCTTTTCATTACACACAGCTGAAGTGCAGGGCTGTGCAGTCGGAATTCTTACACAAGGACCGGGATCGCGTCCTGTAGCCTTTTTGTCCAAACAACTTGACCCTACTGTTTTAGGCTGGCCATCATGTCTCCGTGCATCAGCTGCTGCTGCCCTAATACTTTTAGAGGCCCTCAAAATCACAAACTATGCTCAACTCATTCTCTACAGTTCTCATAACTCCCAAAATCTATTTTCTTCCTCACACCTGACACATATACTTTCTGCTCCCTGGCTCCTTCAGCTGTACTCACTCTTTGTTGAGTCTCTCACAATTACCATTGTTCCTGGCCTGGACTTCAATCCGGCCTCCCACATTATTCTGGATACCACACCTGACCCTCATGACTGTCTCATGACTGTATCTCTCTGATCCACCTGACATTCACCCCATTTCCCCATATTTCCTTCTTTCCTGTTCCTCACCCTGATCACATTTAGTTTATTGATGGCAGTTCTGCTAGGCCTAATCGCCACTCACCAGCAAAGGCAGGCTATGCTATAGTATCTTCCACATCTATCATTGAGGCTACCACTCTGCCCCCCTCCACTACCTCTCAGCAAGCCGAACTAGTTGCCTTAACTCAAGCCCTCACTCTTGCAAAAGGACTACGCGTCAATATTTATAGTGATTCTAAATATGTCTTTCATATTCTGCACCAGCATGCTGTTATATAGGCTGAAAGAGGTTTCCTCACTACTCAAGGGTCCTCCATCATTAATGCCTCTTTAATAAAAACTCTGCTCAAGGCCGCTTTACTTCCAAAGGAAGCTGGAGTCATTCACTGCAAAGGCCATCAAAAGGCATCAGATCCCATTGCTCTAGACAACGCTTATGCTGGTAAGGTGGCTAGACAAGCAGCTAGCTTTCCAACTTCTGTCCCTCACGCCAGTTTTTCTCCTTCACCTCAGTCACTCCCACCTACTCCCCCGCTGAAACTTCCACCTATCAGTCTCTTCCCACACAAGGCAAATGGTTCTTAGACCAAGGAAAATATCTCCTTCCAGCCTCACAGTCCCATTCTATTCTGTTACCATTTCATAACCTCTTCCATGTAGGTTATGAGCCGCTAGCCCATCTCTTAGAACCTCTCATTTCCTTTCCATCCTGGAAATCTATCCTCAAGGAAATCACTTCTCAGTGTGCCATTTGCTATTCTACTACCCCTCAGGGATTGTTCAGGCCTCCTCCCTTTCCTACACATCAAGCTCTGGGATTTGCCCCTGCCCAGGACTGGCATATTGACTTTACTCACATGCCTCGAGTCAGAAAACTAAAATACCTCTTAGTCTGGGTAGACACTTTCACTGGATGGGTAGAGGCCTTTCCTACAGGGTCTAAGAAGACCACCGCAGTCATTTCTTCCCTTCTGTCAGACATAATTCCTCGGTTTGGCCTTCCCACCTCTATACAGTCTGATAGCAGACCGGCCTTTATTAGTCAAATCAGCCAAGCATTTTTTCAGGCTCTTAGTATTCAGTGAAACCTTTATATCCCTTACGGTCTTCAGTCTTCAGGGAAGGTAGAACGGACTAATGGTCTTTTAAAAACACACCTCACCAAGCTCAGCCACCAACTTAAAAAGGACTGGACAATACTTTTACCACTTTCCCTTCTCAGAATTCAGGCCTGTCCTTGGAATGCTACAGGGTACAGCCCATTTGAGTTCCTGTATAGACGCTCCTTTTTATTAAGCCCCAGTCTCATTCCAGACACCAGACCAACTTGGACTGTGCCCCCAAAAACTTGTCATCCCTACTATCTTCTGTCTAGTCATATTCCTATTCACTCTTCTCAACTACTCATACATGCCCTGCTCTTGTTTACACTGCCGGTTTACACTATTTCTCCAAGCCATCACAGCTGATATCTCCTGGTGCTATCCCCAAACTGCCACTCTTAAATCTTGAAGTAAATAAATAATCTTTGCTGGCAGGACTATGCTGAATCTCCTTAGGCACTCTAATTAGATGTCCTGGGTCCTCCCAATTCTTAGACCTTTAATACCTGTTTTTCTTCTTCTCTTATTGTGTTTAGTTTTTCAGTTCATACAAAACCATATCCAGGCCATCACCAATAATTCTAAATGACAAATGTTTCTTCTAACAGTCCCACAATATCACCCTTTACCACAAAATCTTCCTTCAGCTTAATCTCTCCCACTCTAAGTTCCCACTCTGCCCCTAATCCTGCTCGAAGCAGCCCTGAGAAACATTGCCCATTATCTCTCCATACAACCCCCAAAAATTTTTGTCATCCCAACACTTTACCACGATCATATCACAGGGGATACGATGGCTTAGCTTGGGCTCAGAGGCCTGACAGTTACAAGCTGTCTTAAAAATAATCACTAATAAAACCGGCAGAGCCTTGACTATTCTGGCCCTGCAAGAAACTCAGATGAGAAACGCTATCTATCAAAATAGATTAGCTCTCAACTACTTGTTAGCAGCTGAAGGAGAGGTCTGTAGGAAATATAACCTTACTAATTGCTGCCTACACATAGATAATCAAAGGCAAGTAGTTGAAGACATAGTTAGAGAGATGACAAGACTGGCTCATGTGCCCGTGCAAGTGTGGCATGGATTTGATCCTAGGGCCAAGTTTAGAAAATGGTTCCCAGCGCTAAAAAAAAATTTTAAACTCTTATAAAAAAGAGTTATAATAGTAATAGAAACCTGCTTACTGCTCCCTTGTTTGCTACCTGTACTTCTTCAAATGATAAAAAGCTTCATTGCTACCTTAGTTCACCAAAATGCTTCAGCACAAGTGTACTATATGAATCACTATCAATCTGTCTTGCAAGAAGACATAGGTAGTAAAAATGAAAGTGAGAACTCCCACTGTTGAGTGAGAGTCTCAAAGGGGGGAAATAAGGGAGGAGACCACCCCTCATATTGTCTTATGCCCAATTTCTGCCTCCAAAGAAAGAAAAAGTAAAAACTAAAAGGCAGAAATGAAATCCACAAGCAGACAGCCCGGCGCCAAACCCTGGGCTTGGTAGTTAAAGATCGACCCCTGACCTAATCGGTTATGTTATCTATAGATTACATTGTATAGAAAAGCACTGTGAAAATCCCTATCCTGTTTTGTTCCCATCTAATTACTGGTGCATGCAGCCCCCAGTCTTGTACCCCCTGCTTGCTCAATCGATCACGACCCTCTCACATGCACCCCCTTAGAGTTGTGAGCTCTTAAAAGGGACAGGAATTGCTCACTTGGGGAGCTTGTCTCTTGATACAGGAGTCTTGCTGATGCCCCTGGCCGAATAAACCCCTTCCTTCTTTAACTCGGTGTCTGAGGAGTTTTGTTTGCGGCTCGTCCTGCTACAGACAAATTCATAGAGACAGAAAGACAAGACATTATCAGATGTTGCGGTAGGTATGAATGGGAGATTTCTGTTTGGGGTGATAAAAAAATGTGTAAATGGATTGAAGTGATGGTTGGATAATATTGTGAATGTAATTAATGCCACTGAACTGTATACTTCAAATGGTTAAAGTGGCAAGTTAAAAAAAAAAAACACTCAATAAAAGAAGAGCTCCCCCAACACCTTAAGGAGATTAGAGGGCAGGCATACATGCAAATAATTACAATACAACGTGCTAATGTTATAATTGTGATGTATACAGAGTGTGAAGAGTTATAGGAGAGAGCTCATATGTTTGTGGGTGTTGGGAATTTGGAATAACCATGGTGGGTGCCGGAACCTCTCTCAGCTCAGTGTTAACAGGGTGTGGAAGGAAAATATCTTGGGTCCCCAAAATCACTGAGCTACAGGGAAAAGTCAAGCTGGGAGCTGCTGAGGGCAAACCTGCCTCCCATTCTATTCAAAGTCACCCCTCTGCTCACTGAGATAAATGCATATCTAACTGCCTCTTTTGGAGAGGCTGATCAGAAACTCAAAGGAATGCAACCATTTGTCTCTTATCTACCTATGACCTGGAAGGCCCCTCCCCACATCGAGTTGTCCTGCTTTTGCTTCGAGTTGTCGCACCTTTCTGACCCAAACCAATATTCATTTTACATATGTTGATTGCTGTCTCATGTCTCTCTAAAATGTATAAAACCAAGCTGTGCTCTGACCACCTTGGGCACATGTCATCAGGACTTTCTGAGGCTGTGTCACAGGCATGCGTCCTCAACTTTGGCAAAATAAACTTTCAAAATTAACTGAGATCTGTCTCAGATTTTCAGGGTTCACGTTTTGGTAACCATGAAGGGATTCTGAGTGGAGGTGCCCCTGACCTTGACAAACCTCCTATCAGTGCTTGGTACCAGCTTGAGCTATCTTTATGGCTCAAACAAATAGGACAACTTGCTGAGGCCTGGATCACCTCCTCCAGAGAATCCCTGATTTCCCAAGATTTGGTTGAGATCTAAAGTTGATTTTGCTGTACAACTTCCTTTTTTTTTTTTTTTTTTTTTTCAGTTTCACTTGCTTCCAACAAGGAAGGCAAATTTTCCAGCTTCCATGATGATGGAAAACAGGTTAACTCCTTTGCCGGGTTTGAGCTTGCTTCCAATAGGGAAGGTGAGTTTTTTTTTTTGTTTTCCTGCTTCTAGGATGGTAGAGAGCAGTCTTCAGCCTGAGACCCATCCCTAAGTAAGTAGCTGAATTGGGATTTTGTCTAGGCTAAAGTTAACAACCAGCTGGTCTTAATTTCTCTTTACTATTAGAGCACTCAGTAATCCATATAAGTTGTGGGGTTGTTTGTTTTGCTTAACTGTTTTTTGTTGTTGTTTGTGTCCATTTTTGTTGGTGCTTTGGTCCTTTTCCCATTGGGTTTGACCAACTTTATCTGACTTGATCAAATCCAAAGGAAAGTTCCAAATTATGGGGAACAAGGCCCTGAAATGGTTAAATTCTCCCCCCAACCCCCCCACACAAAGGTGGTATGGTGGGGGAGAAAAAACAGCCAGCAAAAGGAAAAAAAAAAAGAGGAAAGATTTTTTTATTTTGACTACTAAGGGGTTTATTTACATAACAAGGTCATGTTTTTGCCAGCCAGGCCAAACTGAAAGAGCAATAGCTGTACTTCTGAAATAGCAGCAAGTTGTCCTAGCTGAAATATGGTAATGAGGTTAAAAAAAATTTTTTTTAAAGGAGCTCAATGGTTAAAAGTCAGCTTAATTAAAAGCTAACATCCAAGATGTGTGTGTGATGGCTGGGTGCATTGGCTCACACCTGTAATCCCAGCAGGAGAATCTCTTGAAACTGGAAGGTGGAGGTTGCAGTGAGCCGAGATTGTGCCACTGCACTCTAGCCTGGGCAATAAGAGCAAAACTTCACCTCAAAAACAAAAAACAAAAAACAAAAAAAACCAACCAAACAAAAAACGTTGCTGATTCTTTTTTTTTTCATAGTAGTAAAATTTTTCTTTTAAGCTATTTACAGCTTTTAACAATCGAGTAAAGTATACTCCTATGAACAAAATTAGGAGCATATTTGTCTCTCTCTACCTGATTTCTACAGAATTTGGAAACTATTTGTGAGTATTCTTAACTTATGACAATACAATTGTTTGCATAAGTGCAATAAGAATCTGTTTTTGACTGGGTGTGGTGGCTCATGCCTGTAATCCCAGCACTTTGGGAGGCTGAGGCGGGCAAATCATGAGGTCAGAAGATCGAGACCATCCTGGCTATGGTGAAACCCTGTCTCTACTAAAAATACAAAAAATTAGCCAGGTGCAGTGGCGGGTGACTGTAGTCCCAGCTACTTGGGAGGCTGAGGCAGGAGGATGGCATGAACCGGGGAGGTGGAGCTTGCAGTGAGCCGAGATCGTGCCACTGCACTCCAGCCTGGGCGACAGTGCAAGACTCCATCTCAAAAAAAAAAAAAATCTGTTTTCATTTGTAACAGGACACAGTTGGAGAAACTGGATATTTTACCAAGGCTTTGACTTGAATGGTGTGCTTTCCTTTAAGGAATTGAACGTGACTTATGTAGCCAATAAAAGCCCCTTGGAAAAAACTGGCCTCATACTTTCATCTACACAGTCCCTGTACAGGGTTCCTGACCTGTGGTAAGTAAAGAATGTCACTTTCTGACAGGCCCAGGAGCCCCAGATATATCTTGGAACCTCAGAGGAGACGAATTCACCCAACTCGTAGGTATTTGATGATACAAATGCATGGCTGGGCTCACCTTTAAAAAAGTCTTATCTGAGATTCCTTCTACTGAACAAAGTTCCATCAAAGCCACTTTAAAAGCCTATGGAAAAAAATAATTGTTCTTGCTGCAGTGTATACAAATAATCAGGCCAAGTATAATAAAGCAAATCAGTCCTACCATGATTTGTCTTTAGTAAAAATGGGAAACTGGAGAGAGAAAAATTATGTTTCAAAAACTTTAGTACACCTGTTGTTAGATTCTAGTCTTGCCTAATGTTTACCAATTTTTATTTTTTTCTACACTTTGGACCGAATTCTAATTGTCTTGGCTACGAGCCTGCAAAATATTATTTTTAATTTTTTTTCTCCTCCTTTTTCTCCATTTTCCCTAATTTGGAGTCACTGAAAATCAAGCTGTGCTTTCTTTTCTTTTCTTTTTTGAGAGAGTTTCGCTCTTGTTGCCCAGGCTGGAGTGCAATGGCACGATCTCGGCTCACCGCAACCTCCGCCTCCCAAGTTCAAACGATTCTCCTGCCTTAGCCTCCCGAGTAACTGGGATTACAGGCATGCACCACCATGCCCAGCTAATTTTGTATTTTTAGTAGAGATGGAGTTTCTCCATGTTTGTCAGGCTGGTTGTGAACTCCCAACCTTAGGTGATCTGCCCACCTCAACCTCCCAAAGTGCTAGGATTACAGACGTGAGTCACTGAGCCTGGCCTAAGCTGTGCTTTCTTAAAGCCCTGCGAACTGAAGCTAGACAACTTAAATTTCAGAAGAAAATAACAACAACCTATTTACATAGATAAGCAGCTTTCATACCTGCCTACTGATGTATTGACTTCAGAGTATTGTGGCCTATATTGATTTTTCAGGATTGTTCTTTGTTTGTTGTTTTCTCCCTTCCTCCTCTATTTTGTCTTTATAGGACATGAGACTTCACAACCTTCTAAAAATGAGCTTTCTGGCCAGGTGCAGTGGCTCATGCCTGTAATCCCAGCACTTTGGGAGGTCTAGCAGGGTGGATCACTTGAGGTCAGGAGTTCAAGACCAGCCTAAGCAACATGGCAAAACCCTGTCTCTACTAAAAATATAAAAATTAGCCAGGTGTTGTGGCATGAGCCTATAGTCCCAGCTACTTGGGAGGCTGAGGCATGAGAATTGCTTGAGCTTGGGAGGCAGAGGTTGCAATAAGCCAAGATTGCACCACGGCACTCCAGCCTGGGTGACAGAGCAAGACTCTGTCTCCAAAAACAGGTTGGGGGGAAATGGAATTGTCATTTTATCTCTGAAAGGATATTATATTAAACAAAGAAAAGGGGATACAGAACTGCTGTACAGCCTCCTTAGAGGACTGAACAATAAGGAATATCATAGGCAACAGGAAGAGCTGAGATTTAAACAAAGAAAGAACTTCCCCAGGCCCTGGAACCAGTGGACAGGGAGATTTGAAGCATCTACTTCCCCAGGACATTTCAGTTCTTCTTTTACATACTGTGAATGGAAACGGTATTTTTTTAATAAGCAGCCAGATGGATCATCTGAGGTCAGGAGCTCAAGACCAGTCTGGCCAACATGGTGAAACCCTGTCTCTACTAAAAATACAAAATTAGCCAGGTGTGGTGGCTAGCACCTGTCATCCCAGCTACTTGGGAGGCTGAGGCAGGAGAATCGCTTGAACCTGGGAGGCAGAGGTTGCAGTGAGCCGATATCGTGCTATTGTACTCTAGCCTGGGCGATAAGAGCAAAGCTCCGTTTCCAAAAAAAAAAAGAAATAGAAAAAGCAGACAGAGAAAAAAGGCACAGCATGTAGAGAATAAAGATAAGAATGACAGCCAAGTTCTTAAAGAAAATAATGCAAGCAGAGGTAGTAAACTCCTTCAAAGTACTGAAAGAAAAGAAAACAACTATTAACCTCTAATTCTATACCCAGCAAAAATATCTTTCAAAACAAAATGCAGGCCATTTGCAGTGGCTCAAGCCTGTATTCCTAGCACTTTGGGAGGCCGAGGCGGGCAGATAACCTGAGGTCAGGAGTTCAAGACCAGCCTGACCAATATGGCAAAACTCTGTCTCTACTAAAAATACACAAAGTAGCTGAGCGTGGTAGCTCATGATTGTAATCCTAGTTACTCAGGAGGCTGAGGCAGGAGAATTGCTTGAATCTGGGAGGCAGAGGTTGCAGTGAGCTGAGATCACGCCACTGCACTGCAGCCTGGTGACAGAGTGGGACTCCGTCTCAAAAAAAAAAAAAATTAGCCCAGCATGGTGGCACATGCCTATAGTCCCAGCTACTTGGGAGGCTGAGGCAGGAGGATCACTTGAGCCCAGGAAATGGAGGTTGCAGTGAGCCGAGATTGAGCCACTGCACTCCAGCCTGGGGAACAGAGTGAGACTGTCTCAATTTAAAAAAAAAAGTAACTATGAGGGTTAACATAAAAGACTATTTAAAAAATTATTTACATGTCTTTAAAAGATAATTGCTTAAAGCAAAAAAAATGAGTTATGGGAGTTATAACATATGTAGAAGTATTGTATGATGAGTTCAAAAGTTGGGACGGCAGAAGTGGAAGTATATTGGTACAGGAGTCTCATCCTATACGTGAAGTAGTGTAATATCAATTGAAGGTGAATATGTATACTACATACCTGAAAGCAACCACTTATAAAACAAACAAACAAACAAAATGAAGTGTTATACTAATGATAAGAAAGGCGATAAATATATTTATTTATTTTTGGAGATGGAGTCTCGCTCTGTCACTAGGCTGGAGTACAGTGCCACAATCTCAGCTCACTGCAACCTCCGTCTCCCGGGTTCAAGTGATTCTCCTGCCTCAGCCTCCCAAGTAGCTGGGACTACAGGCACACGCCACCACGCCCAGCTAATTTTTTGTAGTTTTAGTAGAGACGGGGGGTTTCACCATGTTGGCCAGGATGGTCTTGATCTCTTGACCTCATGATCCACCCGCCTCAGCCTCCGAAAGTGCTGGGATTACAGGCTTGAGCCATCGTGCCCGGCCAGAAAGGAAAAAAAAAAAAAAAGAGAGAGAGAGAGAGAGAGAGAAAGGGGAACAAAGACACATTGGTCGAATAGAAAACAAATAGTAAAATGGTAGATTTGAGCCAGGTGCAGTGGCTTACGCCTGTAATCTCGCACTTTGGGAGGCTGAGGCAGGCAGATCACCTGAGGTCAGGAGTTCAAGTCCAGACTGGCCAACATAGTGAAACCCCATCTCTACTAAAAAACCACAAAATTAGCTGGGATTTGTGGTGCATGCCTATAATCCCAGCTACTCAGGAGGCTGAGGCAGAGGTTGCAGTGAGCCGAGACCACACCATTGCACTCCAGCTTGGGTGATAAGAGTGAAACTCCGTCTCAAAAAAAAAAAGATGGTAGATTTGAACTTGATCATATTAATAACCACATTTTTTTTTTTGGGACAGCATCTTGCTCTGTCACCCAGGCTGGAGTGCAGTGACACAATCTTGGCTCACTGCAGCCTTGACCTCCCAAGCTCAAGCGACCCTCCCACCTTAGCCTCCCAAGTAGGTGGGACTACAGTGCATGCCACCACACCCAGATAATTTTTTGCTTATTTTTTTTGCAGAGACTAGATCTCACTATGTTGCCCAGGACAGTCTTGAACTCCTGAGCTCAAGGGATCTGCCCACCTTGGCCTCCTGAAGTCCTGGGATTACAGGCATGAGCCACCATGCCTGGCCACATTAGATATAAATGGTCTAAATACCCCAATGAAAAACCAAAGATTGTCAGATCATACTGAATAAAAAAAGACCCAATCATATGCCACCTACATAAAGGCCACCTTAAATATAAAAATAGACATAAATTAAAATAGGCTTATATTTTGATAATATAATAATTAGGTGTGTACCCTTATAATAGGGGACAGTGGCTCATACCTATAATCCCATGTTTTGGGAGGCCAAGGTGGGAGGATTACGTGAGGCCAGGACTTTGAGGCTAGCCGATGCAACCCAGTGAGACCCCGTCTTTACAAAAGTTTAAAAATTAGCCAGGCATGGTGGCACATGCCTATAGACCTAGATAGGAGGCTGAGAAGGGAGGATCACTTGAGTCCAGAAGGTTGAGGCTGCAGTGAGCCATGATCATGCCTCTGTACTCCAGGATGGGTGATAGAGCAAGACCCTGTCTCCAAATAATAATAATAATGTTGGCTGGGCGCAGTGGCTCACGCCTGTTATCCCAGCATTTGGGAGGCTGAGGTGGGTGGGTGGATCACCTGAGGTCAGGAGTTCGAGACCAACCTAGCCAACATGGTGAAACCCCATCTCTACTAAAAATACAAAATTTAGCTGGGCGTGACGGTGCGTGCCTGTAATCCCAGCTACTCAGGAAGCTGAGGCAGGAGAATCGCTTGAACCCAGGAGGTGGAGGTTGCAGTGAGCCAAGATTGTGCCACTGCACTCCAGCGTGGGCGATAGAGTGAGACTCCATCTCAAAAAACAAATAAACAAAAAGACATACCTGTTCTAAACACTGCACACTTAATAAAGATTCAAAATACACAAAGCCAAAACTGCTAGAACTGCAGGAAAAATAGAGAAGTTCATAATTAAGTTTGGAGATTTCAGTATCCCTTCATAATCAATATACATTTAAATAACTCATAAAGGAGGAATCAAAAGGAAAATTAGAATTTTTTATTTTTTTGAGATGGAGAAATGGACAATTTAAAAAATTTTTTTTTTATGGTTAAATATTACTTTTATGTTTTAATTAATGAATTAATTTTTTTAAATTGAGATGGAGTCTTGCTCTGTCACCCAGGCTGGAGTGCAGTGGCGTGATCTCGGCTCACTGCCGAACTCTGCCGCTGGGTTCAAGCAATTCTCGTGCCTCAGCCTCTGGAGTATCTGGGATTACAGGTACATGCCACCAGGCCTGGCTAATTTTTTTTATTTTTAGTAGATGAGGGTTTTGCCCTGTTGGCCAGGCTGGTCTCAAACTCCTGACCTTGGGTGATCTGCCCACCTCGGCCTGCCAAAGTGCTGGGATTACAGGCGTGAGCCACCATGCCCAGATACTTTTATTTTTCTACCTATTTTGGTTTAGGACAGATGCCTCTGACTTGAATAGACCATCAGAGATGTGTAACATTAATTTTAGAAAACCACTCAGAGAGCTCCCTTAGGAAACAACACAAGTTTCTGCTTTCCCACCACCCATGCTTCTGGACCTGTGCTCGCAGAGAAGTCCTCTGTTATCAGGCTGGCTTCATAAGTCAGTCCCAGAATCTTTGAAGGCATGTTGATGCTGAAATGGAAAGGGTTTCAGTGCAATCTCTTCCAGCTTCATAGATGAAGCCCTAGGACAGAAGTAAACTTTCCTATTTACAGCAGGTCCTTGAATAATGTTTTGTTCAACGTCATTTGGTTATAACATTGAGGAGAAAAAAATCTGACTCCTGGCCGGGCCACTGTCTGTTTGCATGTTCTCCCCATGTTGGCGTGGGTTTTCTCCAGGTACTCCCACATCACAAAACTGTGCATGTTTGGTTAGTTGGCATGCGTAAATGGTCCCAGTCTGAGTGTGAGCGTGTGTATGAGTAAGCCCTGCGATGGGATGGCTTCCTGTCCAGGATTGGTTCCCGCTTTGCACTCTACGCTGCCAGGATAGGCTCTGGCCACTCATGACCCGACCCTGCACTGCTTATTCATTTCCGTGATGTTTATCCAGACTTTGTTCAAACTCATCTCTCCAGATTCAATCTTCTCAAGTTTTTTTTGCTTGCTGAATAGTTCTTCATTAAGTTTGGGGATTTCCTGGAATGAGCTTTTCTGATTAGATTCCATTGTTCGAAATTTTTCCTTGAGGGCATCCAGATCCTCCTTGAGAGCAACCTGCATCCACACCAAGCCAACACAGGCCACAACACAGGCAGAGAGGGTGACAAAACCACAGAGCGGATAGCAGATCTTGCAGCATCGTCAATAGCCTCCCTTGGCAAAGCGAGAGCGATTTCCAACCACACCGAATTCCTCTTCCTCCTTGGAGCTGGACTCAGAGTCTAAGTCAGGAGGCTCAGGGCGAAGCAGGCGGTGACTGCTTGGGCTTCTTTCTCTGGCTGTCCCCAGCCAAACCAATCAATACATTGAGCTCTTTGGGCATTTTCATCTTCTTGTGTGGGGTGAGTGGAGCCCCGACTCCTGAGCTGCCAGGTGCGCACCCGACGCCCAATTCTCTTCCTGCGTTAGAGCTGCCTTCCAGGGTTGGGGATCCTGGGCCAGAGCCCCCTAGTCACTCCGCCAGGGACTGGAGATTGGAGCCCAGAGGAAGCTGGAACTCAGATGGGTGGGGGAAGTCACATAGAAATGGCCAAGGAGCTGATGACCCCAAGGATAAGGGCTGGTGGGCAGAGCGTTAGTAAAGAGGGTGGAAAGGGACCTTTATCTCCCAAAGGGCGAAAAAAGCCAAGTCAAAAATGAAGGATTCTCAGCCCTGATGAGTAGGCAATACTTCTAAGGGTGCTGCTCCAGGAGCTGGGGAAGGGCACACAAAATAGATGTTTTGGACCTCCGGGGCAGAATTTTCAATGGAGAGGGAAGAGAAACTTATTTATTTATTTATTTATTTATTTTTTCTTTGAGACGGAGTCTCGCTCTGTCGCCCAGGCTGGAGTGCAGTGGCACGATCTCCACTCACTGCAAGCTCCGCCTCCCTGGTTCACACCATTCTCCTGCCTCAGCCTCCTGAGTAGCTGGGACTACAGGCGCCTGCCACCACGCCCGGCTAATGTTTTTGTATTTTTAGTAGAGACGGGGTTTCACTGTGTTGGCCAGTATGGTCTCGATCTCCTGACCTCGTGATTCGCCTGCCTCGGCCTCCCAAAGTGCTGGGATTACAGGTGTGAGCCACCGCGCCCGGCCGAGAAACTTATTCTTGAGTGGGAAGAGTGGGGAGGTGCAGAGCAAGAACGTGGGAACGCGTCAGTCCCTTCCTAGCAGAAGAGGTGGCGGCAGGAGGGAGCTCCCAGCAGCTACAACCCCAACACTGCTTGGCCGCGGAGAAAATGCCCAGGCCAGGAAGCCGGCTGGGGTGTGTGATGATCACCGTTCTCTGGCCTCTGTCCTGAAAGTGAAAGGGGCCCGAGGCTGAGAAAGATCCGGAGCCCGGCTCTAAGGGCTCATCCTGAGAGAAGCCAGTCCCGCGCCTACGAGACCTCCGCCCCGCTGTCTGGGCCTGGGGGTCGCCGTGCGGCGGGCTACGGCTGCTCAGCCAACCGATAGCGCTTCCGCCTGGAGTTTGAGGTCTCAGGCAGGGGCAACTCTCAGTCACTCAAACGCGCAGGCCCTACTCTAGCCGCAACTCTGGCCCCTGCTCCGGCTCTGGCCGCGGCTGCTCCCTACACGTTGTTGTTATTGTGGGCGGTGGAGGCCGCGGGCTCCAGACCCAGGCCATCGCTCCGGCCCCATATTTTTAAAAATTTATTTATTGAGACAGTGTCTTACTCTATCATCCAGGCTGGAGTGCAGTGGTACAGTCACAGCTCACTACAGCCTCGACCTCCTGGGCTCAAGCAATCCTCCCACGTTTGCCTTCTAAGTAGCTGGGACTACAGGTGCGAGCCACCACGTCCAGCTTTTTTTATTTTTTGCAGAGACGGGGTCTCACTATGTTGCCCAGGCGCTTTTAGCTTGTTTTGAAACATCATGTTAATTTTCACCTGTTTGGTAGGGATTTACTTTGCTGTTTTCTATGCAATTTTGTATTATATTTCATAATCTTTTTCTGTTGCTTACTTTCACGTGAAATGCATTTTCCTGTACTTATTGGGAGAGACACGACAGAATAGCTTTTCTAGCCTCAAGGCTCATGAAGTTCTATTATTTTCAGAAAGTGACTAAAATAGCCTAATACTTTGAGATGTTTCCTCTGCTTCTCTCTCACTTCTGTCTATACCTTTTCTTTCTTTTACCTCTTATTGTCACTGTCCTGCTCAATTTGGAATCTACAACCTCAGAGGGGTTTTGTTTTGGAATGAAGCTCAAATTTGTTAGTTTCAAGAGTTCATGAGAACCTAGACCACTACATCTTCAGAACTTAGCACCATCCCCACAAACTCACGGGCAAATTGGAGTCTATAGAAACCTTCTGTGTTTTGACTGTTGCTAGAATTTTTTTTTTTTTTTTTGAGATGGGAGTCTCATTGGTTCTGTTGCCCAGGCTGGAGTGCAGTGGCAGGATCTCAGCTCACTCCAACCTTCACCTCCTGGGTTCAAGCGATTCTCCTGCCTCAGCCTCCCAAGTAACTTGGATTACAGGTGCCTGCCACCACCACGCCTGGCTCATTTTTGTATTATTAGTAGAGATGGGGTTTCACCAGTTGGCCTGGCTGGTTTCAAACTCCTGACCTCAGGTGATTCACTGTCTCTGCCTCCCAAACAGTTGGGATTACAGGCGTGAGGTACCACACCTGGTTCCAATTTTTTAAATTTTATTTTTGGCCTACCATGCTTTCCAGTGAAAACATGTTGACTTGAGGGCTCTCCTATTCTTAATGCCATCAGATGTCCCATTGCCTTTCCTCCACGGCTTTCCACACAGATGTCCCAAGCAGATCTTATAGCTGCTTTTGTCACTATCTGATCATATTTTGGGATTGTGGAGATACCTTGTCACAAAGATTAGCAGTAGATGCTGTGCATGGATTTCTGCTTTAACTCTCCTAGTTGCTGTTTTTATGAAGGGATTTGGGGAGATTAACAAAAATGACACAACTATTTCTGACTTTTTTTTTTTTCTGTGACAGAGTCTCACTCTGTTGCCTAGGCTGGAGTGCAGTAGCGCAATCTTGGCTCACTGCAACCTCTGCCTCTCACGTTCAAGCGATTCCCGTCTCAGCCTCCCAAGTAGCTGGGAATACAGGTGTGCACCACCATGCCTGGCTCATTTTTTTGTATTTTTAGTAGAGATGGGGTCTCACCATATTGGTCAGACTGGTCTTGAACTCGTGGCCTCAGGTGATCCACCTGCCTCGGCCTCCCAAAGTATTGGGATTACAGGTGTGAGCCACCATGCCCAGCCATCTATTTTTTAATGGACTTCTGATAATCTTTTATTTAGGAATATTTATAAGTGATAATGGTTGTCTAAGAGGTAGTAGAGCATGGTGATTGACAGCATGGGCTTTGGAGTCAGACTACCTGGGTACAAATCCAGTTTCACCCCTATTAGTTGTGTAATCCATAATGTGTTTTTTTAGTTTCTTCTGTAAAATAATAGGTTGTTATGAGAACTAAATGAAATAATATATGTAAAACACTGAGGGAAGTACTAGGTTACTTAATAGGCTAATAGGCATTCAACCAAGATAGCTGTTATACTTAATGTAAGTTTATTTTTTACATTATTGGCTGTATAATAGACTACAAGAATAGAAAACAAACACTTGAAAATGAAAACAAGAACACCAACCTCGATTTTTTTTTTGAGATGGAGTCTTGCTCTGTGGCCCAGGCTGGAGTGCTGTGGTGCGATCCCGGCTCACTGCAAGCTCCGCCTCCCGGGTTCACGCCATTCTCCTGCCTCAGCCTCCCCAGTAGCTGGGACTACAGGCACCCACCACTGCGCCTGGCTAATTTTTTTTAGTAGAGACGGGGTTTCACCATGGTCTCGATCTCCTGACCTCGTGATCCGCCCACCTCGGCCTCCCAAAGTGCTGGGATTACAGGCGTGAGCCACCATGCCTGGCCCAACTTCTTGATTTTATGACAAGATAGAAACTACAACTAAAAACAGCTAGAAAATGATGAAAATGAAAAAACACATGGTTGACCAAGCTGACTTTAGAGGAAAGTTCATAGCCTTAAGCACTTCCATTAAAAGAATGAAAATATATGCAACACACATTCAATACTAGAGTTAACTTCTATTTTCTTTTTTTTTTTTTTTTTTGAGACGGAGTTTCACTCTTGTCGCCCAGGCTGGAGTGCAATGGCACGATCTTGGCTCACTGCAACCTCTGCCTCCTGGGTTCAAGTGATTCTCCTGCCTTAGCCTCCTGAGTAGCTGGAATTACAGGCACCCACCACCACACCTGGCTCATTTTTTTTGTATTTTTAGTAGAGATGGGGTTTCACCATGTTGGCCAGGCTGGTCTTGAATTCTTGACCTTGTGATCCGCCTGCCTTAGCCTCCCAAAGTGTTGGGATTATAGGCGTGAGCTACCGTCCCCAGCCTATTTTCTCTCTTTTTTGAAACGGAGTTTCTCTCTTGTTGCCCAGACTAGAGTGCAATTGCACGATCTCAGCTCACTGCAACCACAGCCTTTGGGGTTCAAGCTATTCTCCCGTCTCAGCCTCCCGAGTAGCTGGTATTACAGGCATGTGCCACCACGCCCGGCTAATTTTATAGTTTTAGTAGAGACGGGGTTTCTCCATGTTAGTCAGGCTGGTCTTGAACTCCCGACCTCAAGTGATCTGCCCGCCTCGGCCTCCCAAAGTACTGTGATTACAAGTGTGAGCCACTGCGCCAGGCCTGTTTTCTCTTTTTTAAGGTGGAAATCAATAAATTAGGGCCGGGCATGGTGGCTTATGCCTGTAATCCCAGCACTTTGGGAGGCCAAGGTGGGTGGATCACCTGAGGTCAGGAGTTCGAGACCAGCCTGGCCAACATGGTGAAACCCCATCTCTACTAAAAATACAAAAAAATGAGCCAGGCGTGGTGGTGGGCACCTGTAATCCCATATACTTGGGAAGCTGAGGCAGGAGAATCACTTGAACCCGCGAGGTGGAGGTTGCAGTGAGCCAATATCACGCCACCGTACACTCCAGCCTGGGCAACAGAGCGAGACTCCGTCTTAAAAAATGAAAGAAAGAAAGTAAAACAGGTATATAGAAGATACTGAGAATATTTTCTACAACTCTAGGCAAATGCATTTGAAAGAAAGCCTCAATGAAATAGATGTTCTCCTAGAAAAAGTACAAGTTATCAAAATTGATGAGAGGGTAAGGGAGAAACAGCTGGAGAAAAGTGCCAGAGAAATAGTCTTTAAAAAAAAAAAAAAGGCCGGGCGCGGTGGCTCACGCCTGTAATCCCAGCACTTTGGGAGGCCGAGGCGGGCGGATCACGAGGTCAGGAGATCGAGACCACGGTGAAACCCCGTCTCTACTAAAAATACAAAAAATTAGCCGGGCACAGTGGCGGGCGCCTGTAGTCCCAGCTACTCGGGAGGCTGAGGCAGGAGAATGGCGTGAACCCGGAAGGCGGAGCTTGCAGTGAGCGGAGATCGCGCCACAGCACTCCCGCCTGGGCGACAGAGCGAGACTCCGTCTCAAAAAAAAAAAAAAAAAAAAAAAAAATTCCAGGCCTAGATATATATACCACTTAATTCTTTCAAATCTTTGAATATCACATTTTCTTTGTTATTTAAACTTTTCTGGCTGGGCGTGGTGGCTTATGCCATAATCCCAGCACTTTGGGAGGCCCAGGTGGGCGTATTACCTGACGTCAGGAGTTCAAGACCAGCCTGGCTAACATGGTGAAACCCCATCTCTACTAAAAATACAAAAATTAGCCAGGCGTGGTGGCGTGCGCCTGTCATCCCAGCTACTTGGGAGGCTGAGGCAGGACAATCACTTGAACCTGGGAGGCGGAGGTTGCAGTGAGCCGAGATCATACCATTGCACTCCAGTCTGGGCAACAAGAGCAAAACTCCATCTCAAAACAAAAACAAAACTTTTTTGAAGTATAAAGAAATAGTCTTTTCTTTGCAGGTTACTTAAATATAGTTATATTTTCATAACATGGCTTAATAATTTATTGTGCCATCCAGCTGAGATGTATAAATCAAAACCACAGCAGTGATTTTAACGTTTAAACAGGACAGTCTACAAAAAAGGAAATACAAATGGCTCAAACAAATAAACAGATACCTAACTTCATTCTTGTTTGTTTTAAAGAGATAAGGTCTCACTCTGTTGCCTAGACTCTGGAGCATAGTGGTGCAATCATGGCTCACTGCAGCCTCAAATTTCTGGGCTTAAGCAATCCTCCTGCCTCAGCCTCCCAAGTAGCTGGGACTTCGGGTGTGCAGTACCACACTTCACTAATTTAAAAAAAAAAAAATTGTAGTGATGAGGTCTTACTATGTTGCCAACCTCATCTTGAACTCGTGGCCTCAAGCGATCTTCCTTCCTGTGTAGGCCCTCAAAGGGCTGAGATTATAGGTGTGAACCACCACGCCCAGTCCCCAACCTTATTCTTAAGTGAATATACAAAATTCTACTGAGATTAAAACGCCATTTTTAAAGTAAGAGATTAGGAAAGATCAAAACATTTGATAACACTTACAAAGATTTAATAGGCACTCTCATGCATTGTGGGTGGGACTGTAAACTGGCACAATCCTTATAGATGGCAACTTGCCAATATCTATCAAAAGTAAAAATGCACATATCTTAACCTAGTAATTCTAACTTTAGATTTCCAGCTTACAGTAAACTCACTCATGTGCAATGTGACCTATATAAAAGGTTATAAAATGAATCATTATTTATAATAGCAAAAGGTTAGGAAAAAAATGTCAGCAGGGACTGCTCAAATATATTATGGTACATTCATACAATAACATCTGCAATTATAGACCAAGAATCAAGAAACTCTTCATGTAACGACATGGGACAATCTCAAAAATATGTTACACAGAGAAGACAAGCTGAAGAACAGTATACACCGTACAATACCACTTAGGAAAAATACCTCTAGAGGGATATTTAAGGAAAAGATAACACTTTTTGGGAAGAGAAAATGAGTTCTAAAGGAGGGAAGGAGACTTCACTGTTTATCGTTCTGTGTCTTTTGAATTTTGAACAATTTTGAAATGAAAACATCCCAATGGAAATACAAGTCTTTTAGGTAAGTTCAAATGAGCATGTATTATATTTCTTTCATCTGACTGATAAACTTTTCCACAATTTCATTGAGTCTTTCAGGCTCCATTAGTTTATTTACCAACTCCTGCTCAACAGCCATTAGGGCTGGGCCAGTAAGCTTCTCTTGTCCCATGGTATTACATAAATATGTCTTAAGACGAGGCAGGGTAGAAAATGAGTTCTCAGTACTTGCTGAAGTAATTGGCCAAGACAAAGCAATATATAATAGCTTTGAGAGACAAGGAATATTACTGTGAAGACCATGCTGAATAAACAAACAGCCGAGACTGACGAAGTTTATGCAACTATCATCTATGACAAAGTTAAGCTTTGCATAATGTCGATAAAATCTAAGTTCTGGGATAATGTCCTCATCAAGTTTATAAAATTCCTGAACATGTTTTGCTGTTGTTTCATTTAATGGTTCATTCCATTTAAATAACAGTTCTGAAATTTGCTTTATTTTGCAATAATCAAACTCCGAAAAACATAACTTTAAATTTTGTAATATAGTATCTAATCCTTGGTAATAGATATTAATTTTATATTGTTCTTCTGTTGAAGTAGGAAAAAACATATTATCTGAATTGCCAAGATCTACTGATTTCTGAATTTTTCTTCTTTTCTGAAGAGAAGGTTTTTCAACTTTAAAACCTTTACAGGTTATTTTTTGACATATTTCCTCTGTTCCATCCCAGATTGTTTTAAAGTATACGTCATTTCTTTCAGATGATAAACATTCCAAAATTGCTTCTATTTTTGAAGACAAAGAAAAAATGTCTATGGTTTTATTTTGAAGCTCTTTGGAAAGAATTCCTGTAACACTCAGCACTCGATACAGGAATTTCAAACAAAAGACAAATTCAAATTTGGAAACCAATGTCAGCAAATGACTCAATTCATCGGCGAAACTTGTATTTGAAGAATGGCTTGCTATAACTTCCAATGTTTCAATAATCTCTGGAAGACTGTCAATCACAGATAGTAATGTACGATCATGGACTGTCCAACATGATTGTGATATATGTTTCTTGCATGTTTTGTTTTGACTTAGCCTATAAATGTTTCGAAAATTTGCCAACATTTCCCCAGACATACAAATAGTGTTGAACAAAGAACTGAGAGTTTTTAGAGCACTTCGGAGTTCTTTTACTTCTTTACAAAACCTAATTATTGATAAATCCAAAAAGTGTGCATAACAATGTATGTATAAAGCTCTTGGTTCTTCTTTCTTGAATTCTGCTGCTATTTTATTAAATTTTATCTTCAAATTAGTGGTGCTATCATAGGCCTGGCCATGTATTTTATCCATATCAACTCCAATTTGCTGCAGATAAGTTTTGATAGTCCTATGTAAGTGGGTCCCAGTCATCTCCTCAGTATCAACAAAACCCAAGAATCTTTCCTTAATTAAGATAGCCTTTGATGATTTTTGTGGGTATCTTACACAAATTGAAAGCTGTTCTTTCATGGCACTATTGATTGTCTCATCACATATGATTGAAAATGCTGAGGAGTCATTGATCTCATTCACAATATCCTGCAACATTTCAGTCTTTATTATTTCGATAATATCACTTTGAATTTGTGTACTGTTATAGAAGTCAACTTGTGAATTCATAAGTCGAAATGTTTCTTCTCCTTTATCTTTTGCTCTCATTTCTAACAATTCTAAAAAATTGCCTTTATTCACAGATGAAACTGACTGGTCGTTTCCTCTTAAGGGTAAACACTGCTTTCCAAGAAATAAAATATTTTCAATTATAAGCTTTAGGTACTTTTTATTTCCCTCAATCTGTTTCGAATGAATAGATAAATCGTCACTGACAGCTCCATCACAAAATTGGTATTCTCTCCAAAATTCCAATGACTTCAAATGCATTTCACTTTTTTCATGCTTTCTGAATTTTTCCAGGGTTTTTTTCCAATTAGAAGTTCCGTGGGTTGCAAATGACTCTCTTCCACAGCTAAAATATTTTTGGCAGAACAACTGGCATGAATAACAGAATGCCACATCTTTTTTACTGTTTTCCAAACACTCAAAATCTGCACAACAAGATTTTTTAATACTTCGTGATTTACCTTTAACTTTTTGTACTTTGGATGTACATTTTGGGTGACATAGTTCATCACTTATTTTCATAGATTTCATATTGTCTTTTTGTACTTCTGTACTGGAACCAATTGCATGCTGACTGAATACTGATGAAGATGGTGAAACGCTTGGCTGTTCCGTACTACTACTAGCAACAGCATTACTGGGTTCACTAGGTGAACTCTTAGAAAGCTTTGGGAGAAAATGAGAAAAGAACATTTAACAGTTTTCAAAAATTAATTAAAATATCAAATATATCTACTCTAATAACATAGTAAAATAAATGGCTGAGTTACAGTATGAGCTCCACTAGGGGGAAACGTTAACAATTACGTATAACTTATTTATTTGCAATCTAGATTCAGCATTAAATGTTTGAAGGACCTTTTGGTATGTAATTGTCATAAAAATAATTTTTATTGCTCAGATGACTCAAATTGTGTAGTATTTTTTTAAAAGAAGAACCCAGAGGAAAAAAATACTTCTGTTTAAACAATCTACAAACATACACACACACCCCATATATGAATACATAATACATAAAATATATATTAAATATATAAATATAATATATAATAAATATACATTATAATATATTTATATTATATACAATATATTATAATATATTTATATTATATATTTATATTTTTATATATTATAGTATATATTATATATATATATAAAAAATCTGGGCCAGGTGTGGTGGCTCATGCCTGTAATCCCAGCACTTTGGGAGGCCAAGGTGGGCGGATCACCTGAGGCCAGCAGTTCGAGACCAGGTTGGCCAACATGGTGAAACCCCTTCTCTACTAAAAATACAAAAATTAACTGGGCATGGTAGCAGGCGCTGGTAATCCCAGCTACTCAGGAGGCTGAGGCAGGAGAATCGCTTGAACCCAGGAGGCAAAGGTTGCAGTGAGCTGAGATCACGCCACTGCACTCCAGCTTGGGTGGCAGAGCGAGACTCTGTCTCAACAACAACAACAACAAAAATCTGCTTATTAAAAAAAGACAGTGGTAAAAAAAGTTAAAACTTACATCCACAATGACATCTGCTGTTGCTGTTACTGAAGAAACTGTATCTGTTAAAATAGAGCATAAATTCAAGATCTTATATACTATAACCTATAAAATAGCATCATAAACTATATTTGCTTATTTCATATAAGAAACAAAAAGAAAATTTAGCATATAGACAGATTTATCAAGTATGACAAAACAATATTTATGTCAAATATCTTAACATCAACTTTTACCTTGTAAGACATCAGTGTTCATGATGGGCAAGGCAACATCGGTGTCTGCCAATGACACTATATTGCTTATAACTGGAGTCGTATCTTTCTTTGGAGAAAGAAGCTCTGTTGAAGTATCATGCACCACAGAAACAACACTTACTGACAACAATAAAAAGATTTCTTATAAACAAGGCAAAATCAATCATCAGAAAGTACTGTTTAGTAATACTGTTTAAAGAAATAATGCAAGCATCTAATAGCTTAAGGAATTGGTAGGTACTGAAGTAATTTTTATTAGGGCTTAGGAATAGCCAGGTTCTTTAGTATCGTATTTATAATTACAACATTACACTGAAAATTTACACTTCTCCAACATTTTATGTCTTTTACCTTTGTACACAATTTCCCAGTCCTTTTAAAGAATTTGTTTAAAATTATGAGCAAATTTTTCTGTGAAATTACTCATGAAGAAAAGAGATTCTGATTGAATCTCCTAATGGGCATCTATTTCAAACTCTTCCAGGATTCATAAACCTTAACATCAATGGAGCGCTAGGTTGGTGCCCAAGCCACTATTGCAGAAATTTCTGTAACAAGCCAGTTTGTATGACTTACAAATCCCAGAGGCATTAGTCACTCTATGGTCTATGTAAATAGCACCACTGGTCCTACATGAGGCTTTTTGATGGAATACTTAGTTGGCTCAGATTATTTGTGCTTTTTTATTATTGAGTCTTAAAGCATTTACAATCACTTCTATTTCATGTGAAAAATGTAATGAAAACTTGTTTTTACAAAACAGGGCTAAGTAAAACATTCTATATTCTAATAAAAGCAGTCTTGTAAATGTATTAAACTCTATATTGACCAAGTGCCTCCTATGTACCATGTTTTGCAGTAGGTGCTCAATATATATTGATGTAAACATACATATATTCATTTACTAAATAATCTAAAAAAAGACATGTATCTTTTAATTTTTATTATTATTATTTTTGAGATGGAGTCTCACTCTGTCACCCAGACTGGAGTGCAATGGTGCGATCTCGGCTCACTGCAACCTCCACCACCCAGGTTCAAATGATTCTCCTGTCTCAGCCTCCTAAGTAGCTGGGACTACAGGGACCCACCAACACGCCCAGCTAATTTTTTTTGTATTTTTAGTAGAGACGGGGTTTCAACATGTTGCCCAGGCTGGTCTCAAACTCCTGACCTCAGGCGATCTGCCCACTTTGGCCTCCCAAAGTGCTGGGAATACAGGCATGAGCCACCGTGCTTGGCCTACAAATATTAAATCTCTGGTGGTAAAGTAGCCTTCCTTTTATACAAAAATACTGAAAAACAGTTCTTTGCAACAAGTTTAGATTGTTTTGACTTTTAAAAGTCGGTTTAATTTGAAAATGAATCAAGGTTATAAATTAAAGTCAAATAATATTATTTATTAATAATTACTAAACCCCTACAATTGCTAAACAAACATTACCTGAAGAAGATTCCATCTTAGCTTTACTGTATGCAGAGAAACAATTAATAGAGCAGAAAAGCTCTGTCTTCCCCAAATCACTCGTAGTCTCAATCATTTCATCTGAGGGCTTCAATGGTTTGCAAGGAACAGATATAAGTGGTTTGGCAGGTTTCTGTTTAGAGATTAAAATAATATTCATATTCCTGGTATATGATATGTTGTTAATGAAGAAGAACCTATTACCACTGCTTTTAGTTGGAATATTAAAAAGAATAACAATTAAGACAGTTTTTACATTTTCTTAAAAAGACACTACAGATTGCAATAACTAAAAGAATATTGGCAAATCTGAAAATGATTTTTATTATTTATCAGATATATTTAACAGCAATAATAATAATACCTATGAAAGCAGTAAGGCCAGGTGCAGTGGCTCATGCATGTAATCCCAGCACTTTGGGAGGCCAAAGCAGGCAGATCACCTGAGGTCAGGAGTTCGAGACCAGCCTGGCCAACATAGTGAAATCCCGTCTCTACTAAAAATACAAAAAATTAGCTAGGTGTAGTGGCGAGCGCCTGTAATCACAGTTACTCAGGAGGCTGAGGCAGGAGAATCACTTGAACCTGGGTGGCAGAGGTTGCAGTGAGCTGAGATTGTGACACTGCACTCCAGCCTGGGCAACAAGAGTGAAACTCCTTTTCAAGGGAAAAAAAAAAAAGCAATGAAGAAAGTGGTCACAGAAGTTCATTTCAGGCAGTCAAAGCCTACTGGATAAACAAAGGCCTTATATAGTTATAGATCTGTCCTCAATGGTAGCTTGGGAATTAACTTGGGAAGATGTCTACCGATGCTGAGGAGGAGCCAGGAAGGAGTGCTTAACTTAAATACCTTACAAGATACTGTGGGAATCACTGTTTTTCTAGGCTAACTTCATGGTAAAAATTACAAGCATATTGTAAGAAAGCAGCATACAAGCAATAGAAAGTATAGAGTACTGTGAGTTCAGTAAGTAGTAACCATGCAAAAGAAAGGATATAAACTTTGAAAGGCAGGCATTACTGTAAAGATTATGCTCACCACCTATTCTTTCTAGTCAAACAGGAACCAATATTCCTGGATTTCAGAATATGTCAGAGCCTAGGCACAGTGGCTCACGCCTGTAATCTCAACTTTCAGAGGTTGAGGCGGGGGGATCACTTGAACCCAGGAGTTTGAGACCAGACTGGTAAAATAGTGATACCTCATCTCTAATAAATAAATAAATAAAAATAAAAAATTAGCCTAGTGTGGTGGCGTGCGCCTGTAGTCCCATTTACTTGTGAGGCTGAGGTGGGAAGGATCACTTGAGCCCAGGAAGACAGAGGTTGCAGTGAGCCGAGATCATGCCATTGCACTCCAGCCTGGGTGACAGAGTAAGACTCTGTCTCAAAAAAAGAAAGAAAAAATAATACATCAGGCTCAGTGTGGTGGCTCTTGCCCGTAATCCCAGCACTTTGGGAGGCTAAGGCAGGAAGATCACTTGAGCCCAGGAGTTCGAGACCAGCCTAGGCAGCAAAGTGAGACCCATCTCTACAAAAAACACAAACATTAACCAGGTGTGGTGGCGCATGCCTGTGGTCCCAGCTACATGGGAGGCTGAGGCAGGAGGATTGCTTGAACACCTGAGGTTGGGCCTCCAGTGAGCTTTGCTCACACCATGCACTCCAGCCTCCATCCTGGGTGGAAAAGCAAGACTCAGTCTAAAAAAAAAAAAAAAAAAAAAAAATCACCGATGGAACAAAACTGCTTTTGGAGATGCAAAGTACACAGACAGGCTGGGCACGGTGACTCACACCTGTAATCCCAGCACTTTGGCAGGCCGAGGCGGGCAGATCATCTGAGGTCAGGAGTTCAAGACCAGCCTGGCCAACATGGTGGAACCCCGTCTCTACAAAAATACAAAAATTAGCTGGGTGTGGTGGTGTGCGCCCAAGTAACCCCAGCTACTTGGGAGGCTGAGATGGAAGAATTGCTTGAACCTGGGAGGCGGAGGTTGCAGTGAGCTGAGATCGTGCCATTGCACGCCAGCCTGGGCAACAGAGCAAGACTGTGTCTCAAAAAAACAAAAACAAAACAAAACAAAACCCACCAAAGTACAAAGACAAAAAAATACATATACGTTTTATTTTTCTGTGAGAGAACAGGATATTGGCAAAGGCACAACAAAACAAAAAGGATAATTTCGAAAATTTCTATTTTTATCCTTTATTAGTATGAACAACTTTTATATTTTGAGAAATCTTAACAATTCACTAATCTTTAACGTTAAGCAACAATAGTGGCATAATTTATTTTTATTTATTTATTTATTTTTGAGACAGAGTCTTGCTCTGTTGTCCAGGCTGGAGTGCAGTGGTATGATCTCGGCTCACTACAACCTTTACCTTCCCCAGGTTCAAGCAATTCTCCTGCCTCAGCCTCCCGGGTAGCTGGGATTATTAGGTGTGTGCCACTATGCCCGGCTAATTTTTGTATTTTTAGTAGAGATGGAGTTTCACCATGTTGGCCAGGCTGGTCTTGAACTCCTGACCTCAAGTGATCCTCCCGTTTGGCCTCCCAAAGTGCTGGGATTACAGGCGTGAGCCACCGCACCTGGCCCAATAGTGGTATCATTTATAATTAAGTTAGTTTAATATTCATAAGGGAAGGCTAACTTAATATATTCTATTAACATATGGCCAAAATAATTACAATTACATCTAATAATCCACTTTTTAAAAATAAAAAGCTACCCCATTTTTAGATTCACATATTTGGACATTTTTCTAATTCTGGATTATAGTTCACTAACATTGTAGATTTACTCCATTATCACTGTCACATGATGTCTTACATTCAGATGCAAGGGGAAAGTGTTAGGCTGTGCTTGTTAACTAACTCGTTTACCCAAATCAGTCTTGCCCCATCACATAAGCTGAACAACTGGGTACTCAATACAGGTTTTTTTTTTTTTTTCTGAGACAGAGTCTCGCTCTGTCGCCCAGGCTGGAGTGCAGTGGCACGATCTCGGCTCACTGCAAGCTCCGCCTCCCGGGTTCATGCCATTCTCCTGCCTCAGCCTCCAGAGTAGCTGGGACTACAGGCGCCCGCCACCACACCCCGCTAATTTTTTTTTTTTTTTGTATTTTTAGTAACGATGGGGTTTCACCATGTTAGCCAGGATGGTCTCGATCTCCTGACCTCGTGATCCACCCGCCTCAGCCTCCCAAAGTGCTGGGATTACAGGCGTGACCCACCGTGCCCGGCATATAGGCTTTTAAAAACAGAACAAGGCCGGCCAGGCGCGGTGGCTCACACCTGTAATCCCAGCACTTTGGGAGGCCGAGGCGGGCGGATCACGAGGTCAGGAGATTGAGACCATCCTGGCTAACACGGTGAAACCCTGTCTCTACTAAAAATACAAAAAATTAGCCAGACGTGGTGGTGGGCACCTGTAGTCCCAGCTGCTCGCGAGGCTGAGATACGAGAATGGCGTGAACCCGCGAGGCGGAGCTTGCAGTGAGCTGAGATTGCGCCACTGCACTCCAGCCTGGGCGACAGAGCGAGACTCCGTCTCAAAAAACAAACAACAACAACAACAACAACAAAAAACAACCCAGAACAAGGCCTATTGAGTGTCAAAAAGAAAGAAAGAAAAAAAAAGGAATATTATTTCCTGCCTTTGGGAGAAGTCTTCTGTGCTTTCCGTTCTGGTCCCAAGGCAGGATACTCTCAAGATGGGGGCCATAGAAAAGATGTGAGTCACAAATGATCTATTTGAATTATGGCTTGTTTTGACTCCCATCTTCAACTGCTTTTTTTTTTTTTTTTTTTTTTTGAGACGGAGTCTCACTCTGTCGCCTAGGCTGGAGTGCAATGGTGCCATCTCGGCTCACTGCAACCTCCACCTCCCGGGTTCAAGAGATTTTCCTGCCTCAGCCTCCCAAGTAGTTGGGATTATAGGCGCCTGCCACCATGCCCAGCTAATTTTGGTATTCTTAGTAGAGGCGGGTTTTCGCCATGTTGGCCAGGCTGGTCTCCAACTCCTGACCTCAGGTGATCGGCCAGCCTCGGCCTCCCAAAGTGCTGGGATTATAGGCATCAGCCACTGCACCCGGCCAACTGCTTGTTTTTAAGGAAGTCTGTATAGGGATAGAGTTGGGTCTCAAAATATGATATGAACAAGCAACATATCTAAGAAGTCCCACCTCATCTCATTTGCTCTTTCTCTGCTCTCAGAAGCACCCACCCAGAGCTTGTCTATCAGAAATAGGGACAAATAATACTAATCTCACTGGATTATTTCCTCCTATGACTGACTCAGAGAAAGCATGTGATATTTTTTGTTTGTTTTTTTAAAGACAGGTTCTTGCTATGTTGCTCAGGCTGGTTCTGAACTCCTGGCTCAACTGAACCTCCCGCCTTGGTCTCCCAAAGTGCTGAGATAACAGGTGTAAGCCACCATGACTGTCCACATGTGACATTCTTGATTCATCTTTGCATTGTTTGGTGTAAGAGTTAAACACGTGGAATTAAAAACAAAAACATGGCTAGGCTCACATCTGTAATCCCAGCACCTTAGGAGACCAAGGCAGGAGGATCAGCTGAGTTCAGGAGTTGTAAGACAAGCTTGGGCAACATAGTAAGAGCTTGTCTCTACAAAAAAATTAAAAATTAGCCAGGTGTGGTGGTGTGTGCCTGTAGTTCCAGCTACTCGGGACGCTGAGGTGGGAGGATCACTTGAGCTAAGGAGGTCAAGGCTACAGTGAGCCATGATTGCCACTGCACTCCAAGCTGGCTGACAAAGACCTCGTCTCAAAAAAATCAAAATAAATAAAAAAAATAAATAGCTGGGCACAGTGGCTTACGCCTGTAATCCCAGTTCCTTGGGAGGCTGAGGCAGGAGAATTGCTTGAACCTGGGAGGCGGAGGTTGCAGTGAGCCAAGATTGTGCCACTGCACTCCAGCCTGGGCAAGACAGCGAGACTCCGTCTCAAAAAAAATAAATAAGGTCAGGTGTGGTGGTTCATGCCTGTAATCCCAGCACTTTGGGAGGCCAAGGCAGGTGGATCACGAGGTCAGGAGATTGAGACCATCCTGGCTAACACAGTGAAACCCCATCTCTACTTAAAATACAAAAAATTAGCCAGGCGTGGTGGTGGCGGGTGCTTGTAGTCCCAGCTACTTGGGAGGCCGAGGCAGGAGAATGGCATGAACCCGCGAGGCAGAACTTGCAGTGAGCCGAGATCGCGCCACCGCACTCCAGCCTGGGTGACAGAGGAAGACTCCATCTCACCAAAAAAAAAAAAAAAAAAAAAAAGAAAGAAATAAAATAAATACATAAAAATAAAAACAAAAATACTTTTGTGTTTGGGTTTTATTGACCAGCAGACTATTGTTATTTTTGCTATACTTATTTCTAGTTTATAAACCGGCTCCAGCCTGCCTGCCTTTTCTTTAAGGTGAGATAATCGATCTGAGATTATTTAGGAAAATCTCCATATAGCATTTATCATGAATTCTTATGCAAGAAGAAACCGTTAAAAGCCTTCTATTTCATCTTCATCAACTTATCGACATTATTCCAAAGGGTACCAAAAACTACTTCCCACATTTTCCTAGAGTGAAACCATTCATAGGCCAGTTAATAGAAGAAACAATAGGTCTTTATTCATACCTGCTTATATGCTGTAATACTCTTTGAACTATTAAAGTAATGAGACTGTCCTTCCATCTGAAGTATGTGGGACAGACTAGAGCTGGTGTAACAGTAAGTGCCACAGTTCTCACAGCAGTTCATGATGAAGTTGTTAGCAGAGTGAAACTTTGAAAGGCAGGCATTACTGCAAAGATTATGTTTCACATTTTGGTATTTTACTTCATACTGAATCTAGGATTTAATAAAAAGATTCAGTAAAAACTCTGATATTTAAGCAGAATCATCAGAATCCCTGTAAAGGTTATAATTGGAACTTACAATAGCAGTCTTCTGGCACATGCTGCACTTGGTCAAAATGCTATTAGTACATATGGTAACAAATGGTTTTCTTTTTTCTTCATATGATGAAAGACAAGATAGGCTGCAAAAAGTTTTGCAAGAGGTAGTGTCTTCCAGCTGGACACTAATCACATCCTTTGGATTTAAAATGTCTCTAAGAATAAATAACAAGGACATCATTAAACAGTTTAAACACAATTATAACTTCTCTTTATAAATGAAATGACCTCTCAAATTAGAGTAAGAACATTAGCCTTGAAATAAGAAAACCTGAATTTGGTACCCAGTTCTGTCACATTTATACTCCCTAAATTTTAATTTTCTCATCTATACATTACAGATTATAAAGCACATCTAATAGTGCAGTTTTGTTTTTTAAGAGATAGGGTCTTGCTGTGTTGCCCAAGCTGGCCTCAAATTCCTGGGCTCAAGAGATTCTCCCACCTCAATCTCCCACATAGCTAGGATTACAGGCACATAATCCCACCATGCCTGACTTTGAAGATGTAGTTTTGGAGACTAGCCAGCCTGTATTATTAGGTGGTGCTAGTGAAAACCGAGGGATGATGAGAGATCACATATTCACATGAGCAACTCTAGAATCTATAGGACAGAGAATCTTAAAATATGGTCTTCAAATCCCTGGGGGAGTCCCCAAGATCAAAACTATTTTCATAGTAAGATGTTATTTGCTTTTTCACCGTGTTGATGTTTGCAACATCACTTTGCAACTGATGTTGCAAAGCTAATGGTAGGACCCTGCAATCCCACTCCTTGGTAAACACCCAAAAAAACTGAAAACAGGTACTCAAACAAGCACATGTACGTGCATATTCATAACAGCACTATTCACAATGGTCAAAAGATGAAAACAGCCCAAATGTTCATCAGTAAGTGAATGAATGAATAAGCACATTGTGTTACATACATACAGTGGAATATTATTCGCCTATTAACAAAAAGAATAAAGTACTGATACATGTTACAACATGGACAAACCTTGAAAATATTATGCTAAGGGAAAGAACCAGACACAAAAAGTCACTGCACTCTAGCCTGAGCAACAGAGTAATAATACCCTGTCACAAAAAGGTCATATATGATTCCATTTACATGAGATATTCAGGATAGATAAAATCTATAGATATAATGCATACTGGTGGTTGACAGGCACTGGGGGGAGAGGGAAATTAGGAGAAACTGCTTAGTGTTTAAGGTGTTTTACTTTGAAGTGATGGAAATGTTTTGGAACAAGATAGAGGGGATGGTCACACAACATTATGAATATACTAAATGCCAATGAAATGGTTAATTTCTTGGTATACAAATTTCACTTCAATGAATTTGGAAAAGAAAAAAGGCAATGGTGGGTAAAACCGTCAGAGCCTTAGCAGAAATCAAGGCAGTGGCACCAAAATGTGCTAATATTCATGTTATTCCCTGCTATACATTCACTGCCAAAAAAAATTCTTTTTAAAGTATCAGTTTCACTTAAGGAAGTACTCAATGAAACAGCAAAATATTTTAAATTATTTAAACTTCATCCTTAAGTACATTTAAAAAATATTCTGTCTTGGCCAAGTGGTAGGGTGAGAAAAAAAAATTCCGTGTGACAACACAGGACATAAGCATAAAGTACTTCTGTACACCAAAGGATGATGGTTGTCTCAAGGAAAAGCCCATATGGAAATGTTGAGTTATAAATGAATTAGCCACTTTTTTCATGGAAAACATTTTTACTTGAAAGTACTGTAAACAGTTTACTGTAAATAAAGACAAACTATTATCCAGAAGTGGGTATCTGCAGATATTTTCTTGAAAATGAAAAAAATGAGACTGTCACTTCAAGTAAAACGACAGTATTTATCGCCAACAATAAAATTTTGTCTTTCAAGTGATAATTAGAATTTTGGAAAACTTGTATCTTCCAACTTCAACTTGATCGATACCCAAAACTTAAAAACTTTTCTGAGATTAGTGGTGATTTTTAAAATACTGCATAATAAAATGAGAACATCTAGAAGATCTGCAGAACTCAGTGAACCAGTATTTTCCAAACTACAATAGCATATTACAAAAATCATTCACGGGTAAAAGATCCATTCAAAGTACAAGATAGATTAACGAATTCTAACATAACAGAGTGCAAAAAGTTCACTGATCCACATGGTACAAAAAGTTTGATCCCACATTGCAACTAGCCTTTAAGAAACTACCACTTGATTTTTGGTTGTAGTATCAAAGAACACCCACAACGATCTAAAAGGCTACTAAAACACTCCCCCCTTTTCCAATCACCTATTTATGAGGCCAGGTTTTCTTCAGACTTCAACCAAAACAACACTTTGCAATAAAGTGAAGGCAGAAACAGATACAAAAATCCAGCTAGATGTAAAGTGATTTGCAAAACTGATAAAACAATACTTATCAATTTTTAAAAATATGGGTATTTTTCATTTAAAATGTCATTTAATTTTTGATACAGTTAATATTCATAATCTACATAACTAAAGCTCTTTGGGTGTTCAATAATTTTTAAGGGTACAAGAAGTCCTGAGACCAGAAAGTTTGAGAACAGCCACTATAGAAAATATCAATACACCTAATAGCAGGCGCGGTGGCTCACACCTTTAATCTTGGGAGGCCAAGGTGGGCAGATCACTTGAGGTCAGGAGTTCGAGACTAGCCTGGCCAACCCCGTCTCTACTAAAAATATTTAAAAACATTAGTATTTTGTGATCAATGTTTTGGGAGTTATGAACACGACACTGTAAAATCACAGACCACAGAAGAATTAATTTGGGGGGTGGGCGGTTGTAAGAGGAGAGTGAGGAATGGTGTGGGAATAGACAAAAGGTAAAGATATTTGAGGCATACCTTTCAGACAGAATAAAGATACCAGCCAGATGGGAAGGGAGGAAGAAGAAACTACATCAGCGACGCATGGAAGTCTGAAAATGCTTCTTAGTTTTTATTGCTATCAGCATACTAGATTGCTGGCTTCTAAGAATCTACTAAAGCTTTATAAAAAATTGAAAAATGAATGTTGGCCAGGCACGGTGGCTCACATGTGTAATCCTGGGAGGCTGGGGCAGGCAGATACCTGAGGTCAGGAGTTGGGAGACCAGCCTGGCCAACACGGTGAAACCCCATCTCTACTAAAAATACAAAAATTAACGGGGCATGGTGATAGGCACCTGTAATCCCAGTTACTAGGGAGGCTGAGGCAGAAGAATCGCTTGAACCTGGGAGGCGGAGGTTGCAGTGAGCTGAGATCCCGCTATTGAACTCCAGCCTGGGCAAAACGGTGAGACTCCGCCTCAAAAAAAAAAAAAAAAAGAATGTTGGCTGGGTACGGTGGCTCACGCCCATAATGCCAGCACTTTGGGAGGGCAAGCCAGGAGGATCACTTGAGCCCAGGAGTTCAAGACCAGTCTGGACAACATGGTGAAATCATCTCTACAAAAAAATACAAAAACTGGACAGGCAGGGTGGCATGTGCCTGCAATCCCAGCTACTTGGGAGGGTAAAGGTGGGAGTATTGCTTAAGCCCAGGTGGTCGAGGCTGCAGTGAGCCAAGATGGTGCCACTGCACTCCAACCTGGGTGACAGACAGGGACCTTGTCTCAAAAAAAAAAAAGAAACGCCAACAAATTAGGAACAACTTTCCGATAAATAAATCAAACCTTAGTGCAGGGGCCTATTTTGGACTTTATTGATTGCATTCAGGATTTGCGGTTGGTTCCAACTGAGATACTAAAGTGAAGAAATGACACTTCTTAAATACAAAGTTCCCAAGAACAAGTCACATCTTTTTTTTTTTTTTTGAGACAGGGTCTCACTCCGTTGCCCAGGCTGGAGTGCAGTCGTACAATCTCAGCTCACTGCAACCTCCGTCTCCTGGGTTCAAGCAATTCTCCTGCCTCAGTCACTGGTGTAGCTGGGTTTACAGGCACACACCACCACGCCTGGCTAATTTTTATATTTTTAGTAGAGACAGGGATTTGTGGTGTTGGCTAGACTGGTCTCGAACTCCTGACCTCCAGTGATTCTCCTGCCTTGGCCTCCCAAAGTGCTGGGATTACAGGTGTGAACCACCTCGCTTGGCCCACAAATCGCATCTTTCTAATAAGATTTAAAATGTCATCTTCAAAGGGATCTTCCATTTGGTCCATGAAATAGAATAAAAAGTGCATTGACTCAAAACAGATATTAAATCATTCCTATAAAAGAAATCTTAAAAAGTAACTAAAAATCAGGCAGGGCGTGGTGGCTCATACCTATAATCCCAGCACTTTGGGAGGCCGAGGAAAGCAGATCACCTGAGGTCCGGAGTTCGAGACCAGCCTGGCCAACATGGCGAAACTGCATCTCTACTGAAAATAAAAAAACTAGCTGGGCACAGTGGCACACGCCTGTAATCCCAGCTACTTGGGAGGCTGAGGCAGGAGAATTGCTTGAACCCAGGAGGTGGAGGTTGCAGTAAGCCAAGATTGCACCATTGCACTCTGGCCTGGGTGACAGATTGAGACGAGACTCCGTCTCAGACAAAACAAAACAAAACAAACAAACAAACAAAACTGAAAATCAGCACGGTGGCTCACACCTGTAATCCCGGCACTTTGGGAGACCAAGGCAGGAGGATCACTTGAACTCAGGAGTTTAAGATCAGCCTGGGAAACATAGTGACTCTGTCTCTGCAAAAATAAATAAATAAGTAACTGAAAATTATTTTCAGTTCAGGATAGTTTCACTGGAAGATAAAAAAACCCCAGAAGAATAGCTAAAATTTATGTAAAAGGCTAATTAATGTGGAATTTTTAAGTTTTGAAAAAAGCAGCCTACTCTGAATCATGGATGGCCTTTTCCAGCCTAAAATTTACTACCATCTTTCTACCCACTACAATATAATATTTTTTATAAAAAAATTTTATTCTAGAGGAAGTAAAACTTATCTCAGATTTTTACTCATATTGGATTTCCATGCCTAGGAGAACTTACACACTAAATCTTTCCTGCTTCAGCCTTTTTCAATCTGTCTGGGACATCTGCTGAAGATGTGTAGTGAGTCTCTAAGGTCCCTTCCAGTTTTATGACTCTGCAGGGAGAGAAAGCAGGCTGAAGAGAGTACTATATGGCCCATAGCAAAAAAGTAAAAAGACAAAAGACTAGTATAGTATTGAAGGGTTGAAAAGCAAAAGAGAATGGTAAGTAACGTGCCATGGAATAAGACCTGAAGCAACAGATAATAACTGAAGCAGCAGCCAGAGGAGCTGAAGCAAACCCATCAAAAGGGTTTGTGAGTTTGTTAAGAGAATAATAATAGTTAACATTTATTGAGTTCTTACTACATGCTGGTATTGTTCTGACCACTTAAATATACTATTTAATGCTCATAATTCTTTTGTACATTTATCAAAAACAGATACGAATACTAAGTAACAAAGAAGTTCTCAATACTGCTCCAACTTTAGCATGTATAGGAATCACATGGCGATAAATGCAGTTCTGAATCAGCAGGTCTGGGTAAGACCTGAGAAAGTGCATTTCTTTTTTTTTCTTTTTGAGACAGTCAGTGCAGTGGCCTGATCTCAGCTTACTGCAACTTTAGCCTCCCGGGTTCAAGCAATTGTCCTGCTTCAGCCTCCCAAGTAGCTGGGATTACAGGTGCATGCCACAGTGCTCAGCTAATTTTTTTGTATTTTAGTAGAGACAGGGTTTCACTGTGTTGCCAGGCTGGTCTCAAACTCCTGAGCTCAGGCATTCTGCCCACCTCGGCCTCCCTAAGTGCTAGGATAACAGGCGTGAGCCACTGCTCCCAGCCTGAGAAAGTGCATTTCTAACAAACTCTTGGGTGATGCTGATCTAGCAACTCAGGGATGAAACTTTGAGTAGTAAAATATAACTAAACAGAAGAAGCAAAATTCAAATTATGGCAACCTGAGTCCAAAACAAGTATTATTTGAAAGAAATTTGTTATATTTAGAAGCACTGTGGTTGCCTATGGATTTTCTTGTTCTGAACAAGAACATTTAAAAATTAGCATATCCTAAGTGCTAACAACCATAATTATACAGCCTTAGGACTCTCAAAGCCAAAATGACACTGATTCTTCACACATTCTCACATAAATTTTTAAAAGATTACATAGAGACATGTAGGTTTATCTATGGCCATCAATTTTTCAAAAGAATCACTTCATTTACCATTATAAAAGAAATATAATATTATTCCACATCTTGGAAAATCCAAACTAACTGTCATAGGATTAATTTTTTAGTAGGTTGCTCCCTATACAGTTAAATAGAACAGAATGGATAAACAATAATCCCATTTACAGAGAATTTCAAATGAAAAGAGTAAAGGTGAAGAGAAACAGTACTTTTCACATTAATTTCTGCAAAAAAAAATATTTCTACAGAATCCATCAGAGGAACTAAAAGTAGAAAAAACTTCTTTTTACTAAACCAAGACGACACGTCTTCAAAAGAAATGAAAATGGCCGGGCGCAGTGACTCACACCTGTAATCCCAGCACTTTGGGAGGCCAAGGCAAGCGGATCACCTGAGGTCAGGAGTTCAAGACCAGCGTGGCCAACATGGCGAACGAAACCCCATCTCTACTAAAAAATACAAAATTAGCCGGGCGTGGTGGTGCATGGCTGTAATCCCAGCTACTTGGGAGGCTGAGGCAGGAGAATCGCTTGAACCCAGGAGGTGGAAGTTGCAGTGAGCCGAGATCGTGCCACTGCACTCCAGCCTGGGCAACAAGAGTCAAACTCAGTCTCAAAAAATAAAAAAAGAAAATGTAGAAATTACAACTAAGACTATGATCAAGAACAAGGTAGGGAAATAAAAGGGGGCATAATTTAGAATTATATACTTTGAGCAGTTTGAACAAGTTCTCTTAGAAGGAACTGGTGAACTGGCAGATGAAATGTATTCAGTGATGCATGGTATGGAGCAGAAAAGTTGAGCAGATCCTTTCCTCTGATAAGCAGTTTGCCCCTTCTGGAGAATTTTTTTACAACCAGCACAGGAAACCTGAATAGCTGTGGTTGAAACTGAAGGAAGCATTTTATTCACGCCAGATGATGCCAGAGAAAGCTGAATGCCTGCAGTCAACTGTGAAGCTATAAAAACACAAGAGGGAGAAAAAAAAATTGTTATTTACACAAAATTAAGTAGGCATTCCTTTATTTTCTTTCTTTCTTTTTTTAGAGACAGGGTCTTGTTCTGTTGCCCTCTTTTGCACTCTAGGCAGTGTAGTGATACGATCATGGCTCACTGCAGCCTTGACACCCTGTACTCAAGTGACCCTCTCACCACCTGGTGCGGTGGCTCACGCCTGTAATCCCAGCACTTTGGGAGGCCAAGGCAGGTGGATCACCTGAGGTCAGAGTTCAAGACCAGCTTGGCCAACATGGTGAAACCCCATCTCAATTAAAAATACAAAATTAGCCAGGTGTGGTGGCTAACGCCTGTAATCCCAGCATTTTGGGAGGCAAGGTGGGTGGATCACGAGTTTAAGAGATTGAGACCATCCCGGGCAATATGGTGAAACCCCGTCTCTACTATAAAAATTAGCTGGGCATGGTGACACATGCCTGTAGTCCCAGCTACTCGGGAGGCTGAGGCAGGAGAATCGCTTGAACCTGAGAGGTGGAGGCTGCAGTGAGGCGAGATCATGCACTGCCCTCCAGCCTGGCAACAGAGCGAGAGCGAGACTCCGTCTCAAAACAAACAAAATTATCTGGGTGTGGTGGCACGGGCCTGTGATCCTAGTTACTTGGGAGGCTGAGGCAGGAGCACTGCTTGAACCTGGGTGGCAGAGGTTGCAGTGAGCCAAGATCGTGCCATTGCACTCCAGCCTGGGCAACAAGAGCGGAAACTCCATCTCAGAAAAAAAAAAAAAACCTCCCGCCTCAGCCTCCCAAGTAGCTGGGACTATAGGCATGCACCACCACACCTGGTTTTTAAATTTTCTGTAGAGACAGGATCTCGCTATGTTGCCCAGGCTGGTCTCAAACTCCTGCCCTCAAGCTGATCCTTCCACCTTGGCCTCCCAAAATGTTGGGATTACAGGCATGAGGCACCATGCCCAGCCTCTTTGATTTTCTTCTCTTTTTTTTTTTTTTTAGACAGAGTCTCGCTCTGTTGCCCAGGCTGGAGTGCAGTGGTGCAATCTTGGCTCACCACAACCTCTGCCTCCCAGGTTCAAGCAAATCTCCTGCCTCAGCCTCCTGAGTAGCTGGGATTACAGGCATGCGCCACCACGCCTGGCTAATTTTGTATTTGTAGTAGAGACAGGGTTTCACTATGTTGGCCAAACTGGTCTCGAATTCCTGACCTCATGATCCGCCTGCCTCGGCCTCCCAAAGTGCTGGGATTACAGGTGTGAGCCACTGTGCACGGCCTCTCTTTCATTTTCTTACAGGTTACTTCTCCTGGACTTAAAACCCAACACAAACAAAGCAATATTCAAAGGCATTAAAAAAGAATGAATCAGCTGTCGTATTGGTCTGAATAAACATAACTAACTTAAATAATTCTATTACCACTCTCTGAAAACACAGCATTTATTTTCAGTTCATTCTCCTGAGTTCTGGACTGTTGCCTATGACAATACTCCTAAAAAGAAAAAAAAAATAATAATTAAAAATAGTGAATACAATGAATTTAAGACAACCAGTCATTCAACAGAAAATGATAAATTGTGGTCAAGTCTGGTCAATGAATTGTATAACTGAATTGAACCAAAATACACAGGTATGCACTACCCTTTTGGTGCTCTTTGGCTGACAACACTAATCACCCAATACATTATTTTCTATGGTATCCAGGTGTGACATCAAAATCTTTGTCAACAAAATCCCTCCATTCACTATCAATAGGGAGCAGACATATTGAATTACAACTATTTTCCCTACTTGTTTTTTTTTTTTTTTCTTTTTTTTTTGAGACAAGATCTCACTCTGTCACCCAGGCTGGAGTACAGTGACGCGATCTCGTCTCACTATAACCTACTTCTGGGTTCAAGTGATTCTTCTGCCTCAGCCTCCCAAGTAGCTGAGACTACAGGCACATGCCTCCATGCCCGGCTAATTTTTTAATTTTTAGTGGAGATGTTGCCCATGGTCTTGAACTCCTGGCCTCAAGTGATCTGCCTGTCTCACCCTCCCAAAATGCTGGGATTACAGGAATGAGCCACCACACCCAGCCTTCCCTGCTTGCTCTAATCATTAACAGCTAATTGTCTTCATAAAGACCTTAACCCAAGAAATTGTTAATTGGGCAGAATGATTCTTACAAAGGACAATTTTTTCAGAGCAGGAGGCAATTTCATAGCCACCATATCTAAACTTGATCTATGCCTGAATGTCCATGGCATGAAGAAGCAATAGATAGTTCCTAGATGAGTAACATTCCCCAGTGTTAACAACTCAATGGTAAGCATACCCTTATTTAATATTAATCTACTTTAGGCTATTTCTAAATAGAATACTACAAATAAATTACCCTTTTTAGTGATTTTTTTCTTTCATTAGAACTTTCAGCTGGTTCACAGTTCATATACAAACATTCCTTTTTTTTGTTTTAAGAGACAGGGTCTCGCTTCGTTACCCAGGCTGGAGTGCAATGGCACAATCATAGCTCATTGCTTCCTTGAATTCCTGGGCTCAAGCGATCCTCCTGTTGTAGCCTCTGAAGTAGCTGAGACTACAGGCGTGCACCACTATGCCTGGCTAATTTTTGTATTTTTTATAGAGACAAGGTCTTGTCATCCAGTTGGTCTCAAACTCTTGGGCTCAGGTGATCCTCCCACCTTGGCCTCCCAAAGTTCTGGGATTACAGGTGTGAGCCACTGTGCCTGGCCATATATACAAACATTCTAAGGAATGTTTTCCCTACTTAAACAATACTCACAGTTCAAGTCAGTTCATCCTTTATAGGTTCTTTAGTGATATGTCTAAAAAAATTTTTTTTAATTTACATAAATTAATTTAGATTAAAAAATGTAATTTGTATTAAGTTAAGAAAAACAAAAACAAAATGTGTTAACCTTCTCTGGAAGTAGAATCTGGCAAAAGAAAAAAAGTGTTAACCTTAGCTAGGCCCACAACACCCTAAACAATCCTTTTACCTATGCAAAAACCCAATTCCAAACAGTCTAATCTTTCCTCAAATAATTTTCTTACATATACTTGTAGTGGCACTTAACACCATATACCTTGTATTATTTAATTAACTGCTTTGGAGGAGATAAGGATTTGAGTTTTTCAATGAATCATTTCAGCACCTTTGTAACTAAAATTTATAGTTAAATGCTGCTCTAGAAATAATGGAAATAAGGGAAAATATTTACTTGAGCATTGTCGGGTTCTGTCTTAATTTCATCTAGCAGCCCCAGCTGTGATGCCACTGCCTTGTCACACTCACCACCTAAAAGTGGTTCTTTCATTTTAGTATCTGATGCAAAGGAATTCTCCAGTTCCAAACTAATGGGTTTCTTCCTGAAGAACAGTTTCCAGATTCCTAAAATAAAATATTGATAAAGAGTTTGATTTTAAAATTAGTCCTTTTAAATATGGTAATTTTCTAGAACCACAAAAGGGTCTTTAGACAGCTTGGCATCAAGGTTCCTTCATTGAAAGAACACTGGCTTCTTTCCTTTCATCCATTATTCTTCAATATAGTTTTGCTCTATACTTCTCTGGTAGCTACTACCAACTCTGTGCCTTCTTCTGGAAATAGTCTCCGTTTCTGTTCCCCCAAGACTGAATGCAGCATAAAACCACCAAAACTTACAAGTTTATTTTTAACTTTTCAATAGGAGAAAATGTAAAGCTTTCGGCCAGGGTCGGTGGCTCACGCCTGTAAACCCAGCACTTTGGGAGGCCAAGGCGGGCAGATCACTTGAGGTCAGGAGTTTGAGACCAGCCTGGCCAACATGGTGAAACCCCATCTCTACTAATACAAAAATTAGCCGGGTTGTGGTGGCACATACCTGTAATCCCAGCTACTCGGGAGGCTGAGGCACGAGAATCGCTTGAACCTGGGAGGTGGAGGTCGCAGTGAATGGACATTGAGCCACTGCACTCCAGCCTGGGTGACAGAGTGAGACTGTGTCTCAACAAACAAACAAACAAACAAAAAAGAAATGTAAAGCTTTCTATCTGAGGTTAACCCAATCTGTACTCACTACCCCTCTCTGCCCTCCAGTTATCCTTCTCATTTGCTTCTTCAGTTCCTCTTCCCCTCCTATTGATTCCAGGATATAAGCATTTAAATACATTCTAGAATCTAAAGCTATCCGCCCTCTCTCTGACCACCCCTTTCCCCATTCTTGAAATTTCTTTCATTTTTCTTACTCCGAGGTCTTTTACCTCTTTGCCAGTATTTCTCACAAATACTTATTTTACCTGCTTCTAAAATGTTTGTGTTCCACAAAAACACAATTCCCCAGTACTCTCCTTGCCTGCTCTATGATCTTGAACTCCTGGCTTTAAAAAAATAACGAAGTTGGCTGGGCACAGTGGCTCACGCCTGTAATCCCAACACTCTGGGAGGCTGAGGTGGGTGGAGCACGTGAGATCAGGAGTTTGAGACCAGTCTGGTCAACATGCTGAAATCCCATCTCTACTAAAAATACAAAAAATTAGGCTTGGTGGCATGCGCTGGTAATCCCAGCTACTCGGTAGGCTGAGGCAGGAGAATAGCTTGAACCCGGGAGGCAGAGGTTGCAGTGGGCCAAGATCGCGCCATTGCACTCCAGCCTGGGTGACAGAGCGAGACTCTGTCAAGAAAGAAAAGAAAAGGAAAAGAAAGGAAAGAAAGAAAGAAAGGAAGGTAGGAAAGAAAGAAAAGAAAGAAAGAAAAGGAAAAGAAAAGAAAAGAAAAGACCTGTTGGCCGGGCACAGTGGTTCATGCCTGTAATCCCAGCACTTTGGGAGGCCAAGACGGGTGGATCACCTGAGGTCAGGAGTTTGAGACTAGCCTGGCAAACAAGGCGAAACCCCGTCTCTACTAAAAATACAAAAAAAAAAAAATCAACCGAGTGTGGTGGTGTGTGCCTGTGATCTCAGCTACTCAGGAAGCTAAGGCAGGAGAATCACTTCAACCCAGGAGGCGGAGGCTGCAGTGAACTGAGATCGCACCACTGCACTCCAGCCTGGGAAACAGAGCGAGATTCTGTCTCAAACAAACAAAAAAACGAAGTCTTTGGCCGGGCGCAGTGGCTCATGCCTGTAATCCCAGCACTTTGGGAGGCCGAGGCAGGTAGATCACCTGAGGTGAGGAGTTCGAGACCAGCCTGGCCAACATGGCAAAACCCTGTCTCTACTAAAAATACAAAAATTAGCTGGGCATGGTGGCAGGTGCCTGTAATCCCAGCTACTCTGGAGGCTGAGGCAGGAGAATCACTTGAAAACGGGAGGCAGAGGTTGCAGTCAGCCAAGATTGTGCCATTGCACTCCAGCCTGGGAGACAGAGCGAGACTCCATCTCAAAACAAAACAAACAAAAACCAAGTCTTTTTCTCTTTTTTTTTTTTTTTTTTTTTTGAGACAAGATCTCGCTCTGTCACTCAGGCAGTGGCACTATCTCAGTTCACTGCAGCCTCACCCTCCTGGGATCAAGCAATTCTCCCACCTTAGTCTCCCACGTAGCTGGGACCACAGGCATGTGCCACAGTGCCCAGGTAATTTTTTTTTTTTTTTGTAGAGAAGGTGTTTCCCTATGTTGCCCAGACTGATCTCGAACTCCTGGGCTCAAGTGATCCTCTCACCTCAGCCTCCCAAAGTGCTTCAACGACAGGTGTCCATCTGCTCCCAGCCTATGATCACAACCTCAGATTCAACTATCACCTATGGGCTGTTTTTCCCCAACATTCCTGAGCTGTGGCCCATATACCTAATTGCCTATTAAATATCTCCACTTGGCCGGGGCAGTGGCTCACGCCTGTAATCCCAGCACTTTGGGAGGCTGAGGCGGGTGGATCATGAGGTCAGGAGATCAAGATCATCCTGGCTAACACGGTGAAACCCCGTCTCTACTAAAAATACAAAAAAGATTAGCCAGGCGTGGTGGCAGGCACCTGTAGACCCAGCTACTGGGAGGCTGAGGCAGGAGAATGGTGTGAACCCGGGAGACGGAGCTTGCAGTGAGCCGAGATCGCGCCACTGCACTCCAGCCTGGGAGACTCCGTCTCAAAATAAATAAATAAATAAATAAATATCTCCACTTGAATGTTCCACAGGTCCCTCAAACTCAAGGGATTTGAACTCTGGTCTCAAGCAATCCTCTTGCCTCAGTAAAACTATATTCTTTTATTACCCCCACAAACCTGTTTTACAGATATTCCTTTTTTTTGGTAAATAGCAGTGTCATATACCTAATTTCCCATGCCAGAAATCTAGGATTAACCTGGAATTATTCTTCTTCTCCCTAAATCTAATTATGAAATTAGATCAATCTACCTTTTAATTAAGTCTTTTTTTTTTTGAGACAAGAGTTTTGCTCTCGTTGCCCAGGATGGAGTGCAATGGCGCGATCTCAGCTCACTGCAACCACAGCCTCCCAAGTTCAAGTGATTCTCCTGCCTCAGCCTCCCGAGTAGCTGGGATTACAGGCATGTGCCATCACGCCTGGCTAATTTTGTATTTTTAGTAGAGACAGGGTTTCTCCATGTTGGTCAGGCTGGTCTCGAACTCCCAACCTCAGGTGATCCGCCCACCTCGGCCTCCCAAAGTGCTGGGATTACAGGTGTGAGCCACCACACCCAGTCAAATAAGTCTTAAGTCTATTTTCCCATCACACATGCCTGCCTGCTTCTCCTCACTATCCAAATCAATAGATTCCTTTTTGGTCAATCTTACAACTTTTGAGGAACTACGAAAGCAAGGTCTCTTTTTCTTTTTTCATTAAAGTTCTGGGGTGTATGTGCAGAACGTGCAGTTTTGTTATATAGGTATACACATGCCATGGTGGTTTGCTGCACCCATCAACCTGTCACCTATATTAGGTATAGCTTCTAATGCTATCCCTCCCAGCAAGGTCTCTTTTTCAAAGACAGATTGGTTCCTTCTTTTCTCCTTTTTCCTTGACTGAGGCCTACTTTCCACTTATCTGGTAGCTGTTACCTCTGATTCTAAATCCTTTGGAACCCTTTCCCTTCCTGCCACCCTAGCTTGGCTTCAGAGTGCAAGTCTTCCTGTCTCCTAGATCCTTAAAAAAGAGCCTTATAGGCCAGGCTCGGTGGCTCACGCCTGTAATCCCAGCACTTGGGGAGGCCGAGGTGGGTGGATCACGAGGTCAGGAGATCGAGGCCATCCTGGCTAACATGGTGAAACCCCATCTCTACTAAAAATACAAAAAAATTAGCCGGGCGTGGTGGCAGGTGTCTGTAGTCCCAGCTACTCTGGGAGGCTGAGGCAGGAGAATGGCATGAGCCCGGGAGGCGGAGCTTGCAGTGAGCCGAGATCGCGCCACTACACTCCAGCCTGGGCGACAGAGCGAGACTCTGTCTCAAAAAAAAAAAAAAAAGAGCCTTATATCGGGCACCTGTAGTCCCAGCTACTCGGGAGGCTGAGGCAGGAGAATGGCGTGAACCTGGGAGGCAGACCTTGCAGTGAACCAAGATCATGCCACTGCACTCCAGTCTGGGTGACAGAACAAGACTCCATCTCAAAAAAAAAAAAAAAAAAAAAAAAAGCCTTACAACTAATCATTATGGAGGGCAGATGATAACTAACACAAATGTGGAGAAGTTGAAGTTGTTACAGGATCACTTAGAATAATGGGCTCAAAAAAAGAAAAAAATAACAAAAAACCTCTTACAGGAGTAATTCCAGGACTATGGTTTTATTCTGGGTTAGTACATGAAAGACCCAAGTAATTCTGCCATTATTTTTTATTTCTGTGATTGGGGCTCAACCACCTTCCCTCATTTCCATCTTTAGCTCAGCTTTTGTTGAAAGTTCCTATCCCAATGCAGAAAGTTAAATAAGGCCTGAGAGTCAAGTGCAATAAATAGCTCATACAGCCTCTGTCCAGCCCATTTGAGCATTATACACAAACAGTAAAGCAAAACTCACTAAAAATTAACTATTTGTCATTAGGTAGATTCCCTTCACCTGAAAGTACACATGCCATGCAAGTCTTAAACATCAATTAAAAACAAAGCACCGAGTTTTGTGCAGTGGCGGTATCACAGCCAATGAGGTTTACGTGAGGTACAATTATTGTTATTCGTAAGATAAAACAAAACAAAGTACCTATGAGCTTTGGCATCTTGCAACTCCTTCAAATGTGTCACCATACAAACATAAAAATAGTGGAGGCTGGGCGCAGTGGCTCATGCCTGAAATCCCTGCGCTCTGGGAGGCTGAGGTGGGTGGATGAGGAGGTCGGGAGTTCAAGACCAGCCTGGCCAACACAGTGAAACCCCATCTCCACTAAAAAATACAAAAAATTAGCCGGGCGTGGTGGTGGGCGCCTGTAATCCCAGCTACTCGGAAGGCTGAGACAGTAGAATTGCTTGAATCTGGGAGGCAGAGGTTGCAGTGAGCCGAGATCATGCCATTGCACTCCAGCTCAGGCAAGAGTGTGAGACTCTGTCTCAAAAACAAAAAAAAAAAAAAAAAAGGAAAGCATCCTGAAAATTTCTGAGGCAAGGGAAAATGCTATGCAACATTTGTTTGGCTATAAGAAGAGCAAAACATGTATTAGTGACAGATCCATTACTTCCTTTTCCAACAAGATGCACATTAGAGTAAAATAAGTCCTACAGACTTTCTTTTAATATAGCCCTACTCATCTTTCCAAACTAGGGCTAAATCATAGTATGAAAGAGTACAGGTATTAATAGTCAAAGGATGAATGTTGCACATCTTCCTGCTGGGCAATACTACTTGGTAGTAATATAAAATATATATACATATATGTACATACACACACACACACACACACACACACACACACACACACACACACACATATATATATATATATATATACACATAAACACATTTTTGAGATGGAGTCTCACTCTGTTGCCCATGCTGGAGTGCAGCGGTACGATCACGGCTCACTGCAACCTCCACCTCCCGGGTTCAAGCGATTCTCCTGCCTGAGCATCCTGTGTAGCTGGGATTACAGGCACGTGCTACCAAGCTCAGCTAATTTTTGTATTTTTAGTAGAGACGGGTTTTCACCATGTTGGCCAGGATGGTCTCGATCACCTGACCTTGTGATCCGCCTGCCTCGGCCACCCAAAGTGTTGGGATTACAGGTGTGAGCCACCGCGCCCAGCCATAAAATATTTTAATTTAAACCAAAGAGAGAAATATGATAAGAGCAGACAACAAAATTCACATTCATTTTTTTTTCTTGAGATGGAATCTCTCTCTGTCACCCAGGCTGGAGTGCAGTGACATAATCTCAGCTCACTGCAACCTCCGCCTCCCAGGTTCAACCAATTATCTGCCTCAGCCTCCTGAGTAGCTGGGATTATAGGCACCAGCCAGCATGCCTGGCTAAGTTTTGTATTTTTAGTAGAGATCGGGTTTCACCATCTTGGCCAGGCTGGTCTTGAACTACTGACCTCATGATCCACCGGCCTCAGCCTCCCAAAGTGCTGGGATTACAGGCATGAGCCACTGCCCTCGGCCCATATTCATTCTTAAAGTAAAACACGAGATCACAAAGAAACTGCAAGTTTCGAGGCCAGGCGTGGTGGCTCACGCCTGTAATCCCAGAACTTTGGGAGGCCAACGCGGGCTGATCACCTGAGGTTGGGAGTTCGAGACCAGCCTGACCAACATGGAGAAACCCTGTCTCTACTAAAAATACAAAAAATTAGCCGAGCGTGGTGGGGCATGCCTGTAATCCCAGTTATTTGGGAGGCTGAGGCAAGAGAATCACTTGCACCCAGGAGGCAGAGGTTGCAGTGAACTGAGACTGCGCCATTGCACTCCAGCCTGGGCAAGAAGAGCGAAACTCCATCTCAAAAAAAAAAAAGAAAATGCAAGTTTCAAGAGTTATTTCCAGATACACATATAGACCTCCAGGGGATATCATCCAGATTCCTCCTGGAAAATTAGTACAATAGTATTTATATAACCCTGATGGTTCAAACTACTGTTAAAAAATGAATTTTTGGGCGGGCACAGTGGCTCACCTCTGTAATCCCAGCACTTTGGGAGCCTGAGGCAGGCAGATTACCTGAAGTCAGGAGTTCGAGACTAGCCTGGCCAACATGGTAAAACCCCATCTCTACTCAAAATTCAAAAAATTAGTCAGGTGTGGTGGCACACACCTGTAGTTCCAGCTCTTGGGAGGCTGAGACAGGAGAATCTCTTGACCTGGGAGATGGAGGCTGCTGTGAGTGGAGATCGTGCCACTGCACTCCAGCCTGGGTACGACAGAGCAAGACTCCATCTCAAAAAAAAAAAAAAAAAAAAAAAAAAGGCTGGGTGCGGTGGCTCATGCCTGTAATCCCAGCACTTTGGGAGGCTGAGGTGGGTGGATCACAGGGTCAGGAGTTCAAAATCAGCCTGGCCAAGATGGTGAAACCCTGTTTCTACTAAAAATACAAAAAAAATTAGCCAAGCGTGGTGGTGGGCGCCTGTAATCCCTGCTACTCGGGAGGCTGAGGCAGAGAATTGCTTAAACCCAGGAGGTGGAGGATGTAGTGAGCTGAGATCAAGCTCACTGTCGCTCAAGCCTGGGTGACAGTGCGAAACTGCATCTCAAAAGAAAAAAAAAGAATTTTTTAATTGAAAAAAAAATTGCATGAGATTTCAATGAAATATAAGGCAGTTACAATAATGAAAGGAAACTGCATGACGATGAATAAGATTCACAGACATATAATCTCAAAACTAATTTATATAGAGACTATTTTTTTTACTGCTACAGATTAAGTTACAATCTTGATTGGAGACAGAGTTGAACAAATTTAGCAACAAACAGTCATTTTCTGCTTTTTATAAATAGCCCAGACTGTAGTCCCAGCTACTCAGGAGGCTGAGGCAGGAGGATCACCTGAACCTGGGAGGCAGAGGTTGCAGTGAGATATGATTGCGCCACCACACTCCAGCCTGTGTGACAGAGTAAGATTCCATCTCAGAATAAATAAATAAAATAAACTAATAACCCAATATTGAAAATTTTGGGAAAAAACCTTAAAATTCTGTATATATTGAAAATTTTGGGAAAAAACCTTAAAATTCTGTATGAATATAAATATGACTTGAAGAAATGATTTTAAAAAGCCACATTATGAATGACAGTGATTTATATAATGAAATTCAAATCTTCAATATTTTCTGTGATAACAATTTACCATGAGTAACCCAAATACAATGTTTAAACGTAATACATAAAATTGAATTCTGTCATCATTGAAAATTTGCTTACTTTCAGTCCTGAAAACCACAGCTTTACACGTGTTTTTCTATTTGGTCATTACAAAGGTGTATTTGTCACGGCAGGAGGATGGAACTCATTTTATTCCACGATGTGTTAGCTTAATTTATAACTTTTAAATATTTAGACACAGAGTATGTGGGCTTCCATTCATACTCTTAGCAAGGACCCCACAAATGCTAGGGGCCAGTGTGAACCTAGCACTCCAACCACAAGTACATTTCAAAACTAGGCTGGGAATGAGGGGTACAGAATACTGATTTAACAACAATAATTCCCTATTAGAGCTAGGTGGCTGGCATGTGCCACACCAAAGGCAAGAAAGGGCAGGCCCAAGAGAGCTCTAGGAATGACTGTTCAAGGAAGGAGGCTATTGTCCCTGAAGCTGGAATGTAGTCATGGAGGTGGTTTCAGGGTCAGGAAAGGACAGCTGCAGCCAAAGGGAGATCTACAACAACCACAGGAGAAAACACTATCCTCCTCTTTGGGCCAGAGGGAAAGGGAGACAGATGTCAAGGCAAAGAATCAGCTGCACCTTAACCTCCTCACTTTACTTGTCCTCATACTGCTTTCCTTCCTGCCAAAGTCATTTCTGCCTAATCAGATCCTATGCAGTTTGGAAACCAACTGAGCTCCAGATTTTAACAGACTAGCATGAAGTAAAAATAATATGGGGGCCGGGCGCGGTGGCTCACGCCTGTAATCCCAGCACTTTAGGAGGCCGAGGCGGGTGGATCACAAGGTCAGGAGATCGAGATCATCCTGGCTAACACGGTGAAACCCTGTCTCTACTAAAAATACAAAAAATTAGCCAGGCGTGGTAGTGGGCACCTGTAGTCCCAGCTACTTCGGAGGCTGAGGCAGGAGAAGGGCGTGAACCCAGGAGGCGGAGCTTGCAGTGAGCTGAGACAGTGCCACTGCACTCCAGCCTGGGCGACAGAGCGAGACTCTGTCTCCAAAAAAAAACCAAACCAAAACAAAACAAAAAACGGATAAATCCAGGCATAACAGAGTAGCCTTTAGCATACTAAATCCTTTCACTGGAATTAATTACAAAATTTAACAGACTTTACTGGTAAGGGGACTTTCCATGACAAAATAGTGGAAACCCAAGCAGAAAACAGCAGGAGACAGTTAGAAGTACTGGATTCTAAAGTAGCTGGAACTCAAGAGGCACAATCTGGGAGAGGAGGGAACTACAGAAAAATAATATGCATAGAAATCTCCCCTCCTCCAAGTCATTGGCGGACTCCTAAACTGCACATTTACAGAGTGAGACTTCAAAAACTTAACAGAACACAGCAGTTAAACGTCAAAGAGCTAATAAGATTATAGCAGCTATGCTGAGTTGAGAGTTGAAATTTAAGACCAGCAAGATAGAGGGGTTTTGGTAAAGACCTGGATTTCGGGTTGAGACTCAAGGAGGGCCTTGCCCTAGGAGTAATGGCTATGCCCCAGGAGGAAAAGAGACCACTTCCAAGAAGAAAGGACAAACTGAAATAGACCAGTCTTAACAAGACCTATAATCAACCCTCAACAGGATCAATGTCATCTGCTACTACTATCCACGTGCCTAATGGCAACCTTAGTCTGCTTTGAAGGAAGTACATCCGGATGCTAATAATGTTCATCCAAAATTTCCAGAATCCAGTAATAATTTATGGACTAAGAGGAATTTTTAAAATCCCAAAACTGACTGGAAAAAAATGGCAATAGAAACAAACCCACAGGTGACTCAGATATTGTTCTTGTCAGGCAAGGACTTGGTTATGTTTGAGAAAACAGAGGAAAGATGGAGAAGTTCTGTAGTGACCTGGCATCCATCAAAAAAAAAAAAAAAAGTTAAATGGAAAATCTAGAATTGGAAAACACAGTGAGGAAGTTAAGAATTCAATCGATGAATATCAAATTAGTGAAGAAGACAAGCTAGAAGGTACACTGATGCACAGAGATAAAAGGATGGAAAATTGAAATAATGTGCCATGTGGGATTCCTATTCAGTTCTAGAATAAGAATCTAGAATAATGTGCCACGTGGGATCTCTTATTCAGTTCTAGGATAAGAGAAAATAGACAATGCAAAAGAAGCAGTATTTGAAAGAAAATACCAGGCAAGGTGGCTCACGCCTATAATCCCAGAACTCTGGGAAGCCAAGGCAGGAGTTTGAGCCCAGGAGTTCGAGACCAGCCTGGGTGACATAGTGAGACCCTCATCTCTACAAAGAAATTAGAAAAATTAGCTGGGCATGGTGGTGGATGCCTGTAGTACAGGCTATGTGGGAGGCTGAGGCTGGAGGATCACCTGAGCCCAGGAAAGAGTTCCAGGTTACAGTGAGCTATGATCGCACCACTGCACACCAACCTAGGTGACAGACTGAGACACTGTCTCGAAAAAAAACAAAAACAAAAAATACCTACAATTTTTTAGGACAATTTCCTAAAACTGAAGAAAAACATCAAACCACATGAATTCAAGCTCTGTGAATCACAAATAAGATATAAAGAAAAACGCGAGTAGGCATGTCATAGTTACACTGGTGAAAACCAAAAAGAAAATCTTAAAAGCACTAAGGTTGGGTGTGGTGATTCACACTTGCAATTTGAACATGTCGGGAGGTAGAGGACAGAGGACTGCTTAGCCCAGGAGTTCGAGGCCACCCCCTGGCAGCATAGTGAGACCCCCATCTCTAAAAACAATTAAAAGATTAGCTGGGTATGATGGTATGCATCTGGAGTCCCAGCTACTCGGGAGGCCGAGGTGGTAAGACTGCTTAAGCCGGGAGGGTGAGGCTACAGTGAGCTGTGATCAAGCCACTGCACACCAGTCTGGGGGACAGTGAGACCCTGTCTTAAAAAAAAAAAAGAAAAGAAACAATAAAACCCCAGAAGCCAATGTAATATCTTTAAAGTGCTGGGGAAAAATCTACTTAAAATTCTATATTCAGTAAAAATATCCTTCAAGATTAAGAGCAAAATAAAGACATTTTCAGACAAATGAAAACACTGTAGAAATGCTACAGGAAATTCTTTTTTTATTTTTGGAGACAGAGTTTTACTCTTGCTGCCCAGGCTGGAGTGCAATGGCACAATCTCAGGTCACTGCAACCTCCACCTCCCGGGTTCAAGTGATTCTCCTGCCTCAGCCTCCTGAGTAGCTAGGATTACAGGCATGCACTACCACTCCTGGCTAATTTTTTGTATTATTAGTAGAGACGGGGTTTCACCATGTTGGCCAGGCTGGTCTGGAACTCCTGACCCCAGGTGATCCACCCGCCTCAGCCTTCCAAAGTGCTGGGATTACAGGGGTGAGCCACCACGCCCGGCCACTAAAGGAAATTCTTTAAGCTAAAGTAAAATAGTAGATGGGAATTTAGCATAAAAGTTGGAAAGCAGGCCAGGCGTGGTGGCTCACGCCTGTAATCCCAACACTTTAGGAGGCTGAGGCAGGCGGATCACTTGAGGTCAGGAGTTCGTGACCAGCCTGGCCAACATGGTGAAACCCCATCTCTACCAAAAATACAAAAATTAGCTGGGTATGGTGGTGCACGCCTGTAATCCCAGCTACTCGGGAAGCTGAGGCAGGAGAACTGCATGAACCCAGGAGGTGGAGGTTGCAGTGAGCCCAGATCATGCCACTGCACTCCAGCCTGGGTGACAGCGCATGACTCCATTTAAAAAAAAAAAAAAGTTGGAAAGGAAGAAAACTTTTTATTTGTAGACATGACTGCATATAGAAAACTCTAAGGAACCTCCCCCAACTCACCCCCCGCAAAAGAAACTATTAGAATAAGTGAATTCAGCAGAATTATAGGATAATACAAGATCCGCATTTTAGAATTTTTCTTATCACTTATCTTCAACATTGTAGTAGAAGTTCTAGTTAGATCAATAAAGCAAGAAAAAATAAAAGACAAACTTTGAAAAGGCAGTTAAAATTGTTATTATTCATGGATGACATGATTCTATACAAAGAAAATTCAAAAGAATCTCCAAGTTATTAAGCTTAGCAAGACATTCGAAAATAAATTTTGGCCAGGTGCAGTGGCTCACGCCTGTCATCCTAGCAATTTGGGAGGCAGAGATGGGTGAATTACCTGAGGTCAGGAGTTCAAGACCAGCCTAACATGGTGAAACCCGTATCTACTAAAAATACAAAAGAATTAGCTGGGCATGGTGGTGGGCACCTGTAATCCCAGCTACTCAGGAGGCTGAAACAGGAGAATCACTTGAACCTGGGTGTCAGAGGCTACAGTGAGCCGAGATTGTGCCACTGCATTCCAGCCTGGGTGACACAGTGCGACTCCGTCTCAAACAAACAAACAAAAAATCAATTTTATTTCTTTATACTAGAACAGAAAAATATAAAAATAACCATTTTCTGCAGCATCATAAATATCAAATATAGGAATAAATCTAATGAAAGCTATTAAAGAACTCTACAGTGAAAACAAAACATTGCTGAGAGAAATTAAGGAAGATCTAAATAAATGCTCATTGATGGAAAGAGTCAATATTAATTTTTCTCCTAATTAAGCTGTAGATGAAAATCCCAGCAGGGGTTTTTGTGGAATTTGTAAGGTAATTCTAATGTATATACAATGTGCATACAGAGCCTAGCATAACCAAGACAATATCAAAAAAAAAAAATGTTGGAAGGGCTTATAAAGCTACAGTAAATTAAGATAGTGTGGTATGGACACAAGCAAAAACAAAACAGAGTCTGGAAGCAGATATACTCCTATCCCTTATTTCTTCGCATTATACCACTTCTTTATACATTACACTTTGCTAAGATTTATTTTATTCGGCCGGGCACGGTGGCTCCTGTCTGCAATCCCAGCACTTTGAGAGGGTGGATCAGCTGAGGTCGGAGTTCTAGACCAGCCTGGCCAACATGGTGAAACCCTGTCTCTACTAAACAAAAATTAGCCAGGTGTGGTGTAATCCCAGCTACTTGGGAGGCTGAGGCAGGAGAATCACTTGAACTGGAGGTGGAGGTTGCAGTGAGCTGAGATCGCGCTACTGCACTCCAGTCTGGGAGACAAGAGTGAAATGCTGTCTCAAAAAAAAAAAATTATTTTATTCAACTGAGTTCTGCAAGGTCTTTTACTAGCCTGATGGGAAGGCTGGAGGCAGAAGGCTATATGTTTTTCAAACCAAACTAAAATGTCCATGGTTAATTCTGCAGGCAATGAAGAGCCATCATTTCCGAAGTGCCTTGGTACCGGGTTACACTGATGAGTAGGATGTCCCAACCAGTAAGTATATACAAGGTACTGAGAAGAAATGAAAAAAGAAGACGGTCAGTCTTCTGGGAGGTGAAATTTGAGCTGGGTTTTAAAGTGTCTACCAACCAATGATGGCGGATATTCCTGGTATAGAGACAGCATGTACAAAACCACAAATAGCCGGGCACAGTGGCTCAAGCCTGTAATCCCAGCACTTTGAGAGGCCCAAGCAGGTGGATTGCTTCGATTCAGGAGTTCGAGACCAGCCTAGGCAACATGAAGATAACCTGTCTCTACAAAAAATACAAAAATTAGCTGGGCGTAGTGGGGAGCACCTGTTGTTCCAGCTACTCTGGAACCTGAGGTGGGAGGATCGCTTAAGCTCGGAAGGCTGAGGCTGCTTGTGAGCCGTGATCGTGTCACTGCACTCAGCCTGGGCCAAAGAGCGAGACCCAGTCTCCAAAAAAAAAAAAAAAAAAAGAAGCACAAATATATGGGAACTAGAAGGAGTGGGACTGTTGTTGCAGATAAAGTACAAGTGCAAGAGTGCTAGTAGAAGGAACTGGAAAGTTTGAAAAGTAGACATGGGTCATGTCAGGAAGGTCCCTGATACCAAATACCTTAAAATTAATCTTGTAAATCAGCAGCGTTCAAACTGTGCTTTTGGGGTTCAGCAAACATTTCATTTTTTTTTTTGAGACGGGGTCTCGCTCTGGAGTGCAGTGGCACGATCTCGACTAAATGCAACCTCTGCCTCCCGGTTCAAGCGATTCTCCTGCCTCAGCCTCCTGAGTAGCTGAGATTACAGGCGCCTGCCACCAAGCCCAGCTAATTTTTGTACTTTTAGTAGAGACGGGGTTTTGCCATGTTGGCCAGGCTGGTCTCGAACTTCTGACCTCAAGAGATCCGCCCGCCTGGGCCTCCCAAAGTGTCGGGATTACAGGCTTGAGGCACCACGCCCGGCCAGGAGTCAAACTTTTGAAAAATCACTGCTCAATGAAGGAGAGATACAGGTGTGATGGGGCTTCTGAAACGGAGGCTGCGGAGCGAGACTAAAGTCTGAAGGCCCAGTTACTACACAGGAGCAGGAGGCGGCGAGAATCGCTGGAAGCGGGGAGCACTAACCCCCCCAGTCTATGAGGGCAAGGTTAAAGGAGGCGGCAAACACAATCCACGTCAGGGCCTGGCCCGGAGTTCCCGACCCCCATCTGGCGGAATCCGCACTCAAAGCTCCGTCTCTAAAACCCCGACCCGGCGCGTCATCCTCCCTCCGACCGACAGCAGAAACCCTGCCCCTTTCGAGTAAGGCGCAGGAGTAAAGACCGAAACCAGAGCCGCATGAGGAGGCTTACTAATTTCTCTCAGGGACGCCCCGCCCAACGCTTCTGAAACAATCTTCGAAGCGAAACGGCCCCGCCGACCCCGCCCCTCTCCCGTCGTGCTCTGCGGTTGAGCATGCGCAGGGCCGCTGGCTCAGGGTGGTCCCAGCTCCCTGAATTGGGAAGAGCGACTTTGGGATAGAAGAAGTGGGAGAGGGGGAGGGGAAGAGTCCTTACGGCCCGCATAGGATCTTACCCTTGAAGTCGTCGCTGGCTGGCAGCCAAAGTAGGACCCTTGACTCAGAGCTCAGGCAGGGCAGTTAGATTTCCTGGATTTGAGAGATGGCTTTACTACTTATTAGCTGTGTGCTAGTAAGCGATTTGACAACTTCTATAAATCTCCATTTCTTCGACCTTGAAATGGGGATAATTGTAGTGGCTGCATCGTAGGTTTGTAAACATTAGGCAGGCTTCTGCAGAAGCTGGACTCAAAAAAAAAAAATATGACAGGCAATGTTAGCAAAGTGCCAGTTGCAGAGTAAATTCCTAGTAAAAGGAAATTATCCTCAGAGGTAGGGAGGGAGTTCAGACTTCTTTCATTAGTACGTTAAAATTAAAATGACCCCAGGCTGGGTGTGGTGGGTCACACCTATAATTCCAGCACTTTGGGAGGCCGAGGCGGGTGGACTGCTTGAGTTCAGGAATTCAAGACCATCCTGACCAACATGGTGAAACCCCGTCTCTATTAAAAATACAGAAATTAGCCGGGCATGGAGGCGGGCGCCTGTAATCCCAGCTACTTGGGAGTCTGAGGCAGGAGAATCGCTTGAAGCCAGGAGGCAGAGGTTGCAGTGAGCTGAGATTGTACCACTGCACTTCAGCCTGAGCGACAGAGAGAGACTGCGTCTCAAAAAAAAAAAAAAAAAAAAAAAAAAAAATTAAAATAACCCCAAACTGCATGTCAAAAATAATGGCATATTTTAAATGTTTTTTGACAATACTTTCAACACCTAAAAAAGTATAGGACGAACTAACTGTGCTATTCCTAAAGGCATAAGAGGATTCTAAAATATATATATAAGGTTGAATGATGAACTTATTATAATCATATTTGACAATTACTTTTAAAGGAGATATTCTCAAAAATCTAAATTTGAGGCCCTTGTGAAGGTGAGGTCCAGACCAAAAGGGCCTCCTAATCCTTGCTGCTATGGTCCTTAAATATCCTTTGGAATTAGCCTCAAATCTAATATAAACCCTTTGGTAATTTGAAATATTATACGAGTAACTGAAGTTAATTTCTCCAACATTTATTATTACCTTCTAATATTCATAATAATCTGTTTAGACTGTTAGGATTAGAAAGGACCTTACTGAAATGATCTCTCCTCTAATGCTCCCTTCCTACCAAAGGAAAAGCTGAAGGCAAGAGGATAAAGGTAATTTGCCCCAAGTTACACAGCAACTCAGTGACTGGGATTAGATTGGAACCCAGAAATGAGTCCTGGTTCAGTGGGCATCCAAAGGCAAGTGATGTCATTGTAAATGCCCCGTGGGTTCACCTTGCCCGCTACCTAAACACAGTCCATTTATCAAGACGGGGAATTGCAATAGAGAAAGAGTAATTCACGCAGAGCCAGCTGTGCGGGAGACTGAAATTTTATTATTATTTAAATCAGTCTCCTCGAGCATTTGGGAATCAGAGTTTTTAAGGACAACTGGTGGGTGGGGGGAAGCCAGTGAGCCAGAAGCGCTGATTGGTTAGGTAGGAGATGAAATAATGGGAAGTTGAAGCTGTCTGTCCTCATGCGCTGAGTTAGTTCCCTGGTGGGGGCCACAAGATCAGATGAGCCTGTTTATCTATCTGGGTGGTACCAGCTGATCCATCAAGTGCAGGGTCTGCAAAATATCTCAAGCACTGGTCTCAGGAGCAGTTTAGGGAGGGTCAGAATCTTGGCCTCCAGCTGCATGACTCCTAAACCATAATTTCTAATCTTGTGGCTAATTTGTTAATCTTATAAAGGCAGTCTAGTCCCCAGGCAAGGAGGAGGTTTGTTTTGGGAAAGGGCTGTTATTGTCTTTGTTTTAAACTATAAACTAAATTCCTCCCAAAGTTAGTTTAGCCTATGCCCAGGAAGGAACAAGGACAGTTTAAAGTTAGAACCAAGATGGAGTCCATTAGGTTAGATCTCCTTCATGGTCTCAGTCATAATCTTGCAATGGTGGTTTCATCGTCATTACTAACTTCCTTGGGAGTTGAGTTGAAAAAATGGTAGGATTCATGATATCATAAAAAATTGTAAGGATGTGTGATAATTTTGAGATGTGATATTCCAACCACCCCCAGTGATAGATCTGAAAATTTGGCCCAATATTTCAAGCAGTAGATGTAGGTCACAAGTTTCATGCGTCTTTCTTGCCCTGAAGTCTCAATAGTTTATACTGGCTGAAAGATTAAGTCCTAAGGAATAGGAGGAGAGCTCTGGGAGATAGGAAGCTTGATTCATTCTTTTTCTTTTCTTTTCTTTTTTTTTTTTTTTGAGACAGAGTTTTGCTCTTGTCACCCTGGCTGGAGTGCAATGGCGTGATCTTGGTGGCTCACTGCAACCTCTGCCTCCTGGGTTCAAGCGATTCTCCTGCTGCAGCCTCTCAAGTAGCTGGGACTACCGGAGTGCCCCATCATGCCCAGCTAATTTTGTATTTTTAGTAGAGATGGGGTTTCGCCATGTTGGCCAGTCCAGTCTTGAACTCCTGACCTCAAGTGATCTGCCCACCTCAGCCTCCCTGGGTGCTGTGATTACAGGCGTGAGTCAACGTGCCTGGCTGATTCATTTGTTTTCCTTTCTTTTTTTTTTGAGATGGAGCTTCGCTCTTGTTGCCAGGCTGGAGTGCAATGGCGCAATCTTGGCTCACCGCAACCTTCACCTCCTTGGTTCAAGTGATTATCCTGCCTCAGCCTCCTGAGTAGTTGGGATTACAGGCATGCGCCACCATGCCCAGCTAATTTTGTATTTTTAGTAGAGATGGGGTTTCTCCATGTTGGTCAGGCTGGCCTTGAACTCCTGACCTCAAGTGATCCGCTCACCTCAGCCTCCCAAAGTGCTGGGATTACAGGTGTGAGCCACCACATCCGGCCAGAAATTGAACCTTTTTTTACTGGGGGCATATGGGTAAAATCAATTTGCCAGTCCTGTCCTGGAAGGTGTCCCCTGGCTTGACAGGTTGGGAAAGAAGGGGGTCTAGTGTTGCAGTGGGGTGAAGTTTTCTGGCAAATAGAGCGTTGATGGGGAATGGCTTTTAACTGTTCCTTTATATCTGGGGTTATGTGTATATGGGAACTTAAGAAATGTAGAGGGCAATGGCTAGTGTGGAAGAGGTTGTGAATGTCCTGTGAAAGAGTTGCTTTTTCAGGGTCAGGTAGGACTAATTTGTTTTGTATGAACCAGTATGGGGGTTTGAATTGTGCCCTTGCCATGATTAGTTGTTGTATTTGGTGTTCTGGATAAAAGGAGGGGATATGTTGTATGAGGGGAAATAGGTATTGGGGAATTGGGTGATTGGTTGAGCACAATAGTCAGCCTCACAGTTCCCTAAAGAAATGTAGCTTTTATCTGATTGATGTCTTTGCAATGAATAACTGCAACCTTTCCTGGAAGTAAAGCTGCCTTTAGTAGATGATGGATTGGTTTTCCATTAATGATAGTTGTTCCCTTAACCATGAGATAGCCCCACTTGCTCCACATTTGGGCATTGGAATGGTTGATGTTATAGGCATATTTGGAATTGGTGTATATATTAACTTGTGTGGTTTTTGCTAGGGTTAATGCTCTTATTAGGGCAATTAATTTCTGCTTTTTGGTAGGATGTGCCCAAAGGCAAGGGGGCAGCCTCTACAACTCTTCTAGGTGGGAGAGAGTGGGTATCATCATGATATCCCTCAGTAATGGCATATCCTCTTGGAGGGGAGGGTTTTTTGATGGCTGCCATCTATAAACCAATCCGGGGCTTCCTTTATGTGAGTGGAAGTAAGGCAGGAGAATCACTTGAACCCAGGAGGCAGAGGTTGCAATGAGCTGAGATTGTGCCATTGCACTCCATCCTGGGCAATAAGAGTGAAACTCTGACTCAAAAAAAACAAAAAACAACAAAAAAGCAAGACCCAACATATTGCTGCCTACAAGAGACTCACCTCACCATTAAAGACAAACACAAGCAAAGTGAAAGGATGGAAAAAGATTTTCTATGCAAACAGAAACCAAAAGTAAGCAGGAGTAGCCACACTTATATCAGATAAAATAGAACTTAAGTCAAAAACTGTAAAAAGAGACAAGGTCATTATGTATGACAAGGGGGTCAATTTAACAAGAGGATATAACAATTATAAATATATATGTGCTACCATCCTGGCTAACACAGTGAAACCCCATCTCTACTAAAAATACAAAAAATTAGCTGGGCGCAGTGACGGGCGCCTGTAGTCCCAGCTACTCAGGAGGCTGAGGCAGGAGAATGGCGTAAACCCAGGAGGCAGAGCTTGCAGTGAGCCGAGATCGCGCCACTGCACTCCAGCCTGGGCGATGGAGGGAGACACTGTCTCAAAAAAATTAAAAAAAAAAAAAATATATATGTGTCCAACACCAGAGCACCCCAATATATAAAACTAATATTACTAGAGCTAAAGAGATAGACTGCATACAATAACAGTACGGGACTTCAACACCCCACCCTCAAAAATGGATAGATCATTTAGCTAGAAAATCAACAAAGAGGGCTGGGTGCGGTGGCTCATGCCTGTAATCCCAGCACTTTGGGAGGCTGAGGCGGGTGGATCACGAGGTCAGGAGTTCAAGACCAGCCTGGCCAATATGGTGAAACCCCATGTCTACTAAAAATACAAAAATTAGCTGGACATGGTGGCGTGTGCCTGTAATCCCAGCTACTTGGGAGGCTGAGGCAGGAGAATCGCTTGAACCCAGGAGGTGGAGGTTGCAGTGAGCCAAGACGGCGCCACTGCACTCCAGCCTGGTGACAGAGTCTCAAAAAAAAGAAAAAAAAAGAAAATCAACAAAGAAACATCAGACTTTAGCTACACCATGGACCAAATGACTTAACAGACATTTACAGAACATTCCATCCAACAGCTGCAGAATACACATTCTTCTCAACTGAGCATTATCCAGGATAGACCATATATTAGGCCACAAAACAAATCTCAGCAAATTTAAGAAGATAGAGATCATAGCAAGTATCTTTTTGGACCACATGGTATAAAATCAACAATAAGAAAAACTTCAGAAATCTTACACATGTGTGGAAAGTAAACAAGATGATCCTGAATGACCAATTGGTCAATGAAGAAATTAAAGTGGAAATTAAAAAATTCCTTGAGGGCAGCCACGGTGGTTCATACCTGTAATTCCAGCACTTTGAGAGGCTAAGGTGGGTGGATCACTTGAGATCAGGAGTTTGAGACCAGGCTGGCCAATATGGTGAAAGCTCATCTCTACTAAAAATACAGAAAAAGATTAGCTGGGCATGATAGCGCACACTTGTAATCCCAGCTGAGGCAGAAGAATCGCTTGAACCTGGGAGGCGGAAGTTGCAGTGAGCCAAGATTTCACCACTGCACTCCAGGCTGGGGGACAGAGCGACAAACAACATGGAAACACATCATCACAAAATCATAGGGACACAGGAAAAGCAGTTTTAAGAGGGAAGTTCCTACCAAAAAATGGATCAAAAAAGAGAAATGATTTTCCTTCCTTCCTTCCTCCCTCCCTCCTTTCCTTCCTTCCTTTCTTCCTTCCTCCTTTCCTTTCCTTTTTTTCTTTTCTTTTCTTTTTTTATTTCCTTTCTTTGTTGTTTCCTTTCCTTTCCTTCTTTTCTTTTCTTCTTTTCTTTTTTTCTTTCCTTTCTTTCTTGTTTCACTCTATCACCTAGGCTGGCGTGAAGTGGTGTGATCATAGCTCACTGCAGCCTGGAACTCCTTCACTTGAGCAATCTGCTTGCCTCAGCCTCCTGAGTAGCTGGGACTACAGGCATGTGTCAACATACCTGGCTAAAAAAGAAGAAATATTTCTCTTCCTTTCTTTCCTTTCTTTCCTTCCTTCCTTCCTTCCTTCCTTCCTTCCTTCCTTTCTTTCTTTCTCCCTTTCTTTTTTTCTTCCTTCCTTCCTTCTTCCTTTCCTTTCCTTCCTTCTTTCTTTCCTTTTTTTTTTTTTTTTTGACAGAGTGTTGCTCTGTTACCCAGGCTGGAGTGCAGTGACGTGATCTCAGCAACCTCCACCTCCTAGGCTCCAGCAATTCTCATGCCTTAGCTCCCTGAGTAGCTGGGACTACAGGCATGTGCCACCATGCCTGGCTAATTTTTCGTATTTTTTGTATTTTTTTTTTCGAGATGGAATCTCACTCTGTCACCCAGGCTGGAGTACAGTGGTGCAATCTCAGCTCATTGCAACCTCTGCCTCCCAGGTTCAAGTGATTCTCCTGCCTCAGCCTCCCAAGTAGCTGGGACTATAGGCTCCCACCACAATGCCTGGCTAATTTTTGTATTTTTAGTAGAGACAGGGTTTCACCACATTGGCCAGGCTGGTCTGGAAATCCTGACCTCAGGGGATCCACCTGTCTTGGCCTCCCAAAGTGCTGGGATTACAGGCATGAGCCACTGCTCCCAGCCTTTTTTGTATTTTTAGTAGAGATGGGGTTTCACTATGTTGACCAGGCTGGTCTTGAACTCCTGGCCTCAAGAGATCTACCCTCCGTGGCCTCCCAAAGAGCTGGGATTACAGGTGTGAGCCACCACGCCTGGCCAAGAAGAAATATTTCTAATTAACTACCTAACCATGCACCTCAAGAAACTAGAAAAACAAGAAAAAACTAAACCTGAAATTGATAGAAGGGAGGAAATAATAAAGCTCAGAGCAGAAATAAAAACATAGAGGCTAAAAAAAATTCAAAAGATCAATAAAATGAAGAGTTGGTTTTCTGAAAAAAAAATTAACAAACTTTTAGCTAGACTAACCAAGCAAAAAAGAGAAAAGACCCAAATAAATAAAATGACAGATGAAAAAGAAGACACTGCAACTGATATCACAGGAATTCAAAGGACCATAAGAGACTATCATGAACAACTATATGCCAATAAACTTTAGAAGATTAAATTCCTGGACAAATACAACCTGCCAAGATTATATGATGAAGAAATAGAAAATCTGAACAGAGCAAAAATGAGTGAGGAAATTGAAACTGTAATAAAAAGTCTGCCATCAAAAAAACTCCAAAACATAAACACATCCAGGACCCAATGGCTTCACTGCTGAATTTTATTTTATTTTATTTTTTGACATGGAGTTTCTCTCTTATTGCCCAGGCTGGAATGCAATGGCGTGATCTCGGCTCACTGCAACCTCCACCTCCTGGGTTCAAGGAATTCTCCTGCCTCAGCCTCCCAAGTAGCTGGGATTACAGGCATGCACCACCACTGGCTTATTTGATAGTTTTAGTAGAGACAGGGTTTCACCATGTTGGTCAGGCTGGTTCGAACTCCTGACCTCAGATGATCTGCCCGCCTTAGCCTCCCAAAGTGCTGGGATTACCGGCATGAGCCACTGCGCCCAGTTTTCACTGCTGAATTCTACCAAACATTTAAAGAAGAACTAATGTCAATTATTCTCAAACCATTCCTGAAAATTGAAAAGAAAGGAATACTTCCAAACTCATTTTAAGATGCCAGCAATACCTTGATTCCAAACCATACAAAGACAAAACAACAACAAAACTACAGTTCAATATCCCTGATGAACATAAATGCAAAATTCTCAAGAAGATACTAGCAAACTGGAAGGCTGGGTGCAGTGGCTCATGACTATAATTCCAGCATTTTGGGAGGCTGAGGTGGGAGGACTGCTGGGGCCCAGGAGTTAGAGATCAGCCTGGGCAACATACTGAGACTTTGTCTCTACAAAAAATTAGAAAAGTTAGCCAGGCATGATGGCATGCACCTGCAGTCCCAACAACTCAGGAGGCTGAGGTGGAAGGATCACTTGAGCCTGGGAAGTCAAAGCTGTAGTGAGCCATGATTGCGCCATTCCATTCCAGCCTTGGTGATAGAGTGAGACCCGACCCTGACTCCAAAAATAAATAAATAAATAAATAAATAAATGGCAGCAAACTAAATTCAAAAGCACATCAAAAATATCATTCACCACGAACAAGTGGGATTCATCCTAGGGATGCAAGTATGGTTCGACATATTCACATCAATATGATATATCACATTAACAAATAGAAGGCTGGGCACAGTGGCTCATGCCTGTATTCCCAGCACTTTGGGAGGCTGAGGTAGGCGGATCATCTGAGGTCAGGAGTTTGAGAACAGCCTGGCCAACATGGCGAAACCCCATCTCTACTAAAAATATTAAAAAAATTGCTGGGTGTGGTGGCGCACACCTGTAATCTCAGCTACTTGGGAGGCTGAAGCATGAGAATTGCTTCAACCTGAGAGGTGGAGGTTGCAGTGAGCCAAGATCATGCCACTGCACTCCAACCTGGGCAACAGAGTGAGACTCCATCTCAAAAAAACCCAAAAACCAAAAACCCATTATTTCAATATATGCAGAAAAAGGATTTGACAAAATTCAACATCGCTTCATGATTAAAAAAAAAAAACCCTCAAGAAGTTAGGCATAGAAGGTATGTAACTCAACACAATAAAGGCCATATATGACAAACCTATTGCTAACATTATCATATATCACAAACCCACAGCTAATATTAGCTTTTCTTGTAAGAACAGGAAGAAGACAAGGATGCCCACTTTCACCACTCCTATTCATCATAGTACTGGAAGTCCTAGCCAGAAGAATTAAGCAAATGAAAGGAATAAGAAACATCTAAATTGGAAAGGAGGAAGTCAAATTGTCTCTGTTTGAAGACAGCATAATGTTTTTATTTTAAACAACATAATCTTATATATAGAAAATCTAAAGACTCCACCAAAAATCTGTTAGAACCAATAAACAAATTCAGTAAAGTTGCAGGATACAAAATCAACATAGAAAAATCAGCAGTGTTTCTATATATTAATAGTGAACTATTAGAAAAGTAAATCAAGAAAACAATTCTATTTATAATCGCTACAAAAAAGATACCTAGGAACCAACTTAATTAAGGTGGTGAAAGATCTCTACATGGAAAACCATAAAACATTAGTGAAAGAAATTGAAAAATACCCAAATAAATGGAAAGATATCCCATATTCACAAATTGGAAGAATTGATATTGTTGAAATCCCCACACTACCCAAAGCAATCTATAGATTTAATGCAATCTCTACAAAAATACCAATGACATTATTCACAGAAATATAAAAAACAATCTAAAAATTCAAATGGAACCACAAACAACTCCAAATTGCTAAAGCAATCCTGAGCAAAAAGAACAAAGCTGGAAGCATTATTCTATCAGACTTCAAAATATACTATCAAGCTATAGTAACCAAAACAGCATGGTACTGGCACAAACACACACACATAGACCAATAGAACAGAACAGAAAGCCCAGAAATAAAGTCATGCACCTACAGCTAACTGATTTTCAACAAAGGTGCCAAGAGCACACATTGGGTAAAAGACAGTTTCTTCAATAAACAATGCTGGGAAAATTGGATATGCATATGCACAAGAATGAAGCTAGACTCCTACCTCTCACCATATACAAAATTCAATTCAAAATGAATTAAAGACTTAAATGTAAAACCTGAAACCATTAAATTACTAGAAGAAAACACAGGGAAAATGCTTAATAACATTGGACTGGGCAATTTTTTTAAAAAAATAAGTCCTCAAAAGCACAGGCAACAAAAACAAAAATAGACAAATGGAACTACATCAAACTAAAAAGTTTTTGTGCAGCAAAGGAAACAATAGAGTGAAGAAAGACAATCTATAGAATGGGAGAAAATATTTGCAAACTATACATCTGACAAAAGGTTAATATCCAGAATATATAAGGAAGTTAACTCAACAACAAAAAAACAGATAATCTGATTTTAAAATGGACAAGATAACTTAAGAGACATTTCTCAAAAGAATTAATTCAAATGGCCAACAGGTACACGAAAAAATACTCAACATCACATATCAGGGAAATGCAAATCAAAATCACAATGAGATAACACCTCACTTCAGTTAGAATGACTATAATCAAAAAGACAAAAAGACAGGTGTCAATGAGGATATGGAGAAAAGGGAACACTTACACACTGTGGTGAAATTATAAACTAGTACAGCCACTATAGAAAAATGGATAGAAGTTCCTCAAAATATTAAAAATAGAACTTCCAGGCCAGGTGCGGTGGCTCATGCCTGTAATCCCAGCACTTTGGGAGGCTGAGGCAGGCAGATCACCTGAGGTCAGGAGTTTGAGATCAGCCTGGCCTACATGGTGAAATCCCATCTCTACTAAAAAACCCCGTCTCTAAAATTAGCCAGGCGCACCTGTAGTCCCAGCTACTTGGGAGGCTGAGGCAGGAGAATCGCTGGAACCTAGGAGGCGGAGATTGCAGTGAGCCAACATCACGCCATTGCCCTCCAGCATGGGTGACAGAGCAAGACTCCATCTCAAAAAAGAAAAGAAAAGAAAAAAAGGACTTCCATTTGATGTCACATCTAAGAATTCTTTGCTTAATCCCATGTTATGAAGATTTTTCTCATACTCTTTATTCCAAAAATTTTATAGTTTTATATTTTACATTTAGATCTAGGATCCATTTTGAGCTAATTTTTGTGTGAGATGAGAGGTGTAGTTTTATATATATATATATATATTTTTTTTTTTGCGTATGGATTTCCAGTTGTTCCAACACCATATGTTGAAAAGTCTGCTGTCTCTTCATGGAATTTCCCTTTTACCTTTGTCAAAAATCAATTGGCCATATTCGTCTGCATTTCTCCTTGACTGTCTACCCTCTGTTACATGAATCTATGTGTCTATCCCTTTGCAAATACCACAGTTTCTTTTCTTCTTCTTCTTTTTTCTTTTCTTTTTTTTTTTTTTTTGAGGCAGAGTTTCACTCTGTTGCCCAGGCTGGAGTGCAACGGTGTGATCTTGGCTCACTGCAACCTCTGCCTCCCGGGTTCAAGCAATTCTTGTGTCTCAGCCTCCTGAGTAGCTGGGACTACAGGCGCCTGACACCACACCTGGATAATTTTTGTATTTTTAGTAGAGACGGAGTTTTGCCATGTTTGCCAGGCTGCTCTTGAACTCCTGGCCTCAAATGATCCTCCCATCTTGGTCTCTCAAAGTGCTTGGATTACAGGCATGAGCCACTGCACCTGGCCAACACAATTTCTTGATTACAGTAGTTATACAGTAAGTCTTAAAAATTTTAGGCTGAGTGCTGTGGCTCACGCCTGTAATCCCAGCACTTTGGGAGGCCAAGCAGGGAGGATCACTTGAGACCATGAGTCCAAGACCAGCCTAGCAAAATAGCGAGACCCTGTCTCTACAATTTAAAAAATTTTTTCATTTTTCCATAGGTTATCGGGGGTACAGGTGGTGTTTGGTTACATGAATAAGGTTTTTTGTTTTTTTGTTTTTTTTGGACAGAACTTTGCTCTTGTCGCCTAGACTGGAGTGCAATGGTGCAACCTCAGCTCACTGCAACCTCCGCCTTCCGGATCCAAGTTACTCTCCCTCCCTAGCCTCCCAAGCAGCCGGGACCACAGGCGCGCACCACCATGCCTGGCTAATTTCTGCATCCCTAGCAGAAATGGGGTTTCACCATATTGGCCAGGCTGCTCTCGAATTCCCGACTTCAGGTGATCCACCCACCTCGGCCTCCCAAAATGCCAGGACCACAGGAGTGAGCCACTGCACCCGGCCATGAGTAAGTTCTTTAGTGGTGATTTGTGAGATTTTGGTGAACCCATCACCTGAGCAGTATACACTGCAACCCTATTTGTAGTCTTTTATCCCTCACCCCCACTGCCAACCTTCCCCTCTACAAAATTAAAAAAAAAATTAGCCAGGCATGGTGGTGCATGCCTGTAGTCCCAGCTACTTGGGAGGCTGCAGTGGAAGGATTGCTTGAGCACAGGAGTTAGAGGTTGCAGTGAGCTGTGATCACACCACTGCATTCCAGCCTGGGCAACAGAAGGAGACCTTGAGCTTTATTTTTATTTAAATAAAAATATTTAGGCTGAGCACGGTGGCTCATGCCTGTAATTCCAGCACTTTGAGAGGCCAAGGTGGACAGATCACTTGAGGTCAGGAGTTCAAGACCAACCTGGTCAACATGGTGAAATCCCATCTCTACTAAAAATACAAAAATTAGCCAGGCGTAGTGGCGTGTGCCTGTAATCCCAGCTACTCAGGAGGCTGAGGCAAGAGAATCACCTGAACCCGGGAGGCAGAGGTTGCAGTGAGCCGAGATTGCACCACTGCACTCCAGCATGGGTGACAGAGTGAGCCCCTGTCTCAAAATAATTAAATAAGTAAATAAAAATATTTAAATACTTTGATCTTTTTCAAAATTGTTTTGACTATTTTAGTTCCCTTGATTTTACATAACATTTTAGAATCAGCTTGTCTATATTTACAAAAAAATTCTGCTGAGATTTTTTTTTGAGATGGGGTCTTGCTATGTTGCCCAGGCTGGCCTTGAACTCCTGGGCTCCAGTGATCCTCCTACCTTAGCTTCCTCAGTAGTTGGAACTATAGGTGCAACAGGTGCAATTACCACCTTTGCTGAGATTTTGATTGTGTGAAATTTATGGATCAATTTGGGAAGAATCAGTGTCTTTACTACATTAAGTCTTTCAATCACGAACACCTATAGCTCACCATTTATTTAAATCTTCTTTTAATTTCTTTCATTATTCCTTTCAGCATACAACACAGAACATGTTTTATTAGATTTATATCTAATTATTTCATATTTTGAGCTATTGTGAATGCCATTTAAAAATTTTTATTTTTGGCCAGGTGCAGTGGCTCATGCCTGTAATCCCAGCACTTTGGGACGCCCAAGCAGGTGGATCACCTGAGATCAGGAGTTCAGGACCAGCCTGGCCAACATGGTGAAACCCCATCTCTACTAAAAATGCAAAAATTAGCTGGGCGTGGTGGCGTGTGCCTGTAATCCCAGCTACTTGGGAGGCTGAGGCAGGAGAATTGCTTGAACCCAGGAGTTGGAGGTTGCAGTGAGCCGAGATCAGGCCACTGCACTCCAGCCTGGGCAACAAGAGAGAGACTCCGTCTCAAAAAACCAAAAAATTATTTTCTAATTGTTCATTGCCAGTATATAAAAATACAATTGGTTTTTGTGTGTTAACCTTGCAACCTTACTAAACATATTTATTAGTTGTAGGAGGTTTTTTTTATAGATTCCTTGTGAAATCATCTGGGCCTGGAAATTTCTATTTTAGAAAATGTTAAACTACGAATTCAATTTATTTAATTTGTATAGAACAGCTTATCTGGTTTATCTTGGATGGGTTTTGCTAGTTTTTGTTTTCTGAACTCTTGGTCCATTTCACCTAAATTGTTGAATTTTTATGGGTAGAGTTGTTAGTGGTATTTTTGTCCTTTTAATGTTTGTGTGCCCTGTAGCAATATCCCCTCTTTCATTCCTGATATTAATAAGTTGTGGTTACTCTAATTTTTCTTTATCAGTCTTGCTAGAGGTTTATCCATCTTACTGATCTTTCCAAAGAGCCAAGTTTTGGTTTTATCAGTTTTCCCTATTTTAATTTCATTGATTTCTGCTCTTTATTTCCTTCCTTCTGCTTGCTTTGGAATTATTTTCCTTTTTTTTTTCTAACTTCTTAAGATGGAAGCTTAGATTATTTATTTGAGATCATTCTTCTTTTCTAACGAATTAATGCCATAAATTTCCCTTTAAATACAGTTGACTCTTGGCCAACCACCCTGCACAGCCGAAGATTCATGTGTAACTTTTGAATCCCCCAAAACCTAATTACTAACAGCCTACTGTTGACCAGAAGCCTTACCAATAACATAAACGTCAATTAACTATATTTTCTGTATGTATTATATACTATATTCTTACAATAAAGTAAGCTAGAGAAAAGAAGATGGTATTAAAAAAATCAAAAGGAAGGGAATATATATTTATTATTCATTATGTGTAAATGGGTCATAAAAGTCATTTTTTTTTTTTGGTGCCGAAAGCCGGGAATGAACCAGTCATAAATGTCTTCATCCTCCTCATCTTCAGGCAGAGTAGGTTGTGGAGGAGGAGGAAGGGAAGACAATGGTCTAGCTATCTCAGGGGTGGCAGCGGGGAGAAAACCTACATATAAAAGTGGACCCATGCAGTTCAAACTCATATTGTTGAAGGGTCAATTGTACTGCTTTAGTTGTATCCCACAAATTTCGATAAATTGTATTTTTTTGTTCAATTAAAATATTCTAATTTTATTTGAGTCTTCTTTAATCCATGGTCAGTGTGTTTAGAAGTTTTAGAAATACGTTGTTTAGGCCGGGCGCAGTGGCTCACGCTTGTAAGCCCAGCACTTTGGGAGGCCGAGGCAGGCGGATCACGAGGTCAGGAGATAGAGACCACGGTGAAACCCTGCCTCTACTAAAAATACAAAAAATTAGCCGGGTGTGGTGGCGGGCGCCTGTAGTCCCAGCTACTCGGAGAGGCTGAGGCAGGAGAATGGCGTGAACCCGGGAGGTGGAGCTTGCAGTGAGCCGAGATCACGCCACTGCACTCCAGCCTGGGCGACAGAGACCCTGTCTCAAAAAAAAAAAAAAAAAAAAAAGAAATATATTGTTTAATTTCCATATGTTTGGAGATTTCCTGTTATCTTTCTGTTATTGATTTCTCATTTAATTTCTTTATGACCAGGGAAAATGTTTATTATCTTAATTATTTTAAATTTGTTATGGTTTTATAACCCAGGATATTGTCTATTTCGGTAAATGTTCCTCATGTACTTGAAAGAATGTATGTTCTACTGTTGTTGGGTGGAGTGTCCTATAAATGTAAATTAGATCCAATTGTTTGATGTTATTCAATTTTTCTATTTCCTTGCTCATTTTCTGTCTACTGTTTCTATCAACTACTTTGAGAGGAGTGTTGAAGTTTCCAACTATAATTGTGGATTTGTCTATTTCTCCTTTCAGTGTTTTTTGTTTTTTTTTTTTTTTTTTTTTGAGACAGGATCTCACCGTGTTTCCCAGGCTGGCCTTAAACTCCTGGGGTCAAGCAATTCTCCCGCCTCAGCCTCCTGAGTAGCTGGGATTACAGATGTGCACAATCACGCCCGGCTGATTTTTATATTTTTAGTAGAGATGGGGTTTCACCAGGTTGGTCAGGCTGGTCTTGAACTCCTGACCTCGTGATCCACCAGCCTCGGCCTCCCAAAGTGCTGGGATTACAGGCGTGAGCCACTGTGCCCGGCTGAAACTTTCTTTTTTTAAATCCATGCAGATTACAGATGTACTGGATATCTATCATTTCGGGCTATCTAGCATCTATCTCTCCACCTATCTGTAAACACCTTGATCTCCCTTTTAGGGAAATTCTCCATTATCAGTGAGGGAAATTCTTCTGCCTTCTCTTTTAGTGCCACCTCTCACAGTGGAAGTAAAGACGGACAGATCCTTCCTATATTTCTTTCCTGATAGAACTAGTAGGTTAGCATGTGACCTAAACTTGTCCAATCAGGTGATCCTTCTCAGAACTTTGAATCTTGTTCACGTAATATTGTGATAGAGATCGTCAAATGTTCAGCAAACCCTATTTCCTTATCTTTTTGGGCATACAGATGGACTACATTTTTTTGTTGTTGTTGTTAGCTGCGGCCTTATGTCTTGGGTTCCGGACGATAGAATTTAGATAGAAGCTAGGTTCAGTGGCTTGTGCCTGTAATCCCAGTTACTTAGGAGGCTGTGGTGGAAGGACTGCTTGAGGCCAGGAGTTCTAGAACCAGCCTGGGCAACATGGTGAGACCCCATCTCTAAAAAAAATTTAAAAATTCGCCATTGGTTTGTGCTTGTGGTCCCAGATACTCGGGAGGCTAAAGTGGGAGGATTGCTTGAACCCAGGAGTCTGAGGCTGTGGTGAGCCAGGATCATGCCACTGCACTCTAGCCTGGGTGACAGAGCAAGACCCTGTCTCTTAAAACAAAACAAAAGGAAACACAACAAAACTTAGCTGAATGTGGTGGCACATTCCTGTAGTCCCAGCTACTCTAGAGACTGAGGCTGAAGAACCACTGGAGCCCAGGAATCTGAGGCTGCAGTGAGTTATGATGGCACCACTGCACTCCAACCTGGGTGATAAAGTGAGGCCCTGTCTCTTAAAAAAAAAAAAAAAAGAAAAGGCTTGACCTATTAAAACCTCCCACATTTGATCTTTGCCCTCTCTTTTCCTCTCCAAGAGAAGACGGAAGGAGTCTGGGTCCCTGAGTCACTGCCTGGAGGAGAGCTGCCAAGAAAGCCACTAGACCAGAAGCACCCATGCTGGACTGTGGTGTGAGACAGAAATAAACTTCCGTTGTGTAAAACCTCTGTGATTTGGAAGGTTATTTTAGCATTTGTTCTTACCCAGATTAAAAGACAGAATGTTTGGCATAAGGTTTATTTTAGCATTAGCAGTGATGTGGATCAAGCTGTTCTTACTGACAGATCTTGGGAGGTCCCTGGTTCTGCCTATTGTCTAAACCTTTTATCTTAGCTTCTCATCGTTTTGTAAGCCATCAGTATCCTTATTACACATTTCCCCTTTTTGGCTTAAAGTAACCAGACCCGGTTTCTGTTGCTATAACCAATAATTTAGATGTATTTATTAGATAAGAATTTAAGGCTTTAAATGGCAAGTGATTTGCCCAAGGGCACAACTGGTTAAGTGGCAGATTTAGGATTACAAACCTGTGCCTGGTATCTCCTACTTCAGTGTACTTTCTACTGTACTACTGGGAATTCAAAGGGAGCCCAATAATTAACACTGCTCTTCCCCACTCACTTCTAAACCAATTGAGAAATAAGAGTCAATAGAAATGGCAAATAAAAGATAGTATCACCTTCATTACTGGAAAAAGCTAGGTTGGAGGGTAGAACCTCCTTACATGACAGGTCTGCTCCTGTGAGATTTAAGGCAGAAAAGAGCAAAGAATAACTAGTGTTCTCTGTTGACAACTTGCTTCTAAGTAGAAAGAAAAGAGGAAGAGGCTGGACTGCACACAATGAGTTTCTTCTTCCAAAGTTTCCATTTAGAGAAGTCACTACCTCAACTGGGTAAGAATGAGAGGGTGGACAGGAGTCAGGACTAGAATGCGAATAATTGACGCTTTACATAAAAAAAATGGGAAATAAGGCTGGGCGCAGTGGCTCACGCCTGTAATCCCAGCACTTTGGGAGGCCGAGATGGGCAGATCACGAGGTCAAGAGTTCGAGGCCAGCTTGGCCAACATGGTGAAACCCCATCTCTATTAAAAATACAAAAAAATTAGCCAGGCATGGTGACGCGTGCTTGTAGTCCCAGCTACTTGGGAGGCTAAGGCAGGAGGATCACTTGAACCTGGGAGGTGGAGGTTGCAGTGAGCTGAGATCATGCCACTGCACTCCAGCCTGGGTGACAGAGTGAGACTCCATCTCAAATAAATAAATAAATAAATAAATAAAAATAAAAGGGAAATAAGATGTCTATATTTCTTTTTTTCTTTTTTTGACACGGAGTCTTGCTCTGTCACCCAGGCTGGAGTGCAGTGGTGTGATCTCGGCTCACTGCAAGCTCTGCCTCCTGGGTTCACGCCATTCTCCTGCCTCAGCCTCCCAAGTAGCTGGGACTACAGGCGCCTGCCACCATGCCCGGCTAATTTTTTGTTTTTTTACTAGAGACGGGGTTTCACCATGTTAGCCAGGATGGTCTTGATCTCCTGACCTTGTGATCTGCCTGCCTCGGCCTTCCAAAGTGCTAGGATTACAGGCGTGAGCCACCGCACCCAGCCAAGATGTCTATATTTCTATCTATCTATGTATCTATCTATCTATATCTATCTATCTTGATTGACAGATAATGTTTTGGCTGCTAGAAATACTTCATTTCTGATGATACATGATTGGGTTAAACATTGAAACAAAATCCCCTAATATTCTCCCCATCACATTTAAATGTTATTAACAGTTTAGTAGTATGTGTCCTTCTTTATGAACATGCTGAAGTTGAGTTATGGTGAGGATTAAAAGATTAATCTGTGTGAAGCACCCAGCGTGGTGCCTGGTACAGGAGGAACTCACTTGCTTCCTTTCTTCCTTTCTAGTGTCCCAGAGCCTTCTGTAGTCTAAGAATCCATGACTAGTGTTAGACTAGGCTGATGTGACCATAGAATCCAAGGTGTGTCCTGGCTTTTGGGGGTGCTGACAGACTTAGGCCTGGCAGGACTGCCAGAGAACAGTAGTTAGGGGCTCAAGGCCATGGCAGGTGTCCATTGGGGAGGAGCTGTTCAGCCTAGCCAGGCTCATGGCCTTTCCTACCCTGTTCCAGGTGGGCCCAGAGCTTGGGACTGCCTCCTGGGTTAGCATACTGTCCTGTGAGCTCTCTGTGTGAGCTAGGACAGGAGTTTCAAGCACCAGGGCCAGTCTCCTTCTGGGCCTCTCTCATAGGACAGTCAGGCATAGGGCTGGGCCCTAGGAGGTCCCACAAAGGCTGGCTGGTTGGCTGACTTCTGGGTTAATGTGGTGCCACCTCAGCTCTGCCTGAAACTCTGCCTGATCTTGCTCCAGCCTCAGGGATGTCCAAGCCCCTGCCCTCCTTTGTAGATTTCTGGACTTAGCAGGAGAAAAGAAATGTGGGAGCTGAGGACACAGCAGGAGAGGAGGGGCGAAGGAGGCAGCACAGACTGAGAGCTACCTCTGCCTGCCTTTGCCCTCTGACTTAGTTCAGAGGTCTTCCTTCCTCCAGGAATTCCTCCTGGAAGCCACCTCTCTTTCCCCTAGGCCAAGTTAATCAATCCCTCCTCTATTCTTGTTAATAGATTTTTTCCAGCCGGGCGCGGTGGCTCACGCCTGTAATCCCAGCACTTTGGGAGGCCGAGGGGGGTCGATCACCAGAGGTCGGGAGTTCGAGACCAGCCTGACCAACATGGAGAAACCCCGTCTCTACTAAAAATAGAAAATTAGCTGGGCATGGTGGTGCATGCCTATAATCCCAGCTACTTGGGAGGCTGAGGCAGGAGAACTGGGGAGACAGAGGTTGCAGTGAGCCGAGATTGCGCTATTGCATTCTAGCCTGGGCAACAAGAGCGAAACTCTGTCTCAAAATAATAATAATAATAATAATAATAATAATAATAATAATAACAACAAATAGTATTTCCCCCATGTTTGTCTCTCTACTAGGGTGTAAACTTTAAAGGCCAACATTTATTTCATCCATCTATATGTATCTAGTGCTCAGCACTGGCTCTGGCTCAATGATACTCAATGACTTGAGACTCAGTGATCTAGAAAAGGAAAGGTGGCACCCTAGAGATGAATTATATAAGTAAGGGTGAGGGCAAGAGAGAGAAACGAAATACCTTTTTGTGGCTGGACTGGGTTTTGTAATCAGAACCTCTCTGACAGCCAAGTTGTTCACTGTGGAAGGAGCTGCAAGGAAGAAGTCAACTTCCTGTCTTGAAAACTGCAAAGAGAGGCTGGAGACTCCTATAAGAATGCTGCCGTGGGGATTCAAGTACGACACAAACCTGAGATCATGTAACCACCAAGGTGCATTGCAACTCTGAATACACTAGTCTGAATACAAGACTAGTCCCAGAGATGCAAAGACTCAGAAGATTATGTATCTGTTTTGTCAAGGTTAAGGTTGCTGGGAGGACACTCAGGATAATGTCACAGGCTAATCAGCCTCTACTCCTTCTATCCCTTGCATGCAAATACATATTCACAACAATTTAAATAACAAAAAAACTGGCTGGGTATAGTGGCTCATGCTTATAATTCCGGTACTTTGGGAGGCCAAGGTGTGAGGATTGCTTGAGGCCAGGAGTTCAAGACCAGCCTGGGCAACATAGTAGGACTCTAAAGTCTCTAAAGTCTTTAAGTCTCTAAAAAAAAAAAAAAAAAAAAAAAGTCACATAAAACTTACATAATCACCTGCCTGTATATACATGTTGCAATAAATTTTTTTGGGCTGTCAAATTATCTTTTATTGAACATCTTTTTTGTGCATTTTAACTAGTGGAACATTCTGCTGCACCATTGTTGATGTCATCTATGATGTCATGAGGGCGGGTGACAATCAACATTGCAGCCCACAGCCTGGGCAATCCCCAAGATCTCTTTAATGGTTCTGGCCAAAGACTGGTGCCACACCTGTTGGGCAATGTTGATTATCTCATCAAAAGTGACATTTCCACTGTGTTTAATATTTTTGTTTCTATCTCTTGGAGGTTCCTTGAGGGCTTAAAGGATCAGTGTTACTGGTGGCAGGTATCCGAGTTATGCCAGCAGCAAATCCGTACAGGTCTGCAGCAACTTCAGTCCTTGCCTCCTCAGAAGAAAGAATTCAACTGAGGGGCATAAGGCAGAAGGAGAGACCGAGACAAGGTTTCAGAGCAGGAGTGAAACTTTCTTAAAAAGCTTTGGAACAGCAAGGAAAGGAAGAAAAGTGTTATAAAGTTTTGGTGCTGCAAAAGAAATAGCACTCGAATATAAAAATTTCTTTTTAATTCTCAGCAAGTCAAGGGTGTGCCCTTACAGATGGAACAATGGTGAGCGCACACCTGGACAAGGGAGCGGAAGGGGTTCTTATCCCTGACACATGTGGCCCCTGCTGCTGTGTTGTTCCCCTATTGGCTAGGGTTAGACTGCACAGGCTAAACTAATTCCGATTGGCTAATTTAAAGAGAATGACAGGGTGAGTGCTTTGGTAGGAGTCAGGGCAGAGCAGGTAGCAGGTAATCAGTGCGGGTGGAGCAGGTGATTGGAATGCACGGTGGAGCAGGTGATTGGAATGAGTCAGGGTGGAGCAGGTAATCGGAAAAGGTTGCTTTACAAGGAAGTTAAGTTTAAAAGTAGAAGGCAGGGGGGTGGCACCAAAATGGCCAAATAGGAACAGCTCCAGTCTGTGGCTCCCAGAGTGAACGACGCAGAAGATGGGTGATTTCTGCATTTCTAACTGAGGTACCGGGTTCATCTCAGTGGGGCTTGCCAGACAAGTAGGTGCAGCCCACGGAGCAGGGCAGGGCATCGACTCACCCGGGAAGCACAAGGGGTCGGGGAATTCCCTTTCCTAACAAAGGGAAGCCATGAAAGACGTCACCTGGAAAATCGGGACACTCCCACCCTGATACTGCACTTTTCCAACGGCCTTAGCAAATGGCACACCAGGAGATTATATCCTGCACATGGCTCGGAGGGTCACATTTAAAGCAGTGTGTAGAGGGAAATTTATAGCACTAAATGCCCACAAGAGAAAGCAGGAGAGATCTAAAATTGACACCCTAACATCACAATTAAGAGAACTACAGACACAAGAGCAAACACATTCAAAACCTAGCAGAAGGCAAGAAATAACTAAGATCAGAGCAGAAATGAAGGAGATAGAGACACAAAAAACCCTTCAAAAAATCAATGAATCCAGGAGCTGGTTTTTTGAAAAGATCAACTATCCTAAATATATATGCACCCAATACAGGAGCACCCAGATTCATAAAGCAAGTCCTTACAAAGAGACTTAGACTCCCACACAATAATAATGGGAGACTTTAACACCCCACTGTCAACATTAGACAGATCAATGAGACAGAAAGTTAAGAAGGATATCCAGGAATTGAACTCAGCTCTGCACCAAGTGGACCTAATAGGCATCTACAGAACTCTCCACCCCAAATCAACAGAATATACATTCTTCTCAGCACCACATTGCACTTATTCCAAAACTGACCACAAAGTTGGAAGTAAAGCACTCCTCAGCAAATGTAAAAGGACAGAAATTATAACAAACTGTCTCTCAGACCACAGGGCAATCAAACTAGAACTCAGGATTAAGAAACTCACTCAAAACTGCTCAACTACATGGAAACTGAACAACCTGCTCCTGAATGACTACTGGGTATGTAATGAAATGAAGGCAGAAATAAAGATGTTCTTTGAAACGAATGAGAACAAAGACACAACATACCAGAATCTCTGGGACACATTTAAAGCAGTGTGTAGAGGGAAATTTATAGCACTAAATGCCCACAAGAGAAAGCAGGAAAGATCTAAAATTGACACCCTAACATCACAATGAAAAGAACTAGAGAAGCAAGAGCAAACACATTCAAAAGCTAGCAGAAGGCAAGAAATAACAAAGATCAGAGCAGAAATGAAGGCGATAGAGACACAAAAAACCCTTCAAAAAATCAATGAATCCAGGAGCTGGTTTTTTGAAAAGATCAACAAATTGATAGACTGCTAGCAAGACTAATAAAGAAGAAAAGAGAGAAGAATCAAATAGACACAATAAAAAATGATAAAGGGGATATCACCACTGATCCCACAGAAATACAAATTACCATCAGAGAATACTATAAACACCTCTATGCAAATAAACTAGAAAATCTAGAATAAATGGATAAATTCCTGGACACATACAGCCTCCCAAGACTAAACCAGGAAGAAGTTGAATCCCTGAATAGACCAATAACAGGCTCTGAAATTGAGGCAATAATTAATAGCCTACCAACCAAAAAAAGTCTAGGACCAGACGGATTCACAGCTGAATTCTACCAGAGGTACAAAGAGGAGCTGGTTCCATTCCTTCTGAAACTATTCCAATCAATAGAAAAAGAGGGAATCCTCCCTAATTCATTTTATGAGGCCAACATCATCCTGATACCAAAGCCTGGCAGAGACACAACAAAAAAAGATAATTTTAGACCAATATCCCTGATGAACATTGATGCAAAAATCCTCAATAATATACTGGCAAACCGTATCCAGCAGCACATCATAAAGCTAATCCACCACAATCAAGTTGGCTTCATCCCTGGGATGCAAGGCTGGTTCAACATACACAAATCAATAAACGTAATCCATCATATAAACAGAACCAAAGACAAAAACCGCATGATTATCTCAATAGGTGCAGAAAAGGCCTTTGACAAAATTCAACAGCCCTTCATGCTAAAAACTCTCAATAAACTAGGTATCGATGGGATGTATCTCAAAATAATAAGAGCTATTTATGACAAACCCACAGCCAATATCATACTGAATGGGCAAAAATTGGAAGCATTCCCTTTGAAAACTGGCACAAGACAGGGATGCCCTCTCTCACCACTCCTATTCAACATAGTGTTGGAAGTTCTGGCCAGGGCAATCAGGCAGGAGAAAGAAATAAAGGGTATTCAATTAGGAAAAGAGGAAGTCAAATTGTCCCTGTTTGCAGATGACATGATTGTATATTTAGAAAACCCCATCGTCTCAGCCCAAAATCTCCTTAAGCTGATAAGCAACTTCAGCAGTCTCAGGATACAAAATCAATGTGCAAAAATCACAAGCATTCCTATACACCAATAACAGACAAACAGAGAGCCAAATCATGAATGAACTCCCATTCACAATTGCTTCAAAGAGAATAAAATACCTAGGAATCCAACTTACAATGGATGTGAAGGACCTCTTTAAGGAGAACTACAAACCACTGCTCAGCGAAATAAAAGAGGACACAAACAAATGGAAGAACATTCCATGCTCATGGATAGGAAGAATCAATATCATGAAAATGGCCATACTGCTTAAGGTAATTTATAGATTCAATGCCGTCCCCATCAAGCTACCAATGACTTTCTTCACAGAATTGGAAAAAACTACTTTAAAGTTCATATGGAACCAAAAAAGAGCCCACATGGCCAAGTCAATCCTAAGCCAAAAGAACAAGGCTGGAGACATCACGCTACCTGACTTCAAAATAAACTACAAGGCTACAGTAACCAAAACAGCATGGTACCGGTACCAAAACAGAGATATAGACCAATGGAACAGAATAGAGCCCTCGGAAATAATACCACACATCTACAACCACCTGATCTTTGACAAACCTGAGAAAAACAAGCAATGGGGAAAGTATTCCCTATTTAATAAATGGTGCTGGGAAAACTGGCTAGCCATATGTAGAAAGCTGAAACTGGATCCCTTCCTTACACCTTATACAAAAATCAATTCAAGATGGATTAAAGACTTAAATGTTAGACTAAAGCCATAAAAACCCTAGAAGAAAACCTAGGCAATATCACTCAGGCCATAGGCATGGGCAAGGACTTCATGACTAAAACACCAAAAGCAATGGCAACAAAAGCCAAAATTGACAAATGGGATCTAATTAAACTAAAGAGCTTCTGCACAGCAAAAGAAACTACCGTCAGAGTGAACAGGCAACCTACAGAATGGGAGAAAATTTTTACAATCTACCCATCTGACAAAGGGCTAATCTCCAGAATCTACAAAGAACTTAAACAAATTTACAAGAAAAAATCAACCCCATCAAAAAGTGGGGGAAGGATATGAACAGACACTTCTCAAAAGAAGACATTTATGCAGCCAACAGACACATGAAAAAATGCTTATCATCACTGGGCATCAGAGAAATGCAAATCAAAACCACAACGAGATACCATCTCACACCAGTTAGAATGGCGATCATTAAAAAGTCAGGAAACAACAGGTGCTGGAGAGGATGTGGAGAAATAGGAATGCTTTTACACTGTTGGTGGGACTGTAAACTAGTTCAACCATTGTGGAAGACAGTGTGGCGATTCCTCAAGGATCTAGAACTAGAAATACCATTTGACCCAGCCATCCCATTACTGGGCATATACCCAAAGGATTATAAATCATGCTGCTATAAAGACACATGCACACGTATGTTTATTGTGGCACTATTCGCAATAGCAGACTTGGAACCAACCCAAATGTCCATCAATAATAGACTGGATTAAGAAAACGTGTCACATATACACCATGGAATACTACACAGCCATAAAAAAGGATGAGTTCATGTCCTTTATAGGGACATGGATGAAGCTGGAAACCATCATTCTGAGCAAACTATCTCAAGGACAGAAAACCAAACACTGCATGTTCTCACTCATAGGTGGGAATTGAACAATAAGAATACATGGACACAAGGTGGGGAACATCACACACTGGGGCCTGCTGGGGGATGGGGGGAGGGGAGAGGGATAGCATTAGGAGATATACCTAATGTAAATGATGAGTTAACGGGTGCAGCACATCAACATGGCACATGTATACATACGTAACAAACCTGCACGTTGTGCACATGTGCCCTAGAACTTAAAGTAAAATAAATAAACAAATAAAAAGAAAAAAAGTAGAAGGCAAAGAATTGAACATACTGACATATTAATTCTTTGAAAAGAAATTTAGAACTCACATCTAACAAAAGGAAAGAAAAGAAGGAAAGTACAACTTGGAATAGGGCAAACGGGCGACTTGAGAAATCAAGTGTGCAGCTTGACTTCTTGACTTGGGGTTTTATACATTGGCATACTTCTGGGATCGTGCCTTACTTCTCCCCACCCCTGAGATCTTATTGGGAAGCTGATGATCAATTTTCAGGCGTTTTCTATCTATTAGGAGACTGCCTTTCCCCGGCGCTGGCTGTGACCAATTATTTAGAGAAACAGTTAACAGCTGCCTGACCATCACCTGATGGTTGCCTGGCACTCCTGGTGTGTGTGTGAGCCCTTTCTTGCTCTGCTCATACCAGGCTAGCTACCTACTGTAACATCAGGACAGAGGCAAAAGGTCCCAGTTCAACCTGAGTCTGTCTATTCTGAAGGGTCAATGTCACTGTAATCCTGAAACCCTTCTAGTCACCCATTAACTTGGTGATGTCATTGCCAGCCATTTTTGGAGATGGACTCAGGGGCTTGATCTTAGGAGCCGGGGCAGAAATGGCACTGACTTCCCCATCGGTACACCTAAGGTTTGCAACATTAATCTTGTTGGGGTTGAACTTAGGCAGTACGGTGGAGGTGGCTGGTGTCAGATGTACCCAGATGTGAGATGACGGAAGAAAGTTGCACCTTAGGCCAGGCATGGTGGCTCATGCCTGTAATCTCATCACTTTAGGAGGCTGAGGTGGGTGGATCAGAAGGTCAGGAGTTCAAGACCAGCCTCACTAACATGGTGAAGCCCTGTCTCTACTAAAAATACAAAAAATTAGCCAGGCGTGGTGGCACACACCTGTAAGCCCATCTACTCAGGAGGTAGAGGGAGGAGAATCGCTTGAACTCAGGAAGCGGAGGTTGCAGTGAGCCAAGATTGTGCCACTGCACTCCAGCCTGGGCAATAGAGTGAGACTCCATCTCAAAAAAAAAAAAAAAAAAAAAAAAAAGCAAGTTGCACCTTGGCCTCCTCTGAGCAGAAAACCAAAAGGCTTGAATGTCTTCACAGGCAAACATGTTAAAACCTATACTCAACACTAAACAAACACTCACTTGTCTACATTGATACACACCCCCTCACCCTAACTAAAACTTCATCCATTGTTTCTAGACCTAGAGAGCCATGGAGTTTCTTCCTCTTGGAATTGGCTAGGTAGCCCTGAGAAAGGAACAAGAGGAGAAGGCATGGCCTGCCTGTGATGGATAGGATTAATCTTCTAAGATGAAGAAACAAAATAATTAAATTCTTAATCACCCCTAAGCCAGCACGGCTGATATAGCTGAGGGAGGGAGGGGGCTCTGAGGCCCAGACCAATATCCTAGAAATGGAGAGGGACTTAGGAAGAGTGGCACAGACAGAACCTTTTAGGCCAGAAGGAAAACCAGTAGGCAGGTAGGCAGGAAGGCAGATACACCTCGCTAGCGCCACAGAATCTTTCTTTCCAAGAGGAAATGGAGAAGCCCTGGAAAGAAAGCCTCCCATCATCCACTAAAACAGGGTGTTAGGAGGGTCTGGGCCCTCTTCAGCCCTCCCCAGAGCCCTTCCTGCCCCTCCATGGGAAGCATCCTGGGAGTGTATAGGAATAGTAGAAATAGTATACAGGACTCACAAATTGCCTGGAACCTTGAGTTTCATCAGGCATAGGGTCAACATTCCTCCTGGGATCCCCAGCTCTCAGTAGTGACAGGCCTATTTTCTGGTTTGGCAGAATGGCAGGAGATGATGTCTTCTACACAGATTCTTTGGCTCCCTTCAGAAAGTAAAATAGGCTGGGTGTGATGGTTCACATCTGTAATCCCAGCACTTTAGGTGACTGAAGCAGGAGGACTGTTTGAGCCCAGGAGTTCAAGACCAGCCTAGGTAGCACAGTGAGACCCTACAAAAAATAAAAATCAGCTGGATATGGTGGCACACGCCTGTGGTCCCAGATATTTGGGAGGCTGAGGTGGGAGGATCATTTGAGCCAGGAATGTTGAGGATGCAGTGAGCTGTGATAGCACCACTGCACTCCAGCTTGAATGACAGAGTGGGACTTTGTTTCAAAACAAACAAACAAACAAACAAAAAAACAAAAGAAAAACAAAAAGTAAAATAAAAATAGTGATAAGTATTTGATAGTAGAATTGACAAGAACTAAATTCTGATTTAAAATGTCTTCCTGGCTGGGTGAGGTGGCTCGCGGCTGTAATCCCAGCACTTTGGGAGGCCAAGGGCAAGTGGATCACCTGAGGTCAGGAGTTCCAGACCAGCCTGGCCAACATGATGAAACCCAGTCTCTACTAAAAATACAAAAAGTAGCCAGGCATGGTGGCACGCGTCTGTAGTCCCAGCTACTAGGGAGGCTGAGGCAAAAGAATCACTTGAACTCAGGAAATGGAGGCTGCAGTGAGCTGAGATTACGCCACTCCAGCCTGGACGACAGAGCGAGACTCCATCTAAGAAAAAAACAAAACAAAAACAAAATGTCTTCCTCCTGAAACCTGAGTAAAATGACATTAAAGGAATTTTTTTTTAAAGCTACAGAAGGGCAAGAAGAATGGGAAAGGAGATACCAAAGAATGAAAGAGTTCAACACATTTTTGAAGACCGAAAACTTACAGAAGGTGAAAACTACTATGTACCTGCAGAGGTAGGTACCTTAGAAGGAAGTCAATCCATTCCACAGAACTCCAGAAAGGCTCAAGGTGCAGAGGCATTTGGCGTCTCAGAGGGTGAGTGGTGACATCGGGATGAAAACATAGGAATTGGTAGAAACTCTAAATGTGGATCAGCTAGATCCCCTAGTAATCTCTCCAGCATCCATTACAGCCAGACAACAACCTAGACCAGACTCTTTCATTTTGGAGAAACAACCAGAGAGACTTCATGTTTGGGGATATCTGGCACGATGGAGAGTAGAGACAATGAAAATGGGGGGAATAGGGAATGAAAAGAGTGGAAGTCTACAGAGTGATAGGGCTTGCAGCCCTCTTCCTCCATGTTGTTCTCAGATCCGTGGTCATAAGGCAAGAACTTGAAGGATTTTTCTTTGGAGAAACCGAATGACTCTAGAGTAAAGATCTTTAGATGGGCCATTTGGTGATCCCTCAATGAAAAAGCCAGTGGAGCCCACTTCTCCATGTGCTTTACTAAAAAATGAGTAAAGCAGCAGGGATCATAGACATTTAAGGAAACTTTAAAGGTGAAAGAGAGACTACAATTATTAATAAGAAGCAGGAAAAAGAAACCTGGAGTAAGTAAGGACAATACAAGAAACAGAAAATTATTTAAGAAAATTACTTAAGCCAGGCGCAGTGGCTCATGTCTGTAATCCTAGCACTTTGGGAGGCTGAGGCAGGCGGATCACAAGGTCAGGAGATCGAGACCATCCTGGCTAACACAGTGAAACCCCGTCTCTACTAAAAATACAAAAAAAATCAGCCAGGCGTGGTGGCAGGCACCAGCTGTCCCAGCTACTCGGGAGGCTGAGACAGGAGAATGGTGTGAATCCGGGAGCAGAGGTTGCAGTGAGCCAAGATCGTGCCACTGCACTCCAGCCTGGGAGACAGAGGACAGAGTGAGACTCCGTCTCAAAAAAAAAAAAAAAAAAAGAAAATTACTTAAAAAGCTCACCAACATTAGTTAATATACCTGAAGAGTTACTATACTTTTCATATGGATAAAACAAGAAGCAATTCTATGAAAAAAAAAAAAAAAACAAAACCAGAATTAGGGAGTAAGAAAGAGCTCTTGGAAATTAAAAATACAGTAGTTAATATTAGAAATTTAATAGAATAGGCTGGTTGCAGTGGCTCACACTTGTAATCCTAGCACTTTGGGAGGCAGAGGTCAGGGGATTGCCCAGCCAACTTTTGTGCTTTAATAAAGGACACCATTAAGAAAGCGAAAAGACAACCCAAAGAATGGGATAAAAGTTTTGCAAATTCTATATCTGATATGGGACTTGTATATAGAATATACAAAGAACTCTTACATCTCCGCTGGGCGCGGTGGCTCACGCCTGTAATCTCAGCACTTTGGGAGGCCAAGGTGGGAGGATCACTTGAGGTCATGAGTTTGTGACCAGCCTGGTCAACATGATGAAACCCGTCTCCACGAAATATACAAAAATTAGCCAGGCATGGTGGCATGTCCCTGTAATCCCAGCTACTTGGGAGGCTGAGGCAAGAGAATGGCTTGAACCCAGGAGGCGGAGGTTGCAGTGAGCCGAGATGGCATTATTGCACTCCAGCCTGGGTGACAGAGTGAGACTCCATCTCAAAAAAAAAAAAAAAAAAAAAAGAAGAAGTCTTACATCTCAATAATAAAAGGACAAATAAACCAATAAAAATGGACAAAGAATCTAAATAGACATTTCCTCAAAGAACATACACAGTTGGCCAATAAGCACATGAAAAGATGCTCAACATCGGCCAGGCGCAGTGGCTCACGCCTGTAATCCCAGCACTTTGGGAGGCCGAGGCGGGCGGATCAAGAGATCAGGAGATCGAGACCATCCTGGGCAACATGGTGAAACCCCGTCTCTACTAAAAACACAAAAAAATTAGCCGGGCGTTGTGGTGGGCGCCTGTAGTCCCAGCTACTCGGAAGGCTGAGGCAGGAGAATAGCGTGAAACCCGGGAGGCGGAGCTTGCAGCGAGCCGAGGTCCCGCCACTGCACTCCAGCCTGGGTGACAGAGCAAGACTCCGCCTCAAAAAAAAAAAGAAAAGAAAAGATGCTCAACGTCATTAGTCACAAAGAAATGCAAATCAAAACCACAGAGAGAGAGAGAGATACCTCTTTGTGCCAAGATAGCTATAATAAAAAACAGAGATAACAACAAATGTTTTTGAGGGCAAGGAGAAAATGGAACTCTCATACACTGCTAGAGGGAATGTCAAATGGGTGCATCCACTTTGGAAAACAGTATGGCAGTTTCTCAAATGGTTAAACATAGAGTTACCATATAACCCAGCAATGCCACTCGTGGGTATATAGCTAAGAGAAATGAAAACATGTCCACACAAAAGCTTGTACATGACTGTTCATAGCAGCATTTTTCATAATAGCCAGAAGGTAGACACAACCCAAATGTCCATCAATTGGTGAATGGATAAATAAAATGTGGTATATCCATACAAGGGATAAATAAAATATGGTAATCCATCCATATTATTTGGCAATAAAAAGAGGCTTGGCATGGTGGCTCATGCCTGTAATCCCAGCACTTTGGGAGGCTGAGGCTGGTGGATCACTGGAGGTCAGGAGTTCTGGACCACCCTGGCCACCATGGCGAAACTGCATCTCTACTAAAAATACAAAAATTAGTCGGGCATGGTGGCATGCTCCTGTAATCTCAGCAACTCTGGAGGCTGAGGCAGGAGAATCGCTTGAACCTGGGAGGCAGAGGTTGCAGTGAGCCAAGATTGCGCCACTGCACTCCAGCGTGGGTGACAGAGTGAGACTCCATCTCAAAAAAAAAAAAAAAAAAGGAAAAAAAGGAATAGTAATATTTGCTACAACATGGATGAACCTTGAAAGCATTATACTAAGTGAAAAAAGCTAGTCGCAAAGAACCACATATTGTATGAATCCACTCATACAAAATGTTCAGAACAAACAATTCCATTGAGACAGAAAGTGGATTGATAGTTGCCTAGGGGTCAGTGGGAAATGGGGAGTGACTGCTAATGGGCAGGGCTTTTTTGTTTTTTTTTTTGTTTTTTGAGATGGAGTCTTGCTCTCTTGCCAGGCTAGAGTGCAGTGGCGCGATCTCGGCTCACTGCAACCTCCACCTCCTGGGTTCAAGTGATTCTCCTGCCTCAGCCTCCCAAGTAGCTGGGACTACAGGCGCACGCCACCATGCCCAGCTAATTTTTGTATTTTTAGTAGAGACAGGGTTTCACCATGTTGGCCAGGATGGTCTCGATCTCTTGACCTCGTGATCCGCCCGCCTCGGCCTCCCAAAGTGCTGGGATTACACGCATGAGCCACCGTGCCTGGCCTTTTTTTGTTTTTTTTTTTTTTTTTTTAGCAATGAAAATGTTGTAATATCAATTGTGGTAATGGTTGCAGAATTCTGTGAATAAACAAAAATCCATTGAATTGTACCCTTTAAATGGGTGAATTGTATGGTATGTGAAATGTATCTCAAAAAAGCTGTTATAAACTTATTTTTCAAAGAAGAAAACCATTCCATGAGAGCCATTTACAGGACATGCTCAATTTAGAGGCAGGTAAAGCACCAGAGTACCAGAAGGGGAAGTCCCAGAGAGAGCCTCCTGAGACCCTTTCTGGCCAGCAGAGTTACAAAATAGAAGTTCCATTCCTAGAGGTCAGATAACAGAGGCAAGCTGGTGGTTTCTGAGTCACATAAGGACAATTTAATCCCACAAAGGAATTCTGGGACCCATGGGAGAAATTGTCTTCCTCCTCCTATAACCAGAGAAAAAGGAAATGCCAAGTGCAGAGAAGCCCAGCAGACAGAGTGAGTCAAGCCTTGACGTGAAGGAAGAAAAATGAAAGAGACCTCACTTCTGAGGCCTGTGGAGCAACAGCTGGAGGTGAGGGTGAGAATCGAGGCCAGAGTGGGTCCAGTCAGAGGATGCAGGGCCAGTGTGTGCAGGTGTGTGCAGAGCTGAGGAGCTGGGTCAGCTCTGGCCATGGGTGGGAGACCTATGATCAAGGCTGAGGGAGAGTGAGAGAGTGAGAATATTTCTATGGTCTCTGGGAAGCAGCAGTTTCTGGATTAGAGCCTGAACCAGTTCTGGCCCCACAGAATTAGGGCATAACCAGAGTGTTTGTGGGTGGGGGCAGTGATTGAGTATTGTTCTCTCTGCTGGAGAGAGGGGGAGCCCAAGGCAGTCAGATGGTAGCTACTGAGGTGTAGCAAGAGAGTTTTTCTCAGGTCTGGGACCAGCATGTGGTCAAGGCCAAACCAGGGCTTCAGTCCACGTAATTCCATGGATGCATTTGTCCTCATTCTGGGTTGAGGAAGGGACTTGCATCAAATCTCTGAAGGTTGAAATAAACCTACAGCGGAGGCATGCTGAAATATTGGCTGAACACTATCCTGTGTGGGCTCACGTTCCTGGGATAGTTCATATTCACTGTCTGACTCTTCTCCAGATGCCTCTGGGTACAGCCCTTGCATTGACTTGTTTTTCTGCCCTGAACCCAGAAGCTTGGTGTTGGAGTTGGTTTTGGCACGATACAAAGCTGGGCCCTTTTACCTCTATTTGCAGGTTCTTGCTTGGTCTTGCTATGGGTCATGTGACTTCGTGTTGGCACCATTGTTCCCCCAATTTTCCCCTAAGTCCACCCCCTCATCTGGTTGCCAGAAGACTATTTATCCTCCCAATTTAAAATTTATCATTACCAGCCTGGAAAAGATTGTGAGTCCTTATCACTACAAAAATTTTTTTTAAAAATTAGCTGGTCATGGTAGGGTGTCCCTATAGTTCCAGCTGCTCAGGAGGCTGGGGGTGGGAGGATTGCTTGAGCCCAGGAGCTCAAGGCTTCAGTGAGCTATGACTGCACCACGGCACTCCAGCCTGGGTGACAGAGCAAGACCCTGTCTCAAATAAATAAAATAAAATAAAATAAAATAAGGCACTCACAGAAGGATTCCAAAGTTCATTTCCTCAGAAGTAGGCCTTCTGGAGGGCTAGTAATGTCCTATATCTTGGTCTGGTTAATGGTTAAAATACTATATTTGCTTTGTAATAATTCATGGAGCTGGTCAGGTATGGTGGCTCACACCTGTAATCCCAGCACTTTGGGAGACTGAGGCAGATGGATCGCTTGAGCTCAGGAGTTCAAGACCAGCCTGAGCAACATAGTGAGACCCTGTCTCTATAAAAATACAAAAATTAGCTAAGCATGGTAGTGCATGCTTGTAGTCCCAGCTACTCAGGAGGCGGAGGCAGGAGGATCACTTGAGCCCAGGAGGCAGAGGTTGCAGTGAGCTGAGATTGTGCCACTGCATTCCAGCCTGGGTGACAGAGTCAGACCTTGTCTCAATAATAACAGTAATAATAATAATAATAACAAAATTCATGGAGTTTTACACTTATAATTTGTACTTTTTTTATGTTTATGGATCTGCCATACCAACAACCTGTGAACTTCTATGTATGTAAAAGAGAAATAAATTTCCATCTTGTTTAAGCCACATATGCAGACCAAGGTAGTGCTCCCAAATCACCAGAAAAGGGGTGATGTAAAGTGCATATTAACAAAAACCTCATGCCTGTAATGCCAGCACTTTGGGAGGCCAAGGCAGGTGGATCACCTGAGGTCGGGAGTTCAAGACCAGCCTGACCAACATAGAGAAACCCCGTCTCTACTAAAAATACAAAATTAACTGGGCATGGTAGCGCATGCCTGTAATCCCAGCTACTTGGGAGGTTGAGGCAGGATAATCACTTGAACCTGGGAAGCGGAGGTTGCAGTGAGCTGAGATCACGCCATTGCACTCCAGCCTGGGCAACAAGAGTGAAATTCCATCTCAAAAAACAAAAACAAAAACAAAACAAAACCTTTTCCTTGATTCTTACCATCATAAACAGAAACTTCATGAGAAAGTAGGAAAAGTTTAAACTTAAATTTACGGGTCCACAGTCTCTTACTTAACAATCTTGAAATTTGAAAGGCTCTAAAAATGAAAGTTTTTCATAATTCAGTTGGTGGCATAATATAACTACACCTGAACTCTTTTAGCAGCAAAGCCTGACCAGAACTGATGTGAGGCTATGTTTAGTTTTATTTACTCTATTTAGGAGAAAAAATCACTAAGTTTTGCTGAAAAAATAATATATTGGGTTATGAAATGTTTTTAAAATGTTGCTGGAGGCCAAGTGCCATGGCTCACGCCTGTAATCCCAACACTTAGGGAAGCCAAGGCAGGCGGATCATTTGAGGTCAGGAGTTCAAGACCAGCCTGACCAATATGGTGAAACCCCGTCTCTGCTAAAAATACAAAACTTAGCTGAGCGTGGTGGCATGTGCCTGTAGTCCCGCTACTTGGGAGGCTGAGGGAGGAGAATCGCTTCAACCCGGGAGGTGGAGGTTGCAGTAAGCCAAGATCGTGCCACTGCACTTCAGCCTGGGCCACAGAGCGAGACTACATCTCAAAAAAAAAAAAAAAAAAAGAGTTGCTGGAAAGTGATAGGCAGCTCTCCAGTTACTGAGCATAGTGCAGGGTGGGTGAGTAGTAACTGGGGAAAATCCTAACTGAAACAAGGATAAAGAAAAAAGGCTTATATGATTCCAGGCATTAAAAAGAACATTTTACTTATAAAGGAAAGAGAATTAGACTAGCTTTGCATTTCTGTTCTACAGTACTGTGATAGAAACTAAAATCCAAGAATCTTATGCATAGCTATCATTCTTGGGCAAATTGATGACAGTTTTGTGAATACTGTACAAGATGTTAGGGAGATTGCTAGCCTTCCAGTAAAATTCAATCTTCTCCTTTCCTGTGGGATTATAATTGTAGCCTCAAACATGACATTCTATTTCCCAGCCCCCACTGTAGTTAGACGTGGCTACATGGACTAAGCTGTCTCTAATAGAATGTGATCAGAAGTGTTATGTGCCATTTCTGAGCCCAGTGACTTAAGACCAGTGTGTGCCCTCTTCACACTCTCAGGAAGATGTGCCTGTGACTCAGTTTCAATGATAAAGAAACAAGATGGGGGAATACTATGTCCATAAATGATTGTGTAGCAGCATAACTGCGAATGTCCTAAAACAATGCTCTGAAATGCAACATGAGAGAAAAATAAACTTCAATTTTGCTTGAGCTATTGCATTTTGGGGTTTCTTTGTTATAGAAATTTAGTCATTAACTAATAATCAGGGATTCAGGCAGTATATCATCCATAACTTTATCTGAGAAAAGTAATTGAAAGAGTACTCTAACTAGTTTTCAAGGTAGGAGAAAATAAAAAGAAAGAGTAATAATAAATCTGTAATCTATACAGTGAAATCTAAATACAACATAACATTGCAACTGGGAATTTTTCATAGAAGGACAAAGAAAACATTCTTGAAACTGAACACGCATACTGAGAGGAAATTGTTAATAACATCAGACTAAAAGCTGCAAACTATTTTAGTGTGTCAGTTGTCTGTTGTTATATAGCAAAGTACCCCAAAACTTTGTGACTTAAGATGATAATTTGTTATTTCTCACGATTCGGTGATTGGCTGGGCTCAACCTGGGAGTTCTGTTCCACTTCATGTTGACTGGGGTTATTTCTGTGGCTACATTCTTCTAGGATCTTGGCTGGAACATCCAGAATGGCTTCACTCATGAGCCTGGGACATTGGCAGGGAGGTTCTGGGACTTTTTTTTCCCTCTCTCTCCATGCGGTCTCTCCAGCAGGTTGGCCAGACCTATTTATGTGGTGGCAGAAGTTGCCAATCCTCTTAAAACCTACACTTGTAACTGTCACAGGGTCACTTCCCTTGCAATTGATTGGTCAAGGTAAGTCACAGTCCAGCCCAGATTCAAGTGGTGGGAAACTAATTCCACTTTCTTTTCTCTTTTTTTTTTTTGAGACAGGGTCTCACTCTGTTGCCTAGGATGGAGTGTAGCAGTGTGATCTCGGTTCACTGCAAACTCCACCTCCTGGGGCTCAAGCAATCCTCCCACCTCAGCCTCCCAGCCTCCTGAGTAGCTGGGACCACAGGCATGTACTACCAGGCCCGGCTAATTTTTGAGGTATCTTGCCCAGGCTGGTCTTGAACTCCTGGGTTCAGGCAATCCACCTGCCTCGGCCTCCCAAAGTGCTAGGATTACAGGTGTGAGCTGCCAGGCCTGGCCTTCCCACCTCTTTTAAAAATTATTTTTATTTTTAATTTTTGTGGGTACATAGCAAGTATATATACTTATGAGATACATGAGATGTTTTGAGACAGGCATGCAATGTGTAGTAATCATATCATGGAAAATGGAGTATCTATTGCCTCAAGCATTTATCCTTTGTGTTACAAACAATGCAATTATACTTTTAGTTATTGTAAAATGTACAATTATTATTGACTATAGTCACCCTGTTGTGTTACCAAATGTTAGGTCTTATTCATTCTTTCTAATTATTTTTTTGGTACCCATTAACAATCCCTACTTTCCCACCACCCAACTATCCTTCCCATCCTCTGGTAACCATTACTCTCTATCTCCAAGAAGTCAATTGTTTTGATTTTTAGATCTCACAAATAAGTGAGAACATCTTATGTTTGTCTTTCAGTGCCTGGCTTATTTCATTTAACATAATAACCTCCATTCCATCCATGTTGTTGCAAATGACAGGATCTCGTTCTTTTTTTATGACTGAATAGTACTCCATTGTGTATAAATATCACATTTTCTTTATCCATTCATCTGTTGATGGGTGCTTAGGTTGCTTCCAAATCTCGGCTGTTGTAAACAGTGCTGCAACAAACATGGGAGTGCAGATATCTCTTCAATATACTGATCTCCTTTCTTTTGGGTATAAACCCAGCAGTGGGATTGCTAGATCATATGGTGGCTCTAGTTGCAGTTTTTTGATGGACCTCCAAACTGTTCTCCACCGTGGTTGTATTAATTTACATTCCCACCAATAGCGTATGAGGGATCCCTTTTCTCCACATTTTCGCCAGCATTTGTTATTGCCTGTCTTTTGGATAAAAGCCATTTTAACTGGGGTGAGATGATATCTCATTGTAGTTTTTATTTGCATTTCTCTGATGATCAATGATGTTAATCTTTTCGCCTTTTCATGTCCACCTTTTCATCATGACTGCCATTTGTATGCCTTCTTTTGAGAAATGTCTATTCAAATCTTTTGACTTCTTTTTTGTTGTTTTTGAGATAAAGTATGGTTCCGTTGCCCAAGCTGGAGGGCAGTGGCACGACCTTAGCCCACTGCAACCTCTGACTCCTGGGCTCAAGCCATCCTCTCACCTCAGCCTCCCAAGTATATGGGACCACAGGTAAGCACCACCACACCTGGCTAATTTTTGTATTTTTTGTAGAGACAAGGTTTTGCCATGTTGCCCGTGCTGGTCTTGAACTCCTGGGCTCAAGTGATCTTCCTGCCCTGGCCTCTTAAAGTGCTGGGATTATGATTTGATTTCTGTATATGGCGAGAGAAGGGGGTCAAGTTTTAAGTTTCATTCTTCAGGGTTTGGATATCCAGTTTTCCCTGAACCATTTATTGAAGTGACTGTCTTTTCCCTAGTGTATGTTATCGGCCCCTTTGTGGAAAATGAGATCACTGTAGGTGTGTGGATTTGTTTCTGGTTGCTCTATTCTGTTGTATTGATTTATGTGTTTGTTTTTATGCCAATATCATGCTGTTTTGGTTACTATAGCTCTGTAGTATAATTTGAAGTCAGGTAATGTGATTCCTCCAGTTTTGTTCTTTTTGCTTAAGATAGCTTTGGCTATTCTGGGTCTTTTGTAGTTCTACGTAAAAAAAAAATTTTTTTTTTTAGGTTTGGAGTGCATCGTCTTACTGCAACCTCTGCCTCCTGGGCTCAAGTGGTTCTTGTGCCTCAGCCTCCAAGTAGCTGGGACTACAGGCAGGTACCACCATACCCAGCTAATTTTTTGTGTGTTTTTAGTAGAGACGAGGTTTCACCATGTTGGCCAGGCTGGTCTCGAATTCCTGACCTTAAGCAATCCTCCCATCTTTGCCTCCCAAAGTGCTGGGATTACAGGTGTGAGCCATTGTGCCTGGCCAGTTCTATATACATTTTAGGATTGTTTTTTCTATTTCTATGAAGAATATCATTGGCATTTTGATAGAAATTGCATTGAATCTGTAGCTTGCCTTGGGTAGTATGAACATTTTAACAATATTGAGTTTTCCAATTCATGAACGTGGAATAGCTTACCATTTTTTGATGTCCTCTTCAATTTCCTTCATCTGTATTTTATAGTTTTCATTACAGAGATCTTTCACTTCTTTGATTAATTCCTAGGTATTTAATTTTATTTGTTGTTACTGTAAGTGGGATTACTTTTTTAAATTTCTTTTTCAGATTATTCACTGCTGGCATATAGAAATCCTGCTGATTTTTGTATATTGATTTTGTATTCTACAACTTTACTGAATTTATCAATTTTTTTTTTTTTGAGATGGGGGCTCACTCTGTCACCCAGGGTGGAGTGCAGTGGCATGATCTTGGCTCACTGCAAGCTCCACCTCCCAGGCCCAAGCAATCCTCCTACTGTAGCCTCCCAAGTAGCTGGGACCACAGGTGCACACCAACACACCTGGCTAATTTTTTGTCTTTTTGGTAGAGATGGGGTTTCACCCTGTTGCCCAGGCTGTTCTTGAATTGCTGAGCTCAAGCAATCTGCCCACCTTGGCTTCCCAAAGTGCTGGGACTACAGGTGAGTCACCGTAGCTAGCAATTTATCACTTTTTTTTTTTTTTGAGACAGTCTTGCTTTGTTGCCCAGACTAGAGTGCAGAGTGGTGCGATCTCGGCTTACTGCAACCTCTGCCTCCTGTGTTCAAGTGATTCTCCTGCCTCAGCTTGCCGAGTAGCTGGGATTACAGGTGCGCGCCACAATGCCTAGCTAATTTTTGTATTTTTAGTAGAGATGGAGTTTTGCCATGTTGGCCAGGCTGGTGTCGAACTCCTGATCTCAGGTGATCCATCCGCGTTGGCCTCCCAAAGTGCTGGGATTACAGGTGTGAGCCACCATGCCCAGAGGAATTTATCATTTCCAATAATTTTTTGGTGGACTCTTTAGGTTTTTTCAAATATAAGGTCCTATCATCTGCAAGCAAAGATAATTGGACTTCTTCCTTTCCAATTTGGATACCCTTTTTATTTTTATTTTTATTTTTTTGAGACGGAGTCTCACTGTGTCACCCAGGCTGGAGTGCAGTGGCATGATCTTGGTTCACTGCAACCTCCACCTCCTGGGTTCAAGCAATTCTCCTGCCTCAGCCTCCGGAATAGCTGGGACTACAGGTGTGTGCCACCATGCCCAGCTAATTTTTGTATGTTTAGTAGAGACGGGGTTTCACCATGTTGGCCAGGCCGGCCTTGAACTCCTGACTGCAGGTGATCCACCCACCTCGGCCTCCCAAAGTGCTGGGATTACAGGCATGAGCCACTGTGCCCAGTGATACCCTTTATTTTTTTCTCTTGTCTGACTGCTCTAGCTAGGACTTCATTACTATGGTGAATAACAGTGGTGAAAATGGGCATCCTTGTCATGTTCCAGATCTTAGAGGAAGGTCTTTCAGTTTTTCCTCATTCAATATGATACTAGCTGTGGGTCTGTTGGATACAGCTTTCATTATGCTCAGGTATGTTCCTTCTATACTGTTTTTTAAGGGTTTTCATCTTGAAGGATGTTGAATTTTATCAAATGCTTTTTCAGCATCAATTGAAATGATTATATGGTTTTTGTCCTTCATTCTGTTGATATATCACAATGATTGATTTGCACATGTTGAACCATCCTTGGATCCCAGAGATAAATCCCACTTGGTCATAGTAAATGTTCTTTTTAATGTATTATTGAATTCTTTTTGCAAGTATTTTATTGAGGACTTTTGCATCAATATTCATCAGAGATATTGGCCTGTAGTTAATTCCACCTCTTGATGGGAGAAGCATCATGCACATCAAAGATGGGATTATTGACAGCATCTTTGGAAATAATCTTTTATTTCTTTCTTTTTTTCTGTCTCTTTCCTTCTTTCTTTTCTTTCTTCTCTCTTTCAGTGTCTCACTCTGTCACCCAGGCTGGAGTGCAATGGCACAATCATAGCTCACTGTAGCCTTGACTCACTGCAGCCTCAACCTCCTGGGCTCAAAGGATCCTCCTGCCTCCATTTGCTGAGTAGCTGGGACCACGGGCACACGCCACCATGCCCGGTTAAATTTTGTATTTTTTGTAGAGATGGGGATCTTACTATGTTGCCCAAGCTGGTCTGAAACTCCTGAGCTCAAGTGATCCTCCTGCCTCGGCCTCCCAAATTGCTGGGATTATAGGTGTTAAGCCACCACACCCAGCCCAGAAACAATCTTTCATAGTTCACCTTCTGGCCATAGCAATCCACATCCTTTCCCAATCAAAACACACTCATCCACTCCACCAAAAGTCTCAAACCATTATGGCCTTGGATCAAAGTCCAGCATTTCACTATCTAAATAAGGCCCATGAAGAAGAAGTTCCTGTGGTATAGTTTATTGGGTGTACAGGTACAACTTCTTCAACCCAGAGACCTGTGAACTAAATAGATGACTTACCTGCTCCCCTTATTCCTCACTCCCCACACCCACACACCAACACACTTGATAATATAGAGACATAATGACTCCACCGAATACTCCTATTCAAAAAAGGGAAGAATAGAAGGTACATTAATAGTTATTGATTCATAATAATTCTGAAATTTACCTGGGCACCTGTTCTCCTACTCTGAGGATAGGAATTGTTCTTTGATTTGTTTTATTGAATGGCTTTTTTTTTGAGACTGAGTCTCACTTTGTTGCCCAGGCTGGAGTGCAGTGGCATGATCTTGGCCACTGGGCTCAGGTGATCCTCCCACCTCAGTCTCCTGAGCAGCTGGGACTGTAGGCACGTGCCACCACGCCCAGCTAATTTTTGTATTTTTTTTGTAGAGACAGGGTCTCACCATGTTTCCCAGGCTGGTCTCGAACTCCTGGACTCATGTGATCTGCCCACCTTGGCCTCCCAAACTGCTAGGATTACTGGTGTGAGCCACTGCCCCTGGCAGGAATGGTTTCATGATCCATTTTATTTTCAGAAGCTTTTAATTCTGCCTTTTGCCCTCTGAGATGTTGGCTTTACACCCTGAGAAAGCATTTTCCATAAGAAACAGTCCATATTTGTAGTTGAGTAGCTTTTTCAGTTTCTTTCCACCCACAGAAAGTTGAGGGCCCAGGGATCCTTTTTGTTTCAAACTGTCTTTGCCCCTTACAATCTATAGTTTCACTTTTGCCAATATACTTCTCTTTAAAACTTTGCGGGTATTTTATGAATATTACTTGGATTCACACCATACCCCCCAAACCACATCCATACTTCTTTCTGAGACAGAAGTCTCTCTACTTTGGATGTGTCTGATTGCTGTAGTGCAATGCCCTTATGTTTCTCCGAAGTCCTTCTGTCTAGGTGAGATGGTCTACAAGGCACTGCCTAATTCCTTACGAAGTCTTACAGCTGCACTCTTGATTTGATCTGAGGCCTCATTTAACTTGCAATTTCCTAAATTTGATCTTTGCTCTGAAGCCATTTCTTATTTTGGTGATCTTTTGCTAAGTCCTTAGTCCTTTACTCACTAAGTCCTTTACATTTTGTCTCATTTCTGCTTGAAAATTGAATAATTTCTTCTTTGGCTTATTTCTCTTTTGCAATACAACATCCTACGTGGTTAAAAGAAATCAGCAAACGCTTTTAACATTCTGCATGGGAATCTCCTAAGGCAGATCCAGAAGGTCATTAAGTATGTCTCCTAGCTTCTAAGTTATCACAGATGACAGTGCTGCCAAACATTCTGCCAACGCATCACACTGGTTGTTCTCTCTCCAGGCTTTAATAAGTTTCCTCACTGCTCTTCTAACCTCCACTCAAAGCCTCCTTGCTGTCTTTCCAGGCTCTGCCTGCTGCCTGGTCCCAACATCAATGCCACATGTTTTATGTTTTAGTTATGGCAGTATCCCATTTCTAGATATCAGTTCTCTAACAGTTATCTACAAAGGGGTGTTTTGTTATATAACAACAGATGCTGTAATCATCTAGTAATCTGGAGGATATAAGATGGCTTCACTCATATGTATGGGGCCTTGGTGCTGGCCATGGGGTCACTCTCCATATGTGACTTCTCATCAGTCAGCAGTTATCCCATTTAACTTTGACATGGTGGTAGGAGTGTTCTATGACAGCGTAAGCAGAAGCCCCAAGGACAATAGAGGCCTATGCTTAGGAACTCATATGGTATCACTTCTATAACATTTTGTCAGTCAAAATAATTCACAAGCCCAGTCAAGAAACAACAGGTAGGAAAAAAGACTATGTATTAGTCAGGGTTTTCCAGAGAAACAGAACTAATAGGATACGAAGATTTATTATTATGAAGAATTGGCTCACATGATATGGAGGCGAAGAAGTCCCACAATCTGCTGTCTGCAAGCTGGAGACCCAGGGAAACCAGTGGTGTAATTCAATTTGAGTCTAAAGGTCTGAGAAGCAGGGGAGCTGATGGTATAAATCCTAGTACGAGGGCAGGAGAAGATAAGAGGGGATGTTTCAGCTCAGACAGTGAGGCAGGAAAAAAAAAAAAAGAGCGAGAGAGAGGGCAAATTCCTCCTTCCTCCACCTTTTGTTCTATTCTGGCCTGGCCTTCAGTGGATTGGATAATGCTTTTCTATATTGGGAGGACATTCTATTTTACTGAGCCTACAGATTCAAGTTGACACATGAAATTAACTATCACAGACTCCCTCTCTCTCTCTTTGTTTTTAAATCTGCCATCTGCACACTAAAGACTCCTCTTGATGGGAAAAGTTGTAACAACTTTATGGCCATATTTAACCTTCCACAGGTAACTACAAACATCTTAAAGTAAATATAATATTCAATAATTTTATGTTGAAAGCAACATAACAGGAAGATATAGATGCCCAATATCACCATTTCCATTCAACATATTACTACAGGTTTTAGCCACTGCAATAGGCAAGAAAAAGAAATAAGTTATATAATTGGAAAGAAATAAAATGGTCATTATTCTCTACATAGCTGGAAACAGAAAGTAAGAAAAATGGCTAGACTATTAGAATTAATTAGTTTAATTAATAATTCAGCAAGGGTGCTAGCTTCAAGACCAACATACAAAAATAATTGTATTTCTATATTTACACTGAAAACAATTAGAAAATAAAAATTTACATTTAAAATGACATGAAATATTAAATGCCTAGAATAAATCTAACAAAGAGGTGTGCAATATCTACACTTAAAAACTATAAAGCATCAAGATAAATTACAGACACCAAAATAAATGGAGGAATATATCATTTTTATGGATTGAAAGATTCAACCCCACAGAATGCTGTTATTAGTTTCCTAAGGCTGCTTTAATAAAGTACCACAAACTAGGTTTAAAAAAAACAAACAGAATTTATATCACCATTCTTGGGGCTAGAAGTCTAAAATTAAAGATCGGTAGGGTCATGCTTTCTCTGAAACCTATATGGGAGAATCTTTCCTTGCCTCTCTTAGCTTTTGGTGTTATCAACAATCCTTAGCATTCCTTGGCTTGCAACTGCAGTACTTCAATCTCTGTTTCCATCATCGCATGGGGTTCTCCTCCAATGTGTATGTCTTCATATCTTCTCCTCTCTTAAGGACACCAGTCATAATGGATGAAGCGCCCACCTTCCTTCAGTGTGGCCTCATCTTAACTAATTACATCTGCAACAATCCTATATGACTAAATAAGGTCCCATTCTAAGGGTTAGGACTTCAACATATCTTTTTAGGTGACACAATTCAACATAATGAATAACAAATACCAATTCTCCAAAACAGGCATACCACTTCAGTATAATACTAAACAAAATCCCAATGGATTCTAAAATTTGTAAGGAAAGTTTTGTCACAACTGACAAGCTGATTCAAAAATTTACATGAAGATGCAAAGGACCAAGGAAAGCCAAGATAATCTTGAAGGACATAATAGGAGGGAGGACTTTTTCTATCATATACTAAGATTTATTATAAAGCTATTACAGAAATTAAGACAGTATGGTATTTCCACAAGGAGAAACAAAAGGAACAGCCTTCATAGTCCTGAAATAAACCCACACATATATAGACAACTGATACATGACAAAGGTGTCAATGCAGAACAGTGGGGAAAAGGACAGTCTTTTTAAAAAATAGTGCTTAATCCATGCAAAATTCACATGGAAAGGTTGAAATCTGACTTACCTTACACTATACACATAACCCAACCACAGATGGATTATAAAACTAAATGTGAAAGACTAATAACACTTCTAGAAATTTTCTTCATTTGGTAGGAAAATATTTCTTAAGAGAATACAATAAGCACTAAGCACAAAGGGTTTTTTTGTTGTTGTTGTTTGTTTGTTTTTTGGATGGAGTCTTGCTCTGTCACCCAGGCTGGAGTGCAGTGGCATGACCTCAGCTCATTGCAACCTTCGCTTCCTGGTTCACGTGATTCTCCTGCTTCAGCCTCCCGAGCAGCTGGGACTATAAGTGCACACCACCATACCCGGCTAATTTTTTTTTTTTTTCCTGAGGCAGAGTCTTGCTCTGCCACCCAGGCTGCAGTGCAGTGGTGCGATCTTGGCTCACTGCAACCCCTGCCTCTGGGGTTCAAGTGATTCCCCTGCCTCAGCCTCCCTAGTAGCTAGGATTACAGGTGCCCACCATGCCCAGCTAATTTTTGTATTTTTAGTAGAGACAGGGTTTCCTCATGTTGGCCAGGCTGGTCTCAAACCCCTGGCCTCAAGAGTTCCGCCCGCCTCAGCCTCCCAAAGTGCTGCTATTATAGGCATGAGCCACTGTACCCGGCCACAAAGGTCTTTTAAGTTCATCAAAAGACACCAATAACAGAGTGAAAAGGCAAGCTACCGAGTGGGAGAAGATATTTGCAATATATACAGTAGTCCCTCCCTTATCCATGAGGATATGTTCGAAGATGTTCCACAGATGCCTGAAACCTCCAGTAGTATCAAACCCTATATATGCTATGTTTTTTCCTATACATACATACCTATGATAAAGTTTAATTTATAAATCAGGCACAGAAAGAGACTAACAACTAACAATAGAACAATTATAACAATAGACTTTAATGAAAGTTGTTTAAAACTTATGAATTATTTGTTACTGGAATTTTCCATTTAATATTTTCAGACCGTGGTTGAGTGTGGGTAACTACGACTTCAGAAAGCAAAACCGTGGATGAGGGGGGCTAGTGTATATTCAAAAAAGACTTATCTTAGTGTATTCCTGATTGCCAAAAGAAAATGCCACAGACTGTGTAATTTATAAATAGTAGAAATTTATTTCTCACAGTTCTGGAGGTTGGCAAGTCCAAGATCAAGGCACTGGCAGATTTGTTGTCTTGGAATTACTCTCTAATTCCAAGATGAAACTTTGTTGTTGTCCTCTTGCTGGGAGGAACATTGTTATCATACAGTGAGGGGTTAAAAGGGCAAAAGGAATGAATCTTTGTGAAGGGCATGAATGCCCTCTTTTGTAAGGGCATGAATCCCATTCATGAGGATGGAGTCCTCATAGCCTAACCCCTCCCAAAGGCTCCACTTCTTATACCATCGCCTTAATGTTTAAGTTCCAATATATGAATTTTGAAGGGACACATACATTCAAACCATAGCAGGATTCATATCTAAAATATATGCCCATAAGAAAATGTCAATCCAATACAAAAATGAGCAAGAGACTTGAACAGGCACTTATGGGGGATATCCAGATACCCAAGGAACAAGAAAATGGGCTCATCCTCATTAATAATCTGGGAAATGCAAATTAAAACCACAGTGAGATACCACTATGCCCCCATCAGAATGGTTATAATTAAAAAGATATGCAGCAGTAATTATTGGCAAGGATGTTGGGAAACTGAAACTCTCATACATGGCTGAAGGGAGTATAAACTGAAACCACCATTTTCTAAAATTGCCTGAGATTATCTACCTAAATTTTACATATACATAACAAGCAATTTCACTTTTAGGTATGAACCCAACAGAAATGTGTGCATATGTATCACTGTTAAATAAAACTTGTAGGCCATTGTTTCGGGCTAAGCTCCTGCAGTAGGTCTCAATGAACCAGACTAAAAATCAAAATGGAGTCACTCACACTGAGGTTCCATGTCATCAAATGGAAACTACGTTGTTATTTGAAGTTCTGAAAAGTCAGGAAAAAGAGATAATAAGAGTCTAATTTCCCCTGAGTGCCAGTTTCAATTAGCATAATAATGAAATTTCTTCTGCTTTAATCGTTACCAAAAAAAGATAAACTGAAGTTACCTGATGTTAACCAATCAGTTATTTCTCTATTGTTTTGTTTCTTGGTTCTGCTTTACAAGGAAATTAACTTATTTATTTATTTTTTGGAAAGTTACTTTGAAATGAACCAATCTGTTTTTTGTTCTTTACTTCTGCTTTCTCCAGCCCTTCTCTGTCTATAAAACCTACCTCTTCTGCTCAGCTCATTGGAACACTTGTTCTATTTTATGGAATGAAGTGCTGCCAGATTCTAGAATCACAAATAAAGCTAATTGAGATATTTAAATTAAATTTGTTGTAATTTTGTCTTTTAACATCACCAATGACAAGAATGTTCACAGAAGCATTATTCCTAATAGCCACAAATTGGAAACAACTCAAATGTCCATCAGTAGTAGATGATTAAAATTGTATCATATTCATAAAATAGAATACTATACAGCAGTCAAAATGAATGAACAGTCACAAATCATACACGTATCTGTGAAACAATGTTGAATTAAAAAAACCAAATCTCAATTTTGAGCAAGTTTTTTCATTTATATCTCAAGAGATTAAAAAATTATACCTCTTAGGGTTAAATGGTGAGGATTAAGTGGGATGGTGCATGTGAAGTGCTCAGCAAGCCAAGTATTATTTAATATCATGCTCTCTCAGTAGGCCACCTTTCAGGAAATGGGCACTAAAGGATGCTACAGATTAGCTAGGTGTGGTGGCACGTGCCTGTAAGCCCAGCTACTCGGGAGGCTGAGGCAGGAGAATCGCTTCAACCCAGGAGGCGGAGGTTGCAGTTAGCCGAGATTGTGCCACTGCACCCCAGCCTGGGCAACACAGTGATACTCTGTCTCCAAAAAAAAAAAAAAAAAAAAAAAAAAAAAAAAAAAAAAAAAAGAATGCTATAGAGCACTTACAGCGCCTTCTAACGCCATCTCCACCTTTTCACTATTGAGCCTCGGTCTCTTTAAGAAGTGAACCATAATTGAGGAAAGAGGAATGCTGGGAAGTTCTACTCAGCTCAGGTCCGGAGCCTGACGGGAAAAGAGGGCGGAGACCAAGGCTGCGCAGGCGTGGTTGGCCGGTCGTTGCGTTGGGATGGATCAGGCGGAATTCCAGAAGAGAAAATAATCCCTGTCTAGATGCAGAGGACTTGGTTCCTATTCCAGTGCTCCTCCGGTAGCAGGGAGGCGACAGAAGGTGGGTGCGGCCGCAGTGGTAGTGGGCGGGACGGCGGGGCGGAGGCCACACCACGTGACGAGGCGTTGCGGCGGGGGCGGTGCCAGGTGGGCTACGCGGCTGGGGCGGCTGCGGATATCGCCTTAGGGACGCGTTGACATTCACTGGCTAGTCCACCGCTCTCAGTCGGAGACCACATTGCCTCGTTAGTCCTCAATGATGGGAGTGGGAATTCTTGGTGGGAAGGAGAATTTCGGAAAGCGTGCGGTTCTCAGAGGAGGGATGAGCGCCCGTAGATATTTTGTGGCGAGTGCGCAAAAGTTCTCATTTCTTCTTTGGAACAGGCTTTTCAACCAGTTGTCCGTTTCCATCCCGGACTATTCGGATAAAGACAACTTTGAAGAGCTTTTTGTTTTAGGTTTAATTCGTCCCGTTTAGTTCTTTGACTTTTAGGGGAAGGGAATTTACTGAATGGCCAATTGAGTTTCTTTTCTACAGGAAGGCGATTGTGAAGCGGGGCTCTGAGGGGCTTGATGCCCCCCACCCCTCACACGGAGACCTTGAAAGAGGCAGGTGACTCACTTTCAGTAAGGGCGTTCCTGTTGTTCGCCTGCGATGGATGGCATCTTGAGCTCACATCTAGCGTTAGGCCGAGAAATGGGGCCCTTAGGGAGGCTTCCAGTGAAGGTTGAGTTATAGGTCAGGGCCGGGAGGTTGTTGTGCCCCTCTTTGAGAAATAAAAGCCGACGTGGGCCTCTAAGTACTGATTCTTATGGGGTCAGAAACTATTTCTTGAGTCCGTTCTTCTCAGAGTTTATTACTTCCTCCCACGTCTTGGTCTGCTGGTCTAATTCCCTTCAATAACCTTCAACATAGGAAAAAACCAGAGTGTGTTGTGTGTCTTTAAAGATATTAGAGAAGTGGGAGCTGTTGCCCCAAAACTGTTTTCTTATGTAGCTACTGAAGGAACAGAAAGCAGGAAGAAAGAAAAAAGTTAGTTGTGGCCCCAGAAGAGTTGTTTTTCAAATGCCGAGCCGTGAAGCCTCATGCACTCAACACAAAGTTTTTCTTTCATATAGATAAGCCTGAAGAAAAAAGAATAAGCCTGAGTATGTATTTTAGGTGTCCAACTATCCATTACCAAGAAGAAATCTATTCGTTTGAGCCTGAGACACTCTTTGAGGTAAAAAATTAGAATGAAAGAACCTTTGGATGGTGAATGTGGCAAAGCAGTGGTACCACAGCAGGAGCTTCTGGACAAAATTAAAGAAGAACCAGACAATGCTCAAGTAAGCATTTCATCTTCATTTAAAAATTTAAAAAAATTCCTTCTTTTCCATCTGGTCAACTGAAAAATTTTAGTTAAACGGCTTCTGGTTTGTAAGTTTAAAATAACCCAAACTGAGACAGGCTCTCGCTGTCGCTGAGGGTGTAGTGCAGTGGTGCGATCTCCTTAGCTCACTGCAGCCTCCACCTCCCAGGCTCAAGTGATCTTCCCACCTCAGCCTCCTGTGTAGCTGGGACCACAGGGCACACACCAACATGCTCAACTATTTTTTTGTATTTTTGGTAGAGACGGGGTTTGGCCATGTTTCCCAGGCTGGTCTCAAACTCCTGAGCTCAAGCAATCCACCCACCTTGGCCTCCCAAAGTTCTGGGATTACAGGCATGAGCCACCATTCCTGGCTGGTTTTTTGCTCTTTGAATGAAAGCTATAACTACATGATTTTTTTGTGTGTGGAAGGAAAGTAATATATTTACCATTTTTCCATACTTGTCACTTAAAAAAAATTCTCTTGTATCTGGTAGTACTTTCCTTTATTCTGTTAAGAATTTGTGGTCTGTGCTAGTCTCTGGGGATCCAGGATTGAGCAAAGTCAGCTTAGTCCCTTCCCTTGTAGAGCTTATATGTTAGTAGAGGAGGCAGAGATTACAAAAGTATTGGTCAAGTAATATATATAATTACAAACTATGACAAGTACTCTGGAAGAAAAGCCTAAAATGGGGAATCTGACCTAGTTTTGGTTGTGGTCTGCCTGGGGATGGCTAGGGAAGGCCTCTCTAAGGGAAGGATGTGTAAGCTGAATTATGAAGAATGAATTGATTAGGCAAAGGGTATGGAGAAGAGTATTACAGACAGAGGGAACTGTGAATAGGAAAGCCCTGAGTTGGAAAGATGCATGGTTCTTTTTAAGACCTGCAGGAACAGTGAGCCTGGAACAGAAAAGGTATGAAAATGGTGATGATGATAATGATTAAAACAACAACAATAAAAATAGCTGGCATTAGTATATCAGTATGTAGTATATATTATATCATAATCATATGTGACATTATTAACTTAATATTTATATATGCTTAAGAGTGTGTCAGGCACCATTCTTACCACCATATTATTATCCCCATTTTACAGATGAGGAAACCAAAGCTCAAAAAAGCCAAATAGTTTACCACAGATCACAGTTAGTAGTAAATGACAAAGACTGGATTCAAATCCAGGTGGTCAGACTCCAGAACTTGTGCTATTCTGCTTCTCTATGATAAGGCTGTATATATAGTTTAAGGCTGGATTATGTAGGACGTAGCAGACCTTGTTATAAATTTTGGTTTTTATCCTAAGAGCAGTAGATAGCCATTATAGGGTTTTTTGTTTTTGTTTTGAGATGGAGTTTTGCTGCAATGTTGTAATCTTGGTGGCTCACTGCAACTTTCACATCCCGGGTTCAAGTGATTCTCCTGCCTCAGCCTCCCCAGTAGCTGGGATTATAGGCGCCTGCCACCACGCCTGGCTAATTTTTTGTATTTTTAGTAGAGACGGGGTTTCACCATGTTGGCTAGGCTGGTTTCAAACTCCTGACCTCAGGTGATCCACCCACCTCAGCCTCCCAAAGTGCTAGGATTACAGGCGTGAGCCACCACACCTGGCCAATTGTAGGGTTTTAAGTGAGAAAGTAAGATGAAACAGATTTGTGTTTGGAAAGATCATTCTGGCTACCCCATAGGGACCCAGAATGGAGAGCACGGAAATCAATGTGGAGGCTGGGCACAGTGGCTCACGTCTGTAATCCTAGCACTTTGGGAGGCCAAGGCAGGCAGATCACGAGGTCAGGAGATCGAGACCATCCTGGCTAACACGGTGAAACCCCGTCTCTACAAAAAATACAAAAAATTAGCTGGGCGTGGTGGTGGGCGCCTGTAGTCCCAGCTACTTGGGAGGCTGAGGCAGGAGAATGGCGTGAACCCAGGAGGCGGAGCTTGCAGTGAGCCAAGATTGCGCCACTGCACTCTAGCCTGGGTGACAGAGTGAGACTCCGTCTCAAAAAAAAATAAAATAAAATCAATGGGAGAGATGAGTTAGTTGTTTTGGCAAGGAATTTTTCTTCTGGGACAGTTCTTTCGCTTTACACTCAAAGTTATTGACTTTATTGTATCAGCAAAGCAATTATATTTTAAAATAATAAAAAACAATTTTATTTTTCACACCATCTCACAGGCAGTATCATTCCTTTTTTTTTTTTGAGATGGAGTCTTGCTCTGTCACTCCCAGGCTGGAGTGCAGTGGCGCGATCTTGGCTCACTGCAACCTCCGCCTCCCAGGTTCAAGCGATTCTCCTGCCTCAGCCTCCTGAGTAGCTGGGATTACAGGTGTGCGCCACCACGCCTGGCTAATTTTTTATATTTTTGTTAGAGACTGGGTTTCGCCATGTTGGCCAGATTGGTCTCAAAACTCCTGACCTCAAGTGCTCTGCCCACCTCGGCTTCTCAAAGTGCTGGGATTATGGTTGTAAGCCACCATGCCCAGCCACAGGCAGTATCATAAGAAGACAGGGATGTCAGGTAGGTTTTGTTTCACTCATGAACTCTATGCCTTGCTAGAGTGCTGGGCTAAGAAGAGTTCTGAGGTAGTGTCTGTTAGATGTGGAGTGGGGGATGGTGGCATCCATGCTACTTGTTTTCCCTCCAGATGGTAAATTCTTACTCTTTCTCTGCCTAAAGTAACCATTTCTTTGCCAGGTTTTGTGGTTTTTAGCTTTTAAATATTTTTTGTATCTGACCCATGATGTTCTTCTATATTTCATTATTTCTCTCTCTCTTTTTTTTGTTTCCTTTTTTTGAGACAGGGTCTCACTTTGTTGCCCATACTGGAGTGCAGTGGTGTGAGTATGGCCACTGCACTCTAAACGATCCTCCCATCTCAGCCTCCCAGGTAGCTGACCACAAACATGCTCCACCACACCCAGCTAGTTTTTGTAGAGACGGGGTCTCCTTATGTTGCCCAGGCTGGTCCTGAACTCCTGACCTCAAGCAATCCTCCTGCCTTGGCCTCCCAAAGTGCTGGGATTACAGGCATGAGCCATCATGCCTGAACTATTTCATTATTTTTCATTTGGACTTTTATAATAGTTTCCTACCTATTCTCCTTCCTTCAGTCACATATCCCATCAAAACACTCTACAGTGATGCCATTGTACTGTATAGATCGAGTGATATTTCTCCCTTTAAAGACCCTGTTTCCTCCAGTGTGATGAAGCAAAGATCTTTCAATGTGACATCCAAACCATCCATGTTTAGGCCTTTGTTTCCCTCTCCAGTGTCATCATTCATTGTTTCCACCTTTTCAAATCTATGCTGCTGCCAGCTATTTGCAGTTCACTCAAAACTATCTTCTAAAACTCGGTTGCATTTTATTTCCCTGCCTTTGCACCTGCCATTTCTTGTGCCGGTGGAAGAAGAAATAAGCTAGGTAGGCTGGCAAAATTTTGTCCTCTTTTAAGATGAAGTTTCTCACTCACAAGTAGAATGAGCTGTTCTCTCTCTCTTTTTTTTAATTGTATAGTGCAATCACTTTTATTATGGTATCTACAGGTCAATGAATTTTGTCTTCATACTGATTATACTAATCTGGCCATCTCCTCCTCATCTTTCATTGACACACTAGACTGCAGTCTCTCTGAAGTCAGAAATTGGTCTTATTGACCTGAATCTCCAATTCCTAGCACAGGATTTGGCACAAAGTACATGTTCAATAATTGGAATAAAAGAGCCTCTTTCACATATAAGGAAGCTGAACCTGAAGGAATAAGTGACTTCACCAGTGTCTCATGGTAAAACTGGGATACAACAGTTTGTTGTTACTCCAGATGCAATATTTCTTTCATTATACCTTGCCTATACACTTAACAAATAATGTGCTTTAAGTTAATTCAATGTTCTTTCTGAATATAAAAATTGTGATAATGGAAATCTCCCTAGCAGCTTAGATTGTATATTTAAGAGGGTAGGAACTGCTCAGTTGTCTTTGGTTTATATTAATGTTTTCAGGTGAATAGGCTATATTTTTTCATGATTGAGGGTATAGACTATGATTGAAAAGCCAATTGAACAAATTGTGTATTATTTTCTATGTTGCATTGATGAATCTCCTTTGAATATTGGAAAATAAGAGATAAATAAAAATGTTTTTTATTTTCTGATTTTCTAAGAGTTTGTTCTGGATATTAAAATTATAGTTGAAGGCCAGGCGCGGTGGCTTGTGCCTGTAACCCCAGCAGTTTGGGAGGCTGAGGTGGGCAGATCCCTTGAGGTCAGGAGTTCAAGACCACCCTGGCCAACCTGGTGAAACCCTGTCTCTACTAAAAATACAACAATTAGCCGGGCGCGGTGGTGGGCGCCTGTCATCCCAGCTACTCAGGAGGCTGAGGCATGAGAATCACTTGAACCTGGGAGGCGGAGGTTGCAGTGAACTGAGATTGCGCCACTGCACTCCAATCTGGACGACAAAGGGAGACTCCATCTAAAAAAAAAAAGTTGCAGTTTAGTCCTTATATTCATATATGTTGAGTATTCATATTCATTCAGTGAGTTTTTATTCCTGCCTGCTGTAATCCATAATACTTGAACATTGTTGTGAGCAGTTTACATACCTTAATCCATTCGATGCTCACAACCCTCAGTTAAGTACTGTTTCTCTTCCCACTTTACCCATGAGGAAGCTGAGTCCTAGATAGTAACCCGTTAAAAGTCACATAATTAATAAATGGTTGAGTCAGGATTTGGACTCCAGCAGTCTGATTCAAGAGCCCAAACCCTTAACCAGGATGGTAAACTGTATTAGTTACTTTGTTTTCAGAAAGGCTACAGAGATGAAAAGATAGGACTTCTGCTCTCAAGGTAATTGATAGTGTAATGGAGAGAAAAGTTATGAGAATGAGAGAAGTAATATTTGTTGAGTGACTGTGCCTTGTGAGAAGCTATGCTAAGCATATCTTATGCATTCTCATTTAAACCTAATTGTCTTCAAACTTGTATGCTTTCTGCTGCTTTGTGCCACCTTTTTTTTTTCTTTCTTTTTTTTTTTTTTTTTTTTTTGGGATGGAGTCTTGCTTTGTAGCCCAGGCTGAAGTGCAGTGGCGCCATCTCGGTTCACTGCAACCTCCACCTCCTGGGTTCACGCAGTTCTCCTGCCTCAGCCTGCCGAGTAGCTGGGATTACAGGTGCCCACCACCACACCTGGCTAATTTTTGTATTTTTAATAGAGACGGGGTTTCACCATGTTGGCCGGCTGGTCTCGAACTCTACCTGCCTCGGCCTCCCAAAGTGCTGGGGTTACAGGCGTGAGCCACCGTGCCTGGCCTGTGCCACCTTTTGTGCAAATACAAAATCAAGGCCATGAGTGGTGGCTCATACCTGTAATCCCAGCACTTTGGGAGGCCGAGGTAGGTGGCTCACTTGAGGTCAGGAGTTCAAGACCAGCCTGGCCAACACGGTGAAACCACAACTCTACTAAAAATACAAAAAAATTAGCCAGGCTTCGTGGCACATGCCTGTGATCTCAGCTACTGGGGAGGCTGAGGCAGGAGAATCACTTGAACCCAGGAGGCGGAGGCTGCAGTGAACAGAGATTGCTCCACTGCACTCCAGCCTGGGCAACAGAGCAATATTCCATCTGAAAAAAAAAAAATACAAAATCACAGTCTTAGGTAAGTGCTTTAAAATTGTGTGAGGTGCATTGGGAGCATAGGGGAAGGAGCCCTAAATCTATATGGGAAGGAGAGGAAGGTTTCACATAGCAGGTAGCAATTGTATTATAAAAATTGACTAAGAGTTTCAGACAGAGAAAATATAGCAGAGAAAATAGCCACGTCATGGAGGGGTGAGAGAATGTGGTGTGTTTAATAGTTGAGTATCAACAATAAAGTGGGAAAAGATAATAGATTTAAAAATGGTTAGGTAGGATTGATCAAATTTAGAGATTGTTTATGGGTGTGAAGGTCAAAGAGGAGTCCAAGGATACTTACAGGTTTTGGGGTTTATGGTGATACCATTTACTGAGGGGTTAGAACAGGATTTTGGAGGAAGTACTAAGTGCAGTTTGAGGTCTGTTGTGTTTAAAGGGCTTGTGGGACATTCAAGTGGTAAACTGCACAAGGAGGCATTTGCACATAAAAATCTGGGATTTGAGATTAGAAAGTTATCTACTTGGAGATGTAGGGCTTCCAGATAAAATACAGGATGCCAGGTTAAATTTGACTATCAAATAAACAATGGTGATTTTTACTATAAGTGTATTGCTTGCAATACTTGGAACATAATTATTCTAAAATAGCACTATTTCAGCTATAGCTAAAAAGAAGGTTTCCTTTTCCTGTAAGATAGCAGGACAGTTTGCTGAGCAATTTGTAGGTAAGGTGGAGGGGGCTGAGGGATGTTGAGGGAGTTCTTAGTTACTTGTTTTTACCTGGTGCAATTGAAACATCAATGAGCAGGAAAGATGTGGAGTTGGGACTCGTGAGCTATGAAGGTTTAGAAAAATTACTTTGTGAGGTAAAAGAAACTGGTCAGGGAAATATAACAGAAATACTAGAAAAATTTTAGAAATTGAGTTGATAAGGCAAAGAAATTTTTATTGAATCTGGCCGGGCGCGGTGGCTCATGCCTATAATCCCAGCACTTTGGGAGGCCGAGACGGGCAGATCACGAGGTCAGGAGATCGAGACCATCCTGGCTAACACGGTGAAACCCCGTCTCTACTAAAAATACAAAAAAATTAGCCAGGCATGGTGGTGGGCGCCTGTAGTCCCAGCTACTCCGGAGGCTGAGGCAGGAGAATGTCGTGAACCTGGGAGGCGGAGCTTGTAGTGAGCCGAGATCGTCCACTGCATTCCAGCATGGGTGACAGAGCGAGATTCTGTCTCCAAAAAAAAAAAAAAAATTTTATTGAATCTTAAACACTCATTTTGGTAATTTGAAGATGTATATAATATTTTTAATGTCCTCTTCATTTTGCAAGTGTCAATAAATATTGTTATTTAAGTATAATGTTTAAGAACATGCACTTTGGATTGAATAGACTTAGATTCCTTCATTTAGCAAGTATTTATTAAATGCCAGTTATGAAACTAATAAATAAGTATGAGAACTAGCATTTTGGCCAGGTGCAGTGGCTCACGCCTGTACTCCCAGCACTCTGGGAGGCCAAGGCGGGCAGATCACCTGAGGTCAGGAGTTCGAGACCAGCCTGACCAACATGGAGAAACCCCGTCTCTACTAAAAATACAAAATTAGCCAGGCGTGGTGGCGCATGCCTGTAATCCCAGCTACTGGGGAGGCCGAGGGAGGAGAATCGATTGAACCCTGGAGGTGGAGGTTGTGGTGAGCTGAGATCCGCCATTGCACTCCAGCCTGGGCAACAAGAGCGAAACTCCATCTCAAAAGAAAAAAAAAAAGAACTAGCATTTTGTGTACATATCGTGCTTGCTTTTGACTAACTGTAAGATGTCATTCTGTATACCTTATTTATATTAAGTCATTTGCCCCCTCCCTCCCCGTTGGCCCTATGGGTTAGGTAATATTATCTTTATTTTACAGATAAAGAAATTGAAACTAAGAAAGATTAAATAGCTTGTTTAGGAGTCAAGATCATATCTGTTTCTGTCTGCTGTTAGAACCTATAGTCATTACTGTTATGTTGACTGTGTTGGGCGATTGGGTATACAGGGGTGAGAAAAACAGGTATTGTCCATAATGGATGTGATCTTTTTAGTCTAATGTGTGTGTAGGGGGAAGGATGAATGTTAAGCATTAATCAAATTATCCAAATAAGCAATGAAATGATTTACTATGGTAACTGCTGTGAGAGAAAGGAGATGGGAGAGACTACTGCAACAGGGGAACTTAATTTCAGTTGGACCAGAGTTTGAATTCATTGTAGTAATTACTTTATATTTTCACATCTATGACAGTGCTATCTTGGGTTTTAGAACAGAGAGACTGGCTGGGTGCGGTGGCTCATGCCTGTAATCCCAGCACTTTGGGAGGTGGAGGTGGGTGGGTCACCTGAGGTCAGGAGTTCAAGACCAGCCTGACCAACATGGTGAAACTCTGTCTCTACTAAAAATACAAAAATTAGCTGGGCATGGTGGTGAGTGCCTGTAATCCCAGCTACCCAGGAGGCTGAGGATCACTTGAACCCGGGAGGGAGAGGTTGCAGTGAGCCGAGATGGCACCATTGCACTCCAGCCTGGGCTACAGAGCGAGACTCCGTCTCAAAAAGAAAAAAAAAACAAAACAGAGAGACTGGGTTTGATTCCCATCTGTGCACGTAGTCTCTTTGTGACCTTGGGCAAGTTGCTGAACATCTCTTAGCTTCACTTTCCTCATCTATAAAGAAGGCATATCTTATAGAGAGCACCTCTTTGGGTGCTCATAATACATATCATGGGAAGTGGTGAATTAATGCAATGGTTCCTAGTTTTTGGCATTTAATAGTCTAAAGAAATTTCTAAAGTAACTTTGGAACTAACATAGCTACTCATTTATTTTGCTATGTGTGGAGAGATTAAAAATACAACTGCCATTTATTACCATCATTGATTCAGAAAAGTAAGACTTTTTAAAAAACTTCCTGTTTTGAAATATGTAAGGGTATTTTAACATTAAAAAAAAGGATGGTTGCAATTTCAGAATAAAGATAGGCATTTACATTTTAAAAATGTTTCATGATTACATTTTGTTTTAAAACGTTTTAAAGAATGTGGTAAGAATAAATAGGATTTTGTCTGTGATGATTTTATGTATAATGAGCAGATTGCATTGACACTCTTGTATCTTTTCTGCCATTAACAGAAAAGGCAGCTTGTAAATCTAAAATGATTGAAATCCAAACTCTAAATCATTCAGATTTAACTTTTCTTTTTTTCTTTTTCTTTTTTTTTTTGAGGCAGAGGCTCGCTCTGTTGCCCAGGCTGGAGTGCAGTGGCACAATCTTGGCTTACTGCAGCCTCCTCCTCCCGGGTTCAAGTGATTCTCCTGCCTCAGCCTCCTGGGTAGCTGGGACTATAGGTGTGAGCCACCACGCCCAGCCAGATTTAATTTCATTTATTGCTCCTTTTTGCCGGGTGCAGTGGCTCACACCTGTAATCCCAGCACTTTGGGAGGCCAAAGTGGGCGGATCACCTGAGGTCAGGAGTTCCAGACCAGCCTGGCTAACATAGCAAAACCCCTTCTCTACTGGAAAAAAACACAAAAATTCGCCGGGTGTGGTAGCGCAAGCCTGTATTCCCAGCTACTTGGGAGGCTGAGGCAGGAGAATCGCTTGAACCTGGGTGTTGGAGGTTGCAGTAAGCCAAGATCACGCCATTGCACTCCAGCCTGGGTGACAGAATGAAACTCCAGCCTGGGTGACAGAATGAGACTCCATGTCAAAAAAAAAAAAAAATTTTTTTTTTCATTTATTACCCCCTTTTAAACACACTACCTAAAAAATAGGTAGTGCTCAGCATTTGGAATAGCTATGTATTACTCCCATATATCAAAATTTCATTTGAAAAGTAGATAAAAGTATTTTAAAAGATTCTCTAATTCTGAAAGATTGTCTTTGTAAAGATTAGTGTAATAACTTGTAAATTTTGACTTTTGAGGTGCTTGTGAAGGTATTTATGATTAGACTGTTTAAGAGATGAATAGGGCCGGGTGTGGTGGCTCACGCCTGTAATCCCAGCACTTTGGGAGGCTGAGGTGGGTAGATCACAAGGTCAGGAGTTCGAGACCAGCCTGGCCAATGTGGTGAAACCCTGTCTCTACTAAAAATACAAAAAATAGTTGGGTGTGGTAGCACATACCTGTAGTCCCAGCTACTCGGGTGGCTGAGGCAGAAGAATCGCTTGAACCTGGGAGGCAGAGGTTGCAACGAGCTGAGATCGCGCCACTGCACTTCAGCCTGGGCACCCAAGTGAGACTCCATCTCAAAAAAAAAAAAAAAAAAAAAAGGAGATGAATAGGATAGAATAATTTTTTTTTGCTTGAATTTCTAGTTTACTTACATACATTGTATTCATTGCTCTTTTCTCTTTTCTTTTTTTTTTTAAAGGAGTATGGATGTGTCCAACAGCCAAAAACTCAAGAAAGTAAATTGAAAATTGGTGGTGTGTCTTCAGTTAATGAGAGACCTATTGGTAAGAAATGGAACTGTATAAGTTAGTTACAATTAATTTGCTTATTCTGACTTTTAAAATTGAGGGAAAGCATCTTTTCATGTATGTCTTTCTCTTTCTTTAGAGCTGTGTTTTTTCAAACTGTGAGTAGCTGGTTTTCAGCAGCGTTTTAAAAAATAGAGTAAGATTATATCAGAATATGATATGTGTAGTAAGGAAACATATTGTTTCATAAAACTTCTGTTTCAGTGATTAAATTGTACATACATCCCCACGTTTACAAACATATGTATGTGAGAACTGGGTTATAATATTAAATGTATTTCTTGCGTTGAGTAATGGTTAAAAAAAAATTGAAACCTCTGTTTTAGAGCTCTTATTGCCTCATTAACTGGATTTCAAGATTGGGAATTTGTCCTGAAAAAGAGAGACTGGGCTGGGTTTAGTGGCTAACACCTGTAATCTCAGCAACTTGGGAGGCTGAGGCAGGAGGATCGCTTGAGCTCAGGTGTTTGAGACCAGTCTGGGCAACATACCTTATCTTTGCTAAAAATTAAAAAAAAATTAGCTGGGTGTGGTGGCATGTGCCTGTAGTCCTAGCTACTCAAGAGGCTGAGGCGGGAGGACTGGTTAATCCTGGGAGTTTGAGGCTTCAGTGAGCCTTGATTGCACCACTGCACTCCAGCCTGGGTGACAGTGAGACCGTGTCTCAGAAAAAGAAAAAAGAGAGAGAGAGAGAGAGACTGAGACTGTATATGCATTAGTATTGATACTAAAACTTTTTTTATTTTGTTTTGATAGCCCAGCAGTTGAACCCAGGCTTTCAGCTTTCTTTTGCATCATCTGGCCCAAGTGTGTTGCTTCCTTCAGTTCCAGCTGTTGCTATTAAGGTTTTTTGTTCTGGTTGTAAAAAAATGCTTTATAAGGGCCAAACTGCATATCATAAGACAGGATCTACTCAGCTCTTCTGCTCCACACGATGCATCACCAGACATTCTTCACCTGCCTGCCTGCCACCTCCTCCCAAGAAAACCTGCACAAACTGCTCGAAGTATAAAATTCTTAACATCCCTTTTTACTTTACCTTTTTTTTAGTGTGTATATTGTTTAGTTCAAACATACTGTTGATACTTTAAATCTCTTCAGCATGTATCTGTAGAAATAACTTTTTAGTTAATGGAAGAATTCACCAATTTTAAAGTTTTGCAACATTAAATAAGTGACTTGGTGTTAGAATATTGCCTAAACCAGTTTTCTATCACTTTAAATTTTACTATGGAAAGAAATAACAAATGACATGTGGGAATTGCAGGACTATCCTGTAATTGTAGACACCCACCATTTAAATTTATTTAACAGTTATCTTGAAAGCTATTGGGTATAGCATAAAATAATATCACTCTTTTAATAGTATACAAAAGCTATTTAATTCTTTAAAAAGTAAAAACTCTACATGGTCGCAAAAATGTGTTTATTTCTAATGTCCTTGTGGGGTCATTGTTGCTTTACAATAATGCTTAGATGCAGAGAGAGGAAAAAACAGCAACAAAGTCACATAAATCTTTCCCTGACTTAGTACATTTGAAGGATTTGGCATATTTTGCCTATTTCTGTGGTAGTGTAATTTGAGGAATACAGTGTGTTGTTAATAGTCACTACAGGCAAAAAACAGTAAGAGCTTGCTTTTAAATTGTGGCTCTGTCATTTATCTCTGTGACTTCGGGCTAGATGTTTAACTTTCTAAGCCTCCATTTCTCATCAGTAAATAATAGTTGCTTCCTAGGACTTTAATGAGACAGTGTTAGCAAATGGCCTAGCACATAGCAAGTACTTAAAAAATGGAATCCTGTTATTATTAATAATAAAAATTATATCGTGCGATTATTTATAATTAACATAAATAAATATAATAAATATATGTGTATATAATACATATTACTATGTATACTTAACATATCACTTGTAGGCCCCTATTTTGTCTTTGGCTGTGTTTATCTGCTTTGTGTCTTGACTTAAACTATTTAAAAGTAGATCCTGCTATATGGAAATTTCCAAGTAAAGAGGAGAGAGGATTTTTTTTTTTCTTTGTTGCCCATGGTAGAGTGATCACAGCTCACTGCAGCCTTGAACTCCCCGGGCTCAGATGATCCTCCCACCTCAGCCTTTCAAATAGCTGGGACCACAGGCGCATACCACCATGCCCGACTAATTTTTGTATTTTTTTGTAGAGATGGTTTTGCTATGTTGCCCAGGCTGGTCTCAAACTCCTGGGCTCAAGCAATTAGCCTGCCTCAGCCTCCTAAAGTGCTGGGACTATTGGTGTGAGCCATCACATGTGGCCAGGAGAGAGGAATTTTAAAATATTTATATACTCTAAATTAGTTTGTTGCAAAATACCATTCTAATTAATGCTTTTATGTCATTCTCATGAAACTAATCTGAAAGAGTAAACTTAGTTTTCTATTTTTAGATATTGTTTCAACATACCAAATACCAAAATAAAATTAAATAATTTTAAAGAACATAACACAACTTATACATCCAAATGCCTATTGTTTTCTTAAAAGTAGTCACCCCCGTCAGTGACTTTTTAGCATAAGGTTAGGAGACAGATTCTTATCTTTTCAGCATGCATTTGATTTTTACAAATTTTCAAAGGCTGCTTGATACCTTAATCAGGCCAATATATTAGCTAATTAAATTAAGTCATACTGTTAAAACATGATATTTATAAAATTAAAAGTTAAAAAATAGTCTAAGGGTTTATCTTAAGTTTTATCTTAAAAAAATTAGAAAAATGTTTTGAGCTATGTTATTGTTGGAAGGTGTGGTTTTTCTACGGTAAATGTTACGATATAACACTCATTTGCATGTGTAAGGTTCAGAGTACACTTATAATTTATGTGCACAGATTTTCATTATAAAGTCATTCTCTTTGATTTACATATTTTTACTTGCTATTTTTGTACTTATTATGCCACTGGCAGATTCACCTTATTAAGTGAAACTCTTTATTGCTCTGTTTTCAGTAGAAAAATCACTTTTCAAAATTAATACTTCATCTGTGTATAAGCATATTCTTTTGGTTTCTAAGATTTGCTGTCATATTTTTAAAGTTGAGTTTTAAAGAATTAAAATAATTTTTGTTGTTGTTATTTTCTCATGGTTTACCATTGAATATACCTGTATAATAAAGGTGCAGGATGGGAGGCAGGATAGTGGAATAATTAATTCCATAGACTAGAATCAGATTGCCTGGATTAGTATTTCAGCTTTATTGCCTACTAGCAATATGACTTTGACAAGCTATTTAACCTCTCATTCAGTTTCCTCATCTGTAAAGTGGCAGTTACAGTAATACTTAACCTTATAGTGGTTTGGGGATTTTTTTTTTTTTTTGAGACACGGTCTCACTCTGTCACCCAGGCTGGAGTGCAGTGGCGTGATCCCAGCTCACTGCAGCCTCTACCTCCCGGGCTCAAGCAATCCTCCCACCTCAGCATCCTGAGTAACTGAGACCATGGGCATGAGCCAGCATGCCCTGCTAATTAAAAAATTTTTTTTATAGAGATCGGGTCTTGCTCTGTTGCCCAGGCTGGAGTGCAGTGGCATGATCATGGCTCACTGGAGTCTTGAACTCCCTGGGCTCAAGCAATCCTTCTGCCTTGGCCTTCCAAAGTGCTAGGATTATGGGGGTGAGCCACTGCACTCCATCATTTTTGTGGTATTTAAATTGGGTAATTTGAGTAAAGAGAATAATGCTTGGCACATAGTAATTACTCAACACACTTATTGTAGTATATATTATTGCCATTATTATTTACTTTGTGGCCTGCACTAGTGTTTATAATTAGTGACTATTTCCTTTAGTTTTTATACTTGTCAGAAGAATGGCAATACTTAACCTCTGTTTTACCAGGGTATTGCTATTTGTGCTTATTGCAATAATTAGCTCTTACAAATTGGCTCTAGGAGTCTCACAGAACCACCCAATTATTTTTGTTCTTCCTGTCTCGTTCTTGTTTCCATCTGTCCTCTGATACAAAGCCTTAACAGCCCTTTTGTCATATATCATGCTTATTTTTTGTCTTCTGTTAGCTCATTTGTTTCTCAAAATCTTGCACTTTTAATTTTTAAACATTCATTTATTGTCTTGGCTGGACACGGTGGCTTATGCCTGTAATCCCAACACTTTGGGAGGCTGACGCAGGCGGATCGCGAGGTCAGGAATTTGAGACCAGCGTGGCCAATATGGCGAAACCCCGTCTGTACTAAAAATACAAAAATTAGCCTGGCATGGTGGCACGTGCTGGTGTCCCAGCTACTCGAACCGGAGGCTGAGACAGGAGGATCGCTTGAACCCAGGAGGTGGAGATTGCAGTGAGCCGAGATCGTGACACTGCACTCCAGCCTGGGCAGCAGAGCGAGACTCCGTCTCACAAAAAAAAAAAAAAAAAAGAAAGAAAAAATTCATTTATTGTCTCATTTCAGTTCTACTTTGGGCAGCCTCTGGCTAATGAGAGAACCAGTGTCTTGTGGTCTGGAGTTGTGGGATGGACACTGGTCCCATTGGCTATAGCAGATGAAACTTGGTTGGGGCTGGAAGCCTTCCTATTTTTGTCTTCAGCATCTGGCTGGCCACATATATATATATATATATTTTTTTTTTTTTTTTTTTTTGAGATGGAGTCTAGCTCTGTTGCCAAGGCTGGGGTGCAGTGGCACAATCTCGGCTCACTGCAACCTCCACCTCCCGGGTTCAAGTGATTCTCCTGCCTCAGCCTCCCGAGTAGCTGGGATTACAGGCGCCCACCACCACGCCCATCTAGTTTTTGTATTTTTAGTAGAGACGAGGTTTCACCATGTTGGCCAGGCTGGTCTCGAACTCCTGACCTCATGATCCGCCCACCTCGGCCTCCCAAAGTGATGGGATTACATGCATGAACCACCGCACCTGGCCCTGGCTGGCTATATTTTAAATATAATTCACTCTTGACAAATTTATGAATTAGATATTATAAGCCCCATTTTATACATGAAGAAATTGAGATAGTAATTACATCATTCATTGTCACTCACCTGATAAATAGCAGAACTCATCAAACCCAGGTTTGCAGATTCCTTATCCTTTTTCTACCATACAGTACCTGCCCTTAGTAAGTGTTATTTCACCTCACAAAGAGGAGGAAGTTACAGTTGTGAAGAATACATTTCATTTTTACCTTTGTTATTTATTTTTAGAGACATTTTAAATCCTAAGGATGTGATCACAACTCGCTTTGAGAATTCCTATCCTAGCAAAGATTTCTGCAGCCAATCATGCTTGTCATCTTATGAGCTAAAGAAAAAACCTGTTGTTACCATATATACCAAAAGCATTTCAACTAAGTGCAGTATGTGTCAGAAGAATGCTGATGTAAGTTACATTTTACTTTTATTGGGATTCTGCTGAAAGAGATTTTTTTTTAACTGGCTCTGCTTATTTTGTGTGTGTATGTGTGTGTTTATTTCCTAGACTCGATTTGAAGTTAAATATCAAAATGTGGTACATGGTCTTTGTAGTGATGCCTGTTTTTCAAAATTTCACTCTACAAACAACCTCACCATGAACTGTTGTGAGAACTGTGGGAGCTATTGCTATAGTAGCTCTGGTCCTTGCCAATCCCAGAAGGTTTTTAGTTCAACAAGTGTCACGGCATACAAGCAGGTATGAATATCTATTTGTTGCATGTACTTAGGCCCACTCCTTCTGATTTGGCTGCACAGGGATGAACTACAAAATGAGAGTGAGCTCCTCCCATTAGTCCATCCTGATATGTGATTTCCCTTCCAGAAAATGGGATAGATTCTGATGGTGTGAGGGATGATTGTGGTGGTAAGTTGATATAGGTAAAATAGGTCCCTTTTTTAAGGCTCCCTTCATAGCTAAGAATTTACAAATGTGATTTCTTTTCTTTTTTTGAAATCGAGATAGGGTTTTGCCATGTTGCTCAGGCCGGTGTTGAACTCCTGAGCTCAAGCCATCCACTCGCCTCAGCCTCCCAAAGTGCCGGGATTACAGGCATGAGCAACCACACCTCGGCCTCATAAATGTAATTTCATGATTTTCTGTGAGCATGAAATATTTTGTGATGTATTGATAGCAAGAAAACCATATTATAAATAAACCATAAGCAAGAGTTAAGATGATAAAATCAGTGAATCTAAACAAAGCTTGTCTTTTTCATTTCAAAATGTGTTTGGGAATGAATTGTAATTATTTGGTCAACACTGTCTCATGAGAATACTTCAAGTAATTTTATTTATTGTAATGAATAATGGATTAAGCCGGTTACTAAATATTATCACCTTGTGTCAATTTAATTATTACTAATTTGTGGTTTTAAAAAGTTTTTCTTAAAGAAGTATCTTGTAAGGCCGGCGCGGTGGCTCACGCCTGTAATCCCAGCACTTTGGGAGGTCAAGGCGGGTGGATCACGAGGTCAGGGGTTCGAGACCAGCCTGACCAACATGGTGAAACCCTGTCTGTACTGAAAATACAAAAATTAGCTGGGCGTGGTGGCGGGCGCCTGTAATCCCAGCTACTCAGGAGGCTGAGGCAGGAGAATTGCTTGAACCCGGGAGGTGGAGGTTGCAGTGAGCTGAGATTGTGCCACTGCAGTCCAGCCTGGGTGACAGAGCAAGACTGTCTCAAAAACAAACAAACAAACAAAAAAAAAAAACAAAGATGTATCTTGTAAATGATAATTAAACTTTTTTTCAGTTAGCAAGTTTGATTTGTTGCTTCCTTTGAGCAGTTGGTAATGGACATATGGACATTCATCACTGAAAAGAATCTCTTTTTTTAAGATTTGCCATTTTTGGCAGTCTGGTTCTACTTTCACAGGAAAAGAATCCATGTTATTTTATATATGATCCCAAAATCAGTTCCATTTCTAATTTTGTTACTAGTATTGTACTCTGTCTTTTTACTAGGAAGATTATGTAGTGAAACCTCACAATTTATATTTTCCTACAATTTCTTTTCATATTGAGAGACCTTATAATGTATCACTGACAGCATAGTGTAGTGGTTAGGAGCCTGAACTTTGGAGCCTGATGAAATGAGTTTAATTTCCTACTTCTTCTGCTCATCTGTTAATTTAAACTTTTTGTTAATGTAATTTTTGAGAGCGCCTCACTCTGTTGTTGAAAGGTTTCTGTGATACACTATATATAAATTTCTTAGCCTGGGGCCTGACTCATGGTAAGCATTCAGTAAGTTATAATATTGGTTATGTAAATGGTAGCTATTTTTATTATTTCTTAAAACATGAATAAACTTATAAGCAGATTTTATTATGAAACTCAGCTTGAAAAATAGGTAGTTGTGTAGGATCTCTATTAATATACATTAAATATCATTTCTATCTCCTGCTAAAGAATCTCACAAATTAAGTAACCTTAAAGGTGGTAGACTCTTCTAGATTGATGTACAAGACTATACCAAGAATGACCCTTTGGTTCATGGGTTAGCTGGTCTTCTCTGGTTATTGGTGATTAAAAAGTATGTAATGACTATTTAATTCATTACTTGTGTTTGAATTCATGTGTTTTGTTTGCTAAGATCTCTATCTGAATAGTTACTAATTTTCTTCAGTTTCTATTTTATTGTTGTCTGGAAGAACTTATTTTCCCACCTCCCAATAGTGTGGTTTCATCATCATGCTCAAATATTTCAACCAAGGACCGTGGTTGTAGGTAGCTTTTCTTTTTACTTTTTTGAACAATATGTAAATATGTATGTTTGTACTAGGTATCTAATGTTATTTTATTTTAATAGAATTCTGCCCAAATTCCTCCATATGCCCTGGGGAAGTCATTGAGGCCCTCAGCTGAAATGATTGAGACTACAAATGATTCAGGAAAAACAGAGCTTTTCTGCTCTATTAATTGCTTATCTGCTTACAGAGTTAAGACTGTTACTTCTTCAGGTAATGTTTAAATTTGATAAATTTATAGATTTAATAACTATTGAAGAAAAACGTAACTGCTTTTCTCTGATTTTGTTACAAGCTAAATTTATCTATTTAGTTAAATAAAAACCCAAGACTGACTTTTAAATAACTGACTTTTATGTGAAAATAGTTTTTCCCCGATTTTCTTGGTTGCAATATATACAGTATTTTATAATTTCATATGTGAGAGGAAAGAAAAAACACTTAAAATTTCCAAGTTAGTTTTTGTGTAAGTGGGACTTAATAGAGGTTAGTTGTGGTTAGATTTCAGATTTTTATAAAGTTCCTTGATTTTTTTGGTATATTATTGATTATTTAATTTTTTCATTCTCCCAATACATTTTTGTATTGTTTGTTCATTGGTATAACTTAATCATTGTTTTTAATTTTTTGTCACCAAGGTGTCCAGGTTTCATGTCATAGTTGTAAAACCTCAGCAATCCCTCAGTATCACCTAGCCATGTCAAATGGAACTATATACAGCTTCTGCAGCTCCAGTTGTGTGGTTGCTTTCCAGGTATGATCTAAGGTAGCACATTATGCATGTGGTTCTGTTAGGCATCGATCTGTGGCACAGTGTTAACTGCTGAAGGCCTGTTCTTATGAAAGTTTAAATTTGAATTAAAAAGAAAAAAATTTGTTTCATCCAGGGGCCCAACCAGGTCATTTCTACAAAATATCTGAACCCAGATATTGGGTCTCAGCAGTTTCTTCTTTATTTAGGATCCTAGCCTAAACTGTCATTCCCTCCCACTTTCTCCCTTGGGTCTCTCCCCTTCAAAAAGATGGAAGCTAGGATTGTGGTTTGGGTAGGTGGTATGGTGAAGAACAGTAGCCTGATGGGATTCACATACCCCTTCCTCTCATCCTGTGTCAGAAACACAGTGACTCCTGGCATGGAATTGTAAGCATCCACTTGTCCCATTTTCTCCTCCCTCTCTGCAATACATACACAAAGAGTAGAGTTTAGTAATCTCCAGGGTAGGAACATGCCTGATGTAGTATCCCTGGCATTAGGGAGAAAGAGACTGCTGGTAGCTATTGTGTCGTAGTAGCCATCAGAAGCTGGTTGATGATGGGAGTGCAGGTAGGGGGAAGTTTTAGGGGGAAGGAGAGGCCTGCTCTAATTTATTAGAGGCATATACTGGAGGTCTTTGTCAGGAAAGCCTGAATTCCAGTCCTTGACCTTTTAATGTTGTATTTCTCAGTCCTTTTATTCTGGAAATATACCATTTAAACTCTTTCTGTGAGATAGAAAATTTTAAAAAATGTTTGTGGGAGACTTGATTTATTAAAATGAGGAAATGAAAAGTACAAAGTTATCTTATTTCTCAGTTGATAAAATCTTTACCTTATTTGTTTTCATTCAGAATGTATTTAGCAAGCCAAAAGGAACAAACTCTTCGGCGGTGCCCCTGTCTCAGGGCCAAGTGGTTGTAAGCCCGCCCTCCTCCAGGTCAGCAGTGTCAATAGGAGGAGGTAACACCTCTGCCGTTTCCCCCAGCTCCATCCGTGGCTCTGCTGCAGCCAGCCTCCAACCTCTTGCTGAACAATCCCAGCAAGTTGCTTTAACCCATACAGTTGTTAAACTCAAGTGTCAGCACTGTAACCATCTATTTGCCACAAAACCAGAACTTCTTTTTTACAAGGTAAAGAGAGATCATGAAAGGGATTGTATATAAACTCATCCAGTAGAAACACTTTTGTGTTTTCAATTTTGATCACTCAATTTGCTTTGACATGAAAAGGAGTTCTTAAAGATAAAGCAACTGTTTAGTTGGCTCTTAATGGACTGTTGTTTCTCTGCAGGGTAAAATGTTTCTGTTTTGTGGCAAGAATTGCTCTGATGAATACAAGAAGAAAAATAAAGTTGTGGCAATGTGTGACTACTGTAAACTGCAGAAAATTATAAAGGAGACTGTGCGATTCTCAGGGGTTGATAAGCCATTCTGTAGTGAAGGTAAAGACAAAGTTGTTTTATTCACAGAGCATGGGTTGTTATAATTCATGACGACTTGGGCAATTAAGCCATGATTAGTTTTCACATTCTTTTTGTCTTACAAGGTGTAATTAGAAGTATTTTGGAGGCCGGGCATGGAGGCTCACGCCTGTAATCCCAGCATTTTGGGAGGCTGAGGTGGGTGGATCACTTGAGGTTGGGAGTTCAAGACCAGCCTGACCAACATGGTGAAACCCCATCTCTGTTAAAAAACACCGTCTCTATACAAAATTAGCCGGGCATGGTGCCGCACGCCTGTAATCCCAGCTACTTGGGAGCCTGAGGCAGGAGAATTGCATGAACCTCAGAGGCAGAGGTTGCAGTGAGCTGAGATCATGCCATTGCACTGCAGCCTGGGCGACGAGCGAAACTCTTGTCTCCAAAAAAAAAAAGGTTTTTTTGAATTGTGTTTATAGTTAATTCACTTTAAAGTCAATCTTTTTATTTATTATTTTTGTTTGTTTATTTTTTTGAGACAAGGTCTTGCCCTGTCACTCAGGCTGGAGTGTGGTGGCATGATCTTGGCTTATTGCAGTCTCTGCCTCCCCGGTTTAAGGGATCCTCCCACTTCAGCCTCCCAAGTAGCTGAAGCTACAGGAGCGTGCCACCATGCCTGGCTAATTTTTTTTATTTTTGGTAGAGACGGGGGGTTTCACCATGTTTCCCAGGCTGGTCTTGAACTCCTGAGCTCAGGTGGTACTCCTGCCTCGGCCTCCCAAAGTGCTGGGATTATAGGCGTGAGCGACTGTGCCTGGCTGAAAGTCAGTCTTTTTAAATGTTGCAGTAATTGCAATAAAAAACTGTAAAAATGATTACATCAGTGGTATTAATAAAGAAAATCTCTTCATAAGTTTAGCTATGACATCAGAGATCTTTTTGTTCTTGCACTCATTTGCGAAGAGGAACTTAAAACAGTTGCTGCTTCTTGGCTTAAAAAACTTTTATACCTCTAATGTTTCTGAATATAAATGGCCTAATATTTAGAGTATATTTAAAAGGTGGTGGCAGGGCGCAGTGGCTCACGCCTGTATTCCCAGCACTTTGGGAGGCCAAGGCGAGCCAGATCACCTGAGGTCAGGAGTTTGAGACCAGCCTGGCCAACATGGCGAAATGCCATCTCTACTAAAAATACAAAAATTAGCTGGGTGTGGTGGCAGGTACCTGTAATCCCAGCTGCTCTACTCAGGAGGCTGAGGCAGGAGAATCGTTTGAACCTGGGAGGCAGAGGTTGCAGTGAGCTGAGATTGTGCCACTGCACTCCAGCCTGGGCAAAACGAGTGAGACTCTGTCTCAAAAAATAAAATAAAATAAAAGGTGGTATGAGTTTGGTTTGTGAATATAGAGACTGTCCTGTAATCTAGAGGCAAATAATTGTGTATTAGAAATTAGCTTAAAGTTTCATATCTAAGACCACAGAAACTTATTATACCTCCTCAGTTAATGTAAATTTGATTTTTCTTCCTTTCATCCCTCTGATCCTCAGTTTGCAAATTCCTCTCTGCCCGTGACTTTGGAGAACGATGGGGAAACTACTGTAAGATGTGCAGCTACTGTTCACAGACATCCCCAAATTTGGTAGAAAATCGATTGGAGGGCAAGTTAGAAGAGTTTTGTTGTGAAGATTGTATGTCCAAATTTACAGTTCTGTTTTATCAGGTAAATGTGATAATATACTTTTTTTGGCTTTCTGAAATCAGTGCAAATTGTTTTTATTTAAAATGTATTCAAATTATGTGAAGAAAAATTTGGTGTTTAGCACTGGATAAAATAAGTTATGGGCTATAATAGAAAAATTCAATTGAATATAAACAGGAAATCTTTGGGATAAAAAGTATAGGATTTCTGCAGACTTTGTTGTTGGTTGGATATGTTCCTTTTATTTTTGCCTTCTTATGAGGCACTTTGCCCTTATTTGACTTCTTTCAGGTTAGAACTTCACATAATGTTGCCTGAAGTGGCTCTCTCATTCAGGTTACTCTGAGGAATTTGAAGTTAGACCTTGTCTCACTTCATAGGTCAAAGGACAATAGCTGGCAACCATTCCTACCTCATTTTTAAAAAGATTAACTTTTTGAAAGGCTAACAATGGTAGCTACAGTTAATTGAACCACTAATACATGTCTGGTGCTCTGTAAGTGTCATTTCATTTAATCCTTACCATAGTCCCAAGAGGTAAGTATATTACTGCCATTTTATAAATAAGGAAAAGGAGAGAGGTCCAGGGAAGTTAAGTAATATGCTCTTGAGGAAGCTGGTAGGTGACAGCAAGACAGCATCTATAACACTCTGGTAAATCACTGTTTGTTTTTCTACCTCTAAAAAAATAGAATTTTATTGTTGGGGGAGGGTAATATATTTTTCATGATTATATAATTAGGGCCAATCACAGTGCTTAAGACAAAGGATGTCTAATTAAATATTTGCTGAATGAATCAAAATCTTTATGACTCCAAAGCCCATATTATATCAACTACTGTAAGCTGCTGCTTAATTTTTTAGAAGTTGAACCTATCTTTATTTTTTTTTTACTTACTTTTTTCATTGTGTATCTTTTCTTCCCCCATCCCACCTGCCCACCCCCCATCCCCCAGCCAGACAGAATCTTGTTCTATTGCTCAGGCTGGTGTGCAGTGGCGTGATCAGTGGGCGATGTTGGCTCCCTGTAGCCTCTGCCTCCTGGGTTCAAGTGATTCTCCTGCCTCAGCCTCCCGAGTAACCAGGAGAGGTGGGCACCACCATGCCCAGTTATGAACCTATCTTTAGATAGATTCCCTTATTGGTAATTTTGAAAACAGAAGAGCATTTTTTTTTTTTTCTATTGAGACAGAGTCTTACTCTGTCACCCAGGCTGGAGTGCAGTGACGCGATCTCGGCTCACTGCAACCTCTGCCTCCTGGATTCAAGCGATTATCTTACCTCAGCCTTCTAAGTAGCTGGGATTACAGGCGTGCGCCACCACACCTGGCTAATTTTTGTACTTTAGTAGATACGGGGTTTCACCATGTTGGTCAGGCTGGTCTTGAACTCCTGACCTCATGATCCGCCCACCTCGGCCTCCTAAAATGCTGGGATTACAGGCGTGATCCCACAATTACCGTGCCTGGCCACAGTTTTTATATTATCTTGATTTAGGGCATCTATATAAAACAAATAATTAAATAAAATCAGTATTTTAAGGTAAGAACCTTACATTTTGTAGTCTCAACTGACTCATATATCCTGTTTTCGTAGTCCCTCTTTTTATGATTAATGTTATCTTTTCATTATTTTATAGTTTTAAGCCTATCTTGTCTAACATTTCTTTTTCAGATGGCCAAGTGTGATGGTTGTAAACGACAGGGTAAACTAAGCGAGTCCATAAAGTGGCGAGGCAACATTAAACATTTCTGTAACCTATTTTGTGTCTTGGAGTTTTGTCATCAGCAAATTATGAATGACTGTCTTCCACAAAATAAAGGTAAAATTAAACTTAGCTAATGGGATTTTTATGTCAGTGCTAGGACACTATCAGCATATACAGTTATAAATAATATAATAAAAACAAAATTTCATTGGATTCAAATAGCCTGAATTTCCTTAAATTTTTCTTTAAGAAGTCTTTAAGATTTCCCCTTGAGGGAAAAGTAATTCTAATACTTTTTGCTCTGATAGTCAAGCACACCAAAAGGCCAATAATGTATATGCACTAATTTTTATAGGAAACTTAGATTTGATTGCTTTTTGATTGAATGTATCTGTACATAAATAACTTAAACTAGGGATATATACTATTTAGTTAATAAACCAGAAATAAAAACAGAAAATCAGGGCAAACAAAGGGAGAGTATAGTTAATATAGTTGCTGTGACTAGTGTAAAATTTGTTTCAGAGCTTGCTTATAGGCAAGGAGAAAAGAACAACACGTTAATTATCTCAGAAAATATAAAATGGAACAGTTCTTCATGGGTAGCAAAGTTTATCCTAGCTAAGAATAAAATAATTTTGCAAGTAGGACAGCTAATATGGTCAGAATATCCAGGTGAGTAGATAGATCCATGATATATTCATAAAGTAGCTCTCCTAAGTATTTCTTTCTAAGTATTAGATTAAAAACATTTGGTAGCCAGGTGCAGTAGCTCGCACCTGTAATCCCAGCACTTTGGAAGGCTGAGATGGGCAAATTACTTGAGGCCAGGAGTTCGAGACCAGACTGGTAAACATGGTGAAACCCCATCTCTACTAAAAATACAAAAATTAGCCAAGTGTGGTGGTGTGTGCCTGTAAGCTCAGCTGCTCAGGAGGCTGAGGCACGAGAATTACTGGAACCCAAGAGATGGAGGTTACAGTGAGCCGAGATCATGCCATGGCACTCCAGCCTGGGCTACAGAACGATATTCTCTCTCTCAGAAAAAAAAGCCACTTGCTATTATGTTCTCTGTTCAAAGCCTGGAGTGCTACCTGATTGACAGAGCTTTGGCTCTTTGCAGTCTGGCCATTGCCTACCTCTGCAGTCTTATTAATGATTACCTTAATTATAAATGCCTTGTGCTAATCTTTCGTGTTAGCCCTCCATTCCCCAGAACCAGTCAGGCTGGTAGTAGAATATTCATTTTATAATATGGGTTAAGAAAACTAGTGTTATGGGGTTGGACAGCTCCCTCATTAACTTATTTATAAAAATTGTCATGTTAAGTTTTTATCTGATGCATGCTTAGGTCTAGGAGTTTTAATAGTCACTAATAGAACAGTCCAGTGAATCCTGAAGCTAATACCTGTCTTTTTTTTTTTTTTTTTTTTTTGAGACTAGGTTTTGCTATGTTGCCCAGGTTGGTCTTGAACTCCTGGGCTTAAGTGATCCCCCTGTTTCAGCCTCCCAAGTAGCTGGGATTACAGGCTGGTGCCACTGTATCCAATACCTGTATTTTTACCTGTTAAATGTCATTTGAGGTTTATGACTTTATAGAATTGGACTCTCTTTAAGTCCTAAAGAACACTAATCTGACCAGAGTCACCCAACCTAACATGATACAGAATCAGATATTTATATTGCTTCTTGAAAACCTAGTTACTAAACAGGGTTTTGTGTGTGAGTGTGAGTGTGTATGAGAGAGAGACCCTTTTGCTTATTCCAGATCTTAACTTTTTATTTTAATCAGTAAATATTTCTAAAGCAAAAACTGCTGTGACGGAGCTCCCTTCTGCAAGGACAGATACAACACCAGTTATAACCAGTGTGATGTCATTGGCAAAAATACCTGCTACCTTATCTACAGGGAACACTAACAGTGTTTTAAAAGGTATGACTTGATATAATGGCATTTGGCTAAGCCATAGAAGTGAGTGTTGTCTAGCCTAAGTAGTTCTCTCTTTTTGAGACAGTTTCACTCTTGTTGCCCAGGCTGGAGTGCAATGGCGTGATCTCAACTCACTGCAACCACCGCCTCCTGGGTTCAAGCAATTCTCCTGCCTCAGCCTCCCGAGTAGCTGGGATTACAGGTGCCTGCCACCACGCCCAGCTAATTTTGATATTTTTAGTAGAGACGGGATTTCACCGTGTTGGCTAGGGTGATCTCAAACTCCTGACCTCAGGTGAGCCACCTGCCTCGGCCTCCCAAATAGCTGGGATTACAGGTGTGAGCCACCGTGCCTGGCCAGTAGTTCTTACTGGTAATATCTTTCTTTACGTGATGTAGGGGAACATGCACCCCCTCCCACCGCCTCCCCACCCCCGCCTCAGGGGAGTGGGTAGCAAGCAAGGTGGTGTGGATGGGAAAGGAAGTGTTTTTATTTTTGTTTTTTCAATTTTTAATTTTTTTTTTTGAGACGGAGTCTTACTGTGTCACCCAGGCTGGAGTGCAGTGGCGCAATCTGGGCTCACTGCAACCTCCGCCTCCCGAGTTCAAGCGATTCTTCTGTCTCAGCCTCTTGAATAGTTGGGTTTACAAGTGCCTGCCACTACACCCAGCTAATTTTATATTTTTGGTAGAGATGCGGTTTCACCATGTTGGCCAGGCTGGTCTAGAGCTCCTGGCCTCCCGCCTTGGCCTCCCAAAGTGCTGGGATTACAGGCCACCACACTGGGCTAATTTGTTTGTTTTCTTTTTAATCAGGCAGGCTCTTGAGCCATAGAAGGCTCAGAGGTACTCCCTGGGAAGTGATATTTTTTTAGGAGCCCACATGATTTTAATATACCTACTCCTTTACTGCCAGAGATTCTAATACAGTTGGATGGGATTGGGGCCCTGGAATCCTTACCGTTATTAAGCACCCTGGGTGATACTGATGCAGTTTCCTTGTACCATTTTTCTGAGAAACTCTGGTTTAGACTCTAGCCCAGCTTAATGGGAGGAAAGTAACTTCTTGATTTCAGTGTTTACTTCTGTATATTCTAAGGATAATAATATTTGTTTTAATTTACAACAGGTGCAGTTACTAAAGAGGCAGCAAAGATCATTCAAGATGTGAGTTTAATTGTTAATACTTTTCTTGATAATGCCACTTGGGCTTATTTTCACTTTGGATATGGCATTCTAATATATCTGAATACTTTTCTTTTTGCTGGAAGAGGGTCCTAGTCATTAATCTAGGTCTTGGGCACAACTAACAGTAAAGTGACTGGCATAGGCTTTTGACCATATTTCGGCAGCAATTACTGTTTTTGAAGATGATGTAAATGTGGATTGCTGTTCATAGTGGCAAGCTTAGTCTTTAAAAAAGTGGAGTAATAGATGGTGTGCTTTTGTTTTGAATCTTACAGTTTAATCTTAGATCATTAGTAAGAATGCATTCTTGATTTATTTTATTATTTGTATTCAGGTTCTTTAATTTATTTAAATTCTTGTTAATTCCACCTGGTTGGAAATAACAAAACTACATTATTTTTCTCTTTTACTATATTCAAGTATTTTCCTTTAAGTTTTGAAAGTTCAGTGTAGTCCTGTTTTATGCAACTTTGAATTATGTGAGACTGAAAATAGTGCAAAGTAAAAATATATTTAGACTTTCACTTTATGTCTCAAATTTGAAATATTGTGAGACTTCTCAAAATTAAAAGAAACGTTCAAGAAATGCATACTTTCAAGTCTGGCCGGCTGATTGCAAATTATGGCATTGTTGCCCTGTATCAGCATCACTTTAGCAGGAAAACAAAATTCCCATCATCCTTTATTAGTATCACATGATACTGTATCAGGTCTTGGGTTAATGTTTTTGATGACTGTTATGCTTTTTTTTTTTTTTTTTTTTTTTGAGACAGGGTCTTGCTCTGTTGCCCAGGCTGGAGTGCGGTGGCATGATCATAGCTCACTCAACCTCGAAATTCTGGGCTCAAGCAGTCCCCTACCTCAGCTTCCTGAGGAGCTAGGACCACAGGTGTCTGCCACCACACACAGCTTATTTTGTTTTTTTTCTTTTGTTGAGATAGGGTCTCAGTCTTGCTATGTTGCCCAGGCTAGTCTCAAACTCCTAGCCTCAAGTGATCCTCCCGCCTCAACCTCCCAAGCTGTTGTGATTACAGGCATGAGCCGATGGTGCCCAGCTTGTGCTGCTGTCCTAACATTTGCTCTTGATATAATTAAAACTCTTTTTTTATATCGTAGAATAATGCCATTTAAGTGTTATATTAAGTGGTGGTGCTAGTGCTAAAAAAATGTGCCCCAAATTTAATAACTTTAGAACAAAAGTTAGATGTGATAAAAAATCTATGAAGATGACCAAACCACTGCTGTGATATCTCATGCTATTAATTTAGGAGAGTGTACCCAGCAGAATATTAGCAGTAGTGCTCAAAAAACTGAAAGCAGTATTAAAGCAGGTATGCCTCTTAGTTCACAAAAATTATAACCAGGCAATGATAATGGAATAAATGGAAAAAAATTCTGGTAACACAAGTTGCAAGATCAGTGCTGCCATAATGCACCCCTGAGGGCAATCTATCATCTATGCTAAGGCATCAGTATTTTCATTTTGATTTGAAAAGAGGTGACAGTGAGACAAAAGGTTTACTACAAGTTATGGCTGGTTCTCCAATTTTAAAGCCCACCAAGGTTTTAGGAATATAAAAATGCACTGGCAAGCTGTATCTGCTAACTCCAAAGCTATGAAAACATTTCAGCTTTACCATAATTTAAAGAGGCTTTAACTTGGAAGACAACATAACACCTGCTAATAAGGAATCTGTGTAAGTAGAACAGAAGGTAGATTTGCACAGAGTTCCTGAAGAGGATATTGAATATTTGCTTGGGTTGTCCCCCATGGATTAATAAAGGAAGTCTTGCTAGAATTAGAAGAACAAAAGCAACTGGAAGAGGGTCCTAGCAGTCAATCCGGGCCTTGGGCACAACTAACAGTAAAGTGACTGCCATAGGCTTTTGACCATATTTTAGCAGCAATTACTATTTTTGAAGGTGATCTAAATGTGGATTGCTGTTCGTGGTGGCAAGTCTAAAGATGAAAAATGTGTCTGCATACCAAGAAATCCTCAGTGATAAAAAAAAGAAAGAAAAAACTCTCAAACCACATTAGAGTCATTCTTTAGCAAAAGTCTTCCAAGGAATCAGACCAGCCTTCACTGTAATGTGGAGAGGTAGCTTATCCTAATTTAGTGTCTCGTAACTCTCTCATTATTTGTGTTATTGGAAGATGATAGTAATTTCTCCTTAATTATTTTCAAGCAGTATACCACATTAGATAATTAACTGTCATTAAGTTAACTTGGTATTTATTTGAATATTATGTATTTTGCATTAAATTATATTTTAAAATTACATAATAAATCACTGTGTTGTACATTATTAACCACACAATTGTATAATCAAGGTATTAATGTATTATATATTAGTAAGTATTAACATGTATTCATAAAAACATTCTATATTAGTTGTAGATTTATGTACTCTGAGAATGCTTCTTTCCTCTGTATATATGAGATAATTAGTCTTGAATTATGTTAGTTTTGAATTATTTAGTTTTTTAGGAACATATACCTCATATTTCATGTAGCTGCCCTATATATGTTTTCCCTATGTGGAGTATTTCTATAATTCACCAGTCATTTAAACTATGTTACAGAATAGTTTTGATTAATATTTTTACTTTAGTCTATAAAAAGTATAATAAATAATGTAGTGCTCTTACAATGTGAAAAAAAAAAAAAAAAACACCTGACAGTTTTAGAATCTTTTCTTGGTTTCTCTGAGAACTTTGTTGTGAATCTCCCTCAAGTTACTTAAATGATTTTAAATTTTTGGGAAAGGTGAAAAATACAGAAAATTACAAAGAGGAAAATCTGTAAAACTCAGCAAACTTTTTCTATAAAAGTCTAGATAGTAAATATTTTAAACTTTGCAGGCTCTATGGTTGCAATTGTAGACTCTGTCACCTCTGCCATTGTAGTGAAAAGCTGCCATAAATAATACATGAAAGAGTGAGTGTGGCTGTGTTCCAGTAAAATTTTATTTACAAAAACAGATGGTGGGCTGGACGTGGTGCACAGGCCATAGTTTGGCAACCCCTGCTCTATGATATTCCCACTATCCAGAATTAACCATTGTTAGATTTGGTTTATTTGCTCAGTTTCTTTCCCCTACCTTTTTCTTCTTTTTTAAAAAATTAACCACTACTACCAGTTAGTCTCCCTTTTACATCCCTGGAAGCAACTGCTATTATGAGTTTAGCATGTGTTCTTTTAGACAATCTTTAATATTTAATATTAAATGGAAAATATTTAATATTGTTTTAAAAAATACCTATCCATGTTGATACTGAGTAGGTTTGGTACATTCCTGTTGATTATAGTAATGTTTTGCCTGTAGGTACCACATTTTATTTATCCATTGTCCTATTGATGAACATTAGATCGTTTCCAGGTTTTTGCTATTAAAAATCTTTGCAGTTAGGCGCGGTGGCTCACGTCTGTAATCCCAGCACTTTGGGAGGCCAAGGTAGGTAGATCTCTTGAGCTCAGGGGTTTGAGACCAGCCTAGACAACATGGCAAAACCCCATCTCTACTGAAAATACAAAAAATTAGCTAGGTGGTGGCAAGTGCCTCTAGTCCCAGCTACTTGGGAGGCTGAGATGGGAGAATCACCTGAATCCAGGAGTTCAAGGCTGTAGTAAGCCTTGATTGCACCACTGCACTCCAGCTTGGGTGACAGAGACCCTGTCTCAAAAACAAAAAAAAAGAAAAAAAAAATCTCTGGGGCGAAGTGTGGTGGCTCACGCCTGTAATCCCAGCACTTTGGGACGCCAAGGATCACTTGAGTCCAGGAGTTTGAGACCAGCCTGGGCAACATGATGAAACCTCATCTCTATAAAAAAATACCAAAAAATTAGCTGGGTATGGTGGTGCACGCCTATAGTCTCAGCTACTTGGGAGGCTGAGGTGGGAGGGTTGCTTGAGCCTAGAAGGTAGGTCAAGGCCGCGGTGAGCTGAGATCACACCATTGCACTACAACCTGGGTGACAGAGTGAGACCCTGTCTCTAAATAAATAAATAAATAAAAATATCCGCTACAGTGAATATCCTTGTATATGTCTCCTGTGTGTGTAGATGTGTAGAAATGGGAGAGTAGAATTGTTAGGTCAAAGAGCATTTTCATTTTTAGGGCTGTTCCAACTTTTATCCCTACCAACAGTTATGACTGTACCCATATATTACAGCCTCACCATCATTTAGTGTTGTCAAATTTAAACTTTTTTTGCTAATCTGTTTGGTGGTATCTTATTGTTATCTTATTTTATGTGTTACTGATTACCAGTAGGTTTGCTTATATTTCTGTTTTTTGGTCATTTGAATTTTCTTTGAATTTCCTGTTTTTAATTTTTCCCTATTTTTGTGTTGAATTATCTTTTTCTTAATGATTTTTAGGTGGTCTCTCTGTAATCTGGATTTTCCCCCTTTTCAACTCATTATTTTCATCAACACAAAAATATGCAGTCCTACATCTTATCTGAGAATAATCCTTTTTTAACACCATGGCCCTCCAGCAACTATCCCTTTTCTCTGCTCTCTTTATGGAAAAACTCCTCTAAAGGTAGCCTGTTCTTGCCACCTCTGTCTCCTTATCTGTAATCTCTCCTTAGGTCATTCCAGTCAGGCTTTTGTCTGCACCACTGCATTGAAACTGTTCTTGTCAATATTGCTATCAGTCTTTATATTGCCAAATCTGGTAGTCAATTTACTGTATTTAACACAGTCACTCTTTCCTCCTTTCTTGAAATACTTTCTTCATTCAACTTCCAGGACATCATACTTGGCCCTTTTCTCAGTCTACATTACTTTTAGTGAATTCATGCAGTCCTGTGGTTTTATTTATTTACTGATTGAGACAGGGTCTTGAGTGCAGTGGCATGATCTCAGCTCACTGCAACCTCCACCTTCTGGGATTGAGAGACCCTCCCACCTCAGCCTTCTGGTAGTTGGGACCACAGCGGCATGCCACTATGTCTGGCTAACTTTGTACATTTTTAGTAGAGATGAGGTCTCGCTATGTTGCCCAGGCTGGTCTCAAACTTCTGGACTCAAGCCATCCTCCCGCCTCAGCCTCCCAAAATGCTAGGATACAGGTGTGAGCCATTTCTCTTGGCCCACTCCTGTGGTTTTAAATACCACCTAGATGGTGATTGATTCCTTCTAGATTTATTTAGATTTATTTCTCTTACCCTGACCTTTGAGCTCCAGATTCCTGTATCCAGCTGCCGACTTGACATTTACACTTATATGATTAACAGCCATCTCAAATAATATATCTAAAACAGAACCCTTTTATCCCTCCAGACTTCTCTTCAGTGATCCCTACTTCTTACCACCTCCATTACCGCCTCCTTAGTCTGAGCATCATCATTCTTTTGGATTATTGCAGTGACCTATCTGTCTTCCTGCTTCCATTTTTGTCCTTTGCAGTTTTTTCTCTACACTGTTACCAGAATGATCTTTTAAAAACCCAAATCAGATCATGTCATTCCTCCGCTCAAAAACCTTCAATGACATTCTGAAAAGAATAAAGGAGGCAAAGAGCAAGTTTCCACATATTGAAATTATAGGAAAACTACAGATATAAAGCTACGTAGTTAAAACAATTGGTACTGGTGCACGAATAGACAGACAACCCAGTAGAAGAGAAATCCAGAAATAGGTCCAAACATATATATATATTTTTGAGACGGAGTCTTGCCCAGACTGGAGTGCAGTGGTACAATCTCAGCTCATTTCAACCTCCGCCTCCTGGGTTCAAGCAGTTCTCTGCCTCAGCCTCCTGAGTAGCTGGGATTACAGGCGCGTGCCACCACGCCTGGCTAATTTTTGTATTTTTAGTAGAGACAGGGTTTCACCATCTTGGCCAGGTTGGTCTTGAACTCCTGACCTTGTGATCCGCCTGCCTCGGTGTCCCAAAGTGCTGGGATTACAGGCATGAGCCACAGCACCTGGCCCAAACATATATTTAAAATGTGGGAATTTAGTAATGATAGAGGTGGCATTTCAGATCAGTAGGAAAAATATGGATTATTTAATAAATAATGCTGTGACAACTGAGTAGACATATGGAAGAAAATATAGATTTGCACCTCACAATTTAGACCAAAATAAAGTTCAGATGGAGAAAGACTTAAGAAATTGTAAGTATGTACTCAGAAAAATATAGGAAAAAATTTTAACGGTGTAGAGGTCTTTCTAAATATGTCACAAAACCCGGAAGCCATAAAAGAATCAATGGGGAAATTCAACCATATTTCAAAATCAAAAGACAAATGACAAAATGAAAAGGTTACATACAACTCATGTTACAAAAATCTAGTGTTTTTTAATATGTAAAGAGCTTCTATGGGCCAGGTGCGGTGGCTCATGCCTGTAATCCCAACACTTTGGGAGGCCGAGGTGGGCAAATCTCTTAAGGGCAGGAGTTCAAGACCAGCCTGGCCAACATGGTGAAACCCTCTCTCTACTAAAAATACAAAAATTAGCTGAATGTGTTGGCACATGCCTGTAATCCCAGCTACTCAGGTGGCTAAGGCACGAGGAATTGCTTGATCCCGGGAGGCGGAGGTTGCAGTGAGCCGAGATCACGCCACTGCACTCCAGTCTGGGTGACAGAGTGAGACTGTCTCAAAAAACAAAACAAAAACAAAAAATCCCCAAGGAGCTTCTATGAATCATTTTAAATGCCAGTAGGAAAATGGGCAAAAGTAACATATGCAAAGATATTTAACTTCAAAATGAGAGAAATGCTGGTTAGAACTATGGCTTAATTAGATTGGCAAAGAAAAACGATGGATAACACTGCTAAGGTATTCTTATTGCCAGTAGGAGTGTAAATTGATAAAAGTGCTGCAGAGGGCAATTTAGTAGAACCTGTTAAAATTTTAACTTCCATTTACCCAGGAACTCCATTTTTAGGAATTTATCTTCCAGATACATTTTGTACATTTATGAAATGAAGCATGTACAAGGATTTTAATCATAGCATTGTTTATAGTAGCAGAAGCTTGAAAACAACCTAATTTAAATTTCACCAGTGGTCAGGGCCATGGTGCATTCACTCTGAGTTATTGTGTGAATTAGAAAAAAATAGCTCTACATGGGCAGGGTCTGAAATGTACCCTTTTTGAATTTCACACCTATTTATGTGGCCTGGCAAGTAGAGTTGCTGTGCAGGCATACACAGTGGCCTTGTTCAGGCTGTAGTTAAAACTGAACAAGGTATATATCCATAACAATGGAATATTACACAGTTGTTAAAAAAGAATGTGGCAGCTCAGTATATACAGACATAGAGCAGTCTCAAATATCATAAGTGAAAAAAGACACAAAATTGTGTAACATGGTGCCATTTGTGCTACACACACACACACATACACACACACACTTGTATATATGTATAGACTATCCCTGGAAGACAACTAATAAATGGGTAATAGTGGTTGCCTCTAAGGATAATTGAATGACTAGGGGAGAATTTTAAAAGGGAAAATTATTTTTTCATTGTGTATTACGTGAATCTTTGAATTTTTTGGCACATCTGTTAAAGAAACATTCATAGAATTTTTTTTTCAAAAGATAAAGGAAAGTGGTAATGAATATGAATAGAGAGTTCACAGAAGAGGGACTACAAATAATGCTTACATGTGAAAAATATCTAACTACACTAAAGTAAAATAATTTTTCACTCATTGAGAAATAACAAAATGGTAATACTCTATTGACTAGGATACTGGGAAAGGCCCACATCTATTGATAATGGTCACATAATTTGATATAATGTCTATCAGTACCATCAGAATTAAAATTATATATTTGGGACCCACCAACAACACTTCTAAGACTTTATTCTGTAGATAAACTAGCACATGTAGAATTAATTTATGTCTAAATATACTCATCATAGCATTGTTTATAATAGTAAAATATTTATAACATCCTAGATATGTTCATCAGGGATTCTTCAGATTACTTATGGTACATTTAATAATGGAATACTATACAAGCTGTTATTAGGCAGCTTTATACAATGTTATGTAAATGGACCTCCAAGATAGTTTGCTAAGTGACAAGAGCAAGGTTCTGAATCTTGGTAATAATAGGCTACACTTTGTAGTCAGAAGCAACTTTGTTTAATTACATACACCATCTCTAGAAGGATATATAGTAGTGCCACTTATCTGTGGCTTGAAAATATTAAATGGAAAATTCCGGAAATAAACAATTCGTAAGTTTTAAATTGTGTGCCATTCTGAGTAGCACGATGAAATCTCATGCCATTCTGCCTGGGATGTAAATCATCTCTGTCTAGCATATCCACACTGTGTGTACTACCCATCACTAGTCAGTAGCCATCTCAGTTATCAGGTCACAAGAAGAAGGATGAGTACAGCACATTAAGATATTTTGAGAGAGAGTACCTTCACATAATTTTTATTATAGTATATTGTTATAATTGTTCTATTTAGTAGTTACTGTTAACCTCTTATGCCTAATTTATAAATAAAACTTTATCATAGGTATATATGTATAGAAAAAACATTGTGTGTGTGTGTGTATATATATATAGAACCCTATATACATAGAGGCAACATATATACATATACAACGTATATACATATATTGTATATGTGTATACAATCCTGTAGACATATTTCAGGCAACACAGTGGTTGCCTGAAACCATGAATCATACCAAACCCTATATACATATATACATATGTATATATATAGAGAGAGAGCACTTAGCACTTACCACTACCTGGAATTATATATATATATACACACATACATATGTGTGTGTGTATGTGTGTGTGTGTATATATGTATATGTATACATATATACTTACGTATATACATACATATATACGTATGTAAGTATATATATTACATATATATACGTATGTAAGTATATATATTACATATATATACGTATGTAAGTATATATGTATACATATATACATATAGATATGTATATATCCATATTATGATATATTATGGATATATGTATACATATATATATATATGTCTATATATACACACATATATACATGTGTGTATAGGCTTCGGTATGATCCATGGTTTCAGGCAACCACTGGGGGTCTTGGAACATATTCCCGGCAGATAAGGGGGAACAACTGTATAAGAAACTGGGAACAGTGGTTGTGTTCAAGGTTGAGTCTGGGTGGACGGCAGTCATTCATGTGTATATTACTTTAATTGCAAAAACCACAATTATTTTTGTACCAACGCAATACTTCTGTACATTTTGAATTTTGCACTGAGTTCATGTATTACTTTTGTTTAAATTAAATTTAAATATAACCTCCAATGGCTTCCCATCACATTTAAAATACAATCCTAATTTTGTTTTTGACTGAGACCTTCCAGATCCTATACAATTTAGTTTCTGCCTACCTCTCCAAATGTATCATTCTCCCCTTGCTTACTGTCTTTCAGCCTTGTTCTTGTTGATGTTCCTAAAGCATGCCAAGCTTTCTCCCACTTCAGGGTTTTTGCACCTATAGTCTGCCTGCCTGGACTCTTCAGACCTTAGACCTTTGCATGGCTTACTCTTTTGAATAATTCAAAAGGTCTCTGCTCAGATGTTTACTTCAGAATTGCCCCTCCTCCATGCCATCACTCTCCATTCCTGTACGCTGCTTTATTTTCTTCATCGCACTTATCACTACCTAGAATTATATATTATTTGTTTTACTTGTTTATTTTTTGTGTCTTCCTCTAGAATGTAAGGCTCATATGAGCAGAACTTTGTCTTGTTTTCTGCGGTATCTCCACGGCTTAGAACAGTGCCTGGCTTGTAGTAAACATTCAGGAAATAAATATTGAGTGAATACACATGTTTTAAGTACATTCCTCCACTCTGTTGTTTGCCCTATAACTTTGTTTTATAAAGACCTTTGTTTACAGAAGTTTTTTTTTTTTTTGGATTAAAAAACTTTACTTTTTGGCCGGGCACGGTGGCTTACGCCTGTAGTCCCAGCACTTTGGGAGGCCAAGGTGGGTGGATCACGAGGTCAGGAGATTGAGACCATCCTGGCTAACACGGTGAAATCCCATCTCTACTAAAAATGCAAAAAAAATTAGCCGGGCGTGGTGGCGGGTGCTTGTAGTCCCAGCTACTCAGGAGGCTGAGGCAGGAGAATGGCATGAATCCAGGAGGCAGAGGTTGCAGTGAGCTGAGATCATGCCACTGCATTCCAGCCTGGGTGACAGAGCGAGACTCCGTCTCAAAAAAAAAAAAATTAATTTACTTTTTAAGAGCTTTATTATGATAGGCAGAATAGTAGCCCCCCAAAGATGTCCATGTCCTTGTCCACAGAATCTGTGAATATGTTACATTACATGGCAAAGGTGAATTAAGGTAGCAAGTGGCATTAGGGTTCCTAATCAGCTAACCTTAAAATAGGGAGATTATCCTGGATCATCTGAGCAGTTTTAAATTTTGAGGTAGTCAAATGTATCAGTCTTTTCTACTTTGATTTACTCTTTTGTGTTTTATTTAAGAATACTTTGTGATCCCAGCTGGGAGTGGTGGCTCACGCCTGTAATCCCAGCACTTTGGGAGGCCGAGGTGGGCGGATCACGAGGTCAGGAGTTTGAGACCAGCCTGGCCAACATGGTGAAACACCATCTCTACTAAAAATATAAAAAATTAGCCAGGCGTGGTGGCGCACGCCTGTGGTCCCAGCTACTCAGGAGGCTGAGGCACAAGAACTGCTTGAACCTGGGAGGCGAAGGTTGCAGTGAGCTGAGATTGTGTCACTGTACTCCAGCCTGAGTGACAGAGTGAGACTCCGTCTCAAAAAAAAAAAAAAGAAAAAAGAAAAGAATACTTTGTGATCTGTTTATTTGAAAGTTCTCTAGTGACTTTAGTTCTTTTTTTTTCCCTGAGATCTTTAATTGATGTGGAATATATTTTTGTGTATGGTCTGAGGTTGGATCTAATTTTTCTGAGTAGCCAGTTGTCCTAATCAGCAAGATTAACAATTGTTTTCATTGTTTTGATCATACTTATTTTAAAAATATATATTATATGTATAATTTTTATATTTATAGTTTATAAATATATTTTTATATTTATAGTTTATAAGTATATTTTTATATTTATAGTTTATAAGTATATTTTTATATTTATAGTTTATAAGTATATTTTTATATTTATAGTTTATAAGTATATTTTTATATTTATAGTTTATAAGTATATTTTTATTTTTATAGTTTATAAGTATATTTTTATTTTTATATTTACAAATATATTTTTATATTTATAGTTTATAAATATATTTTTATATTTATAGTTTATAAATATATTTTTATATTTATATTTATAAATGTTTTTTAAAATCAGTAAATTAAACTAATACTGATTGGGAGAAGTAGGAATCTGTGTGTATTTTCCAAGGTGACTTTTTTATTGCAACCACTCTTTCAGAGGAATTATATTTCTCTTGATGTATATGAACTTTCAATTGATAGCAATTATAGTCAGTGATAAGGTACTAAAAAAAATCTTTCTTTGGTTTCTGAATTTGCTTTTAACTAGGAAAGTACACAGGAAGATGCTATGAAATTTCCATCTTCCCAATCTTCCCAGCCTTCCAGGCTTTTAAAGAACAAAGGCATATCATGCAAACCCGTCACACAGACCAAGGCCACTTCTTGCAAACCACATACACAGCACAAAGAATGTCAGACAGGTATGTATCCTTGTGCGTTCCCATGTACAAAGCTTGTTTTCTGGCTTGTTTGTTTTTGTTTTTTAAGAAAGGAAAAGAAAATAATTGACAGAGTCTTAAATGTGAAAACATTCCTTTTCTTGGATCACATGCTTTGAATACTTAATTTATTGCTTTCATAATTATTAACACTAATAACCAGCTATCATAACAAGCTATTATAATTACTAACATACAGTTTTAGTTAAAAGCATTAGTGATTTAACCTGTTTTTTTTTTTAAATACTGCGAATTCAGTTGTCAGTTGCTAACAGTACAATTAATTTATCTGAGGTATTGGTGACGATGAAAATTGTTTGAGCTTTACTTGAAAAAGTTGTGAAGTATTACTTTTAATCCCACTACCCTTAGATTTTCAATTGCTTTAATAGTCTACTGTGCCTAAAGCACTGGGTTTTTTTTTGTTTGTTTGTTTGTTTTTTTTGAGATGGAGTTTCACTCTTGTTGCCCAGGCTGGAGTGCAATAGCGTGATCTTGGCTCCCTATAACCTCTGCCTCCTGGGTTCAAGCGATTCTCCTGTCTCAGCCTCCTGAGCAGCTGGGATTACAGGTGCCTGCCACCATGCCCGGCTAATTTTTGTATTTTTAGTAGAGACGGGGTTTCATCACTTTGACCAGGCTGGTTTTGAACTCCTGACCTCAGGTGATCTGCCTGCCTCGGCCTCCCAAAGTGCTGGGATTACAGGCATGAGCCACCGCCCCTGGCCTGATTTTTGTTTTTAATAATAATTTTACTTCATAGAATACACTATATTTAAAAGCTTAGTCTGTCAACAAGTAGTAAGTTTTTATGTAGGGTACCTTTATTTTGGTAGAAGTCAAGCAGAATCCTGTTTTCCTTCCTCAGGAAATTTATTTTATATTCCTATTAAAACAATATATTATTTGTACCTGAATTTATATTATATACACGTTCACACATGGAGAGTACTAAAGGATCTGTGGGCATCTATATGTGTGTATGTGTGTGTGTATGTTTGTGTGTGTGTGTGTGCTTATGTTTTGAGTTCTAGATTAAATATTGAATTGTTGGTCAGACGTGGTGGCTCATGCCTATAATCCCAGCACTTTGGCAAGCCAACATGGGCGGATCACCTGAGGTCAGGAGTTTGAGACCAGCCTGACCAACATGGTGAAACCCCATCTCTACTAAAAATACAAAATTAGCTGGGCATGGTGGCACAGGACTGTAATCCCAGCCACTCAGGAGGCTGAGGAAGGAGAATCGCTTGAACCTGGGAGGTAGAGGTTGCGGTGAGCTGAGATCGCGCCATTGTGCTCCAACCTGGGCAACAAGAGTGAAACTCCGTCTCTTTTAAAAGAATAAATCTCGAATGTTTTCTAACAATCGAAATTACTTTTTCATTTGACATTGCATTGGAAACATTATTCCACAACAATATAAATTTAAATATACATTGAGATTATTTTTTTCCAATTTTTATTTTATTATGTTTATTTTATTTTATTCGGGGGTACATGTGCAGATTTGTTACCTGGGTATGAGATTCTTAACATAGATTTCAGTGTATATAATATAACCAACTCCGTTAAGATTGGAAATTTAGATATTTGTATTATAAGCAATGTTGGGTTAAGCTATGTTAATGGATCTTTGTCCACTTGCCTAATTATGTCCTTAGGATAAATCCTAATCAGTGGAAGTGTTGATTCAAAGACTATCATCTTTTTTTTTGTTTGTTTTTGTTTTTGAGACAGAGTCTATCTCTGTCACCCAGGCTAGAGTGTAGTGGCGCGATCTCGGCTCACTGCAACCTCCACCTGCCAGGTTCAAGCGATTCTCCTACCTCAGCCTCCTGAGTAGCTGGGATTACAGGCACCTGCCACCATGCCCAGCTAATTTTCTTTTGTATTTTTAGTAGAGACGGGATTTCACAGTGTTGGCAACGCTGGTCTCAAACTCGTGACCTCATGATGTGCCCGCCTCAGCCTCCCAAAGTGCTGGGATTACAAGCGTGAGCCACCGCGCCGGCCTATCATCTATTCTTAAGTATTTTGATACCTGTTGCCTAAATTGCCCTCCTGAAAAGTTACATCAATGTATGCTCCAACCAGCAGTGTTCAGGAGGATCCATTTCTCTACAACCTCACTGACACTGAGTATCAAAATTCAGAAAGGTTGAATATACAGTACAGTCAATACTAGTATACTCTTCATCCAGATTAATGAAATGTTAACTTTTTGCAATATTTATTTTCTTTTTTTTTCTGGATTGTTTGAAAGTAAAACATTATTTTTCTGTCTCTTTTTCTTCCTTTTCTTTCTTTTTTTTGAGATGGAGTTTCACTCTTGTCTCCCAGGCCGGAGTGCAATGACATGATCTCGGCACATTGCAACCTCCGCCTCCCGGGTTCAAGCGATTCTCCTGCCTCAGCCTCTCAAGTAGCTGAGATTATAGGCATGTACCACCATGCCTGGCTAATTTTGTGTTTTTAGTAGAGACGGGGTTTCACCACGTTGGCCTGGCTGGTCTCGAACTCCTGACCTCAGGTGATCTGCCCGCCTTGGCCTCCCAAAGTGCTGGGATTACAGGTGTGAGCCCCATGCCTGGCCTTTTTTTTCTTTTTCTTTAAAAAAATTTTTTGACACCAGTGTCACTCACCAATAAAAAATTTATTCTTTTTGTTTTTTTTTGAGACGTAGTCTCAAGAGTGCAGTGGTGTGATCATGGCTCTCTGCAGGCTCAACCTCCTGGGCTCAGGCAATCCTCTTGCTTTAGCTACCCAAGTAGCTGGGACTATAGGTGTGTGCCATTGCATCCAGCCAATTTTTTTTCTTCTTCTTTTTTTTTTTTTAATGTAGAGATGGAGTTTCGCCATGTTGCCCGGGCTGGTCTCTAACTCCAGGGCTCAAGTGACCCACCCACCTTGGTGTCCCAAAGCACTGGGATTATAGGTGTGAGCCACCCTGCTCAGCCAAAAAGTTTATTGTTAATTTGATGTGTATCATGGTCTTCAGCCCTAATTTCAATAACCTATTGGGTGCTTGGGATTACTTGTACATGTACCACATCCTACAGTTTTATTATACCTAGTGATCAAGCTTTGGGCAAAGGAGAAATTCAGTTTTCAGTAGCATCATTGGAAGTATTATGACTTGTGCTTAAACTTTTACCAGTGCATTCTTTTGATAAATAGAAATAGTAACAAAATATGAATTTTAAATATGTGGGGAGATACATAAAGAACATTGCTTATTTGTTCTTGAAAATAACAGTGATTCAAATATTTCATTCAGATTTACCTATGCCTAATGAAAAAAATGATGCAGAACTTGATTCTCCACCTTCAAAGAAAAAAAGATTAGGTTTTTTCCAGACTTATGATACAGAATATTTAAAAGTTGGTTTTATTATCTGTCCTGGATCAAAAGAAAGTTCACCAAGGCCACAGTGTGTCATTTGTGGAGAGATCTTATCCAGTGAAAACATGAAGCCAGCAAATCTTTCTCATCATTTGAAGACAAAACATTCAGAATTAGAAAACAAACCAGTAGATTTTTTTGAACAAAAATCTTTAGAAATGGAATGTCAAAATAGTTCTTTAAAAAAGTGTTTACTAGTTGAAAAGTCACTTGTGAAAGCTTCTTATTTAATTGCTTTCCAAACTGCTGCAAGCAAGAAGCCATTCTCCATTGCTGAAGAATTAATTAAACCATATTTAGTAGAAATGTGTTCAGAAGTTTTGGGTTCAAGTGCTGGAGACAAAATGAAAACTATTCCACTTTCTAATGTTACAATTCAACACAGGATTGATGAACTATCTGCAGACATTGAAGACCAGCTGATTCAAAAGGTCAGAGAGTCAAAGTGGTTTGCCCTTCAGATAGATGAGTCATCAGAAATCTCAAATATCACACTTCTTTTGTGCTATATTCGTTTCATTGATTATGATTGTCGTGATGTAAAAGAAGAATTATTATTTTGCATTGAAATGCCTACTCAAATAACTGGCTTTGAAATATTTGAACTAATAAATAAATATATTGATAGTAAATCTCTGAATTGGAAACATTGTGTTGGTCTCTGTACCGATGGGGCTGCAAGCATGACTGGCAGGTATTCTGGTTTAAAAGCAAAAATTCAAGAAGTTGCCATGAATACAGCGGCATTTACACATTGTTTTATTCACCGTGAACGTTTAGTGGCAGAAAAGTTGTCTCCATGTTTACATAAAATTCTTTTGCAGTCAGCACAAATTTTAAGTTTTATAAAGAGCAATGCATTAAATTCACGTATGTTAACAATTTTGTGTGAAGAGATGGGATCTGAGCATGTGAGTTTACCGCTTCATGCTGAAGTACGTTGGATATCAAGAGGGAGAATGTTAAAAAGATTATTTGAATTACGACATGAGATTGAAATATTTTTAAGTCAAAAGCATTCAGATTTGGCCAAGTATTTTCATGATGAGGAATGGGTTGGAAAGCTGGCCTACTTATCAGATATATTTTCACTTATAAATGAATTAAATTTAAGTCTCCAAGGAACTTTGACTACTTTCTTCAATTTGTGTAATAAAATTGATGTATTTAAGAGAAAGTTAAAAATGTGGTTGAAGCGCACACAAGAGAATGATTATGACATGTTCCCTTCATTTTCTGAATTCTCAAATTCATCAGGCTTAAATATGACAGACATCACAAGGATTATTTTTGAGCACCTGGAAGGACTTTCTCAAGTGTTCAGTGACTGTTTTCCACCAGAACAAGACTTGCGTTCAGGAAATTTGTGGATAATTCACCCTTTTATGAATCACCAAAATAATAATCTCACCGACTTCGAAGAAGAAAAGCTAACAGAGCTATCTTCAGATTTAGGATTACAAGCACTATTTAAATCAGTGTCTGTAACTCAGTTTTGGATAAATGCAAAGACAAGTTACCCAGAACTCCATGAAAGGGCAATGAAATTTTTATTACCCTTTTCAACTGTTTATTTATGTGATGCTGCCTTTTCAGCTTTGACTGAGTCAAAACAAAAAAATCTGTTGGGTTCTGGCCCTGCCCTAAGACTTGCAGTCACATCTTTAATTCCAAGGATAGAAAAATTAGTGAAGGAGAAAGAGTAGCAATATGCACATTGCTTAACAGTGAAGTCAATAATCCTGTGTTAAGTTTTGTATAAGTATCCTAAAAGATAATTTCCTAATGTGGATTTGTGTTTTCAGTGATTAAATGTTTTAATAATTTTTCCCTTTTTGTTGAGGAATTTAATAATTATGATTGTTATAAATAATTATGTATAATTATAATCTAGGGTAGAAAATTTAGTTATTTCATTAAATTTGGACTAGTGACAAAGACTGCAGGTAATGAGAAGCCCAGTTTATAATGTAACAGCACAACCTGGATGTTGAAACAGCTTGGCCTTTAGAAGCAAGTGGAACATTTCAGTCTTCTAGCCAACCAGCTACTTACCCCTGCAAGGTTGTGAGTAGGTGGAAAAGATAGATCTTTTTTTTGAGATGGAGTTTTGCTCTTGTTGCCCAGGCTGGAGTGCAATGGCGTGATCTTGGCTCACTGGAACCTCTGCCTCCTAGGTTCAAACAATTCTCCTGCCTCAGCCTTCCAAGTAGCTGGGGTTACAGGCATGTGCCACCATGCCCGTCTATTGTATTTTTTTTAGTAGAGACGGGGTTTCACCATATTGGTCAGGCTGGTCTCTATCTCCTGACCTCAAGTGATCCACCTGCCTCGGCCTCCCAAAGTGCTGGGATTACAAGTGTGAGCCAACGTGCCCAGCTGGAAAAAGATAGATCTAAGCAGCTTGGGTAACTATAAATGGAAGCAGCAGGGGGATTTGAGACCCCTGCTTGGGGCCTTTCTGGCCCAATATACCAGGGCTTAGCAAACTTTTTAAATAAAGAGCCAGATAGTAAATATTTTCAGCTTTGCAGGCCATACTGTCACAACTACTCAATTCTGCAGTTGCAGTGCAAAAGCAGCCATAGACAATATGCAGATAAGTGTGGCTGTTTTTAAATAAAACTTATTCATGAACACTGAAATATGAATTTCATATAATTTTCCTATGTCACACAAGCTTCTTTAAAAAATGTTTTTATCATAAAAAATGTAAACAAACATTATTAGCTTGGGGGAAGGGGAGAAGCATGGAAAAAAATCAGACATCTGGCCAAATTTGGCCCATGGTTTGCCCATCCCAGCTTTAGACAGATTTCCAGGTAAGAGCAAATGGGCCAGGAGTGGACTGTAGGGCTTGGTTCAGTGAAAGCCTCTCTATCCATGCAAGTATCTGAATTTTCAAACACCTTTCACATTTCATTGTCAGCCGAGATAAATTAGAGGGAAAAGATATCTCAGGCAAAGAGACTTATTTAATAATTAATGGTTATTGATTTATTACAATTTTATAAATTAATTTACTAATTTACAAATAACTTTCTGAGCTCTTACATGTGCAGGCACTGTGCTAGGCCTGTTACAAACTCTGGAGAACTGAGTTATCCCCATATACAGATGCAGATACTGAGGCCCTTTGGGGTGGGTGACAGCTCAGATCCCACAGCTAGTGTGGCACAGGCAGGAACGAAGCCCGGGGTCTTTTGATGGTAGCTGAACCGCACCCAGACACCCACCCGTGTCTGCCAGCACTCCGTATTGGCTGGGAAACACTCCCTGAATCCAAAGGTGCCTGTTTAGTCAGTTACCAGCCAGTGGTCCTCAAGTGTCCCCACCTGTAAGATGGGGGCGCCCTGCCCCAGTACTGCAGCCTCGCGACCCCCTGGAGGGTGGGGGACGGTAGCTCAGGCGAGAGTCTTCCGGCTGCCCCGGGGAGGGAGGAAATGAGCCGGCGGCAGGGGCGGGTTTTCGGCGGGGCCAACCCACGGTGGGGGGAGCGCGGCCATGGCGCTCCTGCTTTCGGTGCTGCGTGTACTGCTGGGCGGCTTCTTCGCGCTCGTGGGGTTGGCCAAGCTCTCGGAGGAGATCTCGGCTCCAGTTTCGGAGCGGATGGTGAGCGGCGCGGGCGGGCGGCAGGGGATCGGGCCCGCGGCGGCGTGTGCTCCGCCCTGCCGCTCCTCGCCCCCGGCCCGGCAGGCCGCCTTCGGGCTTCCGAGGCTCAGCTGGAGCTGGGGGAAAGCGCCTGGCTTTCGACTGAGGCGCAGGTCCTGCCTGGGGAGTTCCTCGAGTTCTCTGGATCTTCCCTAGACGGAAGGGGACAGAACCTCCCCTTCCTGCAGAATATTGGTGGCCCCAGGCAAATCTAGAGCCTTAGGAGGTCCCTCCCACCCCCCCGGACCCTGGGGGAGGATGATGCGGTGGGAAAATGAGCTCACTTCCCGCTCTCTTCCCTCTTTTCGCCGTTTGCTTCAGTTTTTGGGAGGTTCGTGGGGTTGGGGTGTAGTAATCCTGGCTTTGCAGGGAAGGAAGCCCGCCCTGAAGGGCAAGTATATCTGCTAAAGATTGCACATCTAGTCAGGAAGCAGGACACAAGCTAGACACTCCTAACTCGGAACCCAGAGAGGGAAGCCTCTCTCGGAAGCCTGAGAGGGATGCCCTGAAGTCGTCTTTCAGCCTTCTGTCTAGTTCCAGACTCATGGGAAAGCTTTCATATCCTGTTCACCAATCTCCCCAGTCCCTCAAAAGAGCCAGACTTGTAGACCTCTGCTGGCATCTCTCTCCAAGGCCTGGATAAATCCCCAGAGACAGACAGCTTAGAGCTGCTTCCCAGCAGAGCTGAGGAGGGGAGGTAGAGCTGAGGAGTGGGAACAGGAAAAAGTATCCCCGAAAGTAAGGATGAAGTTGTCATTTGGCTCAGGGGAGGGCCTGCCTTGACAAGAAGAGTCACTTTGAGCCCACCTAACTCTGCCTCACCTCCAAATATTCCCTGTACAGCAGCCTTAAGAGAAACCAGGCCAGACACAAAGAAGGAAACTGTGGAATTCCCCAGGCCTTGGCACTAGGGAGCCAAGCCCAGCCCCCTCCTCCTGGGATTTGGGGCTGGGTTGTAATCTCTTGAGAGGTCTAGTGAGAAGATCAATCTCTGTACCACTTGGAGCATGGAGCCTGTTTCCTGATTCCAAAGCTCAGCGCCACAGGGCAGCCCTCTCCTCTTCAGGCTGACCTCAGCCCTGGACCTGACCTAGAGTAGTAGTTCTTTTCTCTGGGAAGTTGAGGGCACAGGCATAGATATGCCATGGAGCATCTGGGGAGCTCATCCTTGTTGAACAATGAGGCTAACAGGCATTCCTTGCCACCCCTAGAATGCCCTGTTCGTGCAGTTTGCTGAGGTGTTCCCGCTGAAGGTATTTGGCTACCAGCCAGATCCCCTGAACTACCAAATAGCTGTGGGCTTTCTGGAACTGCTGGCTGGGTTGCTGCTGGTCATGGGCCCACCGATGCTGCAAGAGATCAGTAACTTGTTCTTGATTCTGCTCATGATGGGTAAGGGGGCCAACTGGCCTGAGAAAATGGGGTCTTCTGGGGGAGGATTATGGAAAGACCTGGCTGTTCCCCCTTACTGTTGCCACCCTTCTTTTTTCTCTGGGATCAAGAGCACTTTCTGCTCTACCACAGTTTCCATGGTCTTCAAACTAGCACAGGTATTTTTTTTTTTTTTTTTTTTTTTTTTTGAGATGGAGTCTCGCTCTTTCGCCCAGGCTGGACTGCAGTGGCACTATCTCTGCTCACTGCAACCTCCGCCTCCTGGGTTCACACCATTCTCCTGCCTCAGCCTCCCGAGTAGCTGGGACTACAGGCGCCTGCCACAGCGCCCGACTGATTTTTTTGTATTTTTAGTAGAGACAGGGTTTCACCATGTTAGCCAGGATGGTCTCGATCTCCTGAACTCGTGATCTGCCCGCCTTGGCCTCCCAAAGTGCTAGGATTACAGGCTTGAGCCACTATGCCCGGCCTAGCACAGGTACTTTTTAAACTTAATGTGCTAGAACATTATCACATGTTAAGTGTACCTTCTACCTCCTCAATTCTAATGGCTGCATAGTATTGCCTTGTGAAGATATATTGCAAGCTCAGCGCCTCTGCTCCTTCCTCCACACATCCACTCCTAGGATGAGGGGATGGAGGAGCAGCTGCCATTTGATGCATGTGTCTGGCAGATTGGTGTAGAGAGCAGGGAAGCTGGAGAACCTTGAACAGGAAGGCAGAGAATTTCCCTAGGGAGTCCCCCTCAAGTAGCTCTGCCCACAGGAACTGCTGATGTACAAAGACAGCTGTTGCTTCAAAGGCCAGATATCTTCAGGCTCTTCTATATGCCCTGGCATCTGTTACCATTGCTGCCACTGCTACCAGGCTTGCTTCCATCTCTGGAGCTTCTCCCATTTTCAGATCTTTCCCATACCTCCAACCAACAGCCCCTGGGCTAGTCCTTCCCTCCATCTTAATCTTAGTAGATGTAGGATTAAGAAAGGAGAAGGGGCCAGACACGGTGGCTCATGCCTGTAATCCCAGCACTTTGGGAGGCCGAGGCGGGCGGATCACAAGGTCAGGAGTTCAAGACCAGCCTGACCAACATGATGAAACCCCGTCTCTACTAAAAATACAAACATTAGCCGGGCGTGGTGGTGCGCGCCTGTAATCCCAGCTACTCAGGAGGCTGAGGCAGGAGAATCGCTTGAAGCCAGTACCCAGAACCCAGTAGCCCAGCTACTCAGAAGGCTGGCAGGAGATCACGCCATTGCACTCCAGCCTGGGTGACAGAGCAAGCCTCTGCCTCAAAAAAAAAAAAAAAAAAGGAAAGGAGAAGGATCAGGGAGATTTTTTTTTCTAAAATCTATCCACTCTAGCCACTGCCCTATTTGGCTGGGTCATTCCCGTTTCTTTCTTGTCCTCTGAGAGGGGCAACTGTTGCCACTGCTGCTGTTGTTCAAGAGGCTTCTAATTTCCTGGTCCTGCTTTCTCCAGGAGGCTAGAGATGAATGCCGCTAGTTTTGGGAATGTGCGTTAGGAGTGGTGGGGGTGTTTAATGGGAGGGCTTGGGCTGGAGTGGGTCAGCCTAAACTAGAGAGCCCTGAGCTCCTGGATCTCCTGGGTTCTTCCAAGGAGCCTCAGGGACCTCACTTTCCATTCCAGGGGCTATCTTCACCTTGGCAGCTCTGAAAGAGTCACTAAGCACCTGTATCCCAGCCATTGTCTGCCTGGGGTTCCTGCTGCTGCTGAATGTCGGCCAGCTCTTAGCCCAGACTAAGAAGGTGGTCAGACCCACTAGGAAGAAGACTCTAAGTACATTCAAGGAATCCTGGAAGTAGAGCATCTCTGTCTCTTTATGCCATGCAGCTGTCACAGCAGGAACATGGTAGAACACAGAGTCTATCATCTTGTTACCAGTATAATATCCAGGGTCAGCCAGTGTTGAAAGAGACATTTTGTCTACCTGGCACTGCTTTCTCTTTTTAGCTTTACTACTCTTTTGTGAGGAGTACATGTTATGCATATTAACATTCCTCATGTCATATGAAAATACAAAATAAGCAGAAAAGAAATTTAAATCAACCAAAATTCTGATGCCCCAAATAACCACTTTTAATGCCTTGGTGTAAGTATACCTCTGAACTTTTTTCTGTGCCTTTAAACAGATATATATTTTTTTTAAATGAAAATAAAACCATATATCCTATTTTATTTCCTCCTTTTAAAACCTTATAAACTATAACACTGTTTCATGTCTCTTTTGCCTCATTGCTGTTAATGGCTGCATAGTATTCCATTGCAAGGATGTACTATAATGTATTTAATCCCCCATGAGGAACATTTGGGTTATTCTCAATTTTTTGCTCTCGTAAGCCTCACAGTAAATCACTTTTGCATACTTATTTTCTTCCCCTAGAAGTGAGGGTGCTGGTTCAAAACACATGCATGTTTTTAAGGTTTTTAATACATATTTAAAACGTACAGGTTCTGTATGCAGAGCTTAAGTACTTGCTTCTGCCTATGCCCTTTGAGACATATTAGAGATTCCCTCCCACTCCTTTTTTTCTCTGACATATTAGATGTGCAGAGCTAACAGGTAGGCATTGAGTCATTTGACAGGACCTGAAATCAAGCTCTGGTGGTGATCTGTGGCACCCAGTCCAGTGCTCCTTGACACCTACGTGGAGATGAGGGACAGCCAACTCCATGAAATGCTGAATGGTACAGCAGGGCCCAAAGCCTGGGAGGAATCCCAGAGGTCCTTGGGGGTAGGAAGGGTGCATATGTGTGACAGTTCTCAGGGGAAAAGTGGACAACACGTTAGGGCACCTGCTATTATGTCACCACCATCTTTATCTTAGGTTGGCAGGGCTGTGGGCTTTTGGGAAGTGATGTACCTCCCATGAGGGACTATAGTGAGAAACAGTTCACTTATTTATGCAAATATTCTAGCTATCAGCCTACAGATTGCTTTGAGGGTGGAAAAGAAGTCTCTATTACTCCATTTCATGTTCACTACAAAATGCTAATTCCCATTCTGACTAGTGTGAACCTCAGGCAAGGTGACACTCTCAGTTGGATTTTTTTCTTCTGAGTCTGAAAGCATAGTGGTGTAGTCTGCCTATAGTAAGGATAGATAGATTACACTAAATAAATGGTAGTGTCAAAACAATAAGGAAACCTTTTCTCTCATGTAAGAGGTCCAGAGATAACCACTTCAGTTTCAATGTTGGTCAGTTTGCCTAATGATGGCATCAAGAATCAACATTCTTTAAACTTTCTGCTCTGCTGCTTTCAGTGTATTGGCTATTGCCCTCAGAATTGCGAAATAGCTGCAGCAGCTCCAGACAGTGCATTTGCTATAATATTGAAAGGTGAAAAGAGAGGAAGGGTGCCTTAGAAGACCCTAGATTTGGCTGGGCGCGGTGGCTCACGCCTGTAATCCCAGCACTTTGGGAGGCCGAGGCGGGTGGATCATGAGGTCAGGAGATCGAGACCATCCTGGCTAACAAGGTGAAACCCCGTCTCTACTAAAAATACAAAAAATTAGCCGGGCGCTGTGGCGGGCGCCTGTAGTCCCAGCTACTCGGGAGGCTGAGGCAGGAGAATGGCGTGAACCCGGGAAGCGGAGCTTGCAGTGAGCCGAGATTGCGCCACTGCAGTCCGCAGTCCGGCCTGGGCGACAGAGCGAGACTCCGTCTCAAAAAAAAAAAAAAAAAAAAAAAAAAAAAGAAGACCCTAGATTTTCGCATGGATCTCACTGGGCAGAGCTATGTCCCATTTCCATTCCTAGACTAATGACTGGCAGGAGAATGGAATTCCCATGATGGACTTAGACTAAGATTTACCCACACTGGTCAGCAAGGAAGAAGAGGGGGTAGACAATGGTTTCTGTCACTTACTAGCTTATTTGAAAACTATGGATAATGATAGTAACTATTTCATAGCCTGGCACATAGTAAATGTTCAGTAAATGCTAGTCATTATTAAATATTGATTTGTTTTACAGATGAGAAAATGCATTTGGAAAGCTTGAGTGCCTATATATCAGACCTGGAACTAGAACTAAGTCCTAATTGATTCCAGAACTCAAACTTTTCACTGCACCAGCTGCCAAAGCTGAAAATGGACAGGCATGGCACCCCAGCTCTCTTCAATCTGAGGGTAGATGGGATGACCTGTCTGGGGTGATGAAATCTGCTCTGCTTTCCCAGCATTTCCCCTCTGATTGGAATTTTTTTTTTTTTGAGATGGGGTTTCACCATGTTGGCCAGGCTGGTCTCGAACTTCTGACCTCAGGTGATCCACCTGCCTTGGCCTCCCAAAGTGCTGGGGTTACAGGCATTAGCCACTGTGCCCATCTTGCTTGAAAATTTTGAAGCCCCTGAAAGTAGAGCCTGGAGCCCCGAGGATCCTGGCCTTATTCTTTCTCCACCCCTTCCAGGATGCCACCGCCAGCCCGTCTCCTGCCAGGATGGACTTTGAGTAAAACCTCTCGCAGCTAGCATTAGATTGAGGGCTCCTGTTTACCAAGTCTGGGTCTGTAGGCTGATAAGCAGCTACTGGGCCCCCCAAGCTTGGCTGTAGGACTGCCCAGCAGCTGCAGGAAAGTCAGGGTGCTAGAGGAGTAGGCTGGGCAGCTGGTGTGTACGAGCAGTTGGGATTGACAGCAGCAGGAGGATCTTGAGCCCAAGCAGTGCCTCCTTAGCAGCCCAAGGAGAAGCCAGGCCTCAGGAAACGTGCCCCCCAAACTACAGCCTAAATCTAGGTCAGCTCAGCACGATGACGTTCAGCTGCCTGCCCTTCCTAATACATTTTTATCTCCCTCCCTGTGCTGAAGGCTTTCTTGTCCTCCGATGACACTCCCTTCCCTTGGGGCCCTACTGCAGCCCCAAAAACCCAGCTCATAGCTGCCACAGGTGGGCTCCAGCCCTTCCAGCTGTCGGACCCATTCTTCATGTCGTTTCTTGGGATTAGCTGGCGATAGGAGGGTCTGGGATGTGTGGGTGGGAGGGGATTCTCCCCTGTCTCAGATCCTTAAAGTCAGGACCCCAGAGAGAACTCCAGCAGCCATTATAGCAAGAGGCAAGAAAGGAACAGTCTGGTAGGATGGCAGGGGATGGGTCAGGGTGGGGCTACAGGCATGGAGAACAGAATAGAGGAAGGTGGGAAAGGAAATACAGTTACCCAGGGTCTCAGAAAGGATTGGAGCCTGAGATGCTCAAAGGCAAAAATGCAGATTTTGGAAGAACTGAGTTTTAGGACATCCTAGGAGTGTGTAAGTGTGTCACAAATAGTAACAGGACATTGGTTTGTGCACTTACTCCCTTGGGAAGAGGGTAGGAATATGCCCAGATGTTTTTGTGTTGTTTTGTGTGCCTGGGGTGTCTGTGTCTCTGACACACTGTGTGTGCCTGTGTGAGTGTACACATTTATCTATGTGCTGCCTAGAAGGGAAGGGAACTAACAGTAATGAAGTATCTCCCCAGTGTCAGCCACAGGGCTCAGTTTTACTTAGGTTTTCTCATAATCCTCCCAACAACCCTGTGAGGTAGGTATTTTCATCTCCATTTTACTGCAGCAAAGACAGGCTCAGTGAAGCTGAGTAATTTGCCCAAGGTCACATGGCAAATAGATGTGTGTTATCTAGAATCTGCCTGATTGCTGGGTCTGTGCACTTTTTGCTTTTCTGTCCAGAGGTTTGAGTCTGACCCAGGACCTCTTTGTGGTCAAAAAGTGAGGGGGGAGGAAACAGGATGAAAGGCTTGAGAGTGGCAAAAGCTTTTCAGCCCAGCCAAGGGTGCTCCAGGCAAGCGCTGGGGCACCTCTCTGGGAGAGGACCTTCACCAAGGCAAGTCTGAGGTCAGTGTGCATAGGCACTGCACCGCAAGCCCATTCCTCCATCCATGCTTCTCATCTGGGTGGCACAGGGATGGGGGCGGGGAGGGGGGGGCGGGTGTTGGGGCTTTTTCTGGAAAGGCCTCTTCTTTATATTTCAGCCTGTTTCTCCAGAACTCCCTGTTGGCTCAGTCCTACGTGGGTTTACTGCACAGGTCTGTGGCCCAACATGTATGAACCATACTCCATCTGTGAGGGGCATCTCTACCCTCTCAGTCACTAAGGTTGGAAATTTCCAAGTTATCTAGGACTCCTGCCTCTTCCTCGCTTCCCACAGTTTGTCACCAAAAACTCTGGAGTCCATACCCTCCTCTCAGCAGCTGCTGGCCAGGTTCGGTCTTCATTCCCTCTCACATGGACTCTGCCTCTAGTGTCCCCTCCCAGCAAGGGCTGAAGAAGAGGAGACTGGGGTGGGAGAAGGTGGAATGGGGGCTGCCTTTGTCGCTAGCCTCCGCAGTAACCTTTCTTCTGCCACTTCAAGGTCAGAGATGAACAGCAGTGTTGGGGACCTGGGTGTTGGCGGCTGCAGCCTCTGGGATGACCCTGCTCGCTTCATCGTGGTGCCCGCGGCCTATGCCTTGGCACTGGGCCTGGGGCTGCCAGCCAACGTGGCGGCCCTGGCAATGTTCATCCGCAGCGGCGGGCGCCTGGGCCAGGCCCTGCTTCTCTACCTGTTCAACCTGGCTCTGGTTGATGAGTTCTTCACGCTCACGCTGCAGCTGTGGCTCACCTACTACCTGGGCCTGGCCCGGAGGCCGCCTGCCACGCGGCCGGGGCCACCTACTACGTGTCCACCTATGCGGCGGTGGTCTTCGCCGCGCTCATCAGCGTGTGCCGCTGCGGCTTCGTACGCGGTCCCGGGCCCAGGGCGGCTGCCCGCCTGGCCCGGTGCCTACGGCGCCCCGCGCGCGCTGCCTGCGCCTTCGCCTGGCTGGCGGGCCTGGCCCCTCCCTGCCTGGAGCACCGCTGGGCAAGCTCGGGGCTGGCCTCCGCCACGGTGGCCTTCGCGGCCGCCTTCCTGCTGGTGCTCGCGGCCAACGTGAGCCTGGCGCGGGCGCTCAAGGCGCCCTCTGGCCCGGGCCCGGGCCCTGCAACCGCCGGCGCGCACCGGCGCGCGGCCAAGACCATGGTCCTGGGGTTCCTGCTGGTCTTCGCCCTCAGTCTGGCGCCCAACCACCTGCTGCTGGCGCCCTAGGTGGCTGGGGGGGAAGACAACGGAGACCGGTGTCGCGCCGCCTCCACGCTCGACATCCTGCACACCCTCAGCCTGGCGCTGCTGAGCCTCAACAGCTGCCTGGACCCACTCATCTGCTGCTTCTTCGTGCGCCTCTTCCACCAGGACTGCTGCTGGGCACTGAGCTGCCGCCTGGTGAAGGGGGCGCCCAGGGCGCATGGGGCCTCCTTGGCCTCCTCTTGGAGAGTCTCCTGGCCTCCCCTCCTGTCTCACCCCCCTGTCACCCTCCCAGTGGCATCCAGGGTGGAGAAAGCTCTTTGGAAAGACCTAGATTCTAATCCTGACGCAACCACATACTACCCCTGTAGCTGTGAACCTCCGGGCTCATCTGTACCAAGGACATAGAACATTCTTTGTAACCCGAATGTTCCCTGGATGTTGCCAGCTTTTGGATACAAATAATATACCACTGTGTTTTTTTTAAACCTCTTGGGATAAAACCCAAAGTCCTTATCATGGCCTACAAGGCCCTGTCTGATTTGGCTCCCCTTTCTCTCCCTAACCCACCACCCCTGCGTCTCCCTGCAGGCAGTCACCTTCTTAGGCCCGGGAAAATGCCGGTCTCCTACTCTTCATGGCCTTTGTACCTGACTTGGCCAGGAATGATCTCTGTTCCTCTCTTTCACTAAGTTAGTTCTTCTTCACCCTCACTTCCTCTAAAGTAACTCCTTATAGGGAAGCCTTTCTTGGCTGGCAACACACACACACACACACACACACACATACACACACGACTGAATCAGATCGGATTGCTCTTTGATAGCTCTTTTCATAATTGTAATCAAGCAATTAATTGGGTAATGCGTTGTTGTTGTTTTCTTTCTCTCTTGCCAGAATGTATTCATGTTGACCCATAAGACATTATCATTTTTATAAGTCCCCAAAAGTTGAATATTGGAAATTTTATTTCCACCCAATTCAACTTAATAAATTCTGTGTTTACCTTGCTCACTGCTGTATCTCCTGTGGTTGGTACTGTGCCTTGCATATAATAAGAGCTCAGTGTATCAGATGCGTGAGTGAAAACTGAATATCATTAATTTAAATTGCTTAAGTACTCACTCAGACATTCCAGTCTCTGATAGCTTTTCCTCAAGTGTTTCTGAGATTCTCCAAGCTTGTCTTACCCACCCCCGACCATGCATTCCTAGCCCAGTCCTGATGACTGTCTCCTTCTGCTGTTGCTGGATACTTGCAGTTCTGCCATCACCTCCACTGTACCAAGACTTGGTGGGAAGTAAGCTGGAGATCCAGGCTGCTGGAGATCCAATGCCTGCTGCCTCCAGACTCTTTCATGAGCGCCAATCTCTGCCAGGGGCTCCGGCTACCAGTGCTTCCCCTTCTGTGCTTTGACAACTCTGCAGTCTGCTTCTAATGGGAAAGGGCACCACTCTCCTCAGCCACATTATTGGGGCCCCACAGCAAGACTGCTTGGGTCTCAAGGAAATCGAGCTTAATGAATGAGAGCAAACCCTCTTCATTTGGCCATGTCAGCTTGTCAGGAAGGGTCCATCAATCAGCCACCATGTCTTACCTGCCTTTAGGTCCTATTGCTGAGTTTGACTTCTAAGGATACATTTGGTAAATTCCTTTTTTTCTTGATGAATTACCTCTTATTGGTCCCTAATTCCTTCTTTAACTTTTTTCTTTTCCATTTTAAAAGCAATATAGGTTCATAAAAGTAAATTCAAAGCAGTAGAGAAAAATGTAAGATAGGAAGTACTAGCCTGGGCAACGTGGCGAAACCCTGTCTCTACAAAAAATACAAAAATTAGCCGGGCGTGGTCCTAGCTACTCGGGAGACTGAAGTGGAAGGCTTGCTTGAGCCCAGGAGGTCAAGGCTGCAGTGAGCCGTGATGGCGCCACTGCACTTCAGCCTTGGAGACAGGGGAGACCCTATGTCAAAAAAGAAATAAAAAGAAAGTAAAAGTCCCCTAGTGATAGCCACTATTCACAGCTTCTCATTTGTGTAGCTTTCCAGATATTTTCGATTCCACTGTAAGTCCACATGTCATCAGTTTTCTTTAAAAACCTACAAATGGGATAGTATTGCAAGGTTCTTCTGCAATTTACTTTTCTCATTGTTTCTTATATATTGTTCTATATTAGCACATATAGATAGATTCATCTCGTTTTTTCAATAGAAGCAGAGTATTCGTTTTACTCAATTGGTCCCCTACTGATGGGCATTTGTTGCCATTATTTTACTGTTATAAACAATGCTTCAGTGAATGCTCTTGTTAACAAATGTTTGCATACTTGTAAATCTGTAGAATAAATTCCTGGCAACGAAACTGCTGTCAAAGAATATCTGTGTGCCAATGTTTAATGACAGCAAATTGCCTTCAAGAACGCTGCACCAGGCCAGGCACGGTGGCTCATGCCTGTAATCCCAGCACTTTGGGAGGCCGAGGTGGGTAGATTACGAGGTCAGGAGTTCAAGACCAGCCTGGCCAAGATGGTGAAACCTCATCTCTACTAAAAGTACAAAAAAATTACCCGGGCACGGTGGTAGGCACCTGTAATCCCAGCTACTCGGGAGGCTGGGGTCGCTTGAACCCAGGAGGCAGAGGTTGCAGTGAGCCAAGATCGTGTCACTGCACTCTAACCCGGGCGACAGAGCAAGACTCCGTCTCAAAATAAACAAACAAACAACAACAATAGCAAAAAAAACACTGCACCAAATTATACACATCAAAAGCATGTAATCGTCCCTCACCAGCACTGGGCATTATCACCTGCCCCTTCTTGAGTCTGGACTTCTGTTGGTGCCCTAGTTCCTCTAGATGTATCTGAATATATCTGCATTCTAATTGTGAGCATGGTCAATTTGTTTCTTTTTCCTAGAAGACTTCTCAGTTTCCTCCATAGCTATTTGAAACCTGACTGGGTCAAACTAAGATATCATACCAGCCAAATCTTAGCTGTCTTGCTTGTTGAAGGGATTAAATGAAAACCCAAATGCAAACTGGTAGGTCCTTAATAATTAATTCCCTCCCCTTCATTGGGAATTAGGCTGGCTCATGCCATGCAGCACTGACCAGCATCTCAGCCCAAGGCCAGGAGGCAGCCTGGGCCCACATCATGAATTCATTTGCTGTGGTGGAATGAGTCGCTCAGCCCCAGGGGCCATGCAAGGTTGGGTCTTTGAGAAATAACCTGGCATCCACACTAGAGCCAGCTGAATCTCCTGAGGCGGAATTTGGTTCTACCCAAATAAAAAATAATTCCTTATGGCCGCATCCCATCCCTGCAGTCTTGTACTATCATGCTTTTGATGTGACTTTTCCCCTAGTAGTCAGTTTCCTTTGGGAAATGTCTAACTTAGTCTTTTGTGTCTTACCTGGGGAAAAAGAGCCTGAGAGTCGATTGCTTCTGGCAGGTCAGACACGATGGAAAGAAGCCTCTGTCTAGAGTGACAGTGTGTGGGGGTCCCCTCCTCCCTCTGCGTTGACTCAGGGAAGGAGGAACCTTGGGTGAGGACCTAAAGGTGAAGAACCCGAGGAATGAGAGAGAACAGACTGCCTTGCACTGGCAGTCCTTTTGGACTCTCAGTCTTTATACTTATTTCAAACCATCACGAATTTGACCTAAGATCCTTCCTCAATCTAGCAAGGAAGAGAATGGAGTCCAGGTTGTTCAGGTTGGTTGGAGAAGGGAGCTCCCTTCCTCTAGGAAAGAAAAGAAAGGAGCTTGACTAGATAGATGCTGGACACCCACTTTCTCCAAGGATTCAGGGAAAACTCATCTGCAGCTGTTCTCAGTAGCTACCAATTAGTCTGCCCCAGACTCCCCCACAGTCTTGCAGGGCCAGAAATACCCTATCCATGCTCCTACCCACCCAGGCCACACCTTGTGGCTGTGAAGTGCAGACATGGTCCAGGGAAGCTGCTCCTGGCACACAAAGAACAAAATTCCCTTTCTCTACTGGACTCTACTCTTTCCCTCAGCTCAGTCACAGTCCAGGTCTCTGAACCCAGCCCAACCCAGTTCTTGACCTTGGCCAGGACTGGCCCAGGTCCTTGGCTGTGCACACACCCACCTGGGCCCTTCCACCAGCCATGCATCCTCTGTGACCCTGCCTGCTCCTGCTGGGACCTTCACTTCCAGCCCCCGTGCCACCTGCTCCCCAGGCCTCTGTAGGGAAGCCTGCCAGAGTCAAGCTTGATCTCTGTCTTGGGGCCTCAAGGCATTCTCTGCAGCTGATTCTTTGCCTTGACATCTGTCTCCCTCTCCTCTGGCCGTAGGAGGAGGATAGTGTTTGCCCCTCTGGGTCCTGCAGATCTCCCTTGGGCTGCAGCTGTCCTTTGCTGACCTTGAAACCACCTCCTTGAACTATATTCCAGCTTCAGGGACAGCAGCCTCCTTTCTTGATCAACCATTCCTAGGCCTCTCTTATGCCTGCCCTTTCTTGCCTTTGGTATGGCACGTGCCAATCACCTAGCCCTGACAGGGAACTATTGTCATTAAATCAGGCTTCCTCACCCCTTATTCTCAGTGCTCACCAGCCTAGTTCTGAAATGTATTTGTGGTTGGGATGCTGGACTCATGTTGACCCGTAGCATCTGTGGCAAGAGTATGAATGGTGGCCCACATACTCTATGTCTATATATTTAAAAATTATAAGTCAAGCTAACACATTGCTGAATAAAATGCATTTCATCCTTCTGCATTGACAAATCTACCTTTGTGATGACAAAATAGAAAAATATGTGGGAAGCTGTGGTTTTCAGGACTGAAAGTAAGCAAATTATCAAAGACGACTGCCTTCAATTTTACATATTGTGTTTAAACTTTGTGTTTGGGTCATATATGATACATGATTATCACAGAAAATATAAAATATTTGAATTTCATCATATAAATTACTATCATCCGTAATGTGATTTTTTTTACTATTTCTTCAAGCCATATTTATATTCATACAGTATTTCTTATTTTTTTCAAAATCTTCAATGATGGTCTATTAATTTAAAAAACAGAAATTCACTGTTGTATAATGACAGTTTGTTGTTAAACTTGTTCAAATTTCTCTTCAATCAATTAATACCTTAATCTGTAACAGTCAAAAAATAGTCTCTGTAGAAATTAGTTTTGAGACTATTTGACTGTGAACTCAGTCACTGTCTTGCAAACATTTTCCTTTCATTGTCCTAATTGCCTTATATTTCATTGAAATTTCACTTTGGTTGTATATTTCATATGCAGTTTTCTTCCAAACTAGAAAATCCATGTTCTGATACCTACAGAAATATTTTTTAATTTTAAAAGTAAAGTAGTTAAACTTAGTTGTCTAAGTCTGTTTGTTTTGCTATAAAGGAATATCTGAGACTGAGTAATTTATAAAGAAAAAAGGCTTATTTGGGTTATGATTCTGCTGCCTAGAAGGTTCAAGATAGGGCATCTGGTGAAAGCCTCAGTCTGCTTCCACTCATGGCGGCAGGTGAAGGGGAGCTGGCTGTGCAGATATCCCATGGTGAGAGGAGAAGCAAGAGAGAGAAGCAGGGAGGTGCCAGGCTCATTGTAACGAGCAGTTGCAGGAGCTAACAGAGTGAGAACTCACTCGTAATTGCGAGGTCAGCACCAAGCCTTTCATGAGGGATTTGCCCCCGTGATCCAGATACCTTCCATTAGGCCCCACCTCCAACACTGGGGATCAAATTTCAACAGGAGGCTTAGGGGACAAACATCCAAATGACAGCATTAGTCAATTGTTTACATAAGCTTTTACTAACATTTTAAATAGCAAACAATAGTGCAAATCCACTAACAATAATACATCTCTAAAATTAATATGTTTTTCCATCAAAGACCATAATTTGTTATTTGAGAATGTTGGTTGTCTCATTTAACTTTTTCAGTACATCTCATATCTTAAATACATTCAATTTAATTTATTTAGCAGCATTTAGTTGGGATTGCCATAATGTGTCTGAGAGTAGTTCCGAGGTCAGATTTGACGTGTTTCATCAATATGTTCCATCTTTGGGTATATCCAGAAAATATTGTGTATAATCTGGATTACACCCAAAAATGCCATTGGTATTAGCACAGTTGAAACTATGTCTTCATGGCCAAAGAATACTTCTAGAATTTTGGCCGGAATTTTGCCCGGCATACCTTTCTTTGTTCATCACATTAGCATCATGACTGTAGGCTTGTCATTGGCAATCCTTTAAATCATTGCTGACAATTGAAAGCTGGGGTTTTTTTTTTCAGTTCCTCATTCAAATCATACTTGTACTTTGAGATTCTGATTTGTATAGGAGGTAGCACCCTAACACTGCACTCTTGTTTGCAATAACGAGAAAAAGCCAAATACATGACAAAAATCATATGTTTAAGATACTGGAGAGCTGTGGAAACAACAATGACTAGAATTGGAATTCAGACAGGGAGTATCCCTTCTGAGTTGAGCTGATGGTCATGGGATGTTTTCTTCCTGGGAACATTTGCTTGTTCTGTGTATGAACTGAGTATTGGGCTTAATTCGTACAGAGGGCTTTTACAATTGCAAGACTTTTGGTAGTTAAGTGGGGCTTTTGCGAAAAGTTGGGGTCTCAAAAAACACAGCTTGCTGGGCATGGTGGTTCATGCCTGTAATTCCAGCACTTTGAGAGGCCGAGGCAGGCAGATCAATTGATGTCAGGAGTTCAAGACCAGCCTGGGCAACATGGCGAAACCCCATCTCTACTAAAAATACAAAAATTAGCCAGACGTGGTGGCACATGCCTGTAATCCCAGCTACTTGGGAGGCTGAGGCAGGAGAATTGCTTGAACCTGGGAGGCGGAGGTTGCAGTGAGCCGAGATCGCACCATTGTACTCCAGCCTGGGAGACGAGAGCGAAACTCCATCTCAAACAACAACAACAACAACAACAGCAACAACAACAATAACAACAACAACACAGCTGGTTGTAGCCGTATGACATTTTCCAGGTCCTGAGATTGAGTGTGGAAGGCTGGGAAGCTAGGTTGAGGGCTTCTAAAAGCTGGGGTGATATCCCCACTAATCTTGAAATGCTTAGAACACAAAGTCCCACTAGAGGAATGAGGCCTGATACAAAAACATGATGGTATCCCCTTCAAAAAATTAGCCAGTTTATAGCTCCGAGGGTGAAGAGGAGTTTGGGAAAAAGGCTAAAGTGCTAAGCTCAGAACCTTCCAAGGGAATCTCCTGTGTCTAACAGGGCTGAGGAGACAGAGAGCCACAAGACTTTTAATCAAAAGCCTAGGAAGCCCTCACATGAAAACAGGAATGCATTGCAGGTGGACTGCATCTATCTATCTATCTATCTATCTATCTATCTATCTATCTATCTATCTATCTATATTTTTTTGAGACAGAGTCTCGTTCTGTTGCCCAGGTTGGAATGGAATGCAGTGGTGTGATCTTGACTCTGCAACCTCTGTCTCCCGGGTTCAAGCAATTCAAGCAGTTCTCCTGCCTCAGCCTCTCGAGTTGGGACTGCAGGCGTGCACCACCATGCCTGGCTAATTTTTGTATTTTTTGTAGAGACAGGGCTTCACCATGTTGGCCAGGCTGGTCTCGAACTCCTGACTTCAAGATATCCTCCCACCTCGGCCTCCCAAAGTGCTGGGATTACAGGCGTGAGCCACCACGCCCAGCCATGGACTGCATCATATTAAAACTGCAGCCCAGCTCTGCCTCAGTTAACTCCTGATTGGATTGAGGTGATCAGTCCCTCAACCTATCTGCCTAACAGAGGAAAGGTGGAACTTGGTGGGAGATACCATGCAGAACCTCTACAGGTCTTTCATATACGGGTCTCTGCAGCTCTTTTTAAATAAAAAGCCACTAGATATCCAAAGAAGCAGGAAAATGTGGCTGATAATCAAGAGAATAGAGAGACAATAGAAATAGACCCATAAATGATCCAGATGTTGAAGTAATAAGACAAGGATTTTCAGTAACTGTAATTAAATAATTATAGGCTGGGCGTGGTGGCTCACACCTATAATCCCAGCACTTTAGGAGGCCAAGGTGGGAGGATCACTTGAACCCAGGAGTTTGAGACCAGCCTGGGCGATATGGTGAGATCCCTGTCACTATGAAAAACATCTAAAAATTAGCTGGGTGTGGTGGTGGTGCACGCCTGTGGTCCCAGCCACTCAGGAAGCTGATGTGGGAGGATCACTTGAGCTGTGGTTGCACCACAGCACCCCAGCCTGGGCAACAGACAGAGACAGTCTCCAAAAAAAAAAAAAAAAAAACCCAAACTATTTAAAAAAAACCCAAACTATAATTAAATAATTATAATAATGTAATGATATAATGATAATTAAAGTGATTTTAACTCAGTGCTCAATGGAGCCCAGGCTGGAGTGCAGTGGCGTGATCTCGGCTTGCTACAGCCTCCACCTCCCAGCCGCCTGCCTTGGCCTCCCAAAATGCCAAGATTGCAGCTTCTTCCCAGCCGCCACCCCATCTGGGAAGTGAGGAGCGTCTCTGCCTGGCCGCCCATCGTCTGGGATGTGAGGAGCCCCTCTGCCTGGCTGCCCAGTCTGGAAGGTGAGGGGCGTCTCTGCCCGGCCGCCATCCCATCTAGGAGGTGAGGAGCGCCTCTTCCCGGCCGCCATCACATCTAGGAAGTGAGGAGCGTCTCTGCCCGGCCGCCCATCGTCTGAGATGTGGGGAGCGCCTCTGCCCCGCCGCCCCGTCTGGGATGTGAGGAGCGCCTCTGCCCAGCGGCGACCCCGTCTGGGAGGTGAGGAGCGTCTCTGCCCGGCCGCCCCGTCTGAGAAGTGAGGAGACCCTCTGCCTGGCAACCGCCCCGTCTGAGAGGTGAGGAGCCCCTCCGCCCTGCAGCCGCTCCGTCTGAGAGGTGAGGAGCCCCTCCGCCCGGCGGCCACCCCGTCTGGGAAGTGAGGAGCGTCTCCGCCCGGCAGCCACCCCATCCGGGAGGGAGGTGGGGGGGTCAGCCCCCCGCCAGGCCAGCCGCCCCGTCCGGGAGGTGAGGGGCGCCTCTGCCCGGCCGCCCCTACTGGTTAGTGAGGAGCCCCTCTGCCAGGCCACCACCCCGTCTGGGAGGTGTACCCAACAGCTCATTGATAGCGGGCCATGATGACAATGGCGGTTTTGTGGAATAGAAAGGGGGGAAAGGTGGGGAAAAGATTGAGAAATTGGATGGTTGCCGTGTCTGTGTAGAAAGAAGTATACATGGGAGACTTTTCATTTTGTTGTGTACTAAGAAAAATTATTCTGCCTTGGGATCTTGTTGATCTGTGACCTTACCCCCAACCCTGTGCTCTCTGAAACATGTGCTGTGTCCACTCAGGGTTAAATGGATTAAGGGCGGTGCAAGATGTGCTTTGTTAAACAGATGCTTGAAGGCAGCATGCTCTTAAGAGTCATCACCACTCCCTAATCTCAAGTACCCAGGGACACAAACACTGCGGAAGGCCGCAGGGTCCTCTGCCTAGGAAAACCGGAGACCTTTGTTCACTTGTTTATCTGCTGACCTTCCCTCCACTATTGTCCTATGACCCTGCCAAATCCCCCTCTGCGAGAAACACCCAAGAATGATCAATAAAAAAATAAATAAACAAATAAAGTGATTTTAAAATAGAGGAAAATATTAACAAATGAGTGAAAAATGGATATTTTTTAACAATTGGAATTCATAAAAAGGAATAAAATTATTGATTTGACAACTATAGATAACATTAGCAGGATGTGGGATTCTTTTACAATACAATAACAGCTAATAAACAGAATTCGATGTTGTATAATTTCTCTCAGTCCAAACCCTATAAAGTACAACAAATTAATTGACCTCTTGCCAGAAGCAAATCTATCAATAAACATTAGTAATTTATGTTACATGGTAAAATTTCACCAGAGATATCTGGGAAGAAGGAATCACTAGCATTTCAACACTGATGGAAACAAAGTAAGAAAAGTCTGCTATCAAATATTTTATTGGCTTCAGCCATTCAGGAGGATGAGTGTTCCAGGTCCTCCCGACATCCTGTAAGCTACCAGGGCTTTTATCCTGGGGCATTAGAGGAAGTTAGAGGTGGGGTAGGTTACCCTTGAACACTCTAAGTACAGCAGCAGTTTTCGGAGGCAAGGGGGAATCACAGGAGAAAACTGTCTTTGTAAAAATGTCAGCTGAGAAAAAATTAGATATCATTTTGGTTTGAAAGAAAATGGAAAGTCTAATATTCCAATTAATTAAAATCATTTTGCTTGGATTGTCAAATTCTGCTTGGAAATTAAGGCATGGTGAAAGCCTGGAATACAGATGGGAAAAAGCATGGGATCTGGAGTTAGAGAGACCTAGGATAAAATCTCAGCTCCATCATGCTCCAACTATAGACTCTTAGCAAAATGTTGCCCTTCCACATGCCCAGTTTTTCCCAGGTGTAAAGGAGGAGGCAGCATCCATAAGACATTTCATATGGTGCTTGGATATATCAGGGGTCAATTGGTAGTGGTGATAATTCTTACAAATGGGATGCAACTGATATTTGGAGATAAAATACTCATTATTTTGAGTTTTTTTTTAACCTCCAGTTAAAAAATGGAGGTTATGGAATGCTGGATTTTTTTTTTTTTTTTTTTGTCTCTCTCTGTTGCCCAGGCCAGAGCGCAGTGGTGTGTGTGATCATGGCTCACTGCAGCCTTGACCTCCTGGGCTCAAGCAATCCTCCCACCTCAGCCTCCCAAGTAAGATTTTGTTCTTAATTGGGCTTTGTTTGAGCAGATTTGCTTCTATGGTGCTGTATAAATAAAATACAATATGATTGAATATGAAATGTGGCATCTAAACACATGTCACATGCTCTGAACAGACTCTGAAACTATACATCTACTTCTGAATATTGAAGTGGAAATTTGAATATGTGAAAATGTATTTACATTTATGTATTTTTTCCAAAGTAAAACAGAGAAGATGGAATGTAACAATGAGCAGAAACTAATTAGCAGCACAAATGTCAGAAGCGGAGACGTTTGAAATTCTGTGCTATAATTTATCTTCTGCATTGTGAATTTTAACTAAAACAAGAGGCTGTGCTGAAAAAATAGATTCCTCTGGCTAATTCAGAGGAATGACCATTCTGAAAAGCCTGCTGTTATCACAAGGTGGGACAAACTTGAGCAAATGGGAACAGCAGCTTATACCCCCTGCTAAAAGAAATGCTTACAGATTTCCACTGCAAATGGAACAGAGAATGGTATTTGCCAGAAGGGTCCCCTTCTAACACTACTTCTTAGCAAAGACTGTGATTGGCAATGACTGGTCAGAGTTGGGCTTCCAAACTGAGCCTACAGCCCAACTCTGATTAAACTCCCCAGGTATCACCATTTGCCAAGAAAACAAAAAATAAGACTGAGTTTCTCCTTTTTCCAAAAAAAAAAAAAAAAAAAAAAAGGACCAAATGGACATTTCGAACTAAAAAGTACATCTGAAATTAGGAATTCCTTGAATGGACTTAAGAGAGGACTCAATGTAGATAATAATAAAATTAGCCAACTTGAAGACGGGTCATTAGAAAATATCCAAACAGAATGTAAAGAGAATTAAGAATAAATTTATTTATTTGTTTGTTTATTTTATATTTATTGATTTAATTTATTGAGACAGGGTCTCACTCTGGTCCCCTAGCTGGAGTGCAGTGGTGCGATCACAGCTCACTGCAGCTTTGACCTCCTGGCTCAGGCGATCCTCCCACTTCAGCCTCCTGAGCAGCTGGGACTACAGGTGTGAGCTACCATGCCCAGCTAATTTCTTTTTTTAACTTTTATTTTAGGTTTGGGGGTACATGTGAAGGTTTGTTATATAGGTAAACTCATGTCACGGGAGTTTGTTGTACAGATTATTTCATCATTCAGGTATTAAGCCTAGTACCCAATACTGGCTAATTGTTTGTATAGATGAGTTTGGCCATGTTGTTCAGGCTGGTCTCCAACTCCTGGCCTCAAGTGATCTGCCTGCTGTGGCCTCCCAAAGTGCTGGGATTACAGGCGTGAGCCACCATGCCAAGCCAAGCATTATTATTATTATTTTTTTAAAAGAATAGGTCATAAAATACATGTGGGATCAATCAAAATGCCATTATGCTTGTAAATGTAGTGCCAGAAGAGAGGAGAGATGGGGCAGATGGCATATTTAAAGAAATGAAAGCCAAGAACTTTTCAAAACTGATAAAAGGCATTGCTATGGTTTAATATGATTTGTCTGCCAAAATGTATGTACTGAAGACCTAGTTCCCAGTGTAACAGTGTTGAGAAGTGGTGGGACCTTTAAGAGGTGTTTTGGTCCTGGGGACTCTGCAGCTCTCTCAGGACTGGATCCATTACCATGAGAGTGGCTTGTTTGTTGTTTTTGTTTTGAGACGGAGTCTGTTGCCCAGGCTGGACTGCAGTGGTGCGATCTCAGCTCACTGCAACCTCTGCCTCCCTGGTTCAAGCAATTCTCCTGCCTCCACCTCCCGAGTCGTGGAGATTATGTGTGAGCCACCACGCCCGACTAATTTTTGTATTTTTAGTAGAGGCAGGTTTCACCATGTTGGCCAGGCTGGTCTCGAACCCCTGACCTCAAGTGATCCACCTGCCTCAGCCTCCCAAAATGCTGGGATTACAGGTGTGAGCCACCACGCCTGGCCAAGAGTGGCTGGTTACAGAGTGAGGCTGCCTCTCATGTTTGGTCTACTGTGCATGTGTTCGCTTCCCATTCTGATTTTCTGCCATGTTATGAAAAAGCAGTATGAAAGCCCTTGCTGGAAGCAATATACTTTATAATGTAGATCCTTTCCATGGTTTATTTTCAATCTTTCTGCCTCATTTTATGTAAAGTGAATCTCATAAAAACCAAATAGTTGGTTTTTGTTTTTTATCTAATTAGATCAACATTATCTCTTAATTTGATTGTTCAGTTCATTTACACTTAGTGTAATTACTAATATGCTTTGGTTTAAATCTACCATCTTGCTATTTGTTTTCTCTTCGTCTCACCTTTTTGTTGTTGTTTTATGTATTTTTCTTGCCTTCTTTTGAATTAATCAGATATTCTTAATTTTTTTCACTTCTATTAACTCTTTTGTTATATATTCTTTTATAATTCCTTTAATGTTTACCCTAGAGATTACAATATTGACTTATTATGGTCTACCTTAGTTTTTATTGTGTTACAGATCTATTAATGAAGACTATTCTTAGCTCTGAAATTTTTTGTTTTTGAGATAGAGTCTTGCTCTGTCAGCCAGGCTGGAGTGCAGTGGCACGATCTCAGCTCACTACAACCTCCGCCTCCCAGGTTCAAGCAATTCTTCTGCCTCAACCTCCCAAGTAGCTGGGACTACAGGTGTGCACCACCACGCCCAGCTAATTTTTGTATTTTTAGTAGAGACAGGGTTTCACCATATTGGCCAGGCTGGTCTCGAATTCCTGACCTTGTGATCTGCCTGCCTTAGCCTCCCAAAGTGCTGGGATTACAGGCGTGAGCCACAGCACCCAACCTAGCTCTGAAAAATTTCTTATTTCACCTTAATTATTTATTTATTTAGAGACAGAGTCTCACTTACTGTGTTACCCAGGCTGGAGTGCAGTGGTGTGATCATTGCCCAATCCCACCCAAACTCCTGGGCAGGAGCAATCCTTCTGCCTCAGCCTCCTGAGCAGCTGGGACTACAGGTATGTGTTATCCCCCTGGCTAATTTTTAAATTTTCTATAGAGATGAGGTCTCGTTATGTTTCCCAGATTGATCTTGAACTCCTGGCCTCAAGCAGTCCTCCTGCCTCAGCCTCCCAGAGTGTTGGGATTACAAGCATGAACCATCTCACCTTACCTTTTTAACTTTATTTTTGAAGAATTTTTTCTAGGTTTCCAGTTTTTTCCCCCCTCAACACTTTAAAGATGTCATTATATTGTCTTCTGGCTTGCATATTTCCTTTGGAAAAATATTTATCAGTCTTGTTACTCCTTTGACTGAAATGTGTCTTTTCTTCTGTATGATTTTAAGACTTCCTACTGTCTTTGGATTTCGGCTGTTTGACTATTATGTGCCTATGAGGTTTAGTTTCGTTGCTTGGTGCAATAAAGAAAGAAAAAGAAATAAATATTAAAAAGATGGGAAAGGAAGAAATAAAACTATCAATACTTGTAGATAATTGTGTACAAATCCAAAGAATTGACTATTAGAATTTAAAAATGAATTTACCAAGGCCACTGGATATAAGATCAATGTGCAAAAACAATGGTATTGAAGCATATAATTAGGAAATAAAATAAAATAGTATCAGTCACTATAGTGTATGCACTCATACGCACAAACACACACACACACACAAATCCTATGAACAAAGCCAGTGAAAGATGTTCTTGACTTATAAACTGCAAACTACAAAATGTTTAAGATATTCTTAAAGAAGATTTATATAAATGAAGGGATATACCATGCTCATGAATTGGAAGTCTCAATGTTTTTAAAATGCCAGTGCCCCTCAAATTGATCCATAGATTTAATACAATCCAGTAACAATCCAAACAGGGTTATTTTTGTGGAAATTGACAAGCCGATTCGAAAATTCATATTAGAAATATAAAAGACCTAGAATAGCCAAGGCAGTCTTGACAGAAGAACTAATTTGGAATACTTACACTTCAGGTATCAAGACATATTTTTAAATTTCATGCTTGATTCAGTTTGCTAATATTTGTTGTAGACTTTTTGTATTTATATTCATGAGGTGTATTGACCAATAGCTTTCTGTTCTTGAGAGGTTTTTGTATGACCTTGGTAATACAGTAATGCTGATCTTATAAACAAGTTGGGAAACGTTTTTATCTATTTTCTGAAAACGTTTTGTGTAGAAGGTATTATTTCTTATTTGATGTTTCTAGGGTCCCTCAGTTCTTCCCATTTTTCCTCTTGTTCGGACAGAGAAACACAGAGTGCCTTGACTGCTCTGTGCCCTGGCCAGCTGCATGTTTTATCATATGCAGGTTTGAACCCAAACCTGGGCCTTGAATATTCCCAGACACTGATAAACTTGTTTAGGTTGTTGCCTGAAATACACATTGCTAAACATGTAGAAAAAACTAGCTCTTACTCTGAGCCAAATTCCTTAAACCCTCATATCAACTCCATAACCTGATCCCCTTCCTTGCAGACATACTTAGGCAGAACCTCTCTTTCTCTCACTGTTCAATGCAATGATCACTGCATCAGGCTATAAATTGCCCTAATACATGTTTTGGACTGATCACCTTGGTGTTTAGTGCCTCTTTCTTTGGAATTCGAACCAGCCCCATATCCAGAAGCTCTGGAGTAGACCCTTGAAGGAATTCCCCTGCCATTGCTTTTGGGGAAACTCTAGCTATGGGTTCAGCTGGATGGAACAATGATAGAATTCACCAGAATTCATCTGGGTTGAGAGGTTTCTTTGTGGGAAGGTTTTTAATTAGAAAATCAATTTTTTTTAAATGGGATCTCATTTTGTTGCCCAGGTTGGAGTGCAGTGTTGCGATCATGGCTCACTGCAGCCTCGACCCCCCAGGCTCAAGCGATGCTCCCACCTCAGCCTCCTGAGTAGCTGGGACCACAGGCATGTGTCACCACACCTGGATTGTTTTTTTATTTTTATTTTTATTTTTTGTAGCGATGAGGTCTCCCTGTGTTGCCCAGGCTGGTCTCAAACTCAAGTGATTCTCCCACCTCAGCCTCCCAAAGTGCTGGGATTACAGGTGTGAGCCACCGTGCCTGGCCCAATGCTTCAAGAATATAGAGCTATTGAAGTTTTCCATTTTTTCTCCAGTCAGTATTAGCTATTTGTTTCTTCCATGGAATTTGTCAATTACGTCCAAATTGTTGAATTTATTAGACAAAATCGCCATAAGATTATCTTGTTATCATTTTAATCCCTGTAGGATCATGATGTTTCCCCTTTCATATTTGACATCAATAAATTGTGTCTTCTTTTTGTAATTAAAGGTTTATAAATTTTATTGACCTTTTAAAGAACAGCTTTAAATTTCATTGATTTTTTTCTTTTTCCTTTTTTTGAGACAGATTCTTGCTCTGTCACCCAGGCTGGAGTGGCTGGCCTTGGCTCACTGCAACCTCTGCCTCCTGAGTTCAAGTAATTCTCCTGCCTCAGCCTCCCGAGTAGCTGGGATTACAGGCACATGCCACCGTGCCCGGCGATTTTTCTATTATTTGTTTTCTACTTTTTTTATTTTGCTCTTATCTTCATTATTTCTTTCTTTCTACTAATAAGTAGAAGGAAACTCTCTTTGAGTTTAATATATGCTTCTTTTTTTTTTCTGAAGGTGGAGTCTTAGATTATTGATTTTTGACCTGTATTCTTTTCTAATATAAGCGTTTAGAAGCTTATATTAGAAAGCTTGGCCGGGCTCGGTGGCTCATGCCTGTAATCCCAGCACTTTGGGAGGCCGAGGCGGGCAGATTGCCTGAGGTCGGGAGTTTGATAGCAGCCTGGCCAGCATGGTGAAACCCTGTCTGTACTAAAAATACAAAAATTAGCCAGGCGTGGTGGCAGGTGCCTGTAATCCCAGGCACTGAAGCAGGAGAATTGCTTGAACCCAGGAGGTGGAAGTTGCAGTGAGCTGAGATCACGCCATTGCACTCCAGCCTGGGCAGCAGAGCAAGACTCTGTCTCAAAAAAAATTAAAAAAGTACACATTCTTTGCTAAGCACTACTTTAGCCATACCCTTACACATTTTGATGTGTTGTGCTTTCATTTTTATTCAGTTTTAAGTATTTTCTAATTTCTCTTGTGATATTTTCTTTGACCATGAATTATTTAAAACTATGTTAATTCCTAGACACAAGTTATTTTAATATATGGCTGTTTTTTACTTTTAATGTAATTTTGTTATGACCAGAGAACACATTCTGTATGATTGAAATCCTTTTGAATTTATTGAGATTTATTTTGTGGCTCAGTGTATGGTCTTATTTTGGTGTACGTTCCCTATGCACTTGAGAAAAATATTTATTCTTCTGTGTTGGTAGAGTCTTCTATTAATGCCAATTAGGTCAGGTTGGTTGATAATTTTCAAGTCTTCTACGTATTTACTAATTTTTGTCTCCTTGTTCTATCAATTACTGAGAGAGGAGTATTGAAATTTCTAACTATAATTGCAGATATGTCTATTGTTTTTCTCTTCTCTCAGTTTTTGCTTTATGCTGCTTAAAGCTCTTTTATTAGATGAATGTAAATTTAGAGTTATTATGCCCTCTTGTTTAATCAACTCCTTACTATTATGAAATGTAGCTCTTTATTGCTGGTAATAGTCCTTGTTTTGAAGTCTACTTTGTTAGATACTAATATAGTCACTTCACTTTATTTTGTTGCATGCTGTATCTTTTCAATCCTTTTACTTTTAGCCTGCCTTTTTTTTTTTTTTTTTTTTTGAGACAGGATCTCGCTTTCTGGAGTATAGTGGTATGATCTCGGCTCACTGCAGCTTCCGCCTCCCAGGTTCAAGCGATTCTTGTGCCTCAGCCTCCCAAGTAGCTGAGACTACAGGTGCCACCACCATGTCTGGCTAATTTTTGTATTTTTAGTGGAGATGGGGTTTTGCCATGTTAGCCAGGCTGGTCCCAAACTTCTAGCCTTAAGTGATCTGCCCACCTGGGCCTCCTAAAGTGTTGGAATTAACAGGCATGAGCCACTGCGCCAGGCATGGACAATTAGCTGGGCTCAGTGGCTCACATCTGTAATCCCCACACTTTGGGAGGCCGAGGTGGGAGGATCACTTGAGGCCAGGGGTTCAAGACCAGGCTCAGCAACATGGCAAAACTCATCTCTACAAAAAATACAAAAACTAGCTAGGTGTGGTGGCATGTGCCTGTAGTCCCAGCTACTCAGGAGGCTGAGGTGGGAGGATCACTTGAGCCTCGGGAAGTTGAGGCTGCAGTGAGCCATGATTGTGCCACTGCACTCCAGCTTGGATGACAAAGCTCCAATAAATAAATAAATATGGCTCACGCCTGTAATCCTAGCACTTTGGGAGGCCAAGGCGGGCAGATTGCCTGAGTTCAGGAGTTCAAGACCACCCTGGGCAACGTGGCAAAACCCCATTTCTACTAAAAATACAATAAATAAATAAATAAAAATAAATAGCAGGGAGTGGTGGTGCCTGCCTGTAGTCCCAGCTGCTCAAGTGGCTGAGACACAAGAATCACATGAACCCAGGAGATGGAGGTTGCAGTGAACCGAGATCATACCACTGCACTCCAGCCTGGGTGACAGAGCAAGATTCTCTCTCCAAAAATAAATAAATAAAGAATAAATAAAATAAAAATAAAGTGGACAATCTCTGGCACTTTATTGGAGTGTTCTATTTACAATTAATGTAATTATTGACATGGTTGATTTTAAATTTACCATATTGCTTTTTTTCTTTTATTTTTTTATTATTTTATTTATTATACTTTAAGTTCTAGGGTACATGTGCACAACGTGCAGGTTTGTTACATATGTATACATGTGCCATGTTGGTGTGCTACACCCATTAACTTGTCATTTACATTAGGTATATCTTCTACTGCTATCCCTCCCCCCTCCCCCACCCCACGACAGGCCCCGGTGTGTGATGTTCCCCTTGCTGTGTCCAAGTGTTCTCATTGTTCAATTCCCACCTATGAGTGAGAACATGTGGTGCTTGGTTTTTTGTCCTTGCGATAGTTTGCTGATAATGATGGTTTCCAGCTTCATCCATGTCCCTACAAAGGACATGAACTCATCCTTTTTTATGGCTGCATAGTATTCCATGGTGTATATGTAAGTGCCACTCATTTTATTTTATTTTATTTTATTTTATTTTATTTTTCTTTTTTTTCTTTTATTATTATACTTTAAGTTTTAGGGTACATGTGCACATTGTGCAGGTTAGTTACATATGTATACATGTGCCATGCTGGTGCGCTGCACCCATTAACTCGTCATCTAGCATTAGGTATATCTCCCAATGCTATCCCTCCCCCCTACCCCCACCCCACAACAGTCCCCAGAGTGTGATGTTCCCCTTCCTGTGTCCATGTGATCTCATTGTTCAATTCCCACCTATGAGTGAGAATATGCGGTGTTTGGTTTTTTGTTCTTGCGATAGTTTACTGAGAATGATGATTTCCAATTTCATCCACGTCCCTACAAAGGACATGAACTCATCATTTTTTATGGCTGCATAATATTCCATGGTGTATATGTGCCACATTTTCTTAATCCAGTCTATCATTGTTGGACATTTGGGTTGGTTCCAAGTCTTTGCTATTGTCAATAGTGCCGCAATAAACATACGTGTGCATGTGTCTTTATAGCAGCATGATTTATAGTCCTTTGGGTATATACCCAGTAATGGGATGGCTGGCTCAAACGGTATTTCTAGTTCTAGATCCCTGAGGAATCGCCACACTGACTTCCACAATGGTTGAACTAGTTTACAGTCCCACCAACAGTGTAAAAGCCTTCCTATTTCTCCACATCCTCTCCAGCACCTGTTGTTTCCTGACTTTTTAATGATTGCCATTCTAACTGGTGTGAGATGGTATCTCATTGTGGTTTTGATTTGCATTTCTCTGATGGCCAGTGATGATGAGCATTTTTTCATGTGTTTTTTGGCTGCATAAATGTCTTCTTTTGAGAAGTGTCTGTTCATGTCCTTTGCCCACTTTTTGATGGGGTTGTTTGTTTTTTTCTTGTAAATTTGTTTGAGTTCATTGTAGATTCTTGATATTAGCCCTTTGTCAGATGAGTAGGTTGCGAAAATTTTCTCCCATTTTGTAGGTTGCCTGTTCACTCTGATGGTAGTTTCTTTTGCTGTACAGAAGCTCTTTAGTTTAATTAGATCCCATTTGTCAATTTTGGCTTTTGTTGCCATTGCTTTTGGTGTTTTAGACATGAAGTCCTTGCCCATGCCTATGTCCTGAATGGTATTGCCTAGGTTTTCTTCTAGGGTTTTTATGGTTTTAGGTCTAATGTTTAAGTATTTAATCCATCTTGAATTGATTTTTGTATAAGGTGTAAGGAAGGGATCCAGTTTCAGCTTTCTACATATGGCTAGCCAGTTTTCCCAGCACCATTTATTAAATAGGGAATACTTTCCCCATTGCTTATTTTTCTCAGGTTTGTCAAAGATCAGATAGTTGTAGATATGGGGCGTTATTTCTGAGGGCTCTGTTCTGTTCCATTGATCTATATCTCTTGTTTTGGTACCAGTACCATGCTGTTTTGGTTACTGTAGCCTTGTAGTATAGTTTGAAGTCAGGTAGTGTGATGCCTCCAGCTTTGTTCTTTTGGCTTAGGATTGACTTGGCGATGCGGGCTCTTTTTTGGTTCCATATGAACTTTAAAGTAGTTTTTTCCAATTCTGTGAAGAAAGGCATTGGTAGCTTGATGGGGATGGCATTGAATCTCTAAATTACCTTGGGCAGTATGGTCATTTTCACCATATTGATTCTTCCTACCCGTGAGCATGGAATGTTTTCCATTTGTTTGTATCCTCTTTTATTTCCTTGAGCAGCGGTTTGTAGCTCTCCTTGAAGAGGTCCTTCACATCCCTTGTAAGTTGGATTCCTAGGTATTTTATTCTCTTTGAAGCAATTGTGAATGGGAGTTCACTCATGATTTGGCTCTCTGTCTGTTGTTGGTGTATAAGAATGCTTGTGATTTTTGTACATTGATTTTGTATCCTGAGACTTTGCTGAAGTTGCTTATCAGCTTAAGGAGATTTTGGGCTGAGACAATGGGGTTTTCTAGATATAAAATCATGTCGTCTGCAAAGAGGGACAATTTGACTTCCTCTTTTCCTAATTGAATACCCTTTATTTCCTTCTCCTGCCTAATTGCCCTGGCCAGAACTTCCAACACTATGTTGAATAGGAGTGGTGAGAGAGGGCATTCCTGTCTTGTGCCAGTTTTCAAAGGGAATGCTTCCAATTTTTGCCCATTCAGTATGATATTGGCTGTGGGTTTGTCATAGATAGCTCTTATTATTTTGAAATATGTCCCATCAATACCTAATTTATTGAGAGTTTTTAGCATGAAGGGCTGTTGAATTTTGTCAAAGGCCTTTTCTGCATCTATTGAGATAATTATGTGGTTTTTGTCTTTGGCTCTGTTTATATGCTGGATTACATTTATTGATTTGCGTATATTGAACCAGCCTTGCATCCCAGGGATGAAGCCCACTTGATCATGGTGGATAAGCTTTTTGATGTGCTGCTGGATTCGTTTTGCCAGTATTTTATTGAGGATTTTTGCATCAATGTTCATCAAGGATATTGGTCTGAAATTCTCTTTTTTGGTTGTGTCTCTGCCAGGCTTTGGTATCAGAATGATGCTGGCCTCATAAAATGAGTTAGGGAGGTTTCCCTCTTTTTCTATTGATTGGAATAGTTTCAGAAGGAATGGTACCAGTTCCTCCTTGTACCTCTGGTAGAATTCGGCTGTGAATCCATCTGGTCCTGGACTCTTTTTGGTTGGTAAGCTATTTCTCCCATCTCTTCTTTGTTTCCTTTATCCTCTTCTCCCATTTTCTTTTGGAGTTAGTATTTTAAAATTCTTAGTTAATCTCCACGCACTACTGGCTTATTAGCTACATTCTTTGTTTTGTTTGTTTAGTGGGTTCTAGGATTTACCATATATATATATATAAACTTATTTCTATTAACTTCCAACTAATATTATTCTACTTCACATTTCACCTATTATATGAGAACTTCACAAGAGTATACTTCTGTGCCCTCCCTCCCATCCTTTGTACTAGTGTTGCCATGCGTTTTATTTCTACATATGTTATAAACTCCTATAACAAATTATTACTATTTTTTCTTTAAACATCAGTTATGTTTTTTTTTATCGTGGCAGAAAAAAACCACATAGCATACAATTCACCCTCCCAACAATTTCCAAGTATAAACTATAATATTATCAACTACATGCCCTTTGTTGTGTGACAAATCCCCAGAACCTCCCTATTCTGCATGACTGAAACTCTACATCCGCTGAATAACTCCCCATGTCCCCTCCGTTAATTATGGTTTACAGACTTTAAAAAATAATAAAAATGTTTTCATAGGCACTGTTTCCAGCACTTTTTATTCCTTTGTGTAGATCCATGTTTTCATCTAGGATAATTTTTCTTCTACCTTAAGAATTTCCTTTAATATCTCTGCAAGTGCAGGCCTGGTGACTATGAATTATCTCAGTTTATTTTGGTCTGAAACAAACTTCAGCTTCTCTTGATTTTCAAAACAGCATTATTGAAGTGTAATTTACATACCATCAGTTCGCTCATTTTCTTCATTTTAGAAGAATATCTTCTCTGCATATAGAGTTCTAGGTTGATGGAGTTTTTTTGCTTTTGTTTTCTGTTCAGTACTTTCAAGATGTTATTCCTTGTCTTCTGGAACTTGCTGTGTTTCTGATAAGAAATTTGCTTCCATCCTTATTTATGTTTCTCTTATTCGTATTTTGTGTTTTGTCCTGATTGCTGTTAATATTTTCCCTTTATCACCACTTTTTAGGAATTTAAGTATGATGTGCCTTTATGTGCTTTTTTTGGTGTTTATGCTGCTCTGGGTTCTTTGGGCTTTGTGGATCAACAACTTGAGAGGTTTTACCATATTTGGACAAGTTTTGGATTGTTTCTTAAAATAGTATTTTGTCTTCCTCCTCCTGTTTTTCCGTGACTCCAATTACAAATATATTCAACCACTTGAAATTGTTCCATTGAGTCTCTGTTTATTTTTCCCACCCTTTCTTCCTCTCTCTATTCTTCCTTTTGAGTAGTTTTTATTGTGTCACTGATATTTTTTCTCCAGTTTCTAATTTGCTAATAATTCCATCCAGTGATTTTTTTCATGTTGTATTTTTCATACCTAGAAGTTCCATTTATTTATTTATTTATTTATTTTGAAACGAGTCTCATTCTGTTGCCCAGGCTGGAGTACAGTGGTGTCATCCTAGCTCACTGCAACCTCCGTGTCCCAAGTTCAAGTGATTCTCCTGTCTCAGCCTCCCAAGTAGCTGGGATTACAGGTGCCCACCACCACACCTGGCTAATTTTTGTATTTTTAGTAGAGACGGGGTTTCAACATGTTGGCCAGCCTGGTCTTGAACTCCTGACCTCAGGTGATCCACCTGCTTTGGCCTCCCAAAGTGCTGGGATTACAGGTGTGAGCCACCATGCCTGGCTTAGTTATTTTTAAATCTTCCATTTCTCTTTTCATTATATTCATATTTTTCTTCACATTCCTGAATATATTAAACATATCTATGATAGCTATTTTGTTTTCTAATTCCATAATCTTTCTCATTTCTGATGTTGTTTTTATTGACTATTTTTTCTTTTGTTTATGGATCACATTTTGCTGTTTCTTGGTGTATCTGTTATTTTTGGATTGGATGTTAGGCATTGTGAAATGTATGTTACAGAATTTTAGTGGCTTTCTCTAAAGAAATTTGGCCTTTGTCCCGTGAGGCAGCTAAGTTACTTTAAGATCATATTGATCCTCTTGATATTGAGGATTGAGTCTTGTTTTTAAGTTTTATGAGAGCTGGTCTGGAATAGTCTCTACTCTACAGATTTTTGTTTGTTCGTTTGTTTTGAGACAGAATCTCCCTCTGTTGCCCAGACAGGCTGGAGCACAGTGGCGCCATCTTGGCTCACTGCAACCTCCAACTCGCGGGTTCAAGTGATTCTCATGCCTCAGCCTTCTGAGTAGCTGGAACTACAGGCATGCGCCAGCACACCCAGCTAAGCTTTGTATTTTTAGTAGAGATGGGGTTTTGTCATATTGGCCAGGTTGGTCTCAAACTCCTGGCCTCAAGTGATCCACCCATCTTGGCCTCCCAAAATGCTGTGATTACAGGCTTGAGCCACTGTGCTCAGCCAGATCTACAGATAATTTTGCTCTACTACTAATACATGACCCTTCTGTTCTTTACTAAATGCCAAGGGTGTTTAATGAAGACTCTTCACTCTGGCTGGTCAGAGCTTGAATGTGTCCTAACCTTGTGTGAGCTCTGATAAATTTCCACTTTACAACTCTCTACATGTTCTTTATCTAGCTTTGTGGTGTTCACCCTTTTGTGCATGGCTTAGACTTTGGCATAAACTCAAGGGGACCCCTAAACAGATTTCTGAAGCTCCTTTTCTATAGAGTTCTTCTTATGTATAACTTTGCCCTGCTATTTGCAACTACTGTAGGCTCCATGAGTGCCAGTTTCTGTTCACCTCAACTAAACAAGACTTCCATACTCTCCTGGGATCTGTTATCCTGCACCATGGTCCAGAATGTATCCTCAGGGAGAAAGTTTAGGATTCATAGGGCTTACTATGCTTATTTTCCTTTTCTCAAGTTCACAGTTCTGTACCATTTGTCTGATGTATGAAAAAAATAGTTTCATATTTTGTCATGTTTCCTAGTTATTTTGGTAGAAGCATAAGCATGGGCCCTATTACTCCATCATTGCTCAAAGCGAAAGTCAAGACGTGTATTGCTTTAAGAGTGTGTAATTAGGCTGGGTGCGGTGGCTCATGCCTGTAATCCCAGCACTTTGGGAGGCTGAGGCAGGTGGATCACAAGGTCATGAGTTCGAGACCAGCCACGCAAACATGCTGAAACCCCGTCTTTACTAAAAAAATACAAAAATTAGCCAGGCATGGTGGCATGGGCCTGTAATCCCAGCTACTCAGAAGGCTGAGGCAGGAGAATGGCTTGAACCCGGGAGGCAGAGGTTGCAGTGAACCGAGATTGTGCCATTGCACTCCAGCCTGGTTGACAAGAGCAAGACTTCATCACAAAAAAAAAAAAAAAAGAAAAAAACCCAAAAACAAGATAGCCCATGGAACAGAATAGAGAGGAAGAGACAGGCCCCCACATATACTGTCCTCTGATTTATTACTAAAGTCCTACTGCAATTTAGTGGGAGGAGGAAGATCTTTTAAATAAATGGTAGAGAAAAAAATGAACTATATCCCTACCTTACATCATCCGTATAAATTAATTGGGGATGGAGCATAGACGTATGTGTAAAAGGATAAAGCTTTCAAAACAAACCATGGGAGAATATCTTCATAACCTTCAGGTAGGCAAAGATTTCTTTTTCTTTTTCTTTTTTTCTTGAGACGGAGTTTTGCTCTCCGGGCCACCATGCCCGGCTAGTTTTGTATTTTTTAGTAGAGACGGGGTTTCTCCATGTTGGTCAGGCTGGTCTCAAACTCCTGACCTCAGGTGATCTGCCCACCTTGGCCTCCAAAAGTGCTGGGATTACAGGCGTGAGCCACCGCGCCTGGCGAGGCAAAGACTTTTTAAACAGGGCATAAGAATAACTGAAAGAAAGACTAGTAATTGACTTCATTAAAATAAAAAACTTCTCCTCAACCAGTCACAAACTTAAGACAGTATAAAGGCAAACCGCAACTGGGGAGAGAATGTTTGCAATACATATTTTGGAAAAAGAACTCATAACTGGACTATATCATGAACCGTTTCAGAGCAATTTTTTAAAAAGACTGACAACACAAGTTTCAAAAAGATCAAAAGACTTGGATAGGCATTTTGCAAAAGAAGATATCCAAATGGCTAATAAACATTTCTAAAAGTGTTCAACGTCATTATCTATCAAGTACAGGCAAATTAAAACTACCATAAGGTAGCACCTCATATCCATCTAATTTTAGAATGACTAAAGTGAATAGGCTGAGAAATCTAAGAGTTGGTGAAGATATAAAGAAACTAGGAGTCTCATATATTGCTTATGTGAGTATAAATTTCCATAAACATTTTAGAAAACTACTAGGCAGCATCTACTAAAGCTAAGCAAACATATAATGCATGACTGGGCAACTCAGCTCCTGGGCTGAGTATATACCCAAGAGAAATGAATGCATATGTCCACTAAAAGACATGTATATAGCATACTCATAGCAGCATTAATAGTAATAGCCCCGAATTTGAAGTGAACCAAATGTTAGTCAACAGTAGAATGAATACATTGTGGTATAGTTGTATCTGGAATACTACACAGCAATGACAAATGATTAACTGGATGCAATAACATGGGTGAACCTCACAGACATAAAGTTGAGCAAAAGAAGACATGAAAAATTACCCTCTTTGGGTTCTCTTTTTATATAAAGTTCAGGTAAAATATTGTATGATGATAGAGTTCAGAATAGTGATAATATTTCTTGAGGGGTATTAGCTGATATAGTGCATAAGGAGACATTATGGGGTTCTGAAAATTCCTATATCTTTATCTGATGGAAATTACATATGTAACAGTGGATCTGTACACTCAAGATTTGTGCACTTTGTTGCCTATAAATTACATCCCAATTTTAAAAATTCTTGTATTTCTTACAGCAAGCATAAAACTAATGATGTGCTAATTATTTTTGACTTCCATATTTTCTTCTGGTAGTTCACATTATATATATTAAAGTTAGTTGTTCAACATGACTCTGGTTCCTGCACAATCTAGTTGAATGGAGTAATAGTTACATTTTGAAATTTTACGTATGCAGTGGTTCCTTGGTATCCGTGGGAGGCTGGTTCCAGAACCCTCTTGGATACCAAAATCTGCAAATGCGAAAGTCCCTGATATTAAATGGCATAGTATTTGCATGTAACCTATGCACATCCTCCTGTGTACTTTAAATCATCTCCAGATTACTTATAATATCTAATGCAAGGTAAATGTTATATAAATAATTGTTATATTGTATTGTTTAGGTAATAATGGCAAGGAAAAAAGTCTGTGTATGTTCAGTGCAGACACAACCATTCATTTTTTTCCTGAATATTTTCGATCCTTGGTTGGTTCAATCCTCGGATGCAGAACTGTGGATACAGAGGGCCGACTGTTATTTCTTCTCTCACTATGTTGCCCGTTAAACTATTAATTTCATTTTGAACTCGCCATCTCAGACAGTGATTGTTTATCATTACTTTTTTATCCATTTTACATGTTTGTCCATTCTATCATCAAATTTCAAAATCTTTTCCACTAAAGCTAGAAAATAGATATTTTTCTTTCCTGGAAATAATGTGCTTTTGTTGGCTAAATATCAAAACATAACATTATTCTTTTAAGAATATCATGGCAACGTTTTATATCAAAGCTTATATTCATTTAATACTCTCAATTGTTGCTATTTTTAAGCCTTTTTTAGATATAATTATTAGATACAATTTCAACAGCTCTGGATTCAGAGAGACAGATATCGATGTGTTCTTTAATAAATTGTGGTGTGTGTGTATGTGTGTGTGATGTAAGGCCCTCTAAAGCACAGGAACCAGAGATAGACTCCTTTTGCCTCAATTCAAAGAGGCTACTGGCTGGGTTCATCTGTTTTTTTTGTTTGTTTGTTTTTGTTTTTGTTTTTTTTTCTGAAAAAAGATTTTTCTGTTTTATTGTCTTTTACATTAAAAAAAATTGGAATGTGGAAACAATTCAAAGACTACAAAAGGATATATAGAAAAAGTGAGTTTCTCTCGCTCATTCCCACTGCCTTTGCGTTCCAAGGCAGCATCCGGTCCTGGGCACTGTGTCTCCTCTAAGAGGCTTTCCACACACATCTAAACACACACACTCTAACACTCGCTCTGTTTTCCCCACAATCCGCAGCATGCAGCCTGCTGTGTCCACCTCACATACGCACTGGACCTTGTCCTCACTGGGACGTCCAGATGAGTGAGTGGCTACAGAATAGCATGGCTGGTGAGCGCCTGGTGAGGTGACAAACCAGCTCTCCAGAAAAATTCAGAGCTCTGAGCCGTAGCCATTGCCAATGCTCATGGTGTAAATATTGCACCGTGGCTGGGCCAAGCTACCAACAGTCTAACAACTGACTGGCGAATTGTCCAGAATACTTTTTTTTTTTTTTTTAAGTATTTATTGATCATTCTTGGGTGTTTCTTGGAGAGGGGGATTTGGCAGGGTCATAGGACATTAGTGGAGGGAAGGTCAGCAGATAAACAAGTGAACAAAGGTCTCTGGTTTTCCTAGGCAGAGGACCCTGCGGCCTTCCGCAGTGTTTGTGTCCCTGGGTACTTGAGATTAGGGAGTGGTGATGACTCTTAACCAGCATGCTGCCTTCAAGCATCTGTTTAACAAAGCACATCTTGTACCGCCCTTAATCCATTTAACCCTGAGTGGACACAGCACATGTTTCAGAGAGCACGGGGTTGGGGGTAAGGTTATAGATTAACAGCATCCCAAGGCAGAAGAATTTTTCTTAGTACAGAACAAAATGGAGTCTCCTATGTCTACTTCTTTCTACACAGACACCGTAACAATCTGATTTCTCTTTCTTTTCCCCACATTTCCCCCTTTTTCTATTCGACAAAACTGCCATCGTCATCATGGCCCGTTCTCAATGAGCTGTTGGGTACACCTCCCAGACGGGGTGACGGCTGGGCAGAGGGTCTCCTCACTTCCCAGACGCGGCGGTCGGGCAGAGGCGCCCCCCCACCTCCCGGACGGGGCGGCTGGCCAGGCGGGGCTGCCCCCCATCTCCTGGACGGGGTGGCGGCCAGGCAGAGACGCTCCTCACTTCCCAGATGGGGTGGCAGCCGGGAAGAGGTGCTCCTCACTTCCCAGACTGGGCCGGGCAGAGGGCCTCCTCACATCCCAGATGATGGGTGGCCGGGCAGAGACGCTCCTCACTTCCTAGATGGGATGGTGGCTGGGAAGAGGCGCTCCTCACTTCCCAGACTGGGCGACCGGGCAGAGGGGCTCCTCACATCCCAGACGATGGGCAGCCAGGCAGAGACGCTCCTCACTTCCCAGATGGGGTGGCGGCCGGGCAGAGGCCGCAATCTCGGCACCTTGGGAGGCCAAGGCAGGCGGCTGGGAGGTGGAGGCCGCAGCGAGCCCAGATCACGCCACTGCACTCCAGCCTGGGCAACATTGAGCACTGAGTGAGCGAGACTCCGTCTGCAATCCCGGCACCTCGGGAGGCCGAGGCGGGCAGATCACTCGAGGTCAGGAGCTGGAGACCAGCCCGGCCAACACGGCGAAACCCCGTCTCTCTTAAGTCTGGGAGAAGCACAAAAACGTGTTTGTCATCAAATCTACCTATCCAGCCCCAACATTCCCCTGGAGTTCTAATCCCATAATTCCAACCGAGTACTAGAAATATTATTTTACATGTTCCATAGGCATCTTCAACTCATGTTCAAAATCAAACTTATAATTTTCTCCTCCATACCTCCTTTCCCTCCTGTGTTTCTTATTTTAGTGAATGGCACCACAATCCGCTCAGTCATCCAAGCCAAACTCTGGGATGATCTTGGGCTCTTCTTTCTCCTACCACCAAGTCCTTCTTATTTGAACATATACATGCATACTGATAATGTTCTGTTTCTTGATCAGGGTTGGTGACAGGCATATGTTTACTTTGTGACATAGTTATCAAATTGTACACTTCTAATTTATGCACTGTATGCAGATATATATACACATCTATATACATATACAATGCAATTACAATTTAATAAAACTAAATTTTAAAAATTTAATTCATTAAAAATGAAAAATGTACTTTAAAAATGTACCTCTAAAACTGCTTTAAATTATATAAATGTAACAGAATGCCATGATTAGGTACAAATTAGGGCTCAGGTCTTTCGGAGAAAAGTTAGGCAAATCTCTTCCCTTTGTATCCATTTGTATTTACGATTTACATAAGACCTGAGTAATCTCTGAAGAGAAGTCCTGACCTATTTCAGACATATACAAATATGACTATGGACTGCGGGTGACCCCAACAGAAGCCGGCGGGCAGAGAAGGAGATCAGAAGTCAGTGAGGGAGACTCACTATAAATAGAAGGAGTTGGCACATGAACCAACTCTAGCAATAGATCGTAAGTAATGGAACGGAGTGCTGGTTCCAGGTGTAAGACAGAGGCTGATACTGGAGATAATTTAAATTTGGTCACTCCAGTGGTAGATGTGCACCCTGGGAGACATGGGTTATGAGTTTGAGTTGAAAGAATGAAACCACTGATCTCTAAAACGTAATGAGGTTCAGTCAACCTTACTACGATCCCCTCCTCTCTTCCACTGAGTACTCCTCAAAGGGAGCATCTCTTTCTTACTTCCAAGGAGCAAAAACACAAACCTTCTCCCTTGAATGCAATGCAGCCTCCAAGTTCCATGGCCTTCAGGCTACGGCCGAATTCCCGCTCCACCTGCATGTGGCATGGCTGCGTTCTTGCTTCATTGGTTCGTAGTGGTGGTGGTGGTGATAACATCAGCAGGGATAGAGTTACAGCAGGAGTTTGACTCTTGTGAAATTATTAGGGCCTGAGGTTATGGAGTCCCTGCCTGGATGTCCATGGCAATGAGAAAAAGAGCCATATAACTAACAGCTCAGGCAATTTCACTGCAGGACTTCTCCAACTGAGCATAACACAGAAAAATCATTCTCTCCATTTCACAAGAGATAACTTTAATCTCAGGCATCAAGCCAAAGCAGCAGCATTTCAATTCCACTAACAATGGCACATGGCAATGATTGGAGTCAACTGCCACTGTGGAGAGGCCCTTCCCTGAATGGTTGGGTTCTGAGTATGCAGATTTATGGCTTGGCTAGCCATGGCCTAAAGCCTCCACATTTTGCTTGCTTGCAAAAATTCTACGTTAGCCAGGCATGGTGGCTCATGCCTGTAATCCCAGCACTTTGGGAGACTGAGGCAGGGAGATCACTTGAGCTCAGGAGTTTGAGACCAGCCTGGGCAACATGGTGAAACCATGTCTCTACAAAAAATACAAAAATTAGCTGGCCCTGGTGGTGTGTGCCTGTTGTCTCAGCTACTTGGGAAGTTGAGGCAGAATTGCTTGAGCCTGGGAGGAGGAGGTTGCAGTAAGCCAAGACTGTACCATTGCACTTCAGCCTGGGTGACAGAGCAAGACCTTGTATCAAAAAAAAAAAAAAAAAAAAAAGAAGAAGAAGAAAAGAAAAATCTCAGAAAGTTTGAGATTTCTGCTTACCTTTATGAAATTTTTATTTTTTATATTTTTAGATGGAGTCTGACTATGTTGTCCAGTCTGGAGTTCAGTGGCTATTGACAGGCATGATCATATCACACTGAAGCCTCAAACTCCTGGGCTCAAGCTGTCCTCCTGCTTCAACCTTCCAAGTAGCTGGGACTACTCAGAACTAGCCCCTGCACCCAAACCTTTGTGAGATTTTATAATACCTCAGAATGAAAGTCTAGGATGCAAGAAATAATAAAAAAGCAAATGGTAAATATGTGGATTAATAGGGCCGGGTATGGTGGGTCACACCTATAATCCCAGCATTTTAGGAGGCCAAGGCAGGAGGATTGTTTGAGTCCAGGAGTTTGACACCAACCTGGGCAGCATAGTGAGACCTCATCTCTACAAAAACTAAACAAAAATTAGCTGGGCATGGTGGTGTGTGCCTGTAGTCCCAGCCACCTGGGAGGCTGAGGTGGGGATCGCTTTAGCCTGGGTGGAAGAGGCTGCAATGAGCTGAGATTGTGTCACTGCACTCCAGCCTGGGTAACAGAGCAAGACAATCTGTCTCAAAAAAAAAAAAAAGATAAATATAAGTAGATCTTGAGTGTATAAAATTGTAATAATAAGGTCTAGTGGGTTTTTCAAAGGTAGAATTAAAACAGACAATTGTGTGTGTGTGTGTAGGTATACATATATATATAGAGAGAGGAAAGAATGGAGTTACAGTGTGTCTAAGTTTCTTGTATTTTGGAGTCTGATTAACTTCAGACTTTGATAAGTTAAGTATATATGCTAAAATTTCTAGAGCAATCATTAAAAGAATAGAAAGAATGTATAAATTCCAAAATAGTTGTAGGAAATTTGAAATAAGAGACATTCAAGAGAAGTGGAAATCCAAGTACCATTTCAGAATGATTAAACTGTGTGGGGATAGTGGTAAAAGATGAGGTTAATGATATAGGAATTGACCTCATAGGTTGTGATGTATAAAATATATAATATATATATAATCTAAGCTTTATGTATATGTGTGTGTGTGTGTGTGTTTATGAAATCCACCAGAACTTATTTGTATGTGTGTGTGTATGTGTGTGTGTGTGTGTGTGTGTGTGTGTGTGTGTGTGTTTTCCAGACATGATCTCACTCTGTCACCCAGGCTGGAGTACAGTGGTGCAATCATGGCTCATTGCAGCCTCGACCTTAACCTCCCAGGCTCAACCAATCCTCCCACTTCAGCCTCTATGTAGCTGGGACTACGGGTGCATGCCACCACTCCGGCTAATTTTTTTTTGTATTTATGTGAAGATGAGGTCTTGCTTTCTTGCCTGGGCTGTTCTCAAACTCCTGGGCTCAAGTGATCTGCCCACCTTGGCCTCCCAGAGTGCTGGGATGACAGGCGTGAGCCACTGTGCCTGATCTGGATTTCCTTTTAATTATTCTACTTGAAATTTGTTGGGCGTCCATAGCTTGATATCTTCATCAGTTCTGGAAAATCATCAGCCCTTGTCTCTCCACGTATTGTTCCTGCTCCATTCTCTCCCTCTTTTTTGGGCTTCCGATTAGACATACCTTGGACTGTTTCATGTTCCCTTCTTAACTTGTCTCTCACAGTCTCTCTCTAGGATGCTTTTTGTGTGTATTTTTCAGCTCTCTCTTCTTGCTCTTTGATTCTATTAGCACCTGCTTCCAGTTGGCTGTAAAACCAATTTATTGAGTTTTATGTTTCAGTTATATTTTTCACTTCTAGATGTTCCATTTAGGTCCTTTCCTTATTTGCTTGGTCATTCTTTAAAATTTTCTGTTTTCTGCTCATATTTTGTCTTTTATTTTTTAATGGACTTAAGATTCATAGAACTGGATAAATCATAATTCTTGGTTTATGGTTCACTGTCATCAGTGCACATGGACCTCTTATTTGTGTATGAGTATATATCTGCAGACATTTGTAAAAGAATGTAATAAATGCCTAGATTCCCACCACCCAACCCAAGAGCTGCAAGAGTACTCTCCCCAACTCTCCCCTATCCTACAACTCTGCCTCCTCCTTTCCAAATTTGTGATTTACACTCTGGTTTCTCTTCAAATTGTATAAATCTTTCGCCTTTTACCAAATTTGTGATTTACATTCCCTTTGTTTTTATAGTTTTATCAAATGTATATGTGGCCTAAATATTATTCAGTTTTAGTCACTTTATGGTATATATAATCTTCTAGGACTTTTCAGAAAAAACCTCAATGTTATATTCACTTAGATTTATTCATATTTTTGCATGCTCTATATAATATTTCATTGTGTGACTATTCTGTGACTATTTTATCCATTCTTTTGTTAGCAGGCATTTGGTTGTTTCTAGTTTTCTTTCCCCTACCACGAACAATCTTGCTATGAATATTCTTGTATCTGTCTCTTGATTAAATATGAGCAGAAGTTCCATTGGGTACATATTAATAACTAGGGGTGAAATGCTAAGTTTTAAGTGTATGAAAGATTAGTAGTCGGCTAGCATCTGGTTTGGCTGGATCTGTTCTGCTTGGTCAGTCCCGTGTGGTACTGGTTGTTAAAACTTTGCATGTTATCCTTGAGGGACTATGAATGGCAAACTTTGCAAGCCAAATTATTTTAAAATGCTTATTCTAATCTATACACCACCAAAAAATGTGTAAGAAATCCTGTTGATTCACATTCTGTCCAACAGTTGAGATTGTCAGATTTCTTAATTTTTGCCAATCTGATGAGAGCACATTGGTTTCTCATTCTGGTCTTCATTTGCATTTCCCTTGTTACTAATAAATTTGAGCATGTCCTCAAGCATGTATCTGCTATATGTGTTTTCTCTGAGAAGTGCCTGCTTATGTATCTTGCTTATGTATCTTATGTATCATGCATTTTTCTATTTGATTGCCTTTTTCTTATTGATTTGAAGGAGTTCATATTAAAAAAAATCCTAGATCCTGATTCTTGGTCAGTTACGTATGTTACAAATATCTCCTCCCCATTTATAGTTTGTCTTTTCACTTTCTTTAAGATGATTTATGAATAGAAGTTCTTAACTTTAATATAGTCAAAGGTATCCAGCTTTTCATTCCTAGATAGTCCTTTTCTTTTTTTCAACTTGTTTAAGAAAATCTTCTTAATTCAAGGTCAGAAAGACATTTGCCTATACTTCTGTGATGGTTAATTTTATGTGTTAACTTGAGTGGGTCATGGAGTGCCCAGATACTTGGTTAAACATTATTTCTGTGTGTGTTTGTGAGAGTGTTTCTGAATGAGATTAACATTTAAATTGCAGACTGAGAAAGCAGATCACCCTCCCCAGTGTGGATGGGCCTCATCCAGTTCATTGAAGCCCTGAGTAGAATAAAAAAGCTGAGTAAGAAAGAATTCTTTTTCTCTGCTTGACTGTCTTCAAGCTGGGACATCAGTTCTTCTTCCATCTTTTGACTTGAACTGGAACTCTACTATTAGCTTTCCTGGGTCTCCAGCTTGCCTTACTGCAGATCTTGAGACTTCTCAGCTTCCGTAACTGTGTGAGCCAATTCATTATACTTATCTATCTACCTGTCTGTCTCTCTATGCATCTATGCATCTATCTATCTATCTATCTATCTATCTATCTATCTATCTATCATCTATCTATCTATCTATCATCTATCTATCTATCTATCTATCTATCTATCTATCTGTCTATATCTATCCATCCATCCATACACACACACACACACACACACACACGCACACACACACCTTTGTTGGTTCTCTTTGTCAAAAGAACCCAGACAAATGCAACTTCTTTTTATTTATTAATTTTTTTTGAGACAGAGTCTCCCTCTGTCACCCAGGCTGGAGTGCAGTGGCACAATCTTGGCCCACTGCAACATCCACCTCCTGGCTTCAAGTGATTCTCGTGCCTCAGCCTGCCGAGTAGCTGGGACTACAGGTGCGCGCCACCACACCCAGGTAATTTTTGTATTTTTAGTAGAGACAGGGTTTCGCTGTGTTGGCCAGGCTGGTCTCAAACTCCTGGCCTCAAGTAATCCACCCACCTTGGTCTCCCAAAGTGGTGAGATTACAGGCGTGAGCCACTGTGCCTGCCCGCAACTTCTGTTAAGAGTTTTGCATTTGACATTTAAATCATTAACCCAATCCAACTGGAGATGAATTGTGTATTGTGTGAAGTAGGAATTCAATTAATTACTTTTCCAAATGGGTAATCCTTTCCCCTACTTTTTCCACTTATCTGCCATGCTGCCTCTGTTACATATCTAAGTTCTCCATATAAATATGTTTTTGAGCTCTCTAGTCTATTGTACTGATCATGTTGTCTCTCTGAGCCAGCATCACATGGTCTTGATGCTATATCTTTTTAATAAGTCCTGATCCTGATAAGGCAAATAACACCTCTTTATTCTTCTTCAGAAGTGTTTAGGTTAATTAATGAGATCTCCTAGTACCCAGTTTGGAGCTTTTAATACCATTTTGAATTAAAAGCATTCTAAATCCTTGGAAAAAATGGCTATTTTGTACAGAAAATGCACAAAATTAATTGAAATGCTTTCTTGTATTAAAAAGCAAGGAAACTACCAAATATGGGCTTGTGAAGGACCCAGCAGCCAACTTAAGCTACCTTTGGTCAAATTTGGGAAAAATAGAGCATAATAGAAGAATACCTTCAATGGATTAAAATATATCAAACATGTTTAAATGCATGAGTTCATTATCTTACCAAAGGCCGGGCACAGTGGCTCATGCCTGTAATCTCAGCACTTTGGGAGGCTGAGGTGGGTGGATTACTTGAGACCAGGAGTTCAAGACCAGCCTGGGCTACATGGCAAAACCCTGTCTCTACAAAAAATACAAAAATTAGCTGGAGGTGTTGGTATGTGCCTGTGGTCCTAGCTATTCTGGAGACTCAGGCAGGAGGAGCTTCTGAGCCTGGGAGGTTGAGACCTCAGTGAGTCATAATTGTGCCACTGTACTCCAGCCTGGGCGACAGAGTAAGACCCTGTTTCAAAAAAAAAAAAAAAGTTATAACTTTACCAAAGAAAACCCCACAAAATCCTTATTAGTCACCTTTGTAATATGCAAGGGAACCAAATTATTACTTTTATTTCATTTTTATTGAGTTAAAAAAGACACATACTAAAGTGCATCTTAAAGGTATAGATCTTAATATATACAACCTAATGTACAACCTTAAATGTATTGATTGATGAAAATTTACCTGTATGTATATCTATGTAACCATTACTCAAAAGATGTATATATCTACTAATGGAAATATACAACACTACTAATGAAATCTTGCCCAAAAATTGAACCTGTATCTGAGCAAACCACTAAAACTAATTACAAGTTTACAGGAAATATAGGGGATAGAGAAATATGATAAAACTTCAGAGGCAAAATCCAAACTGGGAAATTCTCAGGATAAACGATTTGGTTTCTTCAACAAATACAATTGCTGGAATAAAAAAGAAGGAGGGAATCTACAGATTAAAAAAGACTTAAGTGGGCCGGGAGCCATGGCTCACTCCTGTAATCCCAACACTTTGGGAGGCCGAGGTGGGTGGATCATTCGAGGTCAGGAGTTCGAGACCAGCCTGGCCAACATGGTGAAATCCATCTCTACTAAAAATACAAAAATTAGCAGAGTGTGGTGACGTGTGCCTGTAATCCCAGTTACGCTGGAGGCTGGGGTGGGAGAATTGCTTGAACCCAGGAGGCGGAGGTTTCAGTGAGCCAAGATCATACCACTGCACTTCAGCATGGGCAACAGAGTGAGACTCCATCTCAGAAAAAAAAGCTTAGATTACATCAATTGATTATAATGTATAAGAAAAATCAGAGAAATTTGATTGGATATTTAACTAGATATTTAATGATTATTATGATATTAAGAAATTATTAAAATTTTTAGATGTAATGGTATTGTGATTATGTTTATCAAAAATTTTTTTATTATAGAGATAGCTACTAAAATATTTATTGATAAAGTACAATGTTTAGCAATTGCTTCAAAATAGTACAAAGAGAGGAAGAGTAGAAAGTATAGATTACGGCTGGGCATGGTAGCTCACATTTGTAATCCCAGCACTTTAGGAGGCCAAGGCAGGTGGATCACCTGAGGTCAGGAGTTTGAGACCAGCCTGGCCAACATGGTGAAACCCCGTCTCTACTAAAAATACAAAAATTAGCTGGGCATGGTGGTGCCCACCTGTGGTCCTAGCTACTCAGGAGGCTGAGACAGGCGAATCGCTTGAACCCGGGAGGCAGAGGTTGCAGTGAGCCGAGATAGCACCACTGCACTCCAGCCTGGGCAACAGAGCAAGACTCCATCTCAAAAACTATATATATATATATATATGGATTAGACAACATTGGCTAAGAGTTTATAATAATTGAATCTGGGTAACAAATACATGGGGAGATATTTTTCTATTTTATTTAAAAAATATGTTTGAAACTTGTCATGATAAAAAGTTAAAAAATTGTAACTTAGTTCTTGATTCTTAACTTTTTCATACTAATTTCAGAATCAGGTTATCAAATTGCATGTATTTTGATTGAAATTGCATTGAATCTAGGGATTAATATTGGAAGAACTGACATCATTGCAAATTATAATTTTTTAATCCATGAATGTGAAATATTTCTCCATTTATTAAGTCTTTTAAAATGAATATCAGTAAATATTCATAATTTTATTAATCTTTTATTATATTTATTATTAATATATAATTTTTTGTAATGATTGTAAATGGTATACTTTTAAAATTATGTTTTATTATTGTGCAAATATAAACATGCAAATGACTTTTGTATATTGATATTTTATCCAGACTCCTTGCTAAATACAAGTACTCTAACAATTTGTTTAGATTCTTTTTTATTTTCTAGTTAATTATTATGTCATCTGAAAATAATGATAGCTTTATTTTTGCCTTTTTAATCCCAATATGTGTGCACCTAATAAAATAGAATTAAAATATATAAAGAAAATTTGATAGGGCTACAAAAGACAAGAGGTAGACAATCCTCCACCATGGTGGGAGATTTCAATACATTTTAAAAGTTGTTGATAGGTCAAACAGATAGAAATTTAGTAAATATGTTGAAGATATGAACAATGAAATTGAAAAACAGAGACTTAACATATACATAATTCTGCTTCTTACAGTTGGAGACTACAAAATCTTCAGAATTGTCTTGGTTGTCCAATTGCTGCAGAAACTTGGTAGTGTAAAACAACTACAAGTATTTATTATTTCTCAGATTCTGTGGGTCAGAATTTAGGAGTGGCTTAGTTGGGTGATTTTGGCTTAAGATTTCTCATGAAATTCGGAGAGATGTTGTCAGGAGCTGCAGTCATCTGATGGCTTGACTGGAGCTGAAGGATCTGCTGTCAAACTGACTCACTCACATAATCACCAGGTTGGTGCTAATGGCTGGAGGTGATGCAGGACCGATGAGCCCCCAAATTGGGGCTTAGCCCAGGAGGGTCCTTGGCTTCACCCAGGAAGGAATTCAAGGTCTAGCAGTGGTGGTTAGACAGCAACTTGTAACTTCTATTGAAGTGGCCGTGCACAGTAGCAGCAGAGCTGCTGCTCCTTGAAGAGCAGGGCTACCCTACAGGCAGTGTGCCCAGAGTAGCAGCTCAGAGGCAGTTCTGCACTCATATTTATACCTACTTTTAATTATATGCAAATTAGGGGGCAGGTTATGCAGAAATTTCTAGGAAAAGGGTGTTAACTTCTGGATTCATTGCCAGGTCAGGTCATTGCCATGGAAAGGGGCAGTAACATCTGGATATTGCCATGGCAATGGTAAACTGACATGGCACACTGCGGGGGGCATGTCTTATAGAAAGCTGCTTCTACCGCAGCCCTGTTTTAGCTAGTTGTCTATTTGGTCCCGTGTCCCCACCTCTGGAGTTGAGTCCCACCTCCTACCTCAGAAGGAGGGCTCACTTCCTCCCCATGTAGGTCTGCTTGAATGTCTTCATGACATGGCAGCTGGCTTCCCAGAGTTAGCTATTGAGCTACCTCAGACAGCAAGGTGAAAGCTGCAATGTATTTTATGATCTAGCCTAAGGAGTCATACACTGTCATTTCTGCAAATTCTATTGCTTGTACATGTTATCCCTATTATCCAATGTGGGAGGAGGCTACCCAAGGTCAGACATACAACGAGATGAGAGTAAATGAAGCCACCTTGGAGACGGACAGCTACGCACACACACAGAACATTTACAAACTTTGATCATATACTAGTCACAGAGCAAGTTTCAACAAACTTCAAAGAATAAGTACCATACAGGCAAGATTCTTTGATCACAATTCAATTAAGTTAGAAGTTAACAACAAAAATATAAACTAAATATTACTATCTAGAAATGAAAAATACACTTCCAAATAACTCATAGGTCAAAAAAATCATAATATGAATTTAAAAATACTTGGAACTAAATGATAATGAAAACATATGAGATGCAGTGAAAACAGTTCTTTAAAGATGGTTTATAGCCTTACATATTTATATTAAAAAAGAAGAAAAGCTGAAAATTAAGGAATTAAAACAGTTCTTTAAAGATAGTTTATAGTCTTACATATTTATACCAAAAAAGAAGAAAAGCTGAAAATTAAGGAATTAAAACTGTTCTTTAAAGATAGTTTATAGCCTTACATATTTATATTAAAAAAGAAGAAAAGCTGAAAATTAAGGAATTATATTTTCAACTTAAGCAGTTACTTAAAGAATGAGTAAACCCAAAGAACGTAGAAGGAAGTAGATAATAAAAATGGGAGCAGAATCAACAAATTAGAAAAGATACAACAGAGAAGATCAACAAAGTTAAGAAGCTAAGCATTTGATTCTTTTTCTTTTTCTTTTTGAATAGAGACAGGGTCTCACTATGTTGCCCATGCTAGTCTTGAACTCCTGAGCTCGATCAATCCTCACACCTTAGCCTCCCAAAGTGCTAGGATTACAGGCATGAGCCGCCACACTTGACCTAATTCTTTTTTTCTTTTTTTCTTGAGAAGGAGTCTCGCTCTGTCACCCAGGCTGGAGTGCAGTGGTGTGACCTCAGCTCACTGCAACCTCTGTCCCCTGGGTTCAAGCGATTCTCCTGCCTCAGCCTCCCGAGTAGCTGGGACTACAGGTGCCTGTCACCACACCCTGCTAACTTTTGTGTTTTTAGTAGAGGCGGGGGTTTCACCATGTTCTCCAGGCTGGGCTCGAACTCCTGACCTCAAATGATCCACCCACCTTGGCCTCCCAAAGTGCTAAGATTACAGGCGTGAGCTACCACACCTGGCCTAATTCTTTAAAATGATTAAAATATGGATCTCTGGCAATGTGAATCAAGAAAAAGAAAGCAGGTGCAAATACATATTATAAAGGAGGACATAATTATAGGTAAAGCAGAGATTTAAATGATAAAATAATTTTATAATAACTTTATGGCAATACATTTGAAAACTTAGACAAAATAGACATATCCTTTAAAAATATAACCTATTAGAAGTGGTTAAAAAATAGAAAGCCTGAACTAGTAGTTTAGATAGTCCTGTGATATGGTTTGACTCTGTGTCCCCACCCAAATCTCATGTTGAATTACAATCCGCAGTGTTGGGGGAGGGGCCTGGTGGGAGGTGATTGGAAGATGGGAGTGGATTTCCCCCTTGCTATTCTCATGACAGTGAGTTCTCACAAGATCTGGCTGTTTAAAAGTGTATAGCACTTCCCCCTTTGCTCTCTCTCTCCTGCTCCTACATGTGAAGACGTGCTCAAGTCCCCTTTGCCTTCTACCGTGATTGGAAGTTTCCTGCGGGCTTCCAGTCATGCTTTCTGTACAGCCTGCAGAACTGTGAGTCAATTAAGCCTTTTTTCTTCATAAATTACCCAGTCTTGGGTGAGAACTGGATAATTTACAGCAGTGTGAGAATGGACTAATACATCCTGTTAAGGAAATAGAAGCACTAGGAAAAAAAATTATAAACACCAGTTCTACAGATGAAACACATGTCTTACACAAATCTCACAAAAACTTACAAATATCAGATAATTCCAGTCTTATACAAACTTTTTCAGAGAAAAAGAAAAGAGGTGGTTGGGCACGGCTACAGATTAGCTGGGCGTGGTGGTGTGCCTGTAATCCCAGCTACTAGGGAGGCCGAGGCAGGAGAATCGCTTGAACCCTGGAGGCGGAGGTTGTGGTCAGCCGAGATTGCACCATTGCCCTCCAGCCTGAGCAACTTTGAAACTCTGTCTCAAAAAAAGATAAAAAAGAAAAGAAAAGAAAACAGGTAATACTCCCCTAACTCATTCTACAAGGCTAGACTAACCTAGATGCCAAATCACAGAAAACAAAGAGGAAAATTCAGGCTTATTTTTGTTTATTAATATAGATGCAAAAATCCAAAACAAAATATTTGCTGATTGAATCTGATGATATTGTCTATGTAAAATAAACCATAACACTCTATGAGTGAGTTGGGTTTATCCCAGGAAAGTAAAATTTAATATTAGGAAAATCTCTAAATATAATTGAACACATTATATGATCAAGTGAAAAGATCCAGCCTTTGATTAATTTCAACATACATTTGACAAAAACTCTCAGTAAATTAGAAATAAAGTGGAACTTCATTCACCTGATCAAGACGGGTCTCCAAAAACCCTATAATAAATGTCATCCTAAAGAAGAACTGTCAGAAACATTAAAGTTATGAACATGACAAATACACCCACCATCACTGCTTCTATCCAACATTGTACTCTAGGACCCAGCCAGCACAATAAGACAAGAAAAATAAGTCAAAGGAGCAAGATTATTTTATTTCTCTAAATATACTCAACATAGTTATTTTATATTCTGTGTCTCATAATACTATTAGTTGTTATTTGCAGGTATTTTTCTACTATGTGTTGTTTTTGCTGGTTGTATCAGTTAGGGTTCTCCAGGGAAATAGAGCCAGTGGTCTATATGTAGACATATGGAAGGGGATTTATCAGGGGAATTGGCTCACACAATTATGAAGGCCAAGAAGTCCCACGATACACTGTCTGAAAGCTGGAAAACCAGGAAAGCCAGTGGTGTAATTCAGCCTGAGCCCAAAGGCCTGAGAATTGAGGCAGACAATGGTATAACTCTCAGTTTGAGCCTGAAGGCTTGAGAACCAGGAGCTCTGATGTCCGAGGGCTGGAGAAGATGGATGTCCCAGCTCAAGAAGAAAGCAACTTTGCCTTGCTCTGCCTTTTTTGCTCTATTTGGGACCTCAATAGATTGGATGATGCCTGCTTACACTGATGAGGTCAGATCTGTACTCAGTTTACTGATTCAAATGCTGATATCTTCTGGTAACACCCTCACAGACATATCGAGAAATAATGTTTTACCAGCTATCTGAGTATCCCTTAACCCAGTCAAGTTGACACATAAAAATGAACAATCACATTGTTTCTTATTTACAGTGCCATGTTTCCTTGTGTGTTCAGTGACAGACATTTAACTGTGAGTTATTCATTTTCTTTGGAATTTTATCTGTGGAAATTATTTGAGGCCTGAGACAAAGATTTACATTTGCTTCTGCTGGGCACCTGAGGCACTACCAATCTGGTACATTTTATACCAAATTCTTGGCTTGAGTTTTTCCAGATCCTTTAGGTAGAGTGGATCTGACTGCATGTGATGTGAAATTTAACTCGTAGTAATGGATACTCAGGAGGTGATTCTTCCTTCCTACACTCATTACTACTGCCAAGGTTTAAAGCTTGCAATTTTCTTACAATTTCCTAGGTTTGGGGATGAGGTTTTTTCTAGCTCTCCTGTACATTGAGAGTACAGCCCTTTGGGGTTCTAAGCTTATGCAGGGGAGTATGTGACCATCTTGGGCAGACTCGGGTTTTATCTTTTATCTCTGGTGCCCTGAGAGATCATGAAAACTGAAGTTAAATTTCATCTGTCAGCAAATGACCCTGTATTAGTTATTAAATGCCATAATATTGCGGCATAATACCATACCATACCAAAGCTCAGTAGCTTAAATTAATAAGCATTCATTATTGCTCAAGAGTCTTCAAATTGGCTCGACAGTTCTTCTCATTCAGCTGGTCTCACTAATGTGTCTGCAGTCAGCTGTGGACAGGTAGATATCTCTGCTGCTCTTGCCTGGGCTCTCTCACATGTTTGGAGATCTGCTGGCTATAGGCGGGTCCATGATGATCTTGGCTGGGACAGTTGGGATGGTATAGCTCTCTTCCACCTTGTCACTCATCCTCCAGCTGTCTCAGGCTTGAGGCTTGTTCTTATAGTGAAGGCAGGAGACCAAGAGAAATAGTAGAAGTATTCATGTCTCTGAAGGCCTAAGCTCAGAACTGGCACTACATGACTTCTTCCAGATTCCATTGGCGAAAGCAAGTTACAAGTCCACTCAGATTTAAGGGGTGGGAAAGTAGGGTCTGCCTCTTTTTTTTTTTTTTTCTCCTCAGAGATCCTTGTTCCAAAGAGTCCACCTGTTGATGCAGGGAGTTGCAAAGTCACAGGGCAAAGGAGATGGATTCGGGTGGAGGTAGAGAATTGGTGCCCTTTTTGCAACACATCTTTCACAGCCCCCAAGGCTAAAGTTGGCTTCAGTGCTCTGCTTACTTCTCTGGTTCTGCCTTTACCTAGATTTTGGCTGGAGTGATTCTTATTTTCTTGCCAGCACATTGATACATTTAAGAATATTAAAAATGTACATAGTTATACATATATATTCTCTTCTTTATTGTGTTTTAATAAAAATATTTTATCTTTTTTTTTTTTTTTTGCTATTTATCATGCTTTCAGTGGGAAGATCAACTAAGGCAACTGTCATACTGATTGACACTGAGTCTCTGTCTTTGCACATGTGACTCTCTACCTGAAAGTCTCTCTCCCAATCTTTGAGACTCCATTCAAATGCTTCTTTTGTGCTTCTTTTTTTTTTTTTTGAGATGGAGTCTTGCTCTGTCGTCCAGGCTGGAGTGCAGTGGCGTGATCTCTGCTCACTGCAAGCTCCACCTCCTGGGTTCATGCCATTCTCCTGCCTCAGCCTCCCGAGTAGCTGGGACTACAGATGCCCGCCACCATGCCCAGCTAATTTTGTTTTTGTACTTTTAGTAGAGACGAGGTTTCACTGTGTTTGCCAGGATGGTCTCGATCTCCTGACCTCATGATCTGCCTGCCTTGGCCTCCCAAAGTGCTGGGATTACAGGCGTGAGCCACCGCGCCCAGCTTTTTGTGCTTCTTTGACTGTCCTCTTCACCTAGGCAGAGCTAGGCCCAGGGTGAGCCCCTTGTCCAAAAATTATTAACAATTTTAAGACAGTGACAGCAGAATATTCTACCAAGAGTGATGCCTTTCTACATGTGGGGCTCTGTACGACTGCACAGGTCACACTCCCATGAAGCTGGCCCTGATAGTAATTATTGGTTTACATCTCCATCTCCCTTATTAATCAGTTATTAATCACTGGATGGCTATGGGAGAACACTGTCTAAGGTAAGCCTGTCTGATTAACCTGTATGCCCCCAAGAGGCTAGCAAGGTGCCAGGTATAATCAGTAAAGGGTTGTTGAATGAACAAATGAAAATAACATTATGTTCTCAATTCTAAAATGCACCAACTCTAATAGCTTTAACAGAAAGGTAAGAAGAGCCATATTAAATGTCCCTGTTTATTGTAAGATGCTTTCCAGTTTCAGAATAGTTTACAAAATACAGGTCTTAGAACTGCGAAAACACGGTGGTGCTTTTTAACATCCTCTATCACGGCTGTTCTTTTTTTTTTTTTTTTTTTTTTTGAGACGGAGTTCCAGGCAGGAGTGCAATGGTGCAATCTCTGCTCACTGCAACCTCTGCCTCCCGGATTCAAGTGATTCGCCTGCCTCAGCCTCTGAGTAGCTGGGATTACAGGCGCCCAACACCACACCGGGCTAATTTTTGTATTTCGGGTAGAGACAGGGTTTCACCATGTTGGCCAGGCTGATCTCGAACTCCCGACCTCAGGTGATCCGTCTGCCTTAGCCTCCCAAAGTGCTGGGATTACAGGCGTGAGCCACTGTGCCCGGCCGTCAGCTCATCCTTTTTTTTTTTTTTCTTTAAGACTGAATCTGGCTCTGTTGCCCAGGCTGCAGTGTGGCACAGTCTCAGCTCACTGCAACCTGTGCCTCCCGGGTTCAAGCAATTCTCCTGCCTCAGCCTCCTGAGTAGCTGGGATTACAGGCACGTGCCACTGCACTCGGCTAATTTTTTGTAATTTTAGTAGAGACGGGATTTTACCATGTTGGCCAGGCTGGTGTTGAACTCCTGACCTCAGGTAATCCACCCGCCTTGGCCTCCCAAAGTGCTAGGATTATAAGCATGAGCCACTGCGCTCGGCCCAACGGCTGTTCTTATGCTCCACGGAAAGTGAGATGTTTCCTTCAGTTCTAAAGTGGGTTCCTGGGAACAACTTTCTTATTTTCATGACATCTGCTCTTGACTGAACCCTGGGCTGGAAATGGTCTGCAACCTCACTTCATGATTGAAGAGACAATGAACCGTTCTTGTGAGCAGCAGGGTAGGTGACCAATCTACTAGTCTCTTACCAGACTTCTAGGTATCCCTTGGGAAGAGGGCTCTCCAAGCCCCTTATGTTATTTAATGTAATGTGGCATCTTAAAACATCATCTCCCTGGGGAAAAGAGGTCTTGGCTCCCAGTTCTAGCTCTTCTGGGCCTTTGGCTTCTCCTTTCCGTGCCTCACTTTCCCCTTTATACAGGGAGGAGAGCCGGTGGCCCCACAAGGAAACAGAGAGCAGGGAGTTGTTGGGGTGCGGGGTGGGGGCCGTTGAATCAGAACAACTCCAAGGTATGTTCCTAGAGAGGTGGGCAGTCTCAAGCCTCCCAAGCCCACACCTCACCATCCCAAGCTTTCAAGACCGGAAAAGGTAGAGGAGGGAAGAGGGCTTTAAGGATGCCCACTGAACCTCCACCCCCAACTTTCAGCGCCGGAGGCAGTGTTTCCTCACACCTACCCTGGAAAGCCGGAATCCGGAGCCACCCCTTCCCCCACGTCTTCAGCCCCTCCCCCTGCGGCTTCCCCACCGTGGCCCCCTCCCCCCCATTACAGCATCGCTCTGGGCGCCAAGACGGATTCAAGCCAGGGGACTGCTGCAGTCCGCTCTCCGCCTCTCGGCTCCCGCAGCCTGTGTCCGGGCTCCGCAGCCTCCAGCTGTGCTTCGGACAGTCCCTTTCCCCCCACCCCGACCCCGCCATGGCACAATCCCAGGCTCAGGGCCCAGAGGCGGGCGGGCACAGTGGGCACGGGCGGGGGCCCAGCACAGGCGGCAGGTACAGCGGGGCTCTCCCTCCACACTGGGGATGCCTCGGCTGTGCGGACTGTGGGTGGGGGACGCCTGCCAGCGGCTCCGAGGCCGGGCACAGCGCCCCATCCTGGCAGGGGCTGGGGCCGAAGAGGGGGGCTCCCTGACCCCAAGCCAGGAGCTGAGGTCAGGCGGCCGACCGGGAAAGCCCGAAGGAGAGTCTCCTAAGCGGACGGGCCTGGGGGCTGTGTGTGACATTCAGGGCGTGACTGCCCCTCGGCGGGGGGCGAGACCCGGTCCGTGAGGCTGAGCTGGTCCCCGACCGCCCGCCCGCCGCCGGGCTTGGGTCCCTGTACCCAGGTCGGCTGTGCGTGGCCGTGACACTTCGGGTGCCTGTTCCTGGGTCCCCGGGGAGGGGGATCTCATTCCTGCCCCTACGCTGGGCGCCCCCAGCACCGTCGCTCAGCGAGGTGGGCGCTCCTCCGGGACCCCGGCGGCCGCCCGCGGGCGGCGACCTCGGCCCTCCTGGGTCCGCGCGGGGGCGGGGAGCTCGGTCCCCCTCCCTCTTCCTCTCCCTCTCCCTCTCCCTGCTCGGCTGCCCTGCGCGGGGGCGGGGGCGGGGGCGGAGCGCGCGGGCGGGATCCCCCCGCCTCCCCTTCCCGGTCCCCGGGAAATCCAGCCTCCGTGGCTTGGCCGCCTCCCGCTCCCGCGCCCGCTGCCGCTCGGCGCTCGCTTGGGGCTCCGCAGCCGGCGCGGCCCCTCAGCTGGGGGCTCCGCAGTGCCGGGCCCCGGTCCCTGCCCGCCTGCCCAACGCCGCAGCGCCCCCGGCCCGGGCCGCCGGCACCATGTAACCCGGCCGGAGCCCGAGCCGGGCCAGGTAAGCCGCGGGGAGGAGTGGGGACGGGGCCGCGCTCGCGGCTCCCTCTGCAGCGCCCCCCAGGCACGGCCCGGCTGCGGCCCCGGCGCCGCCCACGCCCCGGGCTCCGGCGCTCGGCTCCCGGCCCCGGGAGGGGGGAGGGGCTGGGCCTCCTCAGCTGCCCCCGCTCCTGCCCCGGCCTGGCTGCCCGCGGGCCCGACCCGAGGGGCGGGCAGGGGACCACGCGGACCGCGGACCCACGCTCCCGGTCAGGGCCGCGGGGACAGGCCAGCCCCGGCCCAGCCCTCGCCCGGCTGGAGGCTCGGGTCTGGGAGGGAGTAGCCAGCTGGTTGTGGGGGAAGTCGTGGTGCTGGGGAGATCCGGAGAGAAGTTTCCTCTGCAGGTGTGTGAATGTGAGTGCGTGTCGCTGTGTGTCTGTGCCGAGTGTGTCACTGTGTGGGTCTGTGGGCGATTGTGTGTGCCGGTGAGTGTATGCCGTGAGTGTGTGCGTGTGTCACTGTGGGCGAGAGTGTGTGTGCATGTTAGTGGGTGTATGCAGCGTGAGTGTGGAGGGTGGTACTGTGTATGCATCTGTGGACATGTGAGTGAATGAGTGTGTGTTGTCCCCATGTGTGCCTGTGTGTGTCTGTGAGTGTGTGAATGGATGTGTGTGCCGGCGTGACTGTCTCTGTGAGTGGGTCCCGGTATCTGCCCTGTGTGACTGTGTGTGTGTGTGTGTGCGTGTGCGCGCGCGTGCGTTGGCTGTGTGAGAGAGAGTGTATCTGAGCGCGGTTCACTCTGAATCACCCACACCTGGGCTCTGTCCCCCCCACTGTCCCCCCATTCCTGGTGGGATATGGGACAGGGAGATGAGACTTTTCCGAGGTCAGATCATTCCCCACTTCTCTGGGGACCCCTGACCCTTGATTCAGGCAAGAGCTTTGTGGCACTCCCCAGCTTGGTCTCTACCTTCACCTACCTCAGGGGGTGCCCTCTGGGATGTTGCTGGTCGTGTCCTTCCTGCATGCTAAGGCCCCTGGTGGGTGGGAGGGGGGATCTGGGGCGAGCTGGAGTATGTGCCTGCGTGTGCTGCTTCTCCTTTTGGGGGCCTGGGAACTTGTGTCATCTCAATAATGTTTCACCAAGGGCCTTTTAGAGCTAGGAGATGAGGAGGCCAGGTGGAAGCGTCTGCCCTGTTAGTCATCAGAGCAGGTGGCGCTCTCCCAGACTTCCAAGTCCCAAACCTTCAAGTTCTGGGTTATTGGTTCAGTCCACTGGCTCCGGGTGGGTCTGTACTAAGCTCTTTGAAGTAATAATAATAAAATAATGCCCTCATATTAGTTCAGGGCTTTTGAAAATGCTGCCCTCTGAACTCTTCTTATTTCCCCAACAGCCTTGGGAAGCAGGCAGGACAGGTATCACGTTAAGCCATATGCAACTGCAATATTCAACTGTTTTTATTTAACCTACAAAAACAGCAATTTCATATGGTTCAACCAAATATAATGCCGATTTACAGATGAAGATGTTGAGGCTTGAGAAATGAATTGCATTTTCCACAACCACACACTGCTAGTTAGTGGTACAGAAAGACCTCAGCCCAGGTCTTTCAGTGACCCAAAGAACTGGGCTGGGCCAAGGTTAGAGAGTGGTACTTCCTGGTGTGCTCTCTCTGACCCTGGGGGCACTGCCCTCTACCACTGCGCAGCATTCCCTGAATGCTGGGGCTACTTCTGCACCCAGCTGCCAATGCCTAAAAGAGTGGGGGGTGGGGGGAGAAGAGAGGAGGGAGGGGAGGGAGAGGCTTCGTGAGTTGGCAGTGAATCAGGGTCTAAAAAGGGAGCTGGGAGGGCTAGGGTGGCAGGTGTTTCTAAAAGGAACATGAACATAGGATGAACGGCCTCACATACAGCCCCCGCATCTCCCACCCGCCACTGCCCCACTGATCTGGCAGGCAGGGCCCGCTGAGTTTTGTGCCAGGGGGCTCACATCCAACGAGTGAGCTTGTATGTAGCTGTAGAATGATGGCCAGGAGAGGAACCTTAGTATTGACTTGGTCCAACCTCTTCATTACAAACCGGGGACTCTGAAGCCCCAAGAAGGGAGGGGACTTGCCCAAGGTCACACAACGAATTTGTGAGTTCCTAGGCTAATCTTAGACGAGGAACTTTGCAATCCTCCATGTTGCCTTCTATTCCTGAACTCTCCCCACCCCCATCAGAGCTGAGTACAGGGGATTTTTGGAAAAGAAATGAAGACTCAAAAAGCCTAAGGCTGTACATCTTTCAGCTTGGGACTCCTTGCCAAAGAGAGGGCGCTACAGATGTCGCTGGGGATAGGGATTCCTAGCCACACCCACCACCGAGGTAGGCCATGGGCTTGTCTTGTCTTGATTCCTGCTGGTGAGGGGCTGGAGCTGCTACAGGCCAGACTCCCAGACTTTCTCATGTTAGTACCTGCTTTCAGCGGCTGCCTGACACCTAACATCATCTCTTCCAGCTGATGTTGGGGCTCGAGCTGGCTAAGCTTGTTTTCCTTCATCCTCCCCAGTTTCCAGTGCATTTTGCCTCTAGCTGGATAGACCATTCCTTACCTTATTGGGTTCCTAATGAATAGAGAAACTTCTGGGGCTTGTCTGATTTAGGAAGGGTCTGTAGTTACCCCCAAACCCTTTCTAATGAAATCTTCCAGGAGTCTAGGACAAATGATAAAGGGATTACCCCCATTTTACAGGTGGGGAGACTGAAATTCAGCAAGGGGCCCCGTATTTGGTTGTTTTTTAGTTTTTTGGGGGTGAGGTGATGAAGGGAGCAAATGATGACAAAAACTTTTGCCTAGAGGAGCTTCCAAAGACCCCTTCTGGTCTTACCATCCCCACGGTCAGGAAACCTTCCCAGATTCTGATTTCATTCCCACTTGGTAGAGTCAAAGCTTTGTCACTCAGTGGGGGTTGGAAGAACAGCTGCGTACCCTCCACTATGCAAGCATTATGTCTTGATTTCCTCTTTATCCACCCTGCCCCTCCCCAGTCTGAAGGCTGCTGGCTCAGCGGGCCTCCTGCCGTCTGGGGAGTCTGGGTTTGAGCTGGGGTGAGGCAGTGGCACCATCGTTATGGTAACGAGGTGCCAGCTCATCATTGCTAATAACTTGTCAGGCCCCTGGGCTCCATGCAGCATCTCTTCCTACCAGCCCTTCTTCCCATGTCACAGACAGAAAAAGTAAGGCTTTGATGGAGGGGTCTGGGAATAAGGGAGTCTGGAGAAGTGGGTGGCCTTGTCCCTGGGGCTGTAGCTGGAGAGCTGCGGGGAGGCTGCTTGGAAGCTGGTTTACACATATGGTTACATAGGCTTGCATATGATTGCGTGGGCTGTTAACATGTGAAAACACTCAGAACATGCTTGTATAAACTTATACAGGCTAGCTGACATGTTCATGTGTTTTTACACAGCAGCCCACAGGCAAACATGCTTCCAAGCATCAGAACATGCTTGTGCCTGAATACTGTCTCTACCATCTGCACATAAGGCACCCAAGAAATCTGGGTTTGTGGGGGTGTCCAGGTATGTGGGTGGGGATCTGATCTTTTTCTGATGCAGCTTCAAAGTGTCTTGTTAACAAAGGGACAGAATGGTCCCAGGGTTCCTTCTTCTTCCTTCCAGTTAAGAGCTCAGAGTGGAAGTGGGCTGGGGATGGTGTCGGGGGCCCAAGCTCCCAGCTCCCAAAGGCCCCTGCTTCTATGCCCTTTGAGCTCAGGTAGCCCCTGCCCCCCTCACTGTCTGTTCTTTCTCATCCTCTCCTCTTCCTGTGTGTAAATATTAAAGAGCTGAGCCTGCAGGGCTGATGTAGACATGGGGAGAGAATGAAATTAAAAAGGATTCCCTCGCCCCCATCTCGACACCCCCGCCCCGCAGTCCCTCGCTCCTGCTTCTTCCCCTCTCCCCTCTCCCCTCCCCTCACTCAGTGCTTCCACATGTCTCTCCTCCCCCCAGTCCAGATGGGAGCTGGCTCCTTCAGAAAGGGGGCTCAGAACAGGGTGTGGGGAGCTACCTCTCTCTGCCTCCCCCCACCACATCTGTCTGCAGGGCTGGGAGCCCCCACGTGAGTATTTCTTTTATTTTTGGGGTGGTGGTTAAGAAGGAAAGTGGTTTTTAGAACCAGCTGTGAGTGGCATTGAGAGGCTCTGGGCTGAAGGAAGGTGGGTGGGGTCCTCTCTCAAGGTTCCCTCAGGGAAGCCCCATGTCTGGGTTTCTTTTCTCTCTTGGGACATAGAGGGAAGGTGGGGGGGGGGTTGTCAGGTGCCCCCGGTGGATGGGAGCGACAGTGGGAGGGGCAGGGGAGAGGGGCTTCTGTTCTAAAGGGGGTGTGTGGTGGGGTAAACCTGTTCCTTCCTGGCATCCTGGGTTTCTGGCTACCGGGGCCGGCAATGTCGCTGGGAACTGTCCCGGGTGCTGAGTGGGATTCGGCGGGGATTTGCTCCTTCGGAGCTGTCCCGAGTGCTGAATGAGGCTTCGTTCGGTCCCGATGGTGGAAAGGCGGAGGGCAGTGGGGAGGGCTCACTAGAAAAATTCTCCCAGATGACCCACTTTCCAAGGGCATGGATGGAAATATGGATTTGGAGTTCTCCCTATGGTTTAGGTTTCACAGTTGTTAGTGGTATTTAGGAACCCTTCCCCCAAGGGGCCCCTCTCCCCTTTTGCTGTTTCAGTTCCCTCTCTCCCTTCCAAAACCATTGTACTGTTATTATCGGGGTAGAGTTGGAGAATGATATTGTGCCTGTGAGATCTCATCTCCTGGGAACTTTTTTTTAGCGCAACAAGCTCAGAGATATTGATACCAGCCTTTCACCTACTGGGTCCCAGAATTTCAGGCTCAAGGTGGTTCTGGATTAAGAGAACGCCGGTCTTCCTGGTTAGGTGTGGGGTGGTTACAGCTCAGGAGTTCAGGATAACTTGACTGACAACTTGATATTCCCTTGCCCATCATACTTTGGGATTTGGGACAGGGACACTGAAATATTCTGCAAGCCTGTCCTGTGTTCTGCCCACTGCCAAACCTAGCTCAGAGCAGCATTTGGGAGAGACTTTTGTTGGGGAGGAAGATTTTTAAGCAAAGGATTCAAGGAGTGGGTGGGGTTGTTCAGTGCCATGGAGAAGAGAAGGGGGAGGCTACTGGAGACAGGGCAGTGGGAAAAGAGGAAGATCTGGGGGAGTAAAAAATATTCAAATGGAGGGATGAGGTCTGGGTTTCAGTCTTTAGTTCTCTTGGATATCTTTCTCCTTATGGCTTAGAGTCAGGGTCATTTCAAGTATCTGTATTCTTATGCACTGTCTTTGTAACCATGAAGGGAATAGAGCAAGGAGTTTCTTAAGGTCCCTTCCCTTGTCATCCCAGGGGGATGAGAGCCAAATGTCAGGACATGCAGATGAGTCTGTAGGGGAACAACAGGCAGGAAGGGATGATGGTGGCTTCACTTCCCATCCCCAAGAGCACAATCAAATATTCAAATGGGATCCTCCCTGTGAGGGGAGGAAGGAGACAGTTTCCAGATAATACTGGGCAAAAATTGGGTGTGGCAGGGAGTTCAAGAAAAGGGAGAGGTATCTAGGGATCTCAAACTGAACCAGTTGATCCCTTCCCACATGTGACTTGTAGTTCATAAGGAGCCCCTCACCCATCATGTTTTTGATGTAACTCATCAAGATGATTCCTGCCTTCTCTAGCTGCTTGGGAGGAGCTGAGTTTTCCTCTGCTGTGGGTGCTGGGAGGTGGTGGGTGTGGGTGTGGGTGCCTGTTTGGGGAGGGGAGGTGTTTGTGCTCCACTCAGCTCCCTTGGTTACATAACAGCTTTGATAAGACTTTACTTTGGATCTGCTGCTACTGCCTGAAGCAGTCACCCCTCCACCCCCACATGAAATGCTAGATGTCCACCCCCTTTTCCCTGGCCCCTTAGAGAGTCCTGCTCTTCCTGATCCACTGTTCCAGCAGCTGCTTCCTTGCCAGGAGGTGTCTGCAGCTTGCCTCCCTGCTCCCTTCCCAGCTTCTGCTTTCAAAATACTTGCTTCTTTTGTTATTTGAGCCCAGGTCACCACCTTTACATTTTTAAGCCTCCTGGTCTACCCTCTCCCTTGTAGGGCCCACAGGCTGGGAAGGGAGGGATTCACTGATCATGAAGCTCCCCTCTAGGGAAGAAAAGGGGTGTTTTCTAGGAGGTTTTAGCACCCACAGTTAATTTCCTTACTATTTCTTCCTCTGCCCCAGTAACTTTTGGAGTTTGAGAGTGTTAGACCTTTACCCAGAGGTGCTGGGAGGAAGGATTTTGGCCTTGATATTTTCTCTTTCTTTTCTTTCGTTCTTTCTTTTTTAGAGTTAAGGGGTTGCATATACGGGGGGATTGTCTCCTGGGTTTGAAGAGGTACACCTACTTTATTGTTACTCCTACCCAGGTTGTCTGAGGAAATACTCGTTTCTCTAGGCATGGGATGAGGACATGACAGGGCCCTTTTAAAAAAAAAAATGACGATTTTTTCCCACTGAGAGTGGGTGGGAATGGGATGTGTCCAGGAGTGGGTATATCTCATTGATAACAGGAACAACTTTCCAAATAGAGAAGTGGGAGACTAGCAAGAGGAGAGAGCAAATGCAAACTTGTGATGTACTTGGAGAGAATATGAAGGATAGAAGCCAGGGGAGGGGCTGGATATCTCTGCAAGATCTGGGACTCCAGTACACATGCATGCGTATTTCTGCCTGTGAGTGAGTATATGACTGTGTATATGTACATAAGTATATGTGAGTATGCTGTGTATATGTGTATAAGCACATCTATTTGTATAAGTGTGGATGTGTGTATATATATATGACTCTATGTATGCATTCATGTATATATGTGAATGTGAAGGAAATTACTGAATTAAACCAATGTGTGCATGTCTGTGTGTGTGTGTGTGGTGTGCTTATCCAGTAATGCCTTTGTGTGAGTGTAAGCATGCATGTGAGCATGTATGTGGGGCATGCATATACGTACCGTATCAACCACATATGAATATATGTACACAAGTTGAGGCAAACCTGTGAATAAATGTAAGAAAGAGAGAGACCGATTCTGACTGAACATTGGGCTACCCAAAAGTGTCTTCCCAACAGCTTGAGCTTGATCACCCTGCTACTTGTAGCTCTTCTCCAGAAAGTAGGCTCCCTGAGGTCTCTCAAATTCTTATGTCCTTGGGAGCCAACTGTTCTCCATCATATGAAAGAAGTTTGTGGAGGGAAAACCTATAAGGCCTTGGGGATAGCCAAGTAAGAAATCCAGGCTCCAGGCTGTTCAGATGCTATGGTGCTCAGGGCTGTATGTGGGGAAAGAGGATCAGGGCTTAAACATTGGCATTGCTACAGAAGTTTCAAAATTCAACAAGTTGGTCCTAGTGGATGAAAGGGGTAGTGAGTAAGAGGGGGGCCCAAGTGCATGCATAAGCCTCATACATACAAGATGTGACAATACACGTGTACAGGTACATGTGCATATTACTTGTCTGTGCCATAATAGGCATATATCAACATAGGTGCACTTTCTAACATGCACATCCATTAACAAATCTACAGGAGTGTCTATACCAACACGGGGATTTGTCAGCATGCACATACATGCTAACACGTATACTTGTGAACAGAATTTACAGAAATATGTGGGCATATGCTAACACTTGTCTGATTACAACCTATGGCCATATATATGTGCATCTCACTCATCTGGGTTAACAATAGCCTGCAAACATACCCTTCCCCATCGCAAGTGCCTCACCCAATGCATCCATTCATTCAACCAGCATGTATTTTATGCCTCTAATCTGCCACATGCTGTGCTGGGCACTAGGGATGGTCCTTGACCTCAGATAACTTGCAATCTTGGGAGAGCAAAGGACCTGGAACCAAATAAGGAGAGTGTTAAGGAGGGTAGACACACATAAGTGTTCATTGGAGGGAGTGGGGACCTAAAGAGAGGTAGGTTGGCTCTGGAGTGAGGAAGGGAAAGGTTTGGTAAAGGATCCATAGAAGGGGAGGCTTTTGAGTTGAGGTTTAAAAGTTGAACAGGTGCTTACCAGGTGAGCAACTGTGGGAACAGGTATTTCAGTGACAGGAAATGTTCCAGATGGTCTTCCCACTTCCACCCTTGCCAGCCCCACCTCCGTAGACTCTTTCCCAAAAAGCAGCCAGAGGAAAATGAGGTCTTGCCTTTCCAGTGGCTTTCCATCTCACTCAGAGTGAAATCCAAAGTGTAGTGCGTCCTGAGCAACGTGAGTGCTACGTGTGCAAAGCCCCCTATTACCTCCTGGATCTCAGGGGCCACTCCTACGTGGGTTTCTTTTCTGTTTCATAAAAAGCACAGTTCCTTGTGGAGGCAATTGCGCTTGCTTTTCCCCTCAGCCTGAAATGCTCTCTAGGCAACTCACTTCCTCACTGTATCCGAGTCTTTGCTCAAGTCACATTTTTGGAAAGACCTCCCCAACAGTCTATCTTGAATAGCCCATTGTCATTCTATCTCCTCACTCCATTATTATTACTATTATTATTTATCTCAGTACTTGCCACCACCATTATTTTATATATTTGGTAATCATCCCTCTTTTTCCACTAGAATATAAACTTCATGAGCATGGGAGCTTCATCTGTTTTGTTCATTGCTGTATCTACAGTGTCCAGAAGAGTATTCAGCTTGGAGTAGGCAGTCGATACATATTTGTTGAATAAAGAAATTTTAGCTAGCCGGCAGCCAGTGAGGAGAAAGGATCAAGGTGAACAAGATGCAAGGCAGGGAGACCAGTTAGGAACCTGTTGTCATAGCTTTGGTGAGCAATTAGGATAAGAGTGGCCTGATGTAGAACACCAGCAGTGGGAGTGGAGAAAAAGAGACACAATGTACAAACACATGCATGCACAAATGTACATGCATGTGCTTGTACTTTAATCACATCTGCTGTTTTAGTAGGGGAAGGCTAAGGAGGAAAGTAAAAGTGTCTTTATGTGTATGTGTGGTATGTATGTCATGAACACCTCATGACAGGCTGGACACCCTCCAGCTAATGCCAACTGCAGTTCTCCCTTCCTTTTGGATCTTGTCACCAATATCCCATGTATGTTCATTCCTGCCAGCCAGGCTGCAGAGGGCTGCCATGCGGGGTCTCTGTGGTTCCACCCTGTCAGTGATGCAGGGCTCCTGCCATAGGGAACAGGAGTTGGGAGCCAGGTCTTGAACAAAGGGAACGGTCTTAGGAGGTCAGAGCCACAGACAGAGACTTAGAGACACTTGGAGAGAGGCACGTGGACTGTGAGAGGAGTAGAGAGAAGGGGAATGGCTGCGGAGAGCTCAGAGATGGAGAGCTCAGGCATGGCCCAGACTTCCTGAAGCCAGATGTGGTGGGGGTGGGACAGCATACTTAGGCAGCTTCTAATGCCTGGCCCCAACCTCTTCCCTTCTTCTCCTGCTCCACTTCTGGTCCTCTACCCTGGTGGTGTGGATGCCTTAGCCAAGTATGGACTTAGGAATGATTTGTCCCCAGGGTTGTGATGTGAATTCAGGTATATGGGGAGACCTGGAGGAAGGGGTCCCCATTTGTATAACACATTTTTTGGTCTGGCAGTAGGGGAGTAATTTCTCTGAGTGTCTCAACTTTTGTTCTTTTCTTTTCTTTTCTTTTGAGATGGGGTCTCACTCTGTCACCCAGGTTGGAGTGCAGTGGCATGATCTCAGCTTACTGCAACCTCTGCCTCCTGCTTTCAAGCGATTCCCCTGTCTCAGCCTCCTGAGTAGCTGGGATTACAGGCACTTGCCACCACGCCCGACTAATTTTTGTATTTTTAGTAGATATGGGGATTTCACCATGTTGGCCAGGCTGGTCTCGAACTCCTGACCTCAAGTGATCCGCCCACCTCGGCCTCCCAAAGTGCTGGGATTACAGGTATGAGTCACTGCACCCGGCCTGGTTGTTTTCCTTTCTCCCAAGAGAGCATGGAGAATTGAGCTTGTGTTGCAAAATGAGCAACTGAGGTTAAACCTCAGGCAGGACCAATCAGCTGCTAGCATTAAGAGACTAAGGCATAGTATGTGGGGAAAGCTGGGAGGACAGCTGCTAAGAAAAGGAGGAAGTGGGAGTTGGGGGTCTGCCCCACCCCATGCCACTCCAGGGACCTCTGGTGGAGGGGAGTGGTCAAGGCCTAAGATCCTCTTTGACACTTCCTCCCCCGGACCTGCAAGCATGGGGCTGGGTCGAGAGGCCAGTGATAGAGCCCCTTCCAGGCTCTAGGGGTGAAGGGGGGCCTCTTGCCTCTCTCCTCTCTCATCTGGGCTAGGGGCCAGGGTGCTGCAGCCGCTCCCCTCCCACCTGGGCTGTGAGCATGGGGGTTGGGCCGAAACAGCCGCCAGAGCCGCCCACCTGCCCGCGGTGTCATGGCAACGACTCTGCCCACGTGGACGATGAGGAAAGGGAGGAGAAGAGAGGAGAGGAGGCATCACAGCAGACACGAGGATGGGAGGGGCTCTTCAGGGTCCTGCGGGTGGAAGCCCCCACCCCTCTAGCTTGGCCCCGGCCCTAGCTCCTTTCACCCCAGATCCCCTGGGGCAGGGTGGGGCTGGTGTTCCAGCTCTGGCCTCGGAGTGTGCATGTCCTTGGATGTCCTGAGTAATGATGACCTTGGCTTCCTGCACTGTGGGGCCCTGGCCAGGGTCCTAGGGTATATGGGGCTTTGGCATGCTCAGGCGTCTCCCTCTCTCCTTACCCCTCAAGTCGGGGATGGTGCCTGGGGCTGAGGGGATAAGAGCCCGACCTACTTCTCCATTTTCTCACTATTTTTCAAAAGGAAAATGACCCACTTTTCAGCCAATCGGACTGGGGCCTGTTCCCCGGCTGATTTCCTGAGCCCCCCTGCCCGGGCCTCTGCCCCATCCTCAGCCTATTAGCCACGTGCTGGACCCACTTCCTAAGGGTAGCAGGTGAACCTGTGTGGAGGGGTCCTCCCCTGCCATCTGCACCAGGCTGAGTCTGTTCTCAGTGAGGCAGGGGTGGGCCAAGGCCTGGCTGAGACCACATCAGCTCCGCATTGAGCAGACCCCCTTGTCTGCCTCCACCCTGGGCACTGTAAGGGTCCTGCTTGCCATCCCCATAGACCCCCAGGGCACACCTCGAGGTGAGGCAGGAAGGACTTCGGAAGGGTGGAAGGAGGATTCTGCCTCTCCTCTCTCCCTGTGTCAGTGGATGGTGGCAGGCTGTCTTCCCAAGCTGCTTCATTTCCACATGGAAAGGGAGCCTGTGGCACTAGAGAACCATGCCTGTCTGTCTGTCTGTCTGTATGCCTGGCTGGCAGAGTTCCTCTGAGAGACCCCCCCTCTGAGGGTTCTGCCTGTGCCTCATTTCCCAAGCCCCTCCTTTTCTCTAGGATATTGGTCTGGGCCTCCGAGCCCCCTCCCTCCCTCAGCTATATTGGCCTGGGCTGGCTTGGGGGGTGATTAGGGATTTAATTATTTAGTTTCTCCAGCTCAGTAGATTAATTCCATCCATCACAGGCAGGCTGAGCCTTCTTCCCCTCTCTGGACTGCCTGGCCAACCCCAGAGAGAAGGAGCATCATGGCTCACCTGGGCCTAGTACTGGATCTGGGAACAATGGATAAAGTTCTTGTTTGGGGAGGATTTAATGAATGACCTTGAGCAGATGTGGGTGCCTAAATGCTGTGAAATGAACATGTATTTCTGTCATATGGGGATAAACATGTGGACATGTATTTAAGGTTTTGTATCTGTGCAGCTTCTATGCACACAAACATCAAAGTCTATTGGATGGATAGCCACGGTGGCTCAAGCCTATAATCCCAGCACTTGGGAGGCCGAGGCAGGAGGATCACTTGAGCCCAGGAGTTCAAGACCAGCTGGGGCAACATAGTGACACTGTCTCTACAAAAAAATAAGAAATTAGCCAGGCACGGTGGTACATCCCTGTAGTCCCAGCTACCTGGGAGGCTGAGGCAGGAGGATTGCTTGAGCCTGGGAGGTCAAGGCTGCAGTGAGCCATGACAGTGCCACTGCACTCCGGCCTGGGTGACAGAGCAAAACCCTATCTCGAAAAAAAAAAAAAAAAAAGGAAAAAGGATCTATCGGATGGAAATGCACATGAGGTGTATGAACCCTCATAGGAACAAGTTTGTGTGGGTCTGGGTATACAGCGTGACAGTGACTATATAGATGAGGTCAGGTGCTGCGTAAGTTGTGTATGGATGACTGCGTGGCTGTGTAATTTGCCTCTGGCTGAACACCTGTTAATTTGTGAATGAACAGTCTTGGGGCAGTGTATAGCTGTGTATGAGGAAGAGATGACAGAGATGGAAGGTTTCCTGAGGCTGAGTGATGAGAAAGGGCACACTGGGGTCCACCTATTGGCCTCCTCAGACCAGTTTGGTCAGGGAGACATGCTACTTTAAAGGTGCTCTGAGGCCAGGCACGGTGGCTCACGCCTGTAAGTCCAACACTTTGGGAAGCTGAGGCGGGCAGATCACGAGGTCAGGGAGACCGAGACCATCCAGGCCAACATGATGAAACCCTGTCTCTTCTAACATGCAAAAAAGAATTAGCCAGACGTGGCGGCACGGGCCTATAGTCTCAGCTACTCGGGAAGCTGAGGCAGGGGAATTGCTTGAACCTGGGAGGCAGAGGTTGCAGTGAGCTGAGATCGTGCCACTGCACTCCAGCCTGGCGACAGAGCGAGTCTCTGTCTCTAAATAAATAAAATAAAATAAAATAAAATAAAATAAAATAAAATAAAATAAAATAAAATAAAATAAAAAATAAAAGTATTCTGTTCAGCCTAGGCCTTGGTCAGGCCTGGACCCAGACTCAGATTCAAATCCTTCTTCCACCATCTATGTGACCTTGGGAAATTTTCTTTACATTTCTAAGCTTCAGTTTCCTCACCTGTAAAATGGGAGTAATAATAGTGCCTACTGCAAAGGATAGTTGTGAGGATTATATGAAGAAAAACATCTAAAGCGCTTAACACTGGGTCTGGACAGTTGTAGGTATTCAGGAGCCTAACCTTAGACTTCAGAGTTGAAAGGCACCAGAGGTTGTCTGGTCTGAAATGTATTCAATGTATTCAGTGCTTGAATGCACTCTGTACCATCCTGCAAAGCAGTCCTCAACCTCTGCTTGCATGCCTCCCTGGACGGGACACTCCCACCTCTTTAGGAAAGCCACATCATGCTGTAGCGGTTCTATCTGCTGGGGAGTTCTGGTCCAGCTGCAGGGAGTCATCGCCTTCCTTTTCTCCCCTGTTTCTCCCTGTTTCTCTATGCCTTAGCTGTGGGGCACTCCTTGATGGCTCAGTTGCTGACCCTGAACTCACTGAGCACCTACTGTATGCCATGTGTGTTCATACAGAGATAGATCCCCTGAATCCTGGCCTTCAAGGAACTCACAGCTTACAAACAACTCTTTACCCTACTGTGGGGAATAGAGGTATGAGACCCAAGAGGAGCTGGCAATTGTGGTGTCCTGGGATTGATGGGAGGGCAATTTTAGGGGAAGGCCTCTTGGAAGAGAGTACACCCGTGCAGCAGCAGAGGGTTTAAGGTTGGGAGGACAGGGGTTTTGCAGTCTGAGCTGCCTTTTCTATGTGCTCTCATGCTGTGTCCCTTAGCTCCTGGCTGTCTTCTCTGAAACCCAGAGAGAGCAGAGGTATAGATATCCTTGAAGGTCAGGCAGGGTTTCAGGCAGAGCTGAGGGGTGGGAGGTGCCACGACGTGAACCTGGCAGTCAGCCAACCAGCCAGCCTTCGTGGTTGGCTTCCTGTGCTGGACTCTCCTGTGGGAAAGGCTCAGAAGGAGGGCTCAGGCCTTGTTGCTAGAAGCCCCTGTCTCAGCTCACACAGAGAGCTTACGGGACAGTGTGCTAATCCAGGAGGCTGTCCCAAGCTCTGGACACCAAGAGGGGACCAGATGCCTGGGCCAGAGAGTAAGAAAGGTCATTGGTATGGCCAGGCTGAGTAACTCCTGCCCAGTGGACCCCTGCCATGGGCTTGGGCTCCTACCTGCTATTCTTTGATGGCCCTGGCAGGCTCAGGTGTAGAGCATCCTGGAAGCTAGGGCAGCACGAGTCCAAATCACATACAAATGAAAGAAGGTGCTTTGGTGCTAAAGTCAAAAGAAGCCAACATATAGAGACATATGTGCAGTTTCTTTGGATAGGTCAGCTTAGTTACTCATTGCCGCAAGCTAAGGAGGTAGGTATTGTGATCCCATTTTACAGATGAGAAAACTGAGGCTCAGGCAGATAACACAAATTGCTCATGGGCATAAAGGTAGGTTGTGACATAATGGATGGAGGTGGATGATTGGCTTTCCAATACCCAGCTATGAGGTTGCTGGCTTTCCCTTCCAGATCCCTGGAGTTACAAGAGAGACCACTAACCCTGGCTACAGGGGTTTGTGGGAGTCTGCAAATCAAGGTCCTCTAGTCCTCTCAGGTGCCACCATCTTTGGCTACCAGGTCTTTGCTCTGCTGTCTTTGGTACGCTTAGGGTGTGGGAGGTCTTCAAAAGAAGCCCAGGCAAACAGAAATTCCTGCATGCGTGAAAAAGATGAGTTTTCAGACCACCCATTTCCGATCCAAACCAAGTCATGTATGGATAGTTACAGCCTTTGCCCAAAGCTGTCTAGAGATCCTCTCCCTGTCTCCAAGTCTCATGCATTTAAGTAGTTTCTCCCTAGTTAGCAATAGCTAACCCTTAGCACTGTGCTAGATACTTTACCTGCATTATCTTAGTCCTTGTAACATCACAATGAGAAAGGGACTACTCTTGCTCCCATTTGAAAATGGGGAAACTGAACTTGAGAGAGGCAAACAGGCTTCCTTGAGGCCACACGTCTAGTAAGTGGTGGACCTGGGATATGGACTCAAAACAGTTTAGCTTAAGACCCAGAAGCCACAGTTGCTCACCAGCTGCCCCTAACGAGGGTCCTAGAGGAGTTCGGGTCCTAGAGGAGTTCTGGTCCTAGAAGTCCTCTCTCTCAGCAGTGTGCAGTCTTCTCCAAAGAAGGCCCCTGGAGACTTTCAGGAGAGGGGAAAAGTGGAAATGATAAGGCAGCACAGCCTAAGAATTGGTTCAGTTGACAGAAAAGGAAGAGATAGCTGAGAAAAGGCTGGAAGCAGTTGGCCATGCCTGCAATTAGGGGGCATGAAGGAGTGAGGCTGATCAGGCTGAATTGTGTCTCAAAGGGCCTATGGCAGCCCTGGAGAAGGAGGAGGAACCTCCTCCAATGCCTGTTGGGTACATGGCCCTAGCTGGGAAGGGAGCTGGGGCCCAGCAAGTCTGAGTGAAGAGACCTATGTGGGGCTGGGTGGTAGACCCCGAACCCTGCTCCTGCAGCCCATCCCTGAAAGTTGTGCCTCATTCTTTCTCTCTGCAGCATGGGGAGGGCCACCTTTTTCCTTCTTATTCTCCCTTCTCCCTCCACGACCTTCCCTGAGCTATGCAGAGGGACATATCTGGGGGAGACCTAGATGCAACTGGAAAAGAACCATCTTTACCTGCTAAGCAGAGCGGCTAGACAAACATCATGAACAAGGCTGGGTATAGAGGCTGGATTTCTAATACCAGATTCTCCAGGACTCTCCAAAGCCTTTGAAGAGAAAGGAGTGGAGGTCCTTTCTGTGGGCCGTTGTACATAGGAGCAGAGTGGGTGAGGGCAGCAAGGGAAAACATTCATTCACAGAATAGGTATTTTTTGAACACCGTTTAGTGGCAGGCATTGTTCTAGACACTCAAAATGCTGCAGCACACAAACAGACACAGTCCCTGCCCTTCTGGAGCTTATATTCTACTATGGGGAGACATACTATAAACACGCAATAGACAAAGAAAATAATTTCAAAGGGCAATCAGTGCTCTGAGGGCAATGAAGCAGGTGATATAGAACATACCCAGGGTTGCAGCTCAACTTTAGTTGGAGCGAGTGATCAGGTAGGCCTCTCTGTCTCTTCCGAGGCAGAGGAAGCCATGGGAATATCTGGGGCAGAGTGTTCCAGCAGAGAGAACATCAAGTGCAAAGCCCCCTGAGGTGGGATTTTCAAAGAGATTATAGGTAGTGTGGGTTATTCACAGGCCGAGCACCGTCCAGTGGGTCAGGAGATGGATTTAGACTTGTATCTGCCTAAATGGCTCGAGTGTTTTGGAGCTGTAAACCCATTTTCTGTAAAATTTCTGCCCTAAGCCCCTAGGAAGAGTTGATTAAATAAAGTAATAAAGATGAATGAATAAAACGGCAAGCCTTCCTCCTTCCTTTCTGTTCCCCCTTCTTCCTTCTCCATTTTCTGGGGCAGTGAGGGGAAAAGGAGGTGATTTCCCTTGGGGTCCTAAGGAGTGGGGTTGGATACAAGGCATGCCAAGTCTTCAGCAACAGGGCTGGCTAGTGGGGTTGAGGGAGGCCAGGGACTAGGACACCAGCCCAACTACAGAGATCCTGCCACAGGCATCTGGGCAAAGCCAGTGTCAAATCAGTCAGGGGGGCTCAGTCAGAAATGGATGCAGGAAGAGACAAGGGGCTGGGCCGGAGCGGGCAGAGGGATGCCTATCCATGGGCACAGTTGAATAATCAGGGGTATGAGCTGCAGGTCAGAGGCTCTGTGTTAGGGCTCCCAGTGTGAAGGGCTGGACAGAGAAACCGAGGCACAATCCTGTCTATACTGGTTGGTTAACACAGGGAGAGGGAGTGGGTAGACAAAGCCTAAAACTGTGGGATCCCAGGGACACACATGGCTTATCACAGGCATGGAGGAGCCAGGCCAACAGCAGCAAAATGAATTCTAGGCCTCACTTGCTGGAAGTTCTGCTGTGTTGGAACTGGTGTGGGGATGATCTCATAGGCTCCAGGTGAGGGGATTGGATAGGGCTGACCTTCACAAGGGAACAACTCTTAACATTTTGCTGCTGTTTGGATCGTCATGTCCAGCTTGTAGCTCTCCCAGACAACTTCCTGGGGAAGGAGTGAATTGGCTAAAATTTGACTTTTGAAGTCTTCATCTTGGCCCAAGGCATCACTTTGTGCCAAATGCTGAGATACTGGTCTTTGTCAAACACACCTGGATCTCTGGGTACCCAGATGTGGACAATCTAGAGTGAGAACACCTTATCTTTTCCCCAGGTGAGTGTCTTTCGTCTTAGATGGTCATCCAGAGAAATTAAGTGACCTACCCAATATCACACTGTAAACCAATGGAGGAAACAATGATAAAGATAGCTACCGTTAGTGAGTCTTTATCATGTGCCAGGGACAGTTCTAAGGGATTTATATGCTTTACCTTGTTAAACCTTACATCATTCATACCTTTATTATGGCCCTAATATTATCCCCATTTTACAGATGAGGAGACAGGTTAAGAGAGGTGAATCACCTACCCAAGTACACACAGCCAGTAAGTGAGTGGAAAGGGATTTGAGCCCACAGAGTCTGATGACAGAGTCCACACCAACAACTGCTTTAATCAAGAGAGTTTGTGACTTGCCTAGGTCTCAAGAAAGGAAAACCAACTGATTTGGCTGGGCAGGGCCCTGGTGGAGAGGGAGAGAAAACACTCTGACTCCTTCTCCCATTTTCCTTCTTTTTCTGGAAGGTAATTGCTTGGGGCAGTGACAACCTCCTGGCGAATTACACAGCTGGTTTCCCAGTGAGATTTGTAACAACAACCCTGCCAGCCTGGCAGCCCCCAGCAAGTTCCGGTTTAAGAAACTAATTGCTGGATTGTGTAGTTGGTGCTAAATTGGGTAATTTCTTGGTGACGGCATCTGTGCCACTTCTTCCATTCCCAGATAGATTCGAGCTGCATCAGAGAAGAATTTGTCACACACGGCACCCTCCCAGACTCCTTCAGTCACCATTTTCCAGCCAGCCATAGGCTACTGCAAAAGTGGCTGCTTCCGTCGGCCCCCAGCTTCACCATTCGGGCAGCTCTCTGTGTCCTGGGATAGTGGATGGATGATTTGGTGCAATAAAAATGGGAAAATAACACCAGCACCCAGAATTGTCATAGGACTTCAGGGAGCATCCTTTATTCTATACTAATCTGACCTTGGGCTTGGTATAAACTCAGTGCTCACCACACATGGGAAAAGGCTAAATCACACTCTGGTTAGCTCTGGGAGATATGTATGGATGAGGTCTTTTTATTTGTTTGTTTGCTTTAAAAAAACATATTCACTTCCATTACTGTGCCCACTTCAGAATGGCGTTGAATAAGTTTGACTTCTCTGGGCTGGCAACACAGACAGGGGAAAAGCTAAGGCTTTGGAATCGGCCAACACTGGATTTGACTTCTGGCTTTGACAACAGCTCTCGGTGTGACCTTGGGGAGCTCAGTTAGCCTCTCCAAACCTCAGTTTCTTCTTCTGTACACTGGAAGGTGGTGGGGGGGGGGTGGATAATATCTATCCTTTGGAATAGTTGTGGGAATCACATAAAATATCATAAACGAAAGCATCTTGTTCTTTGTAGACTCACATTCACTCAACAAATGCCTGCCATATGCTAAGCATTGTTCTAGGGACTGGGGAGAATTCAGTGGATAAGATGGATAAAATTCCTGCACTTATGTGGAGCTTACATTCTAATGGGAGAGATGGACAATCTAGGAGTCACACAAATTTAAAATGGTAACAATATAAGAGACAGGTACATGGTGCCTTGAGAGCAAACAGCAGGGGGATCTGACCTAGTCAGGGAGGCCAGAGAAAGCTTCCCCGAGGAAGCAACAACTGGGCTGAGATCTGAAGGGTGTGTAGGAGTTAGCAAGGCAGAGGTGGGTAGGAAAAGCTTTCCCAACAGGGGGAATAGGCCCCGTGATGTGAGGGATCATGGGACTGACAAAAGACTGTCCTGGCTGCCGCAGAGAAAGCAAGGGGAGCATGTTGTGAGAGGATGTTGGAAAAGTAGGAAGGGCCAGACCCTGCAGGCCTTGTTGGACAAGCGAAGGCATTTTATCCTAAGAACATCAATAAACCAATGAAGAGTTTTAAGCAGAGAAGTGACATGATGAGATTTGCATTTTCAAATGACCATTTGGATTGGAGCGGGGTAAGAACGGAAGCAGGGAGACCAGTTAGGAGAAGACGTGCAGACATGCAGGCAGGAGATGGTGTTCTCAGGAACAGTTGGATTCGTTAGCAGTGCTTTCTGCTGCAAATACTACAGGAAATCTGGCCAACAGTGGTTTAAATAAAGAGCGCATTCCTTATCACATGTAGACCTGGAGTAAAGCAACTGTTAATGTTGGTTCCATGGCCCGATGATGCCAGAACTGACATCTCTGCAGTTCTCTAGGCCTTTTGTGGTGGCAAGATAGCGGCCCTAGCTCTGGTTGTAGTCAAGCCAAGAATAAGGGGAGGAAAGATGGCACTAGCAATTCCTACCCCTTTGGTCACAAAGGCAAAATCTTTCCCAGAAACCCTCATCATGCTTCCATGTGTATATCATTAGCCAAAATGGAATCATGTGGCCTCTAGTTACAAAGGAGGCCAAGATAAGGACAAGGAGGCTGGGAATGAATTTTAGCGAGTCAGCCAACAGTGATTTGGTGGATGTGGAATAAAAGGCACATCTGTTTTTTTTTCTTAGGAAGCAAAATCCATAGAGCATGGTGGTGGATTGAATTATTAGTCCCTTCCTCACTTGTTTTTCCCTCCCATTGATTTTGTTTAGTAATGGAGTGAAGGTGGGTGATGTGGGGGGAGGAATGTGATCATAAAGCATAATATATAGGAGGAAGCCAGTTGTTAATTAAATATTTTCTTTAGAAAATCCATAAATTGGATATCTCCTGCTCCCAGTAATTTGGATTTGATTATATTGTTTACTATTTGGACACTGGGGATTTTGTAAATCCAAAAGAAAGGCTTCTCATGAGGGATTACATGTATTAATGTTTTAGAGTTTGTAAGAGTGATTTTATTATTTGATACCTATTGAAATCCTGGGAGATAGGTGAGCAGGTGTCCTGAGGCTTAGAGAGGGTAGGCCGCCTCTGCTACGTCAGGTGTCACATACGTTCTGGTCTCAGGACTTGTGCTTTTCCACTATACAGGGCTTCCCTGTAGGATCTGGGTAAAGGAGTTGAGGGGTGATCTGTCTGGAGAGCAGCAATTATAGGGCCCATCTTCTCCAAGACAAGAGCAAGGAGAACATGGATTGATGCCAGAGGGGCTGAAGTTTCATAGGATCTTGATGAAAGCTGAGCAGCTTGCCAGCAGCACCTGTGTGAAGCAGGAGACAGAGGGGCACCTGGGAATGTCCACCCCTGGGAAGTTCTGTGAGGCTCTAGCTTGATGTCACCATGCACAGAGCAAATGGGATAGTCTGGGCTTCTGCCAAAGTGGCCTTTTGTGCTGTGAGTCTCAGATATGGGTCCTGCCTGGGGCAGGAAGAGGGAAGAGAATGACATGGATGAAGGACCAGGCTTTCTGTCTTCTTTCCAAGGCAGAGAGATGCTTCCAGGTGCTTTTTCAACAACTATTTGAGAGGCTATCTTGATCTGATATTCCCTCTGTTTCCCCAAAGAAGGGCAATGGAAGATAATTGTCATCTAGAGCCAGGCAGTTGGTATCTGTGAGGTCACCCTAGTCTCTCTTTGGGCAGGGTAACCAACAGCTTCTACAGTCCAGGCTCCAGGGTGGGCCAGGGGCTGGGTATGTCTCACCTTGTCCTCTATGGAAGATTTCTAGGAAACCACAGTCTTCTTCATTGTCTCACATCCTTCAGGGTCAGGAAGTTCTTCCTGATGTCTGACTGTGCCTCTTCCACTACTATTAATCACGCTTGCAAAGCTAGCTCTTCTTCCTGACATCCCTGTGTCTAATAATGACATCATTAGTCTTCCAGTCACGGCTGCTGCAAACTTCAGAGTCGTCTTCCTTTCTGATTTTCTCTCTCCTATTCCCACTATTTGCCATTTCCTGTCTGCCAGAACTCTCTGAGCCTACCCCTTAGAATTCCCTATTTGCACACCTCTTCTCCCTGTGCTTGTTGTTTCCTCCACTGGGTAGGTTCTTTTCCTCATCACCTATGTGTATGGGACACACAGACATCTTGTACTCCATCACAAACATCCTCTCCTCTGAGAAGTCTTCCTTGATTGACCTCTATTGAATCTTGTCCCATTCTCATCTGACGTAGCCTAACATTTTGGTACCTCTTTCCAGCACAGCCATTTATTCATCTACTTAGTGAGTGTTTATTAAGGACTGGCCCTGGGCAAAGCCCTGAGTTAGGTGCTGGAGATCCAGAGATGAATAGGACTTGGTTCCTATTCTGAAGAAGACCACATTCTAGGTGAGGAGATAGAAACCGAAACAGACATTTTCAATGCAGTGTGATAGCTGCTTTCATGGGGACACCCAGGGTGTTATAAAAGCCCGATAAAGAGCATAACCTAGAATAAGAGCACAGAAAGTCTTTAAGGGAAGGTGGGGCTTAATATGAGTAAGTTTTAGCCAGGGGGAGGGCTTTGAGGTGGATGAAAGGAAATTCTAGGAGGAGGGAAGAGTTAGTGCAAAAATAAAGTGGCCTGAAATAACTCTGTCACGTGAGAGGTTGTTCCCCTGTTAGACTATAAACCCCTCGAGGACAGGGACCACTCTTAAATCACCTCTATACACTTCTCACTCTCTTGCTTATGGTAACTGTTCAATAAATGTTTGTGGAATGGAATCATATTTGAGGGCAATGGAAAAAAAAAGAAAAAACAACGCAGTGGCTCAGCACCATGGACAGATCCCACAGACACCTGCAGTTGGAGATAGTCCAACCTGTAAGCTCATTTGAATGTATTTGCATAATGAAGCCAACCTCATTTCCCTGGGGGTTCAAAGGCTCTGCATCATGGGGGATCCAATCAGTCCTGGTTTGGGGGAGTTGGGAAGGGAAGCTGTCAGGGCCAGAGACCGGTCCTCTGAGGACTGTGGGAAAACGTCTCTCCCCTTTTGCTTACCATCCTTTTCTTTTCCATCAGGATTCAGTGGTCCTGAGCCTTCTGAAGTTAGGCTTCTGCCTGGTGGTGGGGATCCTGACATCAAGGATGGGACACCCTGGATGGTGAGTGATAGAAGAGTCTGGGAGATGGGGATTAGACTCAGGTTCTCATACCAGAATAATGGGTTTGAATCTTGATTCAAAGTGACTCATCCACTTACTGGCTTTGTGACCTCAACGTTTTGAGCTCAATTTTCTCATGGGTAAGTGTGGATAATACCTGCATTACAAGATTTCAGTAAGATTAGAGAATATCAGGTATGCACAATACCTGGTATATGGCGAGTACTTGGGAAATAGTAGGAGATGAGGGGTGAGCAGGATCTGGAAGAAAGGTGGGTGTGGGGAGGTGGTGGTAGGGAGAAAGAGAATGAGTCCTGGAGGTGTTGCTGTCTGGAGCCTTTGAGGCTGTCATCCCTCCTAGTCAGCAGATGGCCCAGGAGCCTGGTCGAGGATGAGGGAGGGCACCGTCTGCCAGCTCCTCTGTCCCTGTCCCTCCTGCTGTCACTCCCTCCTGCCGTAGCTCCTATCCTGGCAGCTCCTGGAGTCCTGATTGGAGGCAGCTCTTGCTGAGAGCTGACCTCTCTGTCCTGTAGCCTTGGCAAGTCTGGGATGGGGGCCAGGAGCACTGGTTCCAGAGTTTTTTCTCCATCACTTTCCTGCCTTGCCTTCCCTCTGTTCCTGGGAGGAGGAACTCCTGGGTTCCAATCCCAGTTTAGGATTCAGATGCTACTGTGTGTAGCCGCTGTTCTTCTTCTTTATGGATTTTCCTCCTTCATGATTCCCCTCCAGTGGAATGGGAATGGAGGGTGGGGGTAAAAGGCAAAAGGGGTAATTTCATAGGGAAAATATTTGGAACCCGGAAGAGGAAGGAGGAAGAGTCATCTCAGATTCTCCTTATTTCAGTCCACAGGGGAGGGAGAATGAGCCTGCAGCCAGATGGAATGCACAGGGTGTGGAAGGAAGGGGAGGAATTTTTCTGTGGGATGGTGCTGGATATGTAGATTTGGGTCCAGTGTTCTCTTTGTTCACAGCAGCTGGGAGCTGTGACCCTGAGGCCTGGCTCTTGCAACAGTGGGGTGTAGGGCAGGGTTGGAGTAGAGATGTGGCTGTGGATCTATTTGCCTAATGCCAGCTTGTTAAAAGCTAGTTCACCTAAAGACTGGTTTCTTTGACTATTTTATGTCTCCCTGGGTATGCTTTTGTTTTTGGTAATCTAAGGACATATTCACACACATACACACACATCCCAAAGTATATCTATATATTTACACATAAATGTGTATATATATGTATATATAAAAATATTTCTATGTGTATATAAAAATATATATGCATTTATAAATATTTATTAATATACATTTACAAATATAAAAACAAACAAATATATATATATATATAAATTTAGAGGCCAGGTCTCGCTCTGTTGCCTGGGCTGGAGTGCATTGGTATAATACAATCATAGTTCACTGCAGCTTTGAGCTCTTGTGCTCAAGTGATCCTCCCTTCTCAGCTTCCCAAGTAGCTGGGACTACAGGCATATGCCACCACATCTGGCTAATTTAAAAAATTGTTTTGTAGAGACAGGGTCTTGCTTGGTTGCCCAGGTTGATCTCGAACTGCTGGGCTCAAGTGATCCTCCTGTCTTGGCCTCCCAAAGTGCTAGCAGTACAGGTGTGAACCACTGTGCCCAGTCTCTAAGGACATTTAAAAACCCATTTGACTGAGGGAATATCCTCTTGTGAATAAGTATTTATCAGATTTGCAGTATTCATTGAATGATGGGATTATTTTGTGCCCTTGAGTGTCTATGTCTATTATGACCATTTAAAGGACTTTTTAGTCCATTTGTGGGAGGGTAGTGTGATTAATCATAATAAATTGATATGTATTACCTAAAGGGATACAAGGATGCCTAATAAAAGATGGTTTTAGGTGAAGAGGGCTGTTCAATTCAAATACCTTTTCTCCCTATTTTTCCAGGAGGTTCCTGGGGCCTGGCCCCCAAGACTATGAAGAGCCTTTGCTGAGGCCATGAGGGGTTACCATGGCGACCGAGGCAGCCATCCCCGCCCAGCCCGCTTTGCTGACCAACAGCATATGGACGTGGGCCCTGCTGCCAGGGCCCCATACCTGCTGGGCTCCAGGGAGGCCTTCTCCACCGAGCCCCGCTTCTGTGCCCCGAGAGCTGGCCTGGGACACATTTCTCCTGAAGGGCCCCTGAGCCTGAGTGAGGGGCCGTCGGTAGGCCCTGAGGGAGGGCCAGCGGGGGCCGGGGTTGGGGGGGGTAGCAGCACCTTCCCCAGGATGTACCCTGGCCAGGGCCCCTTCGACACCTGTGAAGACTGTGTGGGCCACCCACAGGGCAAGGGTGCCCCCCGCCTGCCTCCTACACTCCTGGATCAGTTTGAAAAGCAGTTGCCAGTTCAACAAGATGGCTTCCACACACTACCATACCAGCGAGGGCCAGCAGGGGCAGGGCCCGGGCCAGCGCCAGGGACGGGCACTGCCCCAGAGCCCCGCAGTGAGAGCCCTAGCCGCATCCGGCACCTGGTTCATTCTGTGCAGAAGCTCTTTGCCAAGTCCCACTCTCTGGAGGCGCCGGGGAAGCGGGACTATAATGGGCCCAAGGCTGAGGGAAGAGGTGGCTCTGGAGGAGACAGCTACCCCGGCCCGGGCTCTGGAGGCCCCCACACCTCCCATCACCACCATCACCACCACCATCACCACCACCACCAGTCCCGGCACGGCAAGAGGAGCAAGAGCAAGGACCGCAAGGGGGATGGGCGGCACCAGGCCAAGTCCACAGGCTGGTGGAGTTCCGATGACAACTTGGACAGTGATAGCGGCTTCCTGGCGGGTGGGAGGCCCCCTGGGGAGCCTGGTGGTCCCTTCTGCCTGGAGGGTCCAGATGGGTCCTACCGGGACTTGAGCTTCAAGGGGCGCTCGGGCGGGTCGGAAGGCCGCTGCCTTGCCTGCACTGGCATGTCCATGTCACTGGATGGACAGTCGGTCAAGCGAAGTGCCTGGCATACCATGATGGTCAGCCAGGGCCGGGATGGATACCCGGGGGCCGGGCCAGGCAAGGGGCTCCTGGGTCCGGAGACCAAGGCCAAAGCCAGGACTTATCACTATCTGCAGGTGAGGCTTTTTTGGGGTTGGGGAACAGAGTCCTTAGCCTTCACCAGTCTTGTCAACTAGGGAGCAGTGGAAAGGGTTGGGTGGGAGCCAGCTGTCCCTGTGATGGAGGGCCTGGGTGTAGGGAGGCTCTGCCCTGCCCCATTGGGTCACTCTGAGCTCCTTTGGGGCTTCACTTTCCCCATTTGTGCAATGAAGGGGCCCTTCTGTTCTAATGATGTGTCTGTCCCTAGAGATTTTCCCTTGACCTACTGTTTTGGACAGGCTGTGCTGATATCTGTCTTCGGAGGTTGGAGGCATAATGAAGTTGAGGGCAGGCAGTAGACAGGATAGAGAGGTGCACCTTAGTTGTAGCTGCTCTCAAGATTGAAGGTCGGCAGTTGGAAAGCAGTTCTCCTGCCCCAAAGCCTTCTCCAGCCCTCTTTTCTGCTATAATCCGGATGGCCCACATGTTTGAATATGAAGATCAGTTATTTCTAGAATGTGCCTCTGCTGAGGTTTGTCATTCCGGGGTACCGGTGGTGGGACAGCCGAAGCTGTGGAGGGGTCCTGGGAGTTTCATGTGTCTCATGTGTTTTCCTAGGCTGGGGGACAAACTGGGTTTCAGCCCTGATACAATTCAGGCAGGGCCTCCCGGGAGTGGATGGTGCAGGTGATAGCTGGCATGCTGTTCTCATCTTGTCTTACCACATTTATGGTCTCTGCAGGTGAGGCCAGGAACTCTGATTCCTACTTTTTATGGAGCCTTCACCCCAGCCTCATCCAGCCCACATCGTTTTCTTAAGTCCTGCCGTAATTTTAGGAGAAAAAGTCAATACAAGTTCTGGAGGTCCAGTGTATTTCCGCATTCGACATAGTTGATACAGATCTATTTATTCAATGAGCGTTTTCTGGGTGCTGTGGATACAAAGATGAAGATACAGATGCTGCTTGTGAGGAGCTCACAGTGTAGAGTGGGAATAGACAAGGAAGCAGATAGAATACAGTGTGATGAGGCTGTGATAGGGGAGAGCCCTGGGCATCTTGGGAACACAGAGGAGACACCTCACTGACCTGGGTGAGGAATGTCCCCTGAGCTGAATCTCAGTGGAGGAGTTGCAGTTGTTGAGTGCTGGCTAAACGTGTATTGGGAAGAGACTATACAGCATGTTCAAAGGTATGGAGAATAGAGGCTGTGTGTGTCTTTGTGGGGCATTGGCCTTGCTGGGTAAGTTGCACACAAGTTAGGGCTCTCCTGGAGAACTCATGAAGGCCCAAGGGAGCACATAGGGCCACAGTGCAAGCAAGAAGGGACTTCTGGATTGGCCTGGTTTGCCCCCTCCCTGGGTAGGGAGGTGCTCTAAGCTGGGAACTGCAGGGTGCAGGGAGGCAGCACCCATCCTTTCTCCCCCATAGCCGATTCCTTGCCATCCCTGAAGACTTGTTGCCATTTCGCTGCTCCCTGCTGCTGCTTCAGGGCTGCCCTGACCTCCCTGGGGGCTTCCTTTTTAACATGCACCTCACAGTGTCCTGCAGAGGAGCTCTGCAGTGGCTAGAATGGGAACCCTGCAGTATGGCCTTCCCATCTGCTGGCCTGCCTCTCTCCACCTGCCTGCTGCTCTCTGTAGAGAATGGGGAAGGGGAATGATCCCTCCGGTCTGGAGTTCCAGGGCATCTGAGGACTGGGAAGTCTGAGCCCATGTGGGGAAGAACCAAAGGGCTATAGGGACCCTCCAGACAGCCTCGCACTCCCCTGGTACAAAAGCAGGGGAGGCTGGCCCCATGAGGCCAGGTGTCTTTGCTGGACTCCCGATCTGATTGTCAAAGCCCTGTTTCTCCCACTGGGTACCAGCTTTCTCTTAAGCCTTTTCCAGGATCCCTCTGTCCACTCTGAGCCCCTGTTTCTTTATGGAGCCTCATCTCTTTGTTTCCCATCATCCAAATGAGCCCTAGCCCCTTGAAGAGCCCTGCTCCTGCCCGTGGGTTCCTTCAAGGGACCCCATCTCATCCCCAGAGTCTCCACCTTTCCCCTGAACCCTATGCTGTCCCTGAGGCGTTACCCCTTTTGGAGCTCCCATCCCTACCCCATTTAACCTGTTCTTTACACAAGTGTTTTAAATCCTCCCTACCTCCCCCAGTCCTCTCCCCCACGTCTTCACTTACACCTCATTTTCCGAAGTGTAGGCTGACATCACGGACTCCCTCAGCTTCCTGACAGCATCTCTCTAGACGCATCCAAATTCCCAGCCACCCTCGTCCCCTTCCTTGGCTCATAGGAAAAGCTGGGACCACCCATCCCAGGCCGATCCTTCTTCCAGGGCTTGATCCCATCTCATCATGACCCCCTCCATCCCTGAACTGTTCTCCCTTCTGAGGTTTAAAGACTATTTTTACTGGCTCTTTCCATCATTCTGAAAACATGTCCAAAGTCGCTTGCATCCTAAAAAATATTTCTGCAGCCCCATCCCACCTTCCATGTCCTTCATAATCGAGTTCTTAGAGCATAGACACCTACTCTTCACTTCCCTTCAATTCTCCCCTCACTGTGGTCTGATTTCCAAACTCCCTGTCATTGACATGTCCTGGCAGTGGCCACAGATGATCTCTTGAGCGCTATCTTCAAAAGCTACTTTTCAGTGCCTATAATAATTGTTACCATTTATTGAGCACTTTCTATGTCCTGGAAACTCTCTATTGGCTCATTTATCTTTGCCACCAACCCTCTGATGTAGGCATAAGTATCATGACCAACTCGCAGACAAGGAAACTGACACTTAGAGGTTAATCTGTTTTGCTTAAGTTCACCTATCCAGCAAGTGATGGGGCCAGAATTGCACATGGATCTTCTAATTCCCGAGCCTGAGTTACTAACCTCTGAACGCACTGTGGCATTTGACATAATCGACTCCTTTTATTCTTGAAATGTCTCCTGTTTCTATGACATGGCATTTTCCTGACTTCCCTCCTACCCCTCTGCCCACTCCTTCTCAGGTGACTTCACAGGCTCCTCTTCCTTTCTTCACAGTCCCTTTTTAAATGTCAGTGGATCTCTGCTCATCTCTCTTCTTCTCTCCCCTGGGCTGTCTCATTCACTGCTATGGATTCAGCTGCCGCCCATGACTCCCACATGTCCGCCTCCAGCCCCGATCTCCCCACTGAATCCCAGAACCAAACATCCAACCACCTGCTCAACAGTTCTATGCCAAGCTCAAGGTGCTCAACCCCGACCCTACCACCTTTCCCCAGACTTGTTTCTCTGGGGTTCTATGGCTCAGTGAGCGGCAGCACCCTCCCCCAGGTCCTCAGCCAGCAGCCTGGCAGTCATCCTCGACTCCTCCCGCCCCCTCATCCCCCACGTCTAATCAGGCTCACTGATGCTCCTTAACACCTCTCATTTCCATCTCCTCCTCTTCCCCCTCATTGTCATTGTCTTAATTTAGGCCTCATCATCTCTTGCCTGGATAACAGCATCAGCCTCCTAATTGGTCGTCCTCTCGCCACTTGAGCCTCTGCCCTGCTCCTGGCCCTCCACAATCCAGCCTCTGTTTGGACTGTGGGAGAGCTCTTTCTGCAACACAAATCTGATGTCACTCCCCTGCATGAAGCCCTCTGTGGCTCCCCACAGCGGGGAAGGAGAGAGGATTTGGAATGTAAGCAGGTTGAAAGGATGAAGGAGAAGGAGGGGTAGAAGGTTGACTGAGGTCAGGTGATGCCTGACTGCTGGGCATGGGATTGACACAGGTCACTTTGGCCTCTGATCATCAACCGCTTGACGCCTGCCATGTCACTCCCTCAGACTCTCTAGGTGGCCCTTAATTAAGTGCAGAAGGTCTGTGGAGGATGACGAGGTGTCTCTTGTAAGGGACGGGGACAGCCTGAGACCCTACCTCCCCTTCTGCCTCTGCATGTACCTGAGTGTGCCTGTTCAAGCCAGGGCAGGGCATCTCCCACTGGCAGTGGGGAAAGAGTCCTGGCCTCTAGATTTACTAGGGTCATGTCTGAGAGACAGAGACCCCTGTTCCTGCAGGTGCCGCAAGATGACTGGGGGGGTTACCCCACCGGTGGCAAGGATGGGGAGATCCCCTGCCGCAGGATGCGGAGCGGCAGCTACATCAAAGCCATGGGGGATGAGGAGAGCGGAGACTCAGACGGCAGCCCCAAGACATCTCCCAAAGCAGTCGCCCGACGCTTCACCACCCGTCGCTCCTCCAGCGTGGACCAGGCCAGGATCAAGTAAGGACAGGGAGGGCCGGGGGGTGCGGGGTCAGGAGGCTGATGCTGGACTCCTGCGGGAGATGTGTGTAGAGTGGGTGCCAGTCAGGTAGTCCTGCTTAGGTTTCAACTGGGGTGTCTCACTCCACTCCATGTAAAGGGAGGGTCTTGGTGGGAGTCCTTCTCTGGTGCCTCTTTGGGAGTCTCTTTACCCAGGGTCTCCTAAGGGATCTCTCTTTGGGGGTTCTGAGGAATAGGACTTACTCAGGGGCCCCAGTGCTATTATCTCCCCTCCCCCACCTCCTAGCAGTCCACTGTTCTGACTCCGGAATTTTGCCCTTTTCCAGCTGCTGTGTCCCACCCCGGATCCACCCCCGGAGCTCCATCCCTGGCTACAGCCGTTCCCTCACCACTGGACAGGTAGGGAGAGGCCCAGTATGCCTGGAGGAAAGAGTGAAAAAGGGATTCAGTCCCATGCTCAGCTTAGGACTTAAAATCAGAGGGTCTGCCTGTGGAGAGAGCTCAGGCCTGGCTCTGGGGAAACTGGGAAACCTGCCTTAGGACTCCTGGAGCTGACTCAGGCTGGGAGTCTCAGAGAATCACAGCCTTAAAACCCACCAAGTGTCCTCAAAGTGATGAGCTTGTAAGGGCAACGCCAGTGCCCTGGGGCTCTTCACAGGCCTGATTGCTCCCTCCTTGCCCCCATGTAAAAGGTAGGATTGGCCGGGTGCAGTGGCTCTCGCCTGTGATCCCAGCACTTTGGGAGGCCGAGGTGGTCGGATCACGAGGTCAGGAGACCAAGACCAGCCTGGCTAACACGGTGAAACCCCGTCTCTACTAAAAATATAAAAAATTAGCCAGGCATGGTGGCGGGTGCCTGTAGTCCCAGCTACTCGGGAGGCTGAGGCAGGAGAATGGCGAGAATGAGCCGAGATGGTGCCACTGCATTCCAGCCTGGGCGACACAGTGAGGCTCTGTCTTAAAAAAAAAAAAAAAAAAAAGTAGAATTGATTTGTACAGACAGGGCGCAGGCCAAGCTGCAGCCTCAGACATGATCTGGGCCTGAATTCTGCCACCTTACCCCTCTGTCCTGAGGAACCACCAGCAAGAGACCTTACTTTTCAACACCTCCATTTCTCATCTTTAAAATGGCAATGGTTAGGGACAGTTATTTTGCAGGGGTTTTTGAGAGTTCAGTGAGAAAATGTATGCAAACACAAGGTACTTGGCCCAAAAATGGCATTTTATAAATGTGAGTTCCATATCTAAGTGTAGACTTTCCCCTTAATTAGACGGAAGCAGCAGCATTTAGTGATTAAACACATGAGATGGGGTTGAATTCCAGCTTGGCTACTTACCAGCTGACTGACCTGGGGCAAGTTACTTGACTTTTTTTGAGCCCCACTTTCCCTTTTTAAAAATAGGCATCATAATAGTGTTCTTGGCACATAGCCAGCACTCAATAAAGGTTAGCTATTTTTACTGTATGCTGGGGAAAAAATGCAATGCAAAAGACTGTCCACGTTGGCTCTCATTGTTCACTGCTGCAGTCTCTCAGTATTCCTTTGTTCCATTGCCTGAACCAGGAAATCTGATTGGCACAGCTCTCTTTTTACATCAGACCAGCCTATGTTGTTAAACCCACGAGTTAATGCTTAGCCCTCATTTTACCTCACCCATCAGCCACATGTAACACAGTTGAAGACTCCTTCCTTCCTGAAAGACTTTACTTGGTTGGCTTGGAGGACACCACACCCTCTACATTCTCCTAGATTCCCTCCCTGGCTGCTTATCCTCAGTCTGTGTCTTGGGTGCCTCTATAACTCCCCAGGATCTAAACACTGGAGTTTTCTAGGGCTCAGTCCCTGGACTTCTCTCTATACCTACTCCTTAGGTGATCTTGTCTGGGCTCATGGCTGAGAGCCTGATGACTACCAAATGTATATCTCCAGCCCAAACTCTCTTGTAAATGCCAGGCATATATGTCTAACTGTGTATTGAAATCTCATTCGGATGTTTAGTAGACATCTCAAACTTAAGATGTCCAAAACTAAACTGCTGATACACACACCCTCCACAATCCCCTCCCGCCCCTGGCTGCCGCAGTTGCTGCTCTATCCTCTGAATTCTCCATTTCAGATAATGGCAACTTTATCCTTCTAGAAGCTCTGGTTTAAAAGCCTGAAGTCAGTCTTGACCACTTTCTCTCTCTCACAACTCACCTCCAATCCTTCAGCTGATCCTGCTGGTCCCACCTTTAAAATATATCCAGGATCCAACCACTCCTCACCATCTCCACTGCCACCGGTTCTTCCAGGCACCATGTCCTTTTGTCTGGACGATGGCACTGCCTTGTAGTTGGTCTCCTGTATTTGCTCTTGCTCCACTTCATCCTCTCTCATTACAGCCCACATGATCTTTAAAAACTATAATCACACTCGCTCTTCTGTTCAAAACCCTCACGTTGCTCAGAGTAAACATCAAGAACCTAACCATGGCTTTCGAGGCCTGCATGACCTGGTGACCTCGCTGGAGTGGAGCTGCCTCTGAGTTCCTCTCCTAAGGCTGTTCCCCTCCCTCCCACTCCAGCCACACTAGACTCCCTAGGGCCCTTGCATTTGCCACTACCTTTGCCTGGATGTCCCCTTCCCAGCCACTCCCATGGATCACTTCCTAACTTCTTTCAGGTCTTTTCCCAAATGCCCTAAAATTTTAATTTAACTCTCCCTTTCCAACATTTCCTATTCCCCTTCCCTGTACTGTCATTGTTGAGGTCTTCTCTGTCTTCTTCCTCCTGCTCTTTCTCCTTCTTCTTAGCACTTTGCATTATCTAACATCACATATACTTGACATATTTAGCCTGGAGGTATGGCTTCTTATTCTTGCTTTATAGAAGATGAAATAAGTTTAAAGCACTAGAGATGTCACCCTATTATGTCTCATAATACTTTTTTCCTCTTCAGTCTATTTTTTTTTCGTTTAGTATTTGCCTAAAACACCTTTTTCCATCTTTTACTTTAAAGCTTTTTGTCTATGTCTCAGGTATATTTTTTGAAAATAGTTATAGCTACATTTTACCTATATCCATTCTGATAATTGCTTGAGAGTTTAGTACATTTATATTTATTGTGATTACAGATTATCTGTGATTACCCCTTGGCCTAAACCTAGGGTAGTGTGATGACCCTAGCCCTAACCCTTGGGTTTATTTCTGTCATCTTATTTTGTGCCTTCTATTTATCTTGCCTTTGGACTGGTGCTTTCCTGCTCCTTTGCTGCCTCCTTTTGGTTTGAGTTTTCTTTATTCTTCTCCCCACCAAATCCCACACTGGTTTAATAGTTATATATTGTATTTTATTCTTTGTGGTTACCCTTATAATTTTCATATGCATATTTGACTTAACGTCTGAAGCTGACAGTTTTTTCTGTGCTCCTCCTAAACAATACAGAGACCATAGGACAGTTTGATTTTGTGTGTGTGTGTGTGTGTGTGTGTGTGTGTGATGGAGTCTGGCTCTGTTGCCCAGGCCAGAGTGCAGTGGCTAGATCTCTGCTCACTGCAACCTCCATCTCCCGGGTTCAAGCGATTCTCCTGCCTCAGCCTCCCGAATAACTGGGATTACACGTGTGCGCCACCACACCTGGCTAACTGTTTTGTATTTGTAGTAGAGACGGGGTTTCACTATGTTGGCCAGGCTGGTTCCCAACTCCTGATATCAGGTGATCCACTCACCTTGGCCTCCCAAAGTGCTGGGTTTACAGACATGAGCCACCACACCTGGCCGACATTCTGATTTTGATGACCTCTTCCCTTCTTGTTCTTCTTTTTTTTGGCAACAAAAATTTATTTTCTCACAATTCTGGAGGCTAGAAATCTGACCAAGGTGTCAGCTGGAGTGGTTTCCACTATTCAGTAATTTGTATTTTTATATTTTTTATGTTGTTGTTTGGAGAACAAAACATTTTAAACTTGATGATGCATAATTCATCAATTTTTCTCTTCTTGATTGTGCTTTGGTGTAAAATTTAAGAAATCTTTGTCTAATGCAAGATCACAAAAATTTACTCTAATATTTCTCCTAAGAATTTTGTAGTTTAACATTTATATTTAGATGTATGACCCACTTTGAGTAGTGTGTGTGTGTGTGTGTGTGTGTGTGTGTGTGTGTGTATGTGTGATTCAAGTTAGGGGTCCAGCTTTATGTTTTTGAATGCGGATATCCAATTTTCCCAGCATCATTTGTTGAAAAGGCTTTTATGTCCTCATTGAAATTTCTTGGCCCCTTTTTCAAAACCAATTTACCATAAATGCATGTGTTTATTAATGAACCTTAAAATTTATTCCATTGGTCTGCTTGAACCTATCTTTATGCTATTACCACATGCTTTGATTGCTGTAACTGTGTGGTAAGGATTGATTTTGGTAAGCTGAAATTATACAATTTTGTTACTCCTTTTAAAGACTGCTTTGTGTTTTGTGTTTCCTTTGCATATACACATGGATTTTGGGTAGGCTTGTTGATTTCTATAAAAAATATAGTTGGGAATTTGAAGGGATTGCTCTGAATGTGTAGATTAATTTATGGAGTATTGTATTCTTAACAATATTAAGTATTATTATCCTTGAATATTGGATGTATTTCCATTTATTCAGTTCTTCTTTGATTTCTTTCAGCATTTATTTTACTTATTATTATTATTATTTTAATTTTTTTTTTTTTTTGAGACAGTCTCGCTCTGTCGCCCAGGTAGGAGTGCAGTGGCATGATCTCGGCTCACTGCAAGCTCCGCTTCCTGGGTTCACGCCATTCTTCTGCCTCAGTCTCCGGAGTAGCTGAGACTACAGGCGCCCGCCACCACGCCTGGCTAATTTTTTTGTATTTTTAGTACAGACGGGGTTTCACCGTGTTAGCCAGGATCGTCTCGATCTCCTGACCTCGTCATCCGCCTGCCTTGGCCTCCCAAAGTTCTGGGATTACAGGCATGAGCCAATGCTCCTGGCCTATTTTACTTTTAATTTTTATTATAAATTGACAAATTGTGGGTGTATATATTTATGGGGTATAAAGTAATGTTATGACTTATGAATACAATATGGAATAATGAAATCAAGTGAATTGACATACCCATCACCTCAAATACTTAAGTGATCTTAGGACACTTTAATTTCCTTGACTTCTTCCCTTCTTATGTGGACTTATTGCCCAGTATTTTAGTTCTACCTTTTAACCTGTCAAATTAGTCTCTATTATTATTGTTACTTTTTATATTATTAGCTCTTGATTGTATGTACTCACATCTCTACCTTTTTTACTCCTCACTTTACCTCCTTACATCTCATTGTTTCCTCCTAAAGTATATTCTTTAGTAATTTTTTCAGTGAATATCTGTTAGTAGCAAACTTGGACTTTAACAAAAAATATATTTTACCCATACTGTTTGATACAGTTTAGCTTATTGTGGGAATTCTAGCTTAACATTTATTTTCTCTAAGTGTTTTGAAGATATTCTTTTGTCATCTGTCTGTTGTTGCCGTTAAGGAGTCTGCTATCATCCTGATTGTCTTTGTAGGTAGTTTTAATTTCTCTCAGGTTGCTGTTGAGATCTTGCTTTGATTTTATTGTTCTGCAGTTTTGCTATGATATATTCATGTGTGTGCTCCATAGGTCTGTGGATTCATGTTTTTCATCAATTCTGGAAAATTCTCTCATGGTATAGTTTGCATAGTATATCTTTTCCCCATTCTTTTACTTTCAACTGTTTGTGTTTCAGATTTAAGGTATGTCTCCTGTAGACAGCATCTAATGGTTTTTTTTTTTTTTTTGCTTTATCTTATCACTATGCCTTTTGAATGAGTGTTTTTGTCCATTCATGTTTTATTTTATTTATTTAATTTGTTTTTGAGGAAGGGTCTTGCTCTGTCATTAAGCTACAAGGTAGTGGTGTGAACATGGCTCACTGCAGCCTTGACCTCCCAGGCTCAATCAATCCTCCCACCTCAGTTCCCCAAGTAGCTGGAACTAGAGACACATACCACCATGCCTGGCTAATTTTTGTATTTCTTGTAGAGATGGGGCTTCACTATGTTGCCCAGGCTGGTCTCAAAACTTCTGAGCTCAAGTGATCCACCCACCTTGGCCTCCCAAAGTTCTGGGATTACAGGCATGAGCCACCATGCCAGACCTTCACATCTTAATGTGGTTATTGATGTGGTTGGACTGTCATATTATTTTTTGATCCTCTGTTCCTTCTTTACTGTCTTCTTTTGTATTAAATCAATAAATATTTTAGTGTACCATTTATATTTATTTGTTAATTTTTTACTATACAATTTGAGTTACTTTCTTAGTGATTGCACTAGGAATTACAATGTATATCTTAGCTTATCAAAATATAATTATGGTAAAATATAGGAGCATTGCTCTAATATAACTCATTTTCCCCCTTTTTGCTATTACTGTCATATATTACCTATATATGTTTTAAACCTAACACTTGTTATAAACCAACATTGGTATTATAATAAGTGCTTTGTGTAATCTTACATCTTTTAAAGAAGTTAAGAGAGGAAGTGAGGAAAATATATTTATAGAGGCTCTTGTATTTACTCACATATTTACCATTTCTGGTGCTCTTTATTTCTTCTTCTGTATTTGAGTTACCATTGGCTATTACTTTATTTTCCCTTTAGCCTGAAGGACTTCCATTAGTGCTTCTCATAATATAAGTCTCCTGGCAATAAATTATTCAGTCTACATTTATCTGGAAATGTTTTTATTTTTACTTCATCTTGGAAGAATAGTTTTGCTGGATATAAAATTCCTGGCTGACAGTTATTTTTCTTTCAGCACTTAGAATATACCACTCCACTGCCTTCTGGTGTTCATTGTTTTTTTTTTTTTTTTTTTTTGAGACGGAGTCTCGCTCTGTCGCCCAGGCCGGACTGCGGACTGCAGTGGCGCAATCTCGGCTCACTGCAAGCTCCGCTTCCCGGGTTCACGCCATTCTCCTGCCTCAGCCTCCCGAGTAGCTGGGACTACAGGCGCCCGCCACCGCGCCCGGCTAATTTTTTGTATTTTTAGTAGAGACGGGGTTTCACCTTGTTAGCCAGGATGGTCTCGATCTCCTGACCTCATGATCCACCCACCTCGGCCTCCCAAAGTGCTGGGATTACAGGCGTGAGCCACCGCGCCCGGCCGTGTGTTCATTGTTTTTGATGAAAAGTGAGTTGTTTCCCTCTATGTGATGAATTGTTTTTCTTGTGCTGCTATTAAGATTTTCTGTTTTCAGCTTTCAACATTTTGACTGTAATTTGTGTGAATATAGATCTCTTAGTGTTTAACCTACTTTAGGTTCATTGAGCTTCTTTGATCTCTAATGTTTTTTGTTTTTTAATTAAATTTGGTAGGTAGGCACAGTAGTGGGCACCTGTAGCCCTAGCCACTTGGGAAGTGGAGGCAGTAGGATTGCTTTAGCCCAAGAGTTTGACCTGTAGTGCACTATGTTATGATTGTGCCTGTGAATAGCCACTGCACTGAAGCCTGGGCAACATAGTGAGACCTCATCTCTAAAAAAAACAAAAACAAAAAACGAGAACAAAAACAAAAGGAAAGTTTTTGGCTATTGTCTCTCCAAATATTTTTTTCTGCCCTATCTCTTCCTTTTCCTCTTTTTTTCCCCTCCTCCTTCTGGAACTCCCATCACATGCATGGTGCTATGCTTGATGTTGTCCCATAGGCCTCTGAGGCTGTGTTCATTTCTGTTTAATATTTTTTCTCTCCATTATTCATATTGGATAATTTATACAGATCCATCTTCATGTTTACTGATCATTTATTATGGTGAGCTCCTCTACTGAATTTTTAATTTCAGTTACCCTACTCTTCAGCTCCAGAATTTCCATTTGTTCCTTTATTTAATCTCTCTCTCTTTGTTGTGATTTGTATTCATGAAGTCATTGTTGTCATGCTTTCCTTTAAATCTTTAAGCATGGTTTCCTTTAATTCTTTGATATATTTATAATAGCTGCCTTGTAGTCTTTGTCTGATAAAAGCAACATTTGGGGATATGCATACCTTCTTGTTTATTTGCATGTTTCATAATTTTTTGTTAAATACTGAACATTTTAGATAATATATTGTAGTAATTCTAGATTATGTTTTCCTCTTGAAGATTGTTATTGCTTTGTTTGTTAATCCCTGAATGAAATCTGTGAAATCTGTCTTCCCTACAACATGTGGCCTCTGATGTTTCCATTCAGTTTTATTTCCTTCTTATTTTTATTTTAAGCCTTGTTTCTTAGGGGTTTCCCCCATATCTGCATAGCTTAGTGTTCAGCCAGAGATTTTTCGGAGGTTGTGCTCAAGAACCTCAAGCTAGTTAGACTTTGTGTCTGCCTATAGTTCTATGTGTGAGCTGGGGAGGGCAAAGTTCAGGTTGTTTTCAAACCTACCCTGGCTTTTACTCTTCACCAGACTCTTTTATTTCCCCTGCACACATATATAAGCTCCATTGGCTAGGGATGTGTGGGTGGCTCAGGCTTCTCTGGTCTCTGCTGTGCATTCACCCAGCTTCGAGTTAACCCAAGATATGTGGAGAGCTTATCAAACTCCCTTGGTCTGTCTCACTCCCTGGAATTTTCTGATAAATTCCTGGTTAGTTTGCCAGTCCATTGTTTGGCCCAAACATTGCTGAAACCCAGCCTAACAGTGCTTCTGGCCTTTCCTGTTCTTGATATTATAACTGACAATGCCCCAAATTAAGTGGAGCCCTCTGGCAGAGGCAGTGAAGCAGCTGATTTTTCACAGGCGGCACCACGTTTGTTGAAGTATTGCAACTGATAGCATTGGGAGCCTGGTGAACGAGAGCAGCCTCAGGCAAGAATACTATAGAGTCGTGCTATTCTTACCCAAAGTCCAGTAATTTTTATGAATACATGTTTCTTTGTTGTATGTCTTTGATTGATTTGCAGAGTGATAAAATGGTGGGTTTTGACAGTTTGTCCTGCTTTAGAGTCGTATTTTCTTCTGTTCTCAGTTTTATCTTTTAAGCTTGGAACTTTTAAACATCATTTAAAAGTTATTTTATTTTAGCTAAGGTAGCACTGGCTGCTTTAACAGAGAAATCTTGAATTCTCAATGGCTTAACTCAATAAAAGTTAGTTTTTGTTTATGTCACAATTTGTATTTTCTATTGCTATGTAAGTTATCCCCAAATGTAGTATCTTTAAACAACAAATATTTATTATCTCACAGTTTCTGTGGATCAGGAATCTGAGTGCAGCCTGGCTGGGTGCGACTGGGTCAAGTGTCTCACAAAGTTGCAATCAAGGTGTTGGCCAAGGCTGCAGCATCTCAAGGCTTCACTGGGTGAAGATCTGCTTCCATGCTCACTCACATGGCTGTTGGCAGGCTACAGATCCTTGCTGGCTACTAACCAGGGACATCAATTTCTTCTATGTGAGACTCACTACAGGGCTACTCACAGCATAGCAGCTTGCCTCCCCCAGAGCAAAGGCTTTGAGAGAAAGAGAATAAGAAAAGGTGTCTAAGATGGAAGCCACAGTCTGTTTGTAACCTAATCTCAGAAGTGATATCCCATTGTATCTGCCATATTCTATTCATTAGAAGTGGGCCAATAAGTCTGGTCCACACTCATGAGAAAGGGATTACACAAGGGTGTGAGTTCCAGGAGATGGAGATCATTAGGAGCTATTTCAGAGGCTGTCTCCCACATAATACACTCACCTTCAATGGAAATTTATCTGTGAGAAGCATGAGCAGCTTGGGTTAGGAGTGAGTTCCCCAGGAAATATTTTGCAGTTGCTTCTGTTGGAATATGCCTGGTTTGGAACTATTTTATGCTAATTTTTAATTTTAGGGGTGTGGCCCATGAAGGTTCATGCAGATACACTGTACCGTGGCTGTGTGAGGACCAGCTTGTAGGTACAGATTCTTAGGGGATTTGCCTCTTTTCCCTTCCCGCCATCCCTGTACTTCAGACCAGCTTCCTTGTCATCAGCCTGTGGTGATGACTAATTTTTTTATTCTAGTCTACATTTTCATCAAAGGTTTCACTTTTCCTAACTTTATGCAGGTTCTCCTTTCCAATTCCACGCTTCATGTGGGCCCAAAGCCTTCCTCCTATGCCCAAGTGGGTGTTAAAACCTAAGCCTTTACCAAAACGCTGAGACCAACAGCCCCTGCCCCCACCTCCCGCCTCCACTGGGCTGTTTGCAGCATTGGCTCACACAGTTAATATTCTGATTTTCCAGTCTCCTCTTTGCTTTTGTCCCCTGGGGACTTATCTCGCTTTCTTGTGAGCTCAGCTATGCATATAAAGCAACATTTGTTATATTTCATCCAATGTTTTGAAATGGGAGAGTTTTCTAAAGGTTATCTAAACTAAATAACACAAGTAAAGTATACACGATGTTGCCTGGCCCCCTGTTGGACCCACCAACTCTAGTCTGGACAATTTCCAATTAGACACAAAGCATTTTTACTTTAAATATTTCATGAGCTTGGAAATGGCTACTGATTCCAGTCTGGTTTGGAGAAAGGCTAAGGATCTCATCCCAAGAGGATTCTTTGACTTTGAGTCTCCTGTAAATGGATGTTGGGGGAAGCAGGGTGGAAGTCAGTGCAGGGATAATAGGAGCATTCACAGTACAATGTTACAGTTTTATAACTGTAGGATAGTAAAGATCAACATGGGTGTAATATTTCTCTGAGAGTCTCTGAGTCCGTGTTTCCCTTGTGTCCTGGTCTCCTGTTGGAACCCCAGAAGCTCCTCTTGGCCAGCTGAGCTGGCGGGTGTATGACCCCAGGGAGTTGTTCACCTTCTTTTGTCTGCCTTGGATAGAATTGGTTGTGAGTATTGCCTGTGGGTGGGATTTCAAGAGCTGCAGAACCCCAGGGAAAGAGGCACTTCTCATTCTGAGTGGTATTGTCACTGCGATTTAAGAGCCTCTTGTTGCTAATAATAGTAGCTATAGTTTATTGAGCATCTACTGTGTGCCAGATATTATGCCTAGTGCTTTATACACAGAAGAGGGCTAGAGATACAGAAATATACAACAGAGTGAGATTCCTTTCATCCCTGGTGTCTGGACTCGAGACCAGTGTGCTTTCTGCTAGGGTTAGATTAGCTCCCCTGTGCTCCAAGAGGGACACTCTGGGCTGCATTTGTTCTAATTGGGGAGTGTCTTGAGCCTAGCCCAGAAATAGCAGGAGTTAGTTCAGTTCCTGTGTTTTAGGAAATACGCTGGCAACTGTTGTCTTTGGTGCCCCAGAAATACAGAGACAGAAAGACTGAGAGGTAGATGACAGAGCATCATGGTGAAAGCCACAACTGTCACACAAGTGTGGCTTGTGTCAGTCAAATATGAGAGAACTTAACTTCTGCGGGGTCTTGGATTGATTTTCCATGGCCTGGGATTTCCATACACTTGTAATGAAGCTCCTTTAGAAAAAGCTTCAAAAAGTTCAGACAATCCTTCTTTTCAATTAGTAGGCCCACATTGGAACCAACGAATCTAAATCTCCAGCAAATTTGGCTCTGAGCTTCTAAGCAGCCAAAGCAAGAGAGGTGTTTTGTTAACCTTGGGTTCAGATCCTTGGGGTGGGGCCTGAGTTAATGTAGGTTTAACAAGCTCCCCAAGAGAATCTGTTGCTCAGTCAGCCTTACATGGGAGCCAGGAAGCATGACATTTAATTTCAGTTTTATCACCTACCAGCTGGGCATCCTCAGACAATTCACCTGCCCTCTCTGGGTCTTGTTTGCCCATTAGTAGATTGGAATAGAAATGGCTCTATTTGAAGTAGAATCCAGTGAAATCATGTTATGCTTTGGAGGCTGAATTATGGAAACACTGAGCTGCAGTTTACACATGGATCAGGCCACTCCTTTGAGCCTCTGTTGACTGCACGTAAATATAATGCCGTGAATCTTTCCTGGGAGATGTCACAAGATGCAGCCATGTGATACTTGCTGTTATGTTTGCCATGGGATGCTGTCGAGGACCTTATCCATGACTTCATCCAATGGACTCTACATAATCATCCACAGGGGATGATTGTCTCTTAGTCTCAGGGACAGGAATTGTTGTGGTTCTCATGGGCATCTGGCCTGTGTTTACCAGGGAGGCCCTGAGACCTTCGCATGCCGCTAGCCGAGGGCTTACTATGTGCCAGTACCTGTACCAAAAGGCTCACATGTTTTTCTTTCAGTCCCCTCAATAGCCCTATGAAGATGGTACCATTATCACTCCCATTTGACAGCTGAGCAAACTGAGGCCCCCAAACTTTAACTTTCCCAGGCCATTCTGCTAGGAAGTGGTAGAGCCAGCACTTGAATCTAGGAGAAGTCTCACGCATAGCCCATGCAGGCAACTCTGAGGCTATACTCCCTGATGCTTTGCCTGCTTGGAAGCTCAGGGTTAAACATGTGCCCATCTTGAGCAATGTTCAGGACTTTGTCACCTGTGTTCTGGGTGTAGCACTTACCTCGGGTAGCACCTTTTCCTGCCTTTACTTTTTCTTTGCACCAGTTCTCTCTTGTAATGTGAATGAAGCTGCAACCTCTGTGGTATATTTAGTCTTCATGTGGTGGTGTGCGGCACAGTTCCACCAACAAAATTTTTGTTTTGCTTTTTTTCATACTTTAACTTTTTTTTTTTTTAACACCATGGATTCTGCACCACCAAAATACGAAAAACAAAACCAGAACCTCATCCAGCAATGGCTAAGCTTTCCTCAGTGGGGGAGGGTAGAGAAGGAACCCACAGGTTAAGCCAGAACCCGAGTGAGTGGATAGAAGGTTGGGGAAGGCAAGGGCCGGGTGCGGTGGCTCACGCCTATAATCCCAGCACTTTGAGAGGCCGAGACGGGCAGATTATGAGGTCAGGAGATCGAGACCATCCTGGCTAATACGGTGAAATCCTGTCTCTACTAGAAATACAAAAAAATTAGCCGGGCGTCGTGGCAGGCACCTGTAGTCCCAGCTACTTGGGAGGCTGAGGCAGGAAAATGGGGTGAACCCGGGAGGCAGAGCTTGCAGTGAGCCGAGATCGCGCCACTGCACTCCAGCCTGGGCAACTGAGCGAGACTCTGTCTCAAAAAAAAAAAAAAAAAAAAAAAAAAAAAGAAGGTGGGGGAAGGCTTGGGACACTGGTAGGTTAATAACTTTGCTCCATCACTTACGCATTAGTTTCCATCCTGCCAGTTGGTATTTTATATATATATAGCATATATACATGTAGTGTATATATATAGTATATATGTAGTATATATATAGTACATGTATGTAGTGTATATATATACACAGAGCTTTCAATCAATTTTGTAATGTAATGGATTATAAATAATAAAAGATGTCCTCCATGAAGTCCCCACCCCCATACTGGGCAGGAGGGTGCATGCCAGGTCCCTGGTCCTCTCTGTTGGGGTCAGGTGAGAGAAACGTCAGGGGATGGGACTAGGTGGAGAGAAAAACATGGTGGTCTGCAGTCTGGAGTGCAGCCAGCCAGACACCTGGAAGAGGCATAGGTGGGGTGGAGGTGGGGGTGGGGGTGGGATATTTAGAGGAAAGACTGGGCCCCAAGACAAGCCTTGGGAGCAGAGTGGGGCAGAGATGCCCCCATCTTTCTTTGCAAAGAGTTAGAGTTTCTTTTAGTTCAAATGCGGAAGAGTCGCCTACAGCCTCTGCAGATATAGAGAGGTCTTCCCCTAAGGCAGAGCACCCCAGGGACTTCCACCCCCTCCCGGCACCTTATAACTGTCCTCCCGACCCCCTGCCCCCCAGCTCAGCGATGAGTTGAACCAGCAGCTGGAGGCCGTGTGCGGGTCGGTGTTTGGGGAGCTGGAGTCCCAGGCCGTGGACGCCCTGGACCTGCCCGGCTGTTTCCGCATGCGGAGCCACAGCTACCTCCGGGCCATCCAGGCCGGCTGCTCTCAAGACGACGACTGCCTGCCCCTCCTCGCTACCCCTGCCGCTGTCTCAGGGAGGCCCGGCTCCTGTGAGTACACCTTCCTGCCCCTGGCCCGGCCCTAGGCAGGAGAGCGCCCTGGGTCCGGGTTCTGGCCTCCCCCTCGACTGTGCTGTGACCCGCGCAGATCGCTCGCTCCCGGGGTCGGATGACGGGGAGAGCGTCCGTTGGCGTGTGTGCAGCAGCATGTGGAGTGCGCGCCGCTGCAGGGTCCCGTAGGGCCTCTTGAGGGTGGGAGTCGGGCGCGGGCCCAGGACCCAGGCAGGGCCGCGAGCCTCACCCACTGCGTCTCTGCGCTCGCCGGCCACAGCCTTCAACTTCAGAAAGGCCCCGCCCCCCATCCCGCCGGGAAGCCAGGCCCCGCCCCGCATCTCCATCACCGCCCAGAGCAGCACCGACTCCGCGCACGAGAGCTTCACGGCGGCCGAGGGCCCCGCCCGGCGCTGCAGCTCCGCCGACGGGCTGGACGGCCCCGCCATGGGTGCGCGCACACTGGAGTTGGCGCCGGTGCCGCCCCGGGCCAGCCCCAAGCCCCCCACACTCATCATCAAGACCATCCCTGGCAGGGAGGAGCTGCGGAGCCTGGCGCGGCAGCGGAAGTGGCGGCCGTCCATTGGGGTGCAGGTATGGAACGGGGAGGCGCCCACGAGGGCTCTGACCCTGGTCGGTCGGGGCTGGGGTGAGGGGCTGGAAGCGGCCTTCTGGATATATCGACATTCTTTCTGGCTTGCCCTGAGCTGCAAGTGAACCCCGTGCCTGGACATCGACGGGGCTGCTCCAGCCAGCCCCCGCCCACTCCCTCGTCCCTCGTCCTGGCACCATCGCCCCTCCTGACTAATGGAGGGCTGGAGGGCTGTGCCCAGTGGTTGCCACTTTGAGGCCTGTGACCGACCGCCTGGGTCTCTCATCTTGTTCAGGCAGATGGTCTTTGCAGGACCTGCCAGCTGGCTTGGGGCGCAGCCATTGCTAGCCGTTCTCCCCGGGAAGGGCTTTCACCTTGGCTCGCCACAGCCACTGACTCCTCCACCCTGCCACCAGGTGGAGACGATCTCAGATTCGGACACCGAGAACAGGAGCCGGAGGGAGTTCCACTCTATTGGCGTGCAGGTGGAAGAGGACAAGAGGTAAAGTCACGGTGGGAGTGCCCAGGCTTCGCTGGGAGACAGGAGGAGAGAGGGCTGCATAGTGTCCCCACTAGCCCAGTCTCCCTGCACATCCTCTTTTCCTGGAAGTGAGACCAAGCCTTTTTATAGAGGGTGGTCAGAGCAGCCACAGGGGCTGTTCCATAGAGATGTCACCAGAGGAGTCATCAAACCTAGAGTTCTTGTGCCCATGCCCACCCCAGGTGCTCAGAGGCAGACGGGAGATACACAGCAGTTGCAGGGAAGGAGAGGATGGGAAAGGTTACATGTAGGTGCCGAGCAGGCCTCCAGCAATTGTCCTTTCCAGGGGATGATAGGATCTGCCAATCCCTCATTACATCCTGTGGTGTACAAGTATGTGAGCTCAAAAAGAAACAAACGGGAAGATTGCCTCTCAGGAGCCCCTGGCAGATATAACACTCCTCCTCACTTGGCTCACACAAGCATTTAACCAGTTGGGGGTACCTATTACATGCCTGAGTCTGTGGTGTACCTGAGATAGTACAATTAGCAGCAGCCACTATTCTGGCATTAGGTGGCCTCAGAAACATTGACTCCTTAATTTTCACTGAAGAATTAGCATTGCCAGCTCTGGAGGGGATACCAGAAAGAGGCCTCTCTGTTGTTGGGTGCCTATGGGGAGAAAGGGTGTCTGGGAGCTTGCCAGGGGCTGGCCATAACGGTTTCATGGTATCTGAGCTTCCCAGGCCATACGACTGGAGGAATAAAACTAGTGTCCCAGGCCAGGTGCGGTGGCTCACGCCTGTAATCCCAGCACTTTGGAAGGCCAGGGTGGGTGGATCACTTGAGGCCAGGAGCTTGAGACCAGCCTGGCCAACATGGCAAAACCCCATCTCTACTAAAAATACAAAAATTAGCTGAGCATGGTGGCACACTCCTGTAGTCTCAGCTGCTCGAGAGGCTGAGGCATGAGAATTGGTTGAACCCAGGAGCCTGAGGTTGCAGCGAGCTGAGATTGCACCACTGCACTCCAGCCTGGGTGACTGAGTGAGACTATCTCAAAAAAAACCCAAAACACAAAAAACCAGTGTCCCACTAGCAGTGGTTCCTCGCAGCTCTGTTCCCAGTTGCTGTCCTTCGCCCAGATTTCCCCAGCTATTTCTGGGATGTCCTTGGGATGTCTTGTGTTTGTGCCTGATGAAGTTTTTTTGGTGTTCCTATGGGATTCACCATTTTTCTCAACTTCTGATTTGGCTCCCTGAAGTTCTGTGTGCTCCTGGGGCTGTAAATGCCTTCATCGAGGGTGGCATAATGCTGCCCTGGTTGCCTGCATGACTTCTAAACCTGCTGTTCACCAAACTTTTACTGTGCCACAAAGATTTCAGAAAAATAGCATTTTATGGCAAACCCAATTTGCAAATCTGTGACTTGAATTATTGAGAGATGGGGTAGGAGTCATGGATGGATGCAACTCTATGTTCTGAATCCTACCCACCCCCAATTCTAGTGCTATCCCATGGACCACCAAGCCCACTCACTCCCTTTAGAGGCTTTTTGGTTCCTTGTCTAGATAGGTCCAGGGGGGTGGGGGTTCCCCACATTCCTCCTAATAACCCTTGAATCCTGGGAAGAGTGCTGCAGGCCTTCTAGCTGAGACTCTTGCTAAATCAGCAAACTCTTGTCATTGATTGATTGATTCATTCATTCATCAGATACTTACTAAGCACGTGTTGTATGACAGCTCCTATGCACTGTGTTAAATGCTTCAGGAAACATCAAAGACATGACTTCTGCCCTCACAGAAGCTATGGTCTAGAGGGAAATCAAGGCAATGAATAAATAATCCTTGAATAAAAATATGACAACACATTATGATATAATAGGTAGTGGGATTTTATTGCATATTATGTAGGAATATGAAAGAAAAAGGAGGAGATAAGAGAGAAGAAGGGACCTTATTTAGATTAACAGGTGACATTTAAGCTGAGACTTGAGGATTGACTAAGAACTCTCAGGTGATGATTGGAGGAAAAGCATTCAGGGGAGAGGGAATAGCATATGTGGAGGTGTTGGGGCAGGAAAGAGTTTGACATGCATCGGGAACTGAAAGAAGGTCCATGTGGCTGGTGTGGAGTGGGGCAGGGGAGTGGGAAGGGAGTTAATTGGAGAACAGGCAGGGGCAGGTTATGCAGAGCATGGACATGATAAGGAATTGGAATCTAATTATGAGTAATGAGTAGCCATGTAAAGGTTAAAGAAGGAGTGCAACATGATCTAACTTATGTTCATGAAAGATCACAAGCTGCTGAGTGGAGAATGAATTTGAAGAAAGCAATAGTGGAAACGAGAAGGCTAGTTAGGAGGATTTTTCATGATCCAGAAGAAAGGTGATTGTGTTTTGCAATGTGGTGGCTATTGTGATTGGGATGTTTTTCTTCTATTGCATTTTACAACTAGGCACTGCTAGTGTGTGGTAGCACTGTTAGGTTTATTTATTTTTATTTTAATTTTATTTTTTTTGAGATGGCATTTTGCTCTTGTCGTCCAGGCTGGAGTGCAGTGGCATGATCTCGGCTCACTGCAACCTCTGCCTCCCGGGTTCACGCCATTCTCCTGCTTCAGCCTCTCAAGTACCTGGGATTACAGGCACCCGCCACCACGCCTGGCTAGTTTTTTGTGTTTTCAGTAGAGATGGGGTGTTGCCATGTTAGCCAGGCTGGTCTCAAGCTCCTGACCTCAGGTGATCAGCCCGCCTCGGCCTCCCAAAGTGCTGGGATTACAGGCGTGAGCTACCACACCCGGCCTCTACTGTTAGGTTTTGTATGTTTTGTATGTTGATTTTGTATTCAGTAACGTTGCTGCTGAATTAGGTCTCTCTTATTAGTCTCATAGGTTATCTGAAAATCATGATGGGCTTCCTATATAGTCAGTTATTTTTCTGTGAATGAAGATATTTCTTTTAAATCTGTATTTTCATTTATTTTTCTTGTAATATTGCATTGAATAGGACTTCTGTTCACTGTTCAGTAGTATTGACTTTAGTGGCTATGTTTTTCAAGATGATGTTTGCTACAAATTTTGATGGATACCATTTGTCAGGTTAAGGAAATTCCTTTCTATTCCTAGTTGGATAAGCATCTTATTTTTATTTTTTAAAATAGAAAATATGAGTGAAATTTTATTGAATGTTTTCTCAGAATCTATTTAGATGATCATAGATTTTTCTCCTTCCATGTGTAACATGGTGAATTATATGAATGAATGGATTTTCCATTCTTTCATTCCTGGGATAAACCCTGCTTGATCCCATTGTCAGTTTGGATTAAATTTGGCTGTGAGTCACAGGGCCTCAGTAGTGTCTTAAACAAGTGTATTTTTCTCTCACTTAAAAAAAAAAAGCCAGCTTAGATGTAGGGAGTGCAGTGTCAGAACTCCAGGCTCCTTCTATTTTGTACATCACTTCATGTCTAGGGACCTTAAGTTCAAGCTCCCCCAGTCATGTCTGCATTCTGAGCAGTGAGAAGGAGTAAAGAGGAAGAGGGATGCAGTCCATCCTTTTTAAAAAGACTTCCTGCAAGTTACACACAACCAGTTTCATCACATTGGCTAAAATCTCATCACATGGTGGCACCTAGCTGCAAGGGAGGCTGTGGGGTATAGTCTTTTAGCTGGGAAGCAATGTGGAGGGTGTAAACTACATAGCTAAGAATCAGGGTTCTCATGACTAAAGACAAAGAATAGCTATGTGGAGCTCTAGGGGTTTTTGTTACAGTTTTGCTATATTATTTTTATATACAGTATTAGATTTTTGAACAGTTGCTACTTTAAAATTTTAAATCATTTAGATTTATGAATGTATCATAAGTGATATATCATAATAATTGTAAGCCTACAATTTTTTACTGCTTTTCAATTCAGGTATTAGAGCTAAGATAGGCTCCTAAAATGAATTTGGTAGGTTTCTCTGTGTTTTTGTTCTTTGGAACAATTTGTGTAAGACAAGACTTATCTATTCTTTAGGTTTGGTAAAGGTTGCCTATAAAATTATCTATGCCTGATGCCTTTTGGGGATAGGAGAGACTTTTAAAACTACAGCTTCAGTTTCTTTAGTGATTATTGACCTATTCTGGTTTTATTTTTTTTCTTGAATCATTTTGGTGATTTATATTTTATTTAAAAAAGAAACATAAGAATTGACAGTTTTCAAAGTTTTTGGCACAAATATTCTTTCTCATAGTATTAAAATGTTATCAATATTTATTGCATCTCTATATTGATATCTCCCTTTGCATTTCTTCTTCTTTTTTTTTTTGAGACAGAGTCTCACTCTGGAGTGCAGTGGTGTGATCTTGGCTCACTGCAACTTCCACCTCCCGAGTAGCTGGGATTACAGGCATCTGCCACCATGCCCGGCTAATTTTTGTATTTTTAGTAGAGACGGGTTTTCACCATGTTGACTAGGCTGGTCTCGAACTTCTGACCTCAGGTGATCCGCCCGCCTCAGCCTCCCAAAGTCCTGGGATTACAGGCGTGAGCCACTGTGCTTGGCTCCCTTTTTATTTCCAATACCATGTATTTATGTCTTACCTCTCTTTCTTGAGTCAGCCTTGCCTGAGGTTTGTATATTTTATAATTAAACATATTTTTAGGCTAGACCTAGTAACTCATACCTATAGTCCCAGTACTTTGGGAGGCTGAGGTGGGATTGCTTGAGATCAGGAGTTCAAGATGAGCCTGGGCAACGTAGTGAGACCTGATCTCTACAAAAAATGCAAAAATTAGCTGGGCATGGTGGCATGCATCTGTAGTTCCAGCTCCTGGGGAAGCTGAGGCAGGTGGATAACTTGAACCCATGGGTTTGAGGGTGCAGTGATCTCTGATCACACCACTGTACTTCAGCCTGTCTCTGAGACTCTGAGACCTTGTGTCAAAGAAAGAAAAGGGGGGGAAAGAAAAAAATACATATGTTGAAACTTACATTTTATTCGTCTTTGAAAAAAACTAGTTTTTTGTTTTGGTGAGCAATCTTTAATATTTCCTTCCTTCTACTTTTGGTTATTTTCTTTTGTCTGCTGTGTTTGTCTTTCTTTATGCCTCTTGAATTCATCCCTAACTTTCAATATTTTTTATTTTTTAACATGTGCTGTTAGGGCTATAATTTCCCTTATAACTATATCCTTTTATGGCTATATCTCATAAGTTTTGGGAAGCGGTATTTTTATTGTACATATTGAATATGTAACTTTCATCTTTCATCACTTTTGTCGTAATTTCCTTTTTAACCTATGAATTTTTAGAATAATTTTTTTTTTTAGTTTTCAAATGAATTTTTTTGACAAGGGACAGCCTTTTCATTATTGATTTCTAAATTTGCTACATTGTGGTCATATTATGTACCTATTATATTTATTGCTTAGAATTTGTTGAGACCTCCTTCATCATATGTATATATATCATGTATCAGGGGTCCCCAAACCCCAGGCCAGGGACTGGTATTTGTCCATGGCCTGTCGGGAACCAGGCGGCACAGCAGGAGGTGCGCAGCAGGTGAGTGAGCATTACTGCCTGAGCTCCGCCTGCTGTCAGATCTGCGGTAGCATTCGATTCTCATTGGAGCCTGAACCCTATTGTGAACTGCGTGCATATGTAAGGGATCTAGGTTGTGTGCTCCTTATGAGAATCTAATGTTTGATAATCTGTCTCCCGTTACCCTCAGATGGGACCGTCTAGTTGCAGGAAAACAAGCTCAGGGCTCCCACTGATTCTACATTATGATGAGTTGAATAATTATTTTATTATATATTACAATGTAATAATAATAGTAGAAATAAAATGCCCAATAAATGTAATGTGCTTGAATCATCCCAAAACCATCCCCTACTATGCCCCCCCGCAGCTTCTGGAATTTTTTTTTTTCTTTTTTTTTTTTGAGGCAGAGTCTCGCTCTCGCCCCGGGTGGAGTGCAGTGGCGCGATCTCGGCTCACTGCAAGCTCCGCCTCCTAGGTTCACGCCATTCTCCTGCCTCAGCCTCCCAAGTAGCTGGGACTACAGGTGCCTGCTACCATGCCCGGCTAATTTTTTTTGTATTTTTAGTAGAGACGGGATTTCACCATGTTAGCCAGGATGGTCTCCATCTTCTGACCTCGTGATCCGCCCGCCTCGGCCTCCCAAAGTGCTGGGATTACAGGCGTGAGCCACTGCGCCCACCCAGCTTCTGGAAAAATTGTCTTCCACAAAACTAGTCCCTGGTGCCAAAAAGGTTGGGGACGGCTGTCATATATGGTCAAATTTATAAATTATATTTTTCAAATGTTTATCTTTTTTTTGTACATTTGATCTATCAGTTCTGAGAGGTGTGTTAAAAATGTCTCACCATGATTGTGGATATGTCATTTTCCCTGGTAACTTTGTTGATTTTTACTTCAGTTTGAGAGTGTGCTGTTTATAAGCATTCAAGCTTATGATTGTTGTATCTTCTTGGTGGCTTGGCTCTTTTAATATTAAATAGGCTGCTTTTCATCCTTACTAATGGCTTTTGCCTTGAAGTCTTTTTTACCTGATTTTTATTGCTATGGCTGCTTGCTTTTGGTTAATTTTCCAATACATCTTTTTCCATCCTTTTATTTTCAACCTTCCTATATCCTTATGTTTTAGATGTGTTGCTTATTTTTTTATTTTTATTTTTATTTTTTTGAGATGAGTCTTGCTCTGTCACCCAGGCTGGAGTGCATTGGCGTGATCTCAGCTCACTGCAACCTCGCTTCCTGGGTTCTAGTAATTCTTCTGCCTCAGCTACCTGGGTAGCTGGGTTTACAGGCATGTGCCACCACACCTGGCTAATTTTTTTGTATTTTTAGGAGAGACAGGGTTTCGCCATGTTGGCCAGGCTGGTCGCGAACTCCTGACCTTAGGTGATCCACCCGGCTCAGCCTCCCAAAGTGTTGGGATTACAGGAGTGAGCCACGGTGCCTGGCCTATATGTGTTGCTTATAAGCGATTTATAGCTAGAGTTTAGACATATTTAATCCATGTATATATTTTTCATTACTGACTTGAGTTTATTTCTATCATCTGTTTAAAAATTTTCTAGTTGACATGCTTTTTCTTTGCTTTCTCCCTTTCTTTTTATCTTATGTTGAACTGATCAACAGTAAATAGAGTTTACTTTCTCTTCTTCACTCCACTGGTTTGGAAGTTTACATTTTAGTAGTGATTTCCCTTAAACATTTGACAGATATACTTAATTTCATATTTTCCTAATAACGTCTAACATTAGTCAGTACTTCTGTCCTTCTTAGGCACAAAACAAGAATCTTGGAACACTTTAATTTCCTTCTTAAGTTTCTCCTCCCATCTTCCATGTTATGTTTATCTAGTAGTTTGATTATACCTCTTAAAAAGTCTCTGTGAAATCAGCTGCTGTTGTATCTTTTATGCTTTAACAGTTTAGATTTACATACGTGTTTCCGTAATTTGTGTGTTCACTATTGTTTTTTACTGCCCTCTTCTTTCTCCTGGTTCAGTTTCCTTCATGCTGAAGCACTGCTTGAAGTTTTAAAGTTAATATCTCCCTTTGAGGCTTGAGGTTTCTTGTGTTTCACAGGTAATACTCATTTGAACCCCACACCTCCACACAAGGAAGCCTTCATGTTCCGATTTCCCAGCATCCTCCTTCCAGGCCACATTCCTGCATCCCTGGCATGAGCGTTTTGAGTCCAAGTTTGCAAATGAAACAGACCTTCTTGGCTGCCGACTTTGCGCACAGGGTCTCTTTCCAGCTCCCCTTGCTGCGCAGGTTTGGGGTCTCTCCTCTCATCCTCCCTCAGCGTTTTCATCCAGCCTCTAGCATATGTCTGGTCTGATCTCCCTGTGGTTCACTTGGCTTAGACCCCCTCTCACTATATGTTCTTTGAATTTCCTTCCTGTTTCTGATACCTGGACATTTCTCATTCCTATTTTCAAACCCAGCATTGTAGCAAAAACACCTTTTTGATTTTTAAAAACCCAGCATTTCTATGCGTTTAGGGTGTGAGTGGGAGCTTCCTAAGTTAATTCAGTCTACTCTATTGATCAGTGGTCTGGGTAAGGCTGATAGCAGTGGATACAGAGAGAAGTGGGCCAATTTGAGCAGCATTTTGGAGTGAAAGTCAGGGAAGGGCAGGGACAGGCAGAGAACGTGGCCTTCCTTGCTCTTGTGTAAGTGCTTGGTGAGGTCTTGATGTGGCGGGCTGAGGAGAGGACATGGTGTTGAATAAGCATCGAAAGAACCAAACTGCCTGGGACAGGTGATCACACTGGGAATTCAGAGGGAGTGACAGGTGGGGAGAGGGGAAATCTGGCCCATCTCTTTGGCCAGGCTCCCTGGCCTGTCTGCTGCAGGCGTCCTTAGTCATACACCTGCACAGTCCTTTCTGTCCCTTATGTCCCTGGCACTTTAAGTCTGACTCCTCACACACCATGCCCCAACTGGTGCATAAAAGCGAGCCATGAATTCCAGCAGCCTCGCCTGGCCAGCATTCAGGCCTGGCCCGCCACACACAGCCCAGCCCCATTTTCTTTGACTCTCTTGTCCTTACTGCTGTCTCGCTCATCCCAGTATCTGTTTCTCTCTCTGTAATTTGGTTTTAAAAATTGCTGAGCAGGAAAGGTCTCTTCTCTTCTGCCTTTCAGGGTGTTCCCTGCTCACCTCTTGGGTGAGGATTTTGGACTTATTGTCCCTTCTGTCTGGGAATTGTCTGTGAGTCCTTCCAGTTGCCCAGTGTCAGTGATGACTTGGCTTAGAATATAAGGGGAGGGGGCTGGCACCCCTTCAGTTCTATCTCCACTGCACACCCCCACCCCCCCGCCAAGATTCATCTGTCCACAGATATTTATTGGATCTGTATTATTTGCCAAACACTGTGCTGGGCACTGAGGATGCAAAGGTGAGCAGAACCAGAGACAGCTCCTGCCCATGCAAAGCTTACCACGAAGTTAATCTAAGAATCTCATTAATGATGTAGCCGCTGTGCCGGCTGCCACAAAGGAGCGGCATGTGAGCCATGACAGTGTAGACTATGGGGCTTTGAGTCTGCCAGAGGGGTCAGGCATGGCTTCCCTGGGAAGTGACATTTGGGTGGAGATCCGAAGGATGAACAAAAATTAACTGAGTGAAAAATGGGAGATAAGGTTCCAGGCAGAAGGAATAGCATATGCTAAGGCCTTGTGGTGAGAGAGAACATACTTAATCAGTTACCAGCCGTGTCTCAACATGTCCTTATGGCACCTGTTTCCCTAGACCCAGCACACTCTGGGCCATGATAAAAGGATGCATCAGATGTCTTGCTGAATATTAGCAAGGGGCCCTCTGAAGTCATAGAAAATGGGATTTTTGCCTCCAACTCTTTCTAACCATAGGGATCTGCCTGTATCTTCCACCTCTAATTCCTCCCAGACAGACCTTATCTTAAATTGTAAATTTAGCAAAAACAAAACCAACAACATCAACAGCAAAACCCACCAAAATAAAGAAACAAAAACCACCAGGATGCCCAGTTAAATTTGATGATCAGATAAATAATGAATGCATTTTAGTATGTCACATGCAATATTTGGGACATACTCATAGTAAAAACATCTGTTATTTATCTGAAATTCAAATTCAACTGGGAGTCCTATATTTTATCTGACAACCCTACTCATACCTGCTTGTGCCCACGAAGGGCCACCTGGAGAACTCTGTGGAGGAAGACCTGCCTACCCTTTCCTTAACATTATGGTCATTTCTAGCTTTGGGAGTTTGGGAAGGGTATGTGCTGAAAGAATGGCCCCTTGAGGCCTGGGAAAGAAGCTTCCATACCCATTAAGTTATATTCCAAGAACAGTCCTGCAAAAGCAATAAGAAGCTGACTGCCCAAAGCCCTGGGCACAGATGCTACCTCCATTCCTGAGCCTGCAAATTTAGGACGGTTTCTGACTGACCCTCATGACTCCTCCTGAATCTCCCACCCTAGCCCCACCTTGGCATCCCTGTCACAGCCCCCAGGCTGGAGTGGTGGGTTCAGTGACCCCTGCTTGATTATATGTTTAGGCTCTTAGATGCCTTCACACAGGAGCTTCTATAGAAGCTAGTTTGAAGGCTATGCCTAGTTGAAATGACACCGTCCTTCCCCCTCCCTGCCCACTCCCCCTCCCACCCTTCCTGCCTGCTGCCAAATACTCCTGGCAAAACCTCTTGACAACTTCTGGATATAGAGCTTTCCTTGGATACTGTGTCTCTTGGGATAATCCAGCTTCTACCCAGAGGCTTTTATGTTATCCCCCAGAGAATCACAGTAGAAACTCTCCCTGAAGTAGAATCGCAGTGGAAACTCTCCCTGAAGTAACCATGATAACAACTTGCATTATCATCAGGAATGTAATCATTGTCACCTTGGAGCACTCAAAGGGAGGAGGCTTCTGCAGCCACATTTAAAGGCTTGGGAGAAAATATTGTGAATGCATTGTTACGCATTAATGACAATTCACAGCTGAAGCCAGTTTTTATCCTGTGCTGACAGCTGTTGGTGGAGACCACAGCAAATACTGCCAAATCCAAAACTAAATAGCGACATAAGCCCTTAACTTCACTATTCTAAAAATTCATCTGTTATAGTTAGGAGTGGGTTTGACTGTGAGTTATAGAAAACCCCCCAAACAACAGTGATTTAAATATGATAGAAGTTTATTTCTCTCTTACTTAGAGGAAATCCAGGGAGAGTTAGTTGAGGTCTGGTAGATGCCCCACAGTGTCAGGACCTGGAGCCTTCTATCTTTTCCTCATCCCCCACCCCACTTAGCACTTCCCTTTGGTCTCATGTTCCAGAATGGCTGCTTGAGGTCCAGCCATCATGTCTGCATTCTGGTGATCGGGAAGGAGGAAGAGACAAGGAAGGGCATACCCCCTCCTTTTAAGGACACTTTCTGGAAGTTGCACATGCCACTTCTACTTTTATCTCATGGGCTAGAACTTAGGCACATGGCTACATTTAGTTGGTAGGGAGATTGGGAAAGAATCTTTATTCAAAGTAGCCATGTGTCCAGCATAAAATGGTGGGGTTCTGTTACTAAGGGGGAAATGGAGAGTGGATCTTGGAAGACAGTTAGTGGTCTCTACCATCCTTCCTTCCAACCAACCAACCAACCAACCAACCAACCAACCAACCAGTGTGATGAACTGCCCTATTTAGTGAGGAGACACTTATGCAAATAACCAGCCATGATACAATGTGATATGGAGTATAAAAGAGTTTTGTTCAAAGCGCTGTGGGAGAACAGATGGAAATGATCAACAGCAATCATAATAATTAATAACTACAATGCCCTAGCCGGGTTCTCAGTGCTACATTCCGATGATTGTGTTTGTCCAGCTCCCTCTCTTTTCAGTGAGAGCTGCAAACCATTCTACTTCTCTAGAATAGCTAACACAATGGGCAGGCAGGGTGCTGTTCTGAGTTCTTTATGGATATTATCTCACAACAATCTTATGAACTGCTACTATTATCATTCTCATTTACAGATGGGAAAATGAGGCACAAGCCACCGAGCTGGGTTTTGGACCCGGGCAAGGCTCCAGAGCACACGGGCCTAACCGCTCTGTTCCGCTGCCCCCACCCAAAGCTGCTCATTTTCATTCCTTCCCCTACTCCCCAGACATCTCCAGCAGATAACCACCCCCCATCGCCCACTTCATTGTGATGATTGGGGTCAACTGGTGGGACTTCTGTCCACTTCCAAGCCAAACCCCAGCTTACTTAGATATCTTCCCTTGTCTCTTCCACCAGCCCTGCCTTCATCTTAGGAGTCAACCCCACTAAGCCTCGGTTTTCTGATCTACAAGTAGGGCTGACACTAACATCCATAGAGTGGGACTGTTTGTGAGGATTGAGCATGTTTATTCATGGAAAGTGCTTCTCCTGGCACATACTAAGTGCTTAGAAGATGTTATTCTTTTTTATCCATCCTTATATCTGGTTCCTCCTCTCTTCTCTCTCTTCATTTCATTTCTCTTTACAGGTTGTGTTAATGTTGTATTCCTGCTGAAACATTATCACAAATTCAGTGATGGAAAACAATACATATTTATTATCTGGGGTCAGAGTCTCAATGGGGTTTCAAACTGGGCTCTGGGAGGCTCTGGGAAGAATCCATTTGTCACCTTTTCCCAGTTTATAGAGGCTATCTGCATTCCTTCACTTGCAGCTTGCTTCTATCTTCAGAGCCAGCAGTGGTGGGTTGAGTCCCTAGGTTGCATTATTCCAACCTTGATTCTGTCATTCCATTTTCTTCTCTGACTCTTCTTCCTCCCTCTTTCATTTATAAAATGTGATTACACCAGGATAATCCAGGAGAGTCTCCTCTTCTTAGTATCCTTAACTTAATCGCATCTGCAAATTCCTTTTTGCCGTGGAAGGTAACATATTCCTGGGTTCTGGGGATGAGGATGTGGATTCCTTTGGTGGCTATTATTCTGCCTACACCACAGGTTCTTTCCTCTTGGGATACAGCAAGCAAGAAGCACCCAAAACAAAATATCCCTCTTTAACAGTACATTCTCTTCTGTCTTCCTCCCTTCTCAGCCAGGCTTTCTGAGGGTTGCCTTGACTAGTTTTCTCCACCTCCTGACAACCTGCTGCAGTCTGCATCTGCCCCCACATTCCACCAAACCCACTCTTGCTTGGATCACCCGTGGCTTCCAGATTGCAAAATCCGTGGGCACCTTTCATTCTTAACCGGCTGCGTTTTCCATGTTAGCTGCCCATTCCTTCATGAGACCTTTCTGTCCCCTCTCTGCTTTTATGTCACTTTCTGGTGGTTTTCTCCCCCTTCCTTTCTGGCTTAGTCTCCTCTATGAGCTGCACCGTCTCCACCCACCCCTGAAATGTCCGTGTTCTCCCGGGGTTTGGATCTTGGATCCGTTGTTCTTTTCTTGGGTGAGCTTGTCCCACACTGCTGGTTTTAAATGCCACTTGCACAGGGATAAGCGCCTCCTGCTTGTGCTGTACACATCTCTGGCTGCTGGCCAGGAGCGTTGGTGAGGACTGTGCTTCTGGTCATCCCATCAGCTCCTCGACTTCCTTGGTCTCCTTTGAGGCAGACATGTGAGAGAGCTCACTGAGGCAGTGGCTTGAGAAGCATGCAGCCTGGGGCACTTGGTCCTTCTGTTCCCGGCAGTATGGCTGTTTCCATCGCGATGGAATGGGATCCTCTCAAGACATCTCAGAGGACAGGCGGAAGGCAGCGAACATGGCAGTGCCGAAGGACACAGCTGTGTTTAGCAGGGGCGACAGGAAAGCACGCAGGTGTGGCAGATCATCAGGCACGTATTTATTGGAGCAACCCCCTCCTTTACCTTTGTGGTTTGCAACAGCTGTAGCTCTGAAGGAGCCACAAGCTAACTAGAGCACAAAGGCACAAAAACATTCAAAGTAAGTCAAGATGCATCCTAACAGTGCAGCTAGACATTCAAGACTCTCACCAGAAAGAGAACAATCTGCCTGAACGGCAGGGCTGCCTCTGAAGCCAGGAGGGCTGCTGAGGGAGGTGTGGTACTCAGGAGTGGTCTTGTGGGCAGTGGAGGGTGAAACAGGTAAAACAGGACTTAAGGAGGGAATGGACAAGGAGCCAGGAGGAGGAAGGCCATTTCAGGCAGAGGAGTAGCGTGTGCAAAGGCTTGGAGTCAGGATCGCTTATAGTCGATTCAAGGAACAAGGAGAATGTGGGGGAGATGAGGTTGAAGAGGAGGACTGTGTCCAGGACATCAGGGCCTCAGATAATGCTGGTACAGGAAGTCTGAACTTTGTCTTGTTGGTAGTAGGGGGCTGTGGAAGGGTTTTGAGCAGGGGAATGACTTGGCAGAGCTCAGCTTTAGGAAGACTATTCCAGTCTTGGGTGGACTGGGGAGGGCCCCAGATCTTAAAATATGCAAAATATAATTTTAGAGAGAGGAACTACCTTGGCAATTACTTATCTATTTCTATAATTGTATATATGTGTGTATTTTTAGATGTATATGTGTGTATATTTATATCTAATACATATATTTTAAATACATACACACATACACATTGGATGACCTAGATGGAGGGTGAGTGACAAAGGCACACAGTGAGAAAGCCAGCATTAGAACTCAGAGCTAACTCCTGGCCCCGTGCTCTTCCTCTGCAGGGTACTGATGGAGGCAGAGGTATCTGAAAGGAGGCCAGTCTAATCATCAGGGCAGATGGTGATGCAAACCTTGACCAGGGCAGGACAGGGCAGACACTGAGGGGAAGACTGTGTGGGAGGCAATGAGGATATGTTCTCTCTCCTTCTCCCTCTCTGGGTGGGGGTTGGGACATAGGGCTCGTTGGAGACTGCACATGAGTGCATCTCTCCTTCCTGGGTCCTGCAGCATCCTTCTGGGCCTGGTTTCTATGGCAACAGGCTCCCAGCAGGCAGCCTGCCAGCTGGAGAGAAGTAGGCAGGCAGGCAGGGAGAGAAGGCCTGGGCAGCAAGAGAAAGGCTGAAGTTGCGGGGGTTGGGAGAGTCTCTTGGGGAGGTGGAGGGACCCTAGAGCTGGGCCCACAATCCCTTCTGACCATGTAGGGGTGGAGGTAGCTCAGGACACACAGGCTTTTCTTTTGTGGTCCTTGAATTTCCAAACCTTGATCTTCTGTTTATCCCCCACCTCCCACATCTCCTGACTCCCACTTCTTAAAGTATTGCCTGGTCCCAACCTCATGCATCTTAAGCGGCCACTGACTTCTTTATAGAAAAGAACTCTGAATTCAGGGAAAAAATGAAAACGGCCAGTTGACTTTTTGGTTTGCATAAGATTTGCATATTATTAACTCAAAGACAAGAAATTTCCAGGCCCTATGTCATTCCTGCAAACAACTTAATTCAGCTCCACTGGCACTGACTTACTGTGTCTGGCCAGGCTCTGGGCTGAGCCATCGGGGTCCCTAGAGAAGTCCTCCCAGCTGCAGGCCCACTCCACCTCCAGCTGCTCCAAGGCATTTCTTCCTGTGATGTTCTAGCAGCTGGTGCAGTGGGAAGTGCTTGGACTGTGGAGCCCAGCAGCGCTGAGTCCAAATCCTGGCTCTGCTACTTTGAAGCTGGGTTTACTTAGTTTACTCATCTCTAGGTAGAGCTGAGGACACTCTAGTGCAGCTGGTGTAAACTAGCATAGACATAGAATTTGTTAAAATATTGAAATACTTCGGCCAGGCGTGGTGGCTCACACCTGTAATCCCAGCACGTTGGGAGGCCAAGGCGGGTGGATAACCTGAGGTCGGGAGTTCGAGACCAGCCTGACCAACATGGAGAAACCCTGTCTCTTCCAAAAAGAGACAAAAGGCGCATGCCTGTAATCCCAGTTACTCGGGAGGCTGAAGCAGGAGAATCGCTTGAACCCGGGAGGCGGAGGTTGCGGTGAGCCGAGATCGCGCCATTGCACTCCAGCCTGGGCAACAAGAGCAAAACTCCATCTCCAAAAAAAAAAAAAAAAAAAAAAAAATTGAAATATCTTCTGCCTTCACTGGTAAAGAGCCACCACCCTGGCTCCTCCCTGACCCCTCTAGCCCACCCCACAATCTAGCCTCTCCAGGGCACTGCTGCAGCATTTTGGTCTGTGCCTGCTCTGCCTGGTATATGCCAGCATCTGCTCTGTCCATGGACTGAACTGGTTGCTAAATAGCTTGGATATCACCCCTATCTAGAGGCAGTGCAATAGGTAGGTATATTATGTACGTAGCTGTTGCAAGGACCAATATATTTAAAGTGCATAGGTTAATGTCCATCACTTTGTAGGTTCCCTTTCTCATTCCCTTCCTTTTTTTTGCTTGGGGTGGGGGTGAGAGCTGGCATGAGCCTGGGCAATGGGGGATGACAGCCACCCCTCTCCCCAGGCGAGCAAGGTTCAAGCGCTCCAATAGTGTGACGGCTGGCGTGCAGGCAGACCTGGAGCTGGAGGGCCTGGCAGGCCTGGCCACGGTGGCCACAGAAGACAAGGCCCTGCAGTTTGGACGCTCCTTCCAGAGGCACGCCTCTGAGCCCCAGCCTGGGCCCCGGGCCCCCACCTACTCAGTCTTCCGCACGGTCCACACGCAGGGCCAGTGGGCCTACCGCGAGGGCTACCCACTGCCGTACGAGCCGCCGGCCACCGATGGGTCGCCCGGCCCTGCCCCCGCCCCCACCCCCGGCCCTGGGGCCGGCCGCCGTGACTCCTGGATAGAGCGCGGTTCACGTAGCCTCCCCGACTCAGGCCGCGCATCCCCCTGCCCACGCGACGGCGAGTGGTTCATCAAGATGCTGCGGGCAGAGGTGGAGAAGCTGGAGCACTGGTGCCAGCAGATGGAGCGTGAGGCGGAGGACTATGAGCTACCCGAGGAGAGTGAGTCACGGCATCGGAACAAGGGGACTCTGGGGACCATGGCCTCGTGTGTGCTCAGGAGACCCTGATGGGGGTGGCTGGGGCTGCAGTGTAACAGGAGGCCCCTTCGGTTGGTGCCTCACTGGTCTTCTGCACTGGAGCGTGGCGGGTCAACATCGGCAGCAAGACATGCTGGGAGCTCTTGAAAGGGAGCAGGGTGCACATGGTGCAGCTTTAGAGGCCAGGGCTGGGACTGCAGACACTGCAGGCCAAAGGGCTGGGCCTTCTATGGATGGCTGCTAGTCCAAATCACCAAGTTTATGGGGACTAAGGGAACTCCGTTCAGATCTGGACTGGTGTGGGGATCCAGGTGGTGCGACCAAGATTACAGAGAGGGAGGCAGTTCACAATGTCAGATCCTGTCTGAGGCACAGAAGAGGGAGATTCAGCCAGGGAGATGTGGCCCTGGCCCGAGGGAGAGCATGGCCCTTCCTGTAAGTCAGATCCACTGGGAGACACAGTCTTACCCCAGAATCTCTGAGTTGAGGGGACAGTGGCTATGAAGATGTGTTATGTACATGAAATTACTTGGTCATTCTTAAAGAGCCAAGGAGTCTTGCATGCACTGGGGAGTGATGAACAAAGCTTAGCCAGTGGGTGGTCATTGAGCTAATGCCCTGGCCAAGGCTATAGGGCTAGGCTGGGGCTGGTTTCCGTCTGTTCTCTGATACGGGAGGGAGAAAGGATAAAGAAGGATGAGCACTCAAGAAATGTAGGCTGTATGAAGGAGGGAACATCAGTGTCTGAGGATACAGTCTTGGTGTAGTGGAGCGAGAACTTGTTAGGAACTTGAGGATGGGATGGGGCTGGGGCTGGAGGAGACTGATGGATACACAGTGCCAAGCAACCGAGGGGTCAGCGTCATTCAGGGCAGACTTCGTGGAGGCTGGGGAAGGAGATGCATCATTTCCCTCCCTGAATTTCCTTCTGCTTTCTAGTCCTGGAGAAGATCCGCAGTGCTGTGGGCAGCACACAACTTCTCCTGTCCCAGAAGGTTCAGCAGTTCTTCCGGCTGTGTCAGCAAAGCATGGTGAGTGCCCATAGTAGTAGATCCTACCAGATACATGTGACCCAGAGTGTGTGTGTGCTGGAGGTGAGACAGGCAGGTGACCCAGAGTGAGTGTGTACCAGAGGTGAGACCAGGCCTGCATGCCTTCTGGGGTAGCTGTGAGTCTTGTGCCTGGAGGTAGGACCAGGTGTTTGTGCACAAGAAGGGGAGTCCTGGGCTCGCTCTTGTCCCCCTGTCTCCCAGCCCCCACCCACTCTCCCAGGCTGAGCTTCCTGGCAGTAAGGGTGGATAGGACTTTCTCTTGTCCTGGCTGGGGCTCAGACCTCCTTGACCAATCACTTTCCCTCCATCTTCCTCTGTTGCAGGATCCCACTGCGTTCCCTGTGCCCACCTTCCAGGACCTGGCGGGTTTCTGGGACCTCCTACAGCTCTCCATCGAGGATGTGACCCTCAAGTTCCTGGAGCTACAGCAACTCAAGGCCAACAGCTGGAAACTCCTGGAGCCTAAGGTGGGGCTGGGGTGCCTTCAGGCAAAGAGGCCAGACTCTGGGAAATTCCCCTCCCCAGAGAGGTGGAGGGTGGGACGAACAAGGGGGCAGGGGAAGGGATCCATGGGCAGCAAGGGCAGCCTTGGACAGGTGATAGGTGACCATCCCCTTCCAGAGTGACCACGCTCGTGGCCACTGCCGTCTGCTTGGCCCCAGTGCTCATCACTGCTTGAGCTGCCAGAACCCCAAGGCTTCCTCAGCGCGGGGGAGCGGGGTTGGGGGGGTGGCGGCGGCTGCAGCTGGAGAGAGCAAAAGTAGACCTTACGGAAGGACAGACTGTCCTCAGTTCGGGCCTAGGCATCGACGGCAGAGCCTTGAGGGTCCCCTCAGCCGCCAGGTCCCTGGACCTTGTCTGCGATGAGGGCCAGAGGCCTGGTATGTGCACCCTCATTGCGGAGCCTGGGTCGGGAACTCCCTCCTTCGGGTCGGGACCCGGAGTGAAAAACCGGCTCTGCTGCGAGCTGTTGAGAACGGCGCCACCAGGGGGCGCTCGAACGCGCCGCGCTTTGGTGGAAAATGTGGGGATTTGACCTTGTCGGAACAGGAGCACCTGGGGCTTCAGGTCACGGGATCCGTGGCGGATTCTGAGCGCCATCGCGTTCGGAGCCACGCGGTCGTCAGCACTCTGGGCGCGGGGGTGCGGGGGCGGACACCTGGGTGTTGGGATGGTTCGGCGCCCCAGCTCAGCGACGCCCTCTGCCCCGCAGGAGGAGAAGAAGGTCCCTCCGCCGATACCAAAGAAGCCCCTGCGGGGCCGGGGCGTGCCGGTGAAGGAGCGCTCCCTGGACTCCGTGGACCGGCAGCGGCAGGAAGCGCGCAAGCGGCTCCTGGCGGCCAAGCGCGCCGCTTCCTTCCGCCACAGCTCGGCCACCGAGAGCGCCGACAGCATCGAGATCTACATCCCCGAGGCCCAGACCAGGCTGTGACCGGTCCGGCCCGCCCAGCCCGGCCCGGGCCCGCGGTTCTCCACCCGTACTGTACACCCAGCGTCGAGGTCACTGTGAACGCGGGCCGCCCCGTGCGCCCGCCCCACCGGCACCGGACGCCCCGGCCCCCGGGCCCGTCACACTCTCGTGGGTTTTTTACCTTCCTGATCCCACGCGAAGGCGCCCGGGCTGGGCAGGGGGCCGTGCCTCTCCGCCCTGCGCCCCTCACCTGGATCCCCTGCCCACCTGGTCCGACGCTTTGTCCCCACCTCCTCCCCATGGGCACCATCTCTGCCATTCTTTCCCCCACGGGCCAGGCCGGGCCGGGTCCCTCATCTGGGCTCTGCGTCCCCCCCTCCCCCACCCCGCGGGGCTGGGCTTCGTGGGGATCAAGCTTCGTGGCTTTTTATGAAGAATCCCGAACCCTGCCTAGGAGCCCGCCCCACCCTCCCAGGGGCTCCATCCTCAGCCCTCTGCCCACTGGGCCCAGGGACCACAGTGGCTGGACCAACCCAGGACCAGGGCGCCTGGGCCTCTCCCCTTTCCCAGCGGCTGGGGAGGGGAGATGGGGGCTTCCCCTCACCACACCTGTGGCTGTTCCCACATCCCCTTGAATATCCCAGGAAAAATAAAACGGCAGAACTGCACTCGAGCCAGCTGCTCTCTCCAGAAGAGGCCACCTCCGTCCCGTGTGTGGGAGGACGGGGGTGAAGGGAGAAGGGACCGGGAGCCCACTCTCTTGGTTTGGAGATAGCAGGGGTTGCCTGAGCTCCTTCCAGGGATGGGCCAGCTGGTGGAAAGGAGATTCGGCCCCCTGATGCCCACAGTAAGGGCCTGGACCCTCCTGGAGGGGCCCAGGTGGGGTGAAGAGGGGGAGGGTGCCAAGCTCTCCGTTCTTCCTATTTCGGTGTATCCCGTTCTGCCTCCCAGTCCGCAGGGTTCCCCCAGAGAGGGAAGTCCGGAGCTCGCCGGGCACGCAGCATGTGCTCAATAAACCGGGAGTGTGGTTATTGTTAGGTATTGACAAATAATTGGTTTCCCTTCCCCTAGGGGCACAATGTTCCTTCTGCTCCAGTCATTCCTGATCAGCAGCAGAAAATCTTCAGTCCTGCCGCATTTTCTGATGCCTCCTATGGGTGGCCACCTTGGTGGAGGCTGGGGTGGGGGAAGAGGAAGTACAAAGAACAGAGCTCTCCTGGGAAGCTAAATGGCAACCAGAACCTAGTATCGATGGCTTTATTGAGTGGTCAGTGTGGGTCAGGCAAGGGGTGAGTGCTTTACATGAATGTGGCTGGTCCTTACAATAGAAGAGAAAGCCAAAGCTCAGGGCAGGTTACAAGACCTGTCTGAGGTCACAGGACTAAATGTGGTGGACCCAGGTCTAATGCCAAATCATGAGCTTTTAGCTTTGCAGGCTTCTTAGACCAGAGAGGGCTGATGGCAGTCTCCACCCAGAAAGCCCCTTTCCACTCCTTGAGCAGTCCTTTGGGTTGGTGTGTCACCTCCAGGCAGGAGGAAAAGCCTTCAGGATTGGCTGCTTTTCTGGGCCACACTGGGTCAGCTAATTCTTCTCATTCATTTATCCAGCAGACATTTATCACTTTTGGGCGCCACAGGAATAGCCCTGAACAAGATGTAGTTTCTACCCTTAATGGAACTTATGGTCATATGGGAAAAACAGACAAATAAGCAAGCAGTTAAAATACAGGAGTAAGTGCCAGAAAGATGATTAGAGATTAGCTGCTGAAGGAGGGCCAGGGCTGGGAAGAATGTTCCAAGATCAGGGAACAGCTGTGCAAAGGCTTGGAAGAGGAAGAGACATTGGGAGCACAGAGACTTGATTATATCAGTGTTTGGGTCTCATTGAGGCAGGTGGCCTGGGTCTTGTGGGCTGTAGGGAGCCATAGAAGGGTTTTGAACAGAGGAGTGGCATGAACGTTTTATAGACTGGTTTGGTAGACAACTTTGGAAAAGCAAGAGATGGTCCACGTACACACATGAGCCTGGAAGGTGAGGAGAACTCTAATGTGATCTGAATTCCCAAAAGCAGTCCGTTTGGAGGTGATCCCATACAGACTCCTGGGCCTGGTCCAAGACTTAGTGAATAGACTCTGCCCTCGAATAAGGTTTTAACAAGTGCTTCACAAGATTCTGAGCAGCCAGCTTTGGGAAGACTTAAATTGGATGACTGTCCAAAGGTCTCCAGTAGAAGGGCTGGGTCAGTTTACCTCTCTGAGGTTGTTTTATCATCTCTAAAATTGGGGGCATGGGTGAGGTTTGAACTCAGAGCAATGCTGTAAAACAGATATTGTTTTCACCCCCATTTACAGATGAGGAAATGGGCTTGGAGAGGTTTAAACAGCTTACCTCAAACCATGAAGCCAGGAAGTGGCTGAGTCTGAGTTTAACCTTTACATTTATACAGCATTTTATGGGTCTATGACTTTATTCATAGAGTTTTCCATGTCTGGTGTGGATGAGTCTCCTTTGGTTCTTGTGGCCTAGGTAGTTATGCTGAGCCCCATAGATAGTGAAAGATTAGGTCCAGTCCTTTTGCTTGAGTTGCTTACAGTCTGGCCATGGCCAGCATATAAACAGAAAGTTATGGTGCAAAGGGAAACCTGTTCTCCCAGAGGGGCCAAGGGATTGAGAGGAGAGAGCCTCTAGCAACCAGGGTGTTTTAGTCCATTTTGTGCTGCTATAACAATACCACAGACTGGATAACTTATAATGAACAGGTATTTATTGGCTCACAGTTCTGGGTGCTGGGGAATTCAGTGTCAAGGGGCTGGCAACTTGTGAGGGCCTTCTTGCTGTGTCATCCCATGGCAGGTGAGAGGGCAAGAGAGGGCAAGAGGGAGTTGAACTTGCCCTTTTATAAGGGTGTCAATCCACCCATGAGAGTGCAGCCCTCATGGCCTAATAACCTCTTAAAGGTCCCACCTCTTAATACAATGACAAATTTCAGTGTAAGTTTTGGAGGGTACAACCATAGCACAGGCAGTCTGGGAAAGCCTTCTGCCTTGTGAGTTGGATCTTGCAGGATGAATTAGCATTTTGTAGTCAAGGAAGAGAAGGGAGAAATTCATTTCTGGCCAAGGGACCAACCTGGGCAAAGCCATGGAAGCACATGTGTGTTGGGAATGAAAGCATAGGCTGGAGAGGGTGACAGGTTATGGTGGCTGTGGAGGGCGTGGAGGAGATACGGCCAGAAGGGACCCATAGAGTTGGGGGTGGGAGGCTAAGATGGAAACCTCATAGTTTTATTTGAAAGATGAAACTACGGCCAAAAGAAAGGAAATGGACTGGATGGGGCAACAAGACAGCAGGGAGACCATTCAGGGAGCTGCTAAAGTGGTCCAGGTAAGAGATAATGATGTTGACTTTGAGAGACATTTAGGAGGCATAAGTGCAGTAAGCTGGATCTGGAGAATAATGTAAAGATGGGACGCCTTGAAGGTGTCACTCAGATTTCTGGCTTAATGAATGAGTAATGCCACGAATGGACATAGGACATTACAGAAGGAGCAATACAGTTGGGAAATACTTAACATGTCAATAACCATTTACTGAGCACTGAGAAGGTGCAAACTACTATGCCAAGCACTTTATACACATTTAGGTGATTTAATACTCATAGCAACCCTAGGAGTGGGTACTATTATTGTCTTTTTTTAAAAACAAAGAGTGTAAATAGCTTTTCTGAGATAAGCAGACAAGAGTCAGGATTTGAACCCATGGCTATCTGATTTCTCAGTCTATGCTCCTGAGCCCCTCAGCAATTCTGCTTGAGGGAACTGCTAGCCATGACTCAAGACTCAGCTCAAGGCTTGGTTCCTCTAGGGAGCCTTCCCTGAATCTTCCTGGCTGGGCTGAAGATCCTCCTCTGTGCTGCGTGTGTATACTTCTGTCATCACATTTCTTACATTCTATTGACATTTTGTAGACCCATCTGTTTCTTTAGTCAGAGAACTCTGGAGGCAGGTTGGTCCCAGTCATTTTTGCATCCCCATTGCCTAGCACATGATTGGCTGACCAAATGCCAGTTACTCTGGACAGTTCTGTTCCCTTCTCCTCTCCACATATTCAGTTAGTGAGCAGGTTCTGCTAACAACGGTCTCCTAAATATTTATTTGTACTGTTGGGGCTCAGAAAGCGATACCCCAAAGACTGGCGCTTTGACATGCTGAGAGGCCTTCGAAGCTGCCTCAGAATCAAGGTCCCTCTAACCTTCTCTCCCAAGTATAGGGAGGCACTCTCTCTAGAATTTCCTAATCTGATCGAGAAAACGTCTTTCCAAAAGAAACAAAATTGCCTTCCTCCCCTCTCCGAAATCTCATCTAGCTCAGAAAAGAAGACTGAGGAAGGCAACTACGCCTGGATGGATTTTTCACAAGATGATGCCTGTTTCTCGGGCTCATTCAAATTCTAAAGAGAATCATTTACAAGTTAATTTCTGTCCATTTTTTCGCCCTAAGAATCACTTGCTGCCCTCAGAAGAATTGTCTATATTCTCCATCTCTCCCCTTCCCCTATGAAAAAGAGTGTATACGCTTCTGTACCCCATTGGGTTATTGGGTAATCATTCTCCTGTGACCCTTCCCTTCCCACCCCCTCGCCTCCCCGCCCCGTGCTATGCACGTTAAAATAAAATTTTGTATGTCTTTTCTCCTATTAATCTGCCTTTTGTCAGTTGATTTTCAGTGAACCTTGGCCCCTACAATACTGTTCCCTTTTCTCCATCTTCACTGCCAGAGCTTAGCTTTGAGCTGTTTGAGATAATAGAGGAAGGGTGTCTAATGTGATAAGCAGTCTATGTATGAGGCTTCCTCTGGAGGTGACCCTTAAGCTTGAAAATTGTGCCAGAGCACAATCTGGCATAGTAAAGAAAGGTGGGAAGGGCACTACATGGCCAGGCACGGTGGCTCATGCCTGTAATCCCAGCACTTTGGGAGGCTGAGGCGGGCGGATTGCTTGAGCTCAGGAGTTCGAGACCAGCCCTAGCAACATGGTGAAACCCAGTCTCTACAAAAAGTACAAAAATTAGCCAGGCCTGGTGGTGTGCATCTGTGGTCCCAGCTACTCGGAAGGCTGAAGTGGGAGGATCACTTGAGCCCAGGAGGTTGAGGCTGCAGTGAGCTATGATTGTGCCACTGCACTCTAGCCTGGGCAACAGAGCGAGAGTCCTGTTAAAAAAAAAAAAAAAAGCGGCCAGGCGCAGTGGCTCACGCCTGTAATCCCAGCACTTTGGGAGGCCGATGCGGGCAGATCACCTGAGGTCGGGAGTTCGAGACCAGCTTCCCCAACATGGAGAAACCCCTTCTCTATTAAAAATACAAAATTAGCCGGGCGTGGTGGTGCATGCCTGTGATCCCAGCTACTCAGGAGGCTGAGGCAGGGGAATCACTTGAACCTGGGAGGCGGAGGTTGCGGTGAGCCGAGATCACGCCATTGCACTCCAGCCCAGGCAACAAGAGTGAAATTGAACAACAACAACAAAAAAGGTGGGAAGGTAGATGAAAAAGCATCAATAAGGCACTGAGGTGTGAAACAGTGTGGTCTGCCGGGTTTAGTATGTGCGAGCAAAATAAATATGCAGGCTGAGATTAGTGGGATGAGGGTGGGAAGGGCCTTGTGGGAGCATTAACAAGCTTGAGCTTTGGGACTTTTCTGTATATGATAAAATTGATGTCTGTATAGGGTACAGTGGGGACACAGAGGAGGAAGTGAATACTTGTACCCAAGAGGTCATGTAAGACTTAGGTTTTACTATATTTGAATTATTTTTACACTAACAATAGCCACATTTATTTCCCTGCTGGCTGTGTGCCTGCCACAGTACTTTACAAATATTATCTCTTCCAACCCTCACACCATCCTTGCGAAATGGGTGTTATTACCTCTACACAGAAGGGGAAGGGAGGCTCAGACAGGTTAATAATGTTCCCAAGGTCACTAGAAAGCTAGCCCGGATCCCAAGAGGTCTTAAAGCACTAAAATATACTCTTCTAAGAAGAGCTTCTTGAGGTCAGGGATCATGTCTTTTGTTTTTGCGTGCCCAGACCTAGGTCTTAGAAGACGCCTAATAAACATCAGTTGAAAAAAATGACTGGATGATCTTTCACTTTTTCCACGCAGAAAACACGTGGCGACATCACTGAGAAACCTCCCGGCCAACAGAGGGCGCGACGTCCATTTCAGCGCAGTGGGGCCCAGTTGCGGACGCCTAGCTTCCTTCCGTCCTTTGGCTGAAGTTCAGCCAATCCCTGCGCTCCGAGAGAGCCGGCGGCCAGTGGGCAGGGTCACAGGGCAAGGTCCCGCGGGCCGCTGGGTGCGGCGACTTCCGTGCTCCCGGCGAGCGGGCGGAGAGCGGGGGCCGCACTGGGGAGTGTGGGCTGGGCCGCAGGTGAGCGCGCGGTCCCGGCGAGCAGGTCGGGTCAGCCCAGGCCAGTAACCTCTGAGTTACGGGAGGAGTGATCGCTAGGGTCCACCCCGGTCCCGGCCAGATCTGCCAGCTCCCCTCTCTGGCGGGTGTTCTGGTGCCAAGTCTGGGAGCCCAGGTAGCCCTCCGCAGACAGGGCTTCTCGGCACCTCAATGAGGACGGACGTTGATGAGGCCATGAATGAGGTGGGCTAGGGACAGGGGACCGGGAGACTCACAGAAGGGAGAAGGGTAGCCATTTGGATGGACCTTCGCCTTACTTGCGCTCCCATTCCTGGACTGCGCTCTAGTGACTGTCAGGGCTAATTCTTCCGCCTTCTCAGGCCTCCTGTGTCCTTGTTAGTAGTTCTTGAATTTGGGACTACGGCTTCTGGCCTCGTTGGGCCTCCGGGCCCTCGCACTGGGGCAGGTTTCCCAGCAGCCCAGTTGACCTTTACCGGATGCTTTTGGCAGACGTCCTCCATGCCGGGCTGGAAATATGCGTCACAGTGTTTTTCAGACACTTTTGCCTCTTTCATTGTGATACCCTGCCTGGGGACGACTATGATGGAGTCTTTAGGTTTTTGTAATCAGCAAAGGCATCTGTTATGCTCCTGCCACCTTTTGGGGGAGAGTGGGTGGAGGATGTTGTGATTTTACACTAGGGAGTTTGGGCTGTCATTCATTCGTTCAGCAGACCTTTTTTGGGCACTCTGCCAGGCAGGGTAGGAGAGGTGCCTGGATGGATAGGGCATAATTGGGCCAGACAGACACGGTTCTTAGCCTTTTGGAGCTTAAAGTGTCTTGAGAAACGCAGACAGGGTAAGCCAGCATCGTGCCTGACACAGAGTAAGTGGTTATAAGTGTCGAATAAAGGAATGAATTGACTTATTTGGGAATGATTAGAATGTGAGCAGGACGGTAGCGAGAGACTTTATGCTGCATGTGAGAGATAGTTGTGAACTCATGCGCGATATGTTTTAAGACAGGTTTGGAAATCTGAACGGACAGTTGCTATTTAGGGAAGCATTTACTTATACAGAGGACTTGCTTTAAAGGTGGAAGTAAAATGGAGAAGTATTAGGTTTGGGATTCTTCAGAGGTGCCTCTTTTAACTATTACTATGTCTCTGAATTTCATAAATCCCTGAGTACAATCTCAGAGTTTGGGAAAAGGAAAGCTCTTCTAGGTAATGAAATGCCAGGCTGATGGGAAAAAACTGTAGGAAGCTCTCCCTAAGTCCAGGGTTTGGACAGAAACCGTATACCTCTGCAGTGTGTTCTTCCCACTAGAAAGAGTGTAGGCTTTGAAATTGGAGAGGCCTGGGTTCAAAATCAGTGGCTCTATCACTTCTAGTGATCTTGGATAAGTTAACATAATGTCTGTGAGCCTTTGTGGCCTTCACAAGAGTCTGGGCTAATAATTCCTACATCATAGAGGTGTTATGAGGATCAAATGATGATTAGTGTGTAAATTGTCATCATAGTGCCTGGTGCTGAGACAATAAGCGGGGGAGTCTTGGAGATGCTGCAATTTTTTTTTTTTTTTTAAATTTCATGATGCTGCCTTATTGCAGGGGTCCTTAACCCCCTGGGCCACAGACCAGTGGTGGTCTTCAGCCCATTAGAAACTGGGCTGCACAGCAGGAGGTGAGCGGTGGGCAAGCTGGCAAGCATTACCGCCTGAGCTCCACCTTCTGATAGATCAGCAGCGGCATTAGATTCTCACAGGAGTGCAAACTCTATTGTGAACTGCGCATGTGAGGGATCTACGTTGTGTGCCCCTTATGAGAATCTAATGCCTGATGATCTGAGCTGGAACAGTTTCATCCCGAAACCATCCCTCTCCAACCCCCATCTGTGGAAAAATTGTCTTCCACGAAACTGGTCCCTGGTGCCAAATATAGATTGGGGACCGCTGCCTTATAGTGTTACGTCTAGAGAACATTGGGATTCCTTCAAAGAGAATTGGAACCAAAGAGAGAGGGGGAGAATCATCTTATCCTTGGTGAGGTTTCGATTGTTCACTTTAGATCAGAGATAGTAGTGTTGGAGAAATACCTACAGGGGCATAAACAGAAAGATCTTTTAGTGGATACTTTTGGGCAAGTCTCTTAACCCTCTGATAGTGGGTTATGTATCTACCTCACGTGGTGGACATGAGGATTAAGAGAGTGAGTGTATATGAAGCACCTAGCCCAAGGCCTGGCATGTAAGTGCTCAATAAATGGTAGCTGTGTTATTATAACTGTGAATGATCTTTGATAATTGATAATGGTAATAATCATTTGAGATGGAATTGGCCATTAGAGTGATCCAATTTGTGTGTTTTTACATTACTTTGGTATTGCCCTACTTCAATTCAGGAGGCCCTGAGGCCATTCCACTCCGCTCCCCGCCCCACCCCACCCCACCCCACCCCCCGGGCTTGTACAGTGATTTTTCACAGAAAATCTTCAGGTTCTGCGGTATCCAGAGTATGTATAATGATTTGTGATATTTTCAGGAGCTTTTTATGTAAATATGAAGGTATGGGTTTGGTTGAAGATAGGATTTTTTTTTTTTTCTTGAGACGGAGTTTCGTTCTGCCGCCCAGGCTGGAGTGCAGTGGCTTGATCTTAGCTCACTGCAACCTCCGCCTCCCAGGTTCAAGTGATTCTCCTGCCTCAGCCTCCTGAGTAATGGGGATTACAAGCCTCCCAAAGTTCTGGAATTACAGGTGTGAGCCACCGTCTTTAGCCAAGATAGGATATTTTGAAAATGGTTTAGTCAGCAGATTTGTAAAGTATAGGTTTGTTCCATTGTTAGAAAAGCCAGGTTCAGAACAGGATAAAACCATTATCTATTTACCTAAAATCCAGAATAATTAGGTAATGCATTATGTATTTGACTGTTTAAATATGCTCCTTATGCTTTACATGAGGAAAAGGAACGACTTTTCATATTGTGAAACCAGGAGATTCATCGTAGATTGTGTTTCATGGGGAAAAGGTGGCCGGCTGTGCTCATGGAGAAATTTCATAGAGCAGAGAAAGGCATCTTTTTCCCTTCTTGAAATGTTGGCAGACTAGGTCCTGGGGTCAACAATAGGCTTGAAGCTCTATTAGGTAAGGCTCAGAGGTCCCCTTGTGGGGAACATTGTCATATATTGGTGCACACTTGTCAAAGAGTACGGTCCGTAAAATGGAGATCCTTCCTTCTTCCCTAACAATGGAATCTTTTGAAATTTCCTAGATTATTTCAGGGATCCACCTCTCGCATTGCTCTGCACGGGGGTGGGTGCTCAGTAAATTGTGCCAGGCTGGCCAGGTGTGGTGGCTCACGCCTGTAATTCCAGCACTTTGGGAGGCTGAGGTGGGTGAATCACGAGGTCAGGAGTTCAAGACCAGCCTGACCAACATGGTGAAACCCTGTCTCTACTAAAAAAATACAGAAATTAGCTGTAATCCCAGCTACTTGGGAGGCTGAGGCAGATAATTGCTTGAACCTGGGAGGTGGAGGGTGCGGTGAGCTGAGATCGTGCCACTGCACTCCAGCCTGGGCGACAGAGCAAGACTCCGTCTCAAAAAAAAAAAAAAATTGTGCCAGGCTGCCTGGTAAGTGGAGAGCTCTAGTGGGTTGCTCTTATTTGGTGGGAGATGATGCTGGGTTCTCTAATGCTGCCTTGTGCTTTTCCGCAGATGTCATGTGGCCTGTGTTTTGGACCGTGGTTCGTACCTATGCTCCTTATGTCACATTCCCTGTTGCCTTCGTGGTCGGGGCTGTGGGTTACCACCTGGAATGGTTCATCAGGGGAAAGGACCCCCAGCCCGTGGAGGAGGAAAAGAGCATCTCAGAGCGCCGGGAGGATCGCAAGCTGGATGAGCTTCTAGGCAAGGACCACACGCAGGTGGTGAGCCTTAAGGACAAGCTAGAATTTGCCCCGAAAGCTGTGCTGAACAGAAACCGCCCAGAGAAGAATTAATGGAGGACACAGGGCCCTATGGTCCTACTGTGGGTGGTGACTTGTCCTGCTACCATGTTGACAGAGCCCCAGAACCCACATCTAATTGGCTTTGTTGCTTATTCTGGCCCTTCCCACACCACACAGCCACACAAATACTGGCTGCTCCTTGATGGCCAGGCAGACCCAGCAGCAGCCGAGGGGCCAGTGAAGAGGAAGGCCGCATCTGTTGTGTGGTGGCCACAAGCACTCAGGCATCTGAGTTTACTGGTGCACTGCTGGGAGGAGAGTTATGAGATGAACATTGGCTGTCAATCTCTGTGGGCAGGCGGTTTGGCCTCTAGTGGGAATGGCTGGGATTTGGGCGTTGCCTTTAGGAGGGATACCTGCATGTCTAGTTCCAGTCTGCACTGGAAAGAATTCAAATATGCACCTGGCTCCCTTCACTATTTTGCCCTATCCTTTGTGCTCATTCTTACTGAAATCTGTCTTGTCAGCTCAGGAATGGGATTCCCCCAGGAAGGAAAGCACTTTTCTGTTCTGGGAAGCCCAGACTGTTCACTTTGGGGCAGGGACGAACATGTGCCTCGTGAATTTGCTTGAAAACAGTCACCATCTTCTACCCCCATCACTGTATAGTGAAAAACCTGATTAAAGTGGTATCTGAGAACCATAATGATCGAATCTTATCATCCAGGTGGTATTTGGGGGTCTTCTTAGGAGTTAGGCAAGTACAGGCATTTTAGAGCAGGATAACATTGGTATTAAAGGGTGCCAAGGAGCCCTGGAAACTGCTTTACTAGTGCGGTTGCACTGAACCCTGGAGGCACAGATTCCCAGGAACCTTTTTACCATTATTACAATTGGCTGCAGCACCTTCAAGTCTAAATGGAGGTAGACCTCACATACACACACATAGACGCCTTTCCCTATAAAAGTATATACGCACATTCAAGAAAATTTGGTAGGGATTTTAAAAAGGTCACCCATGTTCCCAGCTCGTTAATAACAACCGTTAACATTTTGTTGTCTTTTACTAATTCTCTGCATAGGTTTTAGAGATAGTTATCATTACTGTACATTTAATTTTATATACTTTTCTCACTATTATCATTTTCCCATTTTACATGGTCATCATAATTGGTTTTTTGGAGACAGGGTCTCACTCTGTCACACAGGCTGGAGTGCAGTACAATTACGGCTCAGTGCAACCTTGACCTCCTGGGCTCAAGTGATCCTCTCACTTCAGCTCCTCAAGTAGATGGGACTACAGGAGTATGCCACCATGCCCAGCTAATTTTTTTATTTTTTTGTAGAACCAGGTCTCACTATGTTGCCCAGGCTAGTCTCAAACTCCTGGGCTCAAGTGATCCTCCGGCCTTGGCCTGTAGTTTCTTTTTTCTTTTTTTTTGGAGATGGACTCTCATTCTGTCACCCGGGCTGGAGTGCAGTGGCGTGATCTTGGCTGACTGCAACTTCTGCCTCCTGGGTTCAAGCGATTCTCCTACCTCAGCTTCCTAAGTAGCTGGGATTACAGGCGTGCGCCATCGTGCCTGGCTAGTTTTTGTGTTTTTAGTAAAGACAGGGGTTTCACCATCTTGGCCAGGCTGGTCTCGAACTCCTGACCTCAAGCGATCCCATCTGCCTCGGCCTCCCAAAGTGCTGGGATTACAGGTGTGAGGCACCGTGCCTGGCAGTCTGTAGTTTTTTTTTGTTGTTGTTGTTGTTGTTGTTTTAAATATGGAGTCTCGCTGTATTGCCCAGGCTGGAGTGCAGTGGCGCGATCTTGGTTCACTGCAACCTCCACCTCTTGGGTTCAAGCGATTCTCCTGCCTCAGCCTCCTGAGTAGCTGGGATTACAGGTGTGCGCCGCTACGCCTGGCTAATTTTTGTATTTTTAGTAGAGACAGGGTTTCACCATGTTGGTCAGGCTGGTCTCAAACTTCTGACCTTGTGATCTGCCTGCCTTGGCCTCCTAAAGTGCTGGGATTACAGGCGTGAGCCACCGTGCCTGGCTGTAGTTGTTTATAATAGCAACATAATTGTCTATCAAGTGGGAGTATGACATAAGTTTATCCTGGACAATTTCCATATTGCTGGACATTTGAATTGTTTCTGGTTGGTCACTCGTTTAGATACTGCAACGAATATCTTATATGAAGCTTTTCCTGCGTTTTGGAATAAACAGTAAAAATAGTAAATGTCATTTTGGATGAAATGGGATAAATGAGCAGTTTTGAGGATCTCATGCATAACACCAAATGTCTTTCCAAAAGGGCTCTAGGAGTTTCTACTAAATCTTACCACTGAAGACGTTGCTGGTAAGGCTGTGAGGGGAGTAAAAGCAGAGAGCAGGAAGAAGCATAAGAAGCTGTTGCCTCTTGAAGCCTACTGATGTTTAACTAAAGTCAGCACAGGGCAGTAGTGAGCATTTGATGAATTGATCTGCCTCTAAAAGGGAGTGGGTATTGGCCCTGCTTCTTAGGTTCTCTCTCGTGAGGCCTGATGGTGTCCACAGGTGGGTGAGGGTGGAGTTCCTGAACAGTTAGAGGGGCCAGCTGTGAAGAGGTGCCAGCTGGAGGTGCCTTCCAGGACCTGGTGGTGGCCTGAGAGGAGGGAGCAGGTTGAGTCGTTGGCTTCTTCTAAGGCTCCCTGAGGCCTAGTGGGAATGCGGAAATGAGCTGCTGTTGCTTCCCAGGGAACAAATCGGATGGAACTTGGGAAGAGACTGTCAGCTACCAAGTAAGGAGATTTCTGGTTCTGGCTGCAGGTTCTGGCTGATGAGCAGGCCTTATCGGCACACCAGTGCTGCCACCCTATGGCAGTCCTGGGCATTACCAAGCCTGCAGTCACTTCCCTGGGCTAAACCAAACACTAGTGCTGACAGAGGTCAGGTGACAAATGAGCCACCACGCTGGCAGAAAGTATAGACCTGCCGAAAGGGGGCAGTGGTGACTCACCTTCCAATCTGCTGCTCATCCAGTGGTACCAGATTTTTGAATTTTTCTAAAAGATGTTCTAAGAGCTCCAGAGGGGGTAAAAAAAAAAAAATGAAGAGATGCTAGAAATTCAGGGTTTTTTGGTGTGTGTAACCTTCTGATTTTCAAGTGTTGATAATTCATTATACAAAATTCTAAGCATGCTATCATACCCGTGGGGTTAATTTGACCCAGTGGCTGCCAATTTGTGACCTCTCAAACTGCCTCCTCCTTCTGATGACACCTATAATTATGGTTTTTTTTTTTTTTTTTTTTTTGGCGATCTAACAACTTGTTACAAATATTAGATCCCAGAATTGGTTTCCCTCAAAACACTTTTGGGCATCCTGTACAAAGGCAGCTTAATAACCTAAGAAAAATGTGAGGATGGAAAGCCTACAGAAATAATAGCAAACACATTTCCCATGGACATTTTTGGATTTTCAGATCTTTTAAAATATCCCTGTCACCACCCGTTGGCCTCCACTTGGTGTCTGGTCGAGAGAGCCCTATCTTTGGGAATCCAGGTGGCTCCCTTCTTCCAGTCTCACTTTGATTGTGCCCCCTTTTAAATTCTTTTCTTTCCTTTCCAAGGGCACTTTGTCACTGAATTCTTCCTCTAGCAAGTCTATTAGTGTTCTCAGCTAGATCTTTCTTTCCCACAGGCTGGCTGAAATCAGCCGTTGCGGTGGCTGTAAGATAGTATATGTGCTCTTGCCTCTGCTCGGGTGACATTAGATAGCAAGGTTTATGTGGACGTGGGTATAGACAGGTCAGGGTTGCTGGGATGAACCAAGGTGCAGACCGGTTTTCTTCCATGCTTGCTGATTCACCTTGGAGGCATGTGACCCTCTTTTTGACTGGCCTTCCAGTCACAGTTCACTGAAACACATGAGTGAGTGGATGTGCTTGGGGCTTTTTGCTCCCCGCTTACCCCCGTCTCTTCCCAGCCCAATGATGGTGGTGGCTTTAGTATAGGGTCCTCTCCGAGCACGGCAGGAATCACTTCTCTCCCTGCAGCGGTTCAGTGTCTGGTGCTTTTCCACTCTTTCTAGACTCTTTCCTGTGCCTGTTGCTGTGTTAGCACAAGTCGGCTGGGCAGCTGCCAGAACAAGCCTGCCAGGGAGCCTTTTGACTCTGGTCAGCTCCCCAGGGCTCCAGGCTGGTGGGACTGCCGCTGAGTGAAACATCATGGAATTAGCCTTGCCAGAGTCTGGGTTGGGAGCCAGGCAGTGAAAATGTAAAAGCCCCTCCGTCTTGCTCACTTTTCCTTTTCTACTTTGCTTTAGATCTCTAAGCACTTGTAGGGTAGGGAGCCAGGGCAGTGTAGCAGAGGAAAAATAAAGTGGATTCTAGAGTCTGACAGGCTCGAGTTATGAATACTGCCTTAACAATTAACTGGATGACCTTGGGCAAGTCACTTAGCCCTTCTGAACCTCAATATCCTCACCTGTAAAATAGGGGTAAGAATTTTTGTTGGGTTGTTGTGAGGATGAGGTAATTATGTAAGGTTCTTAGCATAGTACGCTAAGAACTTTATATACATTGTCACAGACTGTGCTAAAACTTTACATACATTACCTCATCCTCACAACAACCAGTAGGTACTCAGTAAATGTTAGCAGCTTTAATTGTATTGCAGGAAGAACCTATGTTTCCTGCAATAGTTGTGTGTATCCTTGTGACCCTGGTGAGGTGGGGATCTAGGGGAGAGAGCAGCCTTGGCTGAGGGACAACAGGGACCCTCATAGACCTGGTGGTTGAGGGCTGCTTAGAAATATTTCACAGAGAGAACTGGCTTGCATAAGAACCAAGAAGCACAAGCTGGTCAGGAGATTGCAGGCTCCACACCTGCCTTAGTGGTAGTTCCATCAGTGCAGTCTGCAAAGTCAGAGGGAAGCAGATTGGCCAGAATGCCCAGGAGGTCACAGATCAGGAGAATTGGGAGGGGAAAGAGCCTTGGACTTGGAGGCAAGCGATCTGAGTGATGACCTGGGGTATGCCGCTTCACCTCTACTGGCCTTGGTTTCCCTGCAAAATGGGGAACGTGTTCCCTGCTGATCGTGTGAAAAGAGTGAGACAACCAGTTTAGAGTGCTCTGAAAACATGCAAGTGCTAGATATTACAGCCCAGTAAAACCTCCTTTATCTAGTTGGGATGGCAGCCAGTCTGAATAATAAAATACAAATACATGTGCTATTATTTCTTTCCTGTACAGAGCGTATTTTATAGTATTTGCTAAGTAGAAGTCTTTAGGGGAATCAGTTTGAAGAGTGAAGAGTAATTAGTAACCGGTGTATCAGTTTTCATCCTGTTCCAGCAGTGCCTCTGGTACTTAAAAAACAGTTTATTCTTTTTGAATTAAACTTGTTAACATCAATTATGTGTTAATCAGATCCTTTTTACATAATACAAAAGTAAACTCTGGCTTTGTTTTTTGTTAAAAAATGCCTAATGGGCCCTTCTAATTATTCAGATTTAAAAAAATCTTTACTAGCGCCCCAGCAAGGGCACCTTTTCCATGTAGAAGAATCCAAAGTCCTTAGGGCCCTTATTCCCTCTCTCACTGCCCAGTTTCTTCACTTCCAACCCCTGCTGCAATTCCGTTTCTCCTTCTCTGAGCCTAAGCTGCTAAGTGCAGCTGGAGTAATTTGCATAACCATCTCGCCCGGCCCTCTTCCTTCATGGGTTGTGGATGCAACAGAGTCTGCAACACTTCAAGGTAATTTTTTTTTTTTTTTTTTTTTTTTTTTTTTTTGAGACGGAGTCTCGCTTTGTCACCCAGGCTGGAGTGCAGTGACAGGATCTCAGCTCACTGTAAGCTCCGCCTCCTGGGTTCACACCATTCTCCTGCCTCAGCCTCCCGAGTAGCTGGGACTACAGGCGTCCGCCACCATGCCTGGCTAATTTTTTGTACTTTTTTAGTAGAGACGGGGTTTCACCACGTTAGCCAGGATGGTCTCGATCTCCTGACCTCGTGATCTGCCCGCCTTGGCCTCCCAAAGTGCTGGGATTATAGGTGTGAGCCACCGTGCCCGGCCAAGGTAATCTTTTTTTAATCCAAACTCCTCGAGGCTCCCAACCCCATCCCTGTGCCCTTTGTTGCTCTTTACTGCTTGCTCTCTGCCTCCACCAATACAGTGGTCAAGGCATTTTGGTTCAAAGCCTTTGTAATTGCAGATCTTATATACTGGTCATATTCTCGCTTTTTGCAGTACACAACATTCTCTTCATGGGATTCTCCCTTGACATCACCACATCTCAGTTTCCTTTTCCAGCTCTCCTGCCCCTGCTCCCTCCTGTTCTAATGTGAGTGCTTTTCCAGCTTCATTCTTGCCTGTTTTCTTGCTGGACAGTCTTAGCCTCATCTGTGGCTTCACCCACCCCAGTGGCGATGACTCTCAAATGTATATCTCTAGTTCAGAATTTCCCCCTAAATTCTAGATCATTATCCAAAACAGCATACCACCCATCTCTGTCTAGATTTACCATATAATATAACGGTTGAAATGTTGACCTGGGTTTGAAGCCTAACTCTGTAATCTAGCTGTGTGACTAGAGAAGTTATTTAAATTTTCTGAACATCATCTGTAAAATGGGGCTAATTCTGCCTACTTCACAGAGTGGTGACATTGACATAGTGTTTATGTTTATAAGACACCTAGTGCAGTGTCTGGCAGAGTCTCTGCCCTCTGTCCTGTTGTTGAGGTTGTTTTTGATCTTGCCCCTCCTCCCTCCCATGGATTCCATCACCCACCCATGGTGGCCACTTCTACATCTGAAATCCATCCTTTGTTTTCCACCTTATTCCGCTGCTTTTGGCCCTCTTCATTCCTTGCCTAAGCTTTTGGTTTCTTCCTGAAAATTCTCCCCATTTCTGCCAGCATTTTCTTTCTGAAGACCTTCCTGGCTCCTCGCCTACAGGAAACAAATGAAAGGCGCTTGCATGTCATGCAAGCTCTTTCACCATCGTGCCCCTGCCCACCTCCTTAGCTTCATCTCCCATTGTTCCCCATGATAGAACCTAGTTTTTGCCACATCTTGAATATGTTATGCCCATTTAAACTTTGAGACCTCCATGTGCCCTACACATCGTGCCTCCTTGGTACTTCCCTCACTGGCTGCCTGGTAACTAGTAAACTCCTAGTTACACTATAGGATTTAGCATGCGGGGCCACCTGCAGTTTTCCTAAGCACAGATTGTCTTTCCTGCTCTGCTTCTCTAGCCCTGTGTTCATTCTTCCACTGCAAGAATGTTGTTAAATAAGGCACTGGGATTGGTGTGTCTGTATCCCCCCCTAGACTGTGAGTTCCTTGAGGGCAGGGACCAATTCTTACTCCTCTGCCCCTTGCAGAGTACCTCACAAATGATCATTGTCAATAAATGTTGAATGAATTAAGAGGTCCTGGAGTGTGATTCTGGGATGGAGCAGGTACTGGGGCTGGGTGTGGGGACAGGTCTCTTAGAAGGATAGGGAGCAGGGCCGCCAGGTGTGTGCTTTGAGGTGCCTGGCAGCTTAGAGCTAATGGCAGCTGTGTTTTGCTACAGCGTTACCTTCCCCAAGGCTGGTAATGGGATGAACCAAAAGAAACTACTGACTTATTTTTCTAGGGGACTGGGGCTTGGGCAGAAGGCTGCATTTTCCTCCTGGGTAGGACCTGGATCAGGATAGCCCATGATGAATTTGACCCTGATGACTCTATAGTGGGGAACAATGTCCTCAGGAAAGCATTCAGGAAACCCTTCGTGTAGTAGTGATCAAAGCTCTGGAGCAGCTCAGCAGGATGGATGGGAAAACTCCAAGGAATCCAGCAAGGCCCAGGGATCCTCTTAATGCACTTACCAGGTGGAGCTCTCCAGCAGCCTCTCGGCAGACCCTTGGACCAACCCTTTGGTTTGAGGAATCCTGGGAAGGGGTGAGAATGGCTTCCTGGAGATCCTGTGGGAGCCACTGCTTCTGGAGTGTCTCTGTTTTATCTCCATTTTCCCCTTCATGCCTTCCCTCTAGCCACATGCCTGAGAGGGTGGGGTGGGCTGGTAGGTGAAGCCTGTAAGCATTGAAAATAGAGATGGGGAAGGCTCTGGTTTCCCCACCTCCTCAAGAAGCAGACTATAAGCCTTCTTGTATTTATATGAAACCCTCTTTCCACTTGTCTGTCATTCCCAAGGAGTTCAAATAAAAGAGAGAAAATCACTGATTCTTCTTCTGCCCCTCGAGTGGGAAATGGCTCCCCCAAGATAATGGGATTCTTAGCAGAGCTGGCCCTGTGGCGGCCCCATGCCCCCTCCCTTTCCCAGCTTGCACCTTGTCATCATGCCAAACCAAGGTCAGCTTCTGGCCTGCAGTTTGCTTGAGTTGACGATGAGGGGAAACCCTCTTGGGTGCCTGCCGGCCGTAGGGCATAGCCACAGCCCCTCTGGCTGGTGGCTCATGTGACTTACCTCTGATGAAGGTTGCAGCCTGCTTTTCCTGCCCCCTCCCAGTTTTGTTTGCCCAGCACACAGACTAAAGAATAACTCCTGGGGTACCTCTGCCCCTTTGATCCTCTCCAAGCTGTTTTCCCCACGTGCGGGAGGGTAGGAGGTCACAGTCTTTCCCACAGATGCGAGTCCTGTGTGTTTATAATTTGGTTGATTGATGACAAGGTGGATTGTTCAGCTGCTATTGTCCCTAAAGCCCTGTCCTTGGCTGGCTCTCACCTCACTGATATATGCTGGGGCCTTGATGGGCTCAGACCCCACCCCACCCCACCTCCCACCCTGCAATCTGCTCTCCTCAAGAAGCTCAGCTCTGGAGCTAGACTGCTCCCATTCAAAGCCCAGCACTGCCTCTTACAGCTGCAGTCCTTTGGCAAGCTTCTTCTCAGTGTCTTCTGTGTCAAATGGGGCTAATGTATGACTTACGGGGTTATTGCAAGGATTCAAGGAAAACACACCAAAGCATCTGGAACAGTGGCTCACATATAGTTAGCACTAGGAAAAGTTGGTTGTTGTGATTAGAAGTATTTTTTCCATTCTATGCATTTAGCCACACTTTAGGACCCTGATTTCTCTCTGGGCTCTAAGAGAGGGTGCCTGAGTGTAGTGGGGAAACTGAGGCCTACAGTAGCCCTGTGGCCGACAGCTGGGGAACCATGAGGGTACCCTGATCCTCAGCCCAGAGGCCTGTTGGCTGTGCTGTTTGTTGCTTCTCTGCCCCTGTCTCACTGTCCCTGCTCTGAGTCCCCAGGCCTTTCCTGGACTGCCTTGGTGTCTTGTAGCAATCCCAACCTGCACACAGCCTTGGTTGGCTCACTGATTGGCCTTCAGGCAGTTAGAGATTTCTGGAGGAGGCTGGAGAAGCTGAGGGTTGACTAAGGGTGGTGCTGAGCTGAGGGGACCCTGCCCGGGCTACTGGGGCTCTTGGGAGTGTGTTGGAGGGGGTCCCCCAGACTCTTGTTCATGACCCCCAGACAGGGGAAGTGTCTTAGTTTGTCAGGGCTGCCATAATGAAACACCACAGAGTGGCTCACCGACCTCAGAGACTTATTTTCTCACAGTTCTGGAGGCTGGAAGTCCAAGATCAAGGTGCCAACTTGATTGGGTTTTCCTGAGGCCTCTCTCTCTGGCTTGCAGGTGGGCACCCTTTTGCTGCCTGTTTACATGGGTATCTCTCTGTGCCTGTGCACTCCTGGTGTATCCAAATTTCCTCTTAAAAAGACACCATCAGGTTAGATTAGGGCCCACCCTAATGGCCACATTTTAACTTAATCTTATCTTTAAAAGCCTATCTCCAAATACAGTCATATTATGAAGAAATATGAAGTTTAGGACTTCAACATATGAATCTTGTGGGGACACATTTCAGCAGTAACAGAAAGACAGACGGCAGCAGCATGAAGCGGGCCGCTGCCGCCGGGGAAACCTCTGCACGGGAGAGCGGCTACAGCCAAAGCCTTTAATGGGGAGGCGCTCAGCCTACCCTGGGGAGAGGCTGGTGTTGGGTCCTCGTCCCTCTCTCCCACAAGAGGCCCTAGAGTGAGAACTAAATGCCTGAGGCCGGAAGGCTCTGTGAGCTGATTATCCCTGTGGTCTCTGGGGTGAAGGAACAGTCAGCAGGCCCCAGGCACTGTCCTGTCCTTCCCCTGCCTTATCAGAGCCTCGACTCCCTTCCGCCTCTAGGCTGTGACCCAGGCTCTCCCCATGAGCAGTGACTTTGAAGGGGGTAACATCGCCACCTTTGTTTTAGCTGAGCTCTGCAGCTCTCCATGTACCCCACCTGGCAGGGAGTGGTTTAGAAATAGCACCGAGAGTTCAAACATCACTTCTATTATTTTTTCCAGGAGATTTACTTGTCTGACTGAGTTGGTTTAGGCTGATATTCTAGTAAAGACTTTCCTCTCTGAGTGCCATGTGTTTTCTGATAAAAGCTGAGGGCGGGTAGGGAAGTGGCTCAGAAACTTTCTGGAAGTCAGAATTGGCCACAGATGACAAGTAAGTGCTTTGCCTGGCCCTGGAGCCCACCTCCCCATCAGTCTTTCACGCAGCCCCATTAGGTGGGCTAGAGATCATCTCAGGGTCCTCTGATGGTGCACTGCCCTCCCCCAGCATCCTACATCTCCCTCTGGGGTCAGTAGTTCTGGGTCTTTCACGGCCTCTTGTCCCCCCAGGCCCAGAAGCCAGCATTGGAGGGGCAGGAAGGATGGATGCTTTAGGTCCAGCTGCCTGCTGCCTTCTGCCCAGCCAGGTCCACAGAGTCCTAGGATTGCAGAGGTTCCCTGGCTTCTTGGAAAAGGGCTAGAAGGCAGCCACCCTGCTTTTCCTGTGGACTTCATTAGTCTTGGGAACCCAAGGCAGACAAATCCCAGAAAAGAAGAGAAGGAAAACTGTGCTCACTGAGCTCCTTTAGGCTGAGTGTTGTGCCGGATGCCTCTGATATCTCATTTAATCCTCTCAAGAGCCCTGCAAAGCAGGGGTTGTTTTCTCCATTTTATAGATAGGGAAACTGAGACTCAGGGGCTAAGTAACTGAATCGCACGTTGAGCGAGTGGTTGTGCTGGGAGCGAAGCCTAGGTCTGCAGGCTTTGGAGCTCTGGTCTACTTCCAGTGAAGCTGGCTGTTCCTCCCAGCTTCACTGTGCCCTTGGCCTTTCTTCCCCTTGGACAGTGGAGGGTGGAGGGTGGGAAAGTCAGTGGGGGCTTCCTCCCCTCCTCTTTCCTTTCATCTCCAGAGACCTCTTTGTTTTCCCTGATTCCTGGACACACTGGGCTCAGGGCTCCTGACTGACTGGGCTGCAGCTCTCAGATCTCCAATGACTAGGAGGGAATGAATGGGTTGTCACCTCTTGACCTGTATCCCCCACCCCCACTACGTCTCCTACCCCAGCAACCACAATGGCCTGAGGCTAATTCAGTGCCGTCATTGTTGACCGTGGAGAACAATGCTCAGAGACAGGCTGCTGGCGGGACTGGGTGCAGCCACCTGCTCCTCTCCAGCACTGTTTCTCCCATGCTAGGAAGTTGGGAGATGACTTTCCATGTGTGAGATATGAGGGTCCTGAGAGGAGGTGTGAGAGGAGGGAGCAAACGGTAATCTCCCCATTCCCCCATATCCAAACCATTTCCCAGTGCCAAGCAAGGCTGTGGGTACTATGGGCTTCCTCTTACTAGGCTGTGGGTCACATGGCTCCCCCCTCACTAGCTGTGAGACCGTGGGCAAAGTCACTTAGCTTCTCTGCGTCCTAGTCTTTAATATAGGGATTTACTACCTCCTTCACCAAGTAATTGAGGGGAAAGCTCTTAGCATAGTGCCTCATTCCATAGAAGACATCAGTTCTCCCTCTTGCCCCTGCTTTCCTGGTAATTGGCAGGTGCGCTTGATCTTTTGGGCCAGCTTGTGCTGGGAGGCAAGGTGCTGTGGGGAGGCACAACCTGGGAGAGCCTTTCCTGAGTCCAGCTGGAGCCAGAGATAAAGGAGGCCTCCCTGCTTCCCCAGCTGTCTTGCTTCGCTTTGCTTTTTGTAACACGGAGGAAGCTGAAGGCATTGTGATTATCGGCTCCGGGAAGATAAACTTGAAGGGTGACTTAATGAGCATTTGTAAACCTATCGAAGGTTATCATTCAGGGCAGAGTGACCGGCGGACACGCGGAAATGGGTTTAGTATGCAGCAAAGGTATGTGAGTAGACATGAGAAAGCCTTTCCCAGCAGGAGAAGGCCTGGGAACTTGAAAGGGGGGGTCGGGGGTGAGACTGAGGAAGCCTGTAAAATCTTTAAAAATAGGTCATTTTGTTCTGACTGGGCTTGGGTGGGGTTTGGTTAAGAGGTGAAGGGACAGGTCAGAGACCAGCCAGGAATTCACCCTTGAATCAGAAGTCAGGTGAGACTGGCTGGTGGCATCCTTAGGCAAACAGAGTTGCGTTTTATAGGGGAGCCTGGGCTAGGGGGTAGACAGGGAAACCCTGCCTCTGGACCCACCCCCAGCTTTGACTTGCTGTATTTTCAGAGACAGCACAGGAAGTGGGCCTTCACAATGTCAGGATACAGGAAGCTATCGGACTATTGAAGGCCACTTCCTGTGAGCTGGTCATTCACATACATTTGTCACCGGCTATCAGGCCTTTTGGGCTCTGCCATTGTCTGGAGGGGCTGCAAAAGACTAGGGGCTGCCAGCAGAGGCTTTTGGACACAGAATACACTATTGTGCTGAACTGGCAGCACCCCATGGTGTGGGGAGGAAAGTGGTGGGTAAGAAAGGGGACGCCTGGCTCTCATTGTCATTGGTTGCACAATGGGGTTGGGGGTTGGGTCCTCTCCTGCTCATGGGAGCCTGAACTTCTGGGAGATGAGATGGCTACACAGAAGCCTGGCTTTAGGCATGATACCGGAGTGAGCTGGAAAGGAGGTCCATCACTTTATTAGCAGTGATGGGCTTTCTAGATCTCTGCCATTGGCCAGTGTGACATAGCATGGGCTTGGAGTCAGGCAGACCTAGATTTCGAAGTCATACCTCACTGCTATCAATGGTGCAACTTTGCGCATATACCACCCTACCCCTCTGAGCTTTAGTCCTGCTCCTGTGAAGTGAGGACAGTAAGAACTGACTCATAGGGATGATCATTGCTTGAAATAATCTGTTGAAGTCTTTAGCTTGATACTTGGCACTTATTAGATGTCTAAGAAATATGAGTTCCTTCTCCATCCTCATCTCCTTCCCTTCTAGTTCACTTCTGACCCTACTGCCTGGTCTGCCAGTGAGCAAGTGAATTAGTGAGTGCAGGGGTATGAAGAGATATTTTAATATCAGCCCAAACAAAGCATTACTTCTGCCTTTTTTTTAATGCCAAGACGATCAAATAGACCGTTAATTATCTGCACTAATGGATGGCACAGTCACAGATCATTTTTTCTGGCCATGTGCCTTTGGCCTTATGTGTGAATCTGGGTGTGTCTGATTTCTGGAAGTTCACATCAATGCAGTTGTAACAGGGCAGACCTGCTCTGGAGGAGATGAGTTAGAGAACTGTCTAGCAGCCCATGAATTTGACCTGCTCAACTCTGAGACCCACCGGTGCCAGGAAGAGGCCACTCTCTTTCTCAGCTGTCTGATAGGTGGAAAACCATGGACTTTGGAGGCAGACACTTGGGTTCAGATCTTGACTCTGGCCCTAACTAATGGTGTGACAGGGAAAGTTATTTGACTTCTTTGAGTCTCTGTCTCTTTACTTATAATCTGAGCTTAATCATATTTACTTTGCAGGTCTCTGTGAAGATAAAATAAGGTAATGCACATGCTCCTCACCTAGTCACGTTTTCCTTCCATTTCTTTCCCTTCTCCTCTTTTCTCTGTCACTCAGCCCTACCCTGAGCAGAGATCCCTTTCTAATCATTGCTGGTGTACAGATATAGTTAAGTGTTTGGACTTGAGGATCCTACTGCCCTACAGCACAGGAGAACCAGGCCTCTGTTCATTGTGGTAGCCATTAGCCACATGTGACTATTTAAAGTAAAATGAACAAAAATGAAAAATTAGCTCCTCACTAGCCACACGTGGCTAGTGGCTATTGTATTAGACAGTGGGGACAGACATTTCTATCATTGCAGAATGTCCTATTGGATAGTGCTGAGTGAGAGGGTGTGATATAACCATGGAACCTGATAAGCAGAAGGAAATAAATTAATGAGGAAAAAGGATTTGGTTGGCTGAGAACTGAGTAAAATAGTATCCCTCTACTATTTGAAGCGTCCATGGGGTTTGGACTCTTGATGTTGGTTCTCTTCTTCCATTGGTAGAGTTAATCCAGTGCACACTTGGTCTAACACTCAAATGCCAGGAACCTCTGGGGCTGGACTGAGAAAGCTGCCCAAGCAGGCCCTGTGCTCCACGGATGGGTCATGGCCAGGCCTTACTGACTAACAGAGTTTGCCTTGTGTTCTATGGCCCCTATACAGGTGTGAATTGTGACGGCTTAGGCCCAGGGAAGCCACAACTGCCCTAGGACTCTTTATACCAATACCTGCCACTCTAGACTCTTCCCTTTGTCTCCCATCCTTGTCACAGAAACCATAGACAATCATATGGCCTTGCCCTGATGTCAATGACAGACTCATCCCCCAAGCATAGATTGTAGTTGTGGCATGTGGCTCGTAGTCTCTCCCTCCTCTGCTGCAGGCACCGATCCTACCACTCTTAACCAGGCTGCTCCCTGAGCCTTCGTGGGCTGCTGGGCTCTGGAATTATTAGCTTTGTTGCCAACAGCCTGGTGTGCATGAGTCCTGGGCACCCCTGGACCAAAGCCATCCAACCTCAGCTGCATATTCCCAGTTTATACAGTTTATCAGCCCTGCTTTGCTTCCTGACACTCTGACTAGCCTTGTCAGCATCCCCCTCTGCTCCCCTTGGAGGAATGGGGCTGGGTGTCTGTACTCCTAAGCTCTGGACTGGGCTCCTGCTCTGAACATGTCTGTTTCCTGAAACCCCAATTCTGAAATCTGTCTGCTCTGCACATCAAACTGGCCTCAAGATACCAGCATTGGGCTGGATCTTGTATTTGGAGTAACTCACCCTCCCTGCCCACGTCCCAGCTTCCTGTCCTTTCCCATCAGCTGTACCAACAGTGGAGGCTCAGCAAGCCTGGCACCTGAGGCCATGGCTGTTGGACAGGTCTAGGAAGGCCCTGTAGGCTGGCCTACCATGGGGGGGTTCCCAGACGTCACAGCAATTAGAGTTCATAGGAGCTTGGCAGGTGCCAAGGTTAGGAGCCTATCTGGGATCACGTGTGAGGCCAAGTTTTCCCCAAACTTGGGAGGGATCAGGGTCTGTAGCCCAGAGTATGTTCTGCTCCCATTGCTCGTTTCAGAGTTGTAGATCTTGAGGCAAAGAAAAGAGAAATGGCCGCACAAGGCCACACTGGGGTGTCTGAGTAGTGATCAACCATCCAGGTTGCTTCTGAAGTCTCCTAGCCCTTTTCATTCAAGCCTGGGGTCACTCTCTTGTTCTCTAGCACAGAATAAGCTGTTCTCTTGTCCCCTATCTGATCTCTTCCTCTTTCCCTCCCTGCCCGTGTGAAGTTGTGTGAGAAAGGTGGTCCACAGGCACCAGGTTTCCAAAGACACTGGCAACTGCCCCACCACCAATTCTTACCTCTGCCTCACCCGACTGCCAGCCAAGGGGTGGTGGTATCCGGGGAGGGATCTCAATCCCAGAAACAAACAATGTCACTGCCGATGCCCTTGTCGGAGGAAACCCAGGGGACAGTCTAACGGGTGCCTCCCTCTACCTCCCTGCCTTCCAGGCTTTTCTTTTCCCTGGCGCTGCTGCCCTTTGTCCTTCCTATCTTGGGAAGGATGGGAAAGGGCATGTGGGGGCTGGACAGGGCTTTAGTCAAGTGACCAAAATCCAACTCGTTCAGGCAAAAAGACCTTACTAGTTCCCAGGGCAGCTTCGGCGACAGACACGAGATTCCCCAGTACTATCTCCCTGCCCCTCACCTCCGCATCTCTCTCTGGGGTGGCCCCAGCCTCTCATGGCAGACCTATTTCTTCCATGTGGAGGAAAACAGGGCCACTGATAGCCCTCAGGCCTTCTGTGTTCCAGGTTCTGTCAGTCACAGGAGAGGGCTGACTATCAAATTTGGTTTCTAAATCCAAAAATCCTAAAGAAGGGACACACAGGTACTTGTGTCCCTTGACTACTAAATAGTTTCTGGGAAGAAGACGTGTTAGGTAAGACGAGGCAGCTTCTGCAGTGGCCTGTGGATGGGGTCACAGTTCCCAGAGAAGGCACATGGTTCCTCAGATGACGTTTCAAGAAGGAACAGGTGTGACAACTCCTCTTGAGCAGAGCAGGGGTTTGCAGGGATGGTCCCGGCCTTCTCTGCTTTGGTGATTTCTTTTCTTTTCTTTTCCTCTCTTCTCTTCTCTTTTCTTTTCTTCTTTTCATTTCTCTTCTCTTCTCTTCTTTTCTCTTCTCTTCTCTAATCTTCTCTCCTCTTCTCTTTTCTTTCTTCCTCCCTCCCTCCCTCCCTCCTTTCTTTCTCTCTCTCTCTCTCTCTCTCCCTCCCTTCCTCCCTCCCTCCCTCTCTCTCTCTGTCTCTCTCTCTCCCTCTCTCTCTCTCTCTCTCTCCCTCTCTCTCTCTCTCTCCTTTCTTTTCTTTCTTTCTTTCGGAATCTCCCTCTGTTGCCCAGGCTGGAGTGCAAGTGGTGCGATCTTGGCTCACTGCAATCTCTGCCTCCTGGGTTCAAGCAATTCTCCTGCCTTAGCCTCCTCAGTAGCTGAGATTACAGGCACCTGCCACCACGCGGCTAATTTTTGTATTTTTAGTAGAGATGGGGTTTCATCATGTTGGTCAGGCTGGTCTCAAACTCCTGGCCTTGTGATCCACCCGCCTCGGCCTCCCAAAGTGCTGGGATTACAGGCGTGAGCCACTACGCCTAGCCAGTGATTTCTTAGAAGTGCACTAGCCTTAAAAATGGAACTGAGGTGAGGATAGCTAAGAGGATTCCTAGGATTGTGGTCTGGAAATGGGTGTTAAGAGTGGCCCAGCTAGCCCGGTGTATTGGAAAGTACATGGCTGTAGAGCCAGGGAGACCAAGGCTTGGCATTAGCTCCACCCCCACAAGTGACTTGGCCTTTCTGATCCCATCTCTAAAAGTGCACGAGATGTGTTTCCCTGACCTCATCAATCTGTGGATTCAAATGAAATCACACTGGCTTTAATGTTCTACTTTTTCTGCCTCATATTCCCCCCCATTTCTAGGACCCCAGACTTCTACCTACTCAGAGAGACCCCGGGCTATCTCTCATGTGCTCACAGCCTGCTGGTTCATGACTGGCCCTGGCTTGCAAGCCACAGAAGGGCTGCAGGGCCCCTGGAGGAGTCCTTACTCCATCTGTGTCCAGTGCTGTCCTGGTCCCCTCAAACTTGCAGACAGCCCGGGTTCCAGGTGGCACCATATTTCCACTGGTCCTTATTCAACTGGAGCCATTTGAAGCTCCATGAAGAAGGTGGGAGAAGGTTCCTTTCACCACATCCAGATCATACCTTGTCACTGGCCCCCAAAGCAGTGCAGCTTGTGAGGCTTCTCTCACAAAATCCCCCAGGAAAGAAAGTTCTTTGGTTTCTGCCAGAAGATCCCCTCTCTCTTCCTGAGGTTCTGCCCTGGTCCTAGGAGCTGGGCCAGGGAAGGGTCATCTTGCCCTGGCTTCATCCAGAGGCCTGCCCCCTGCACACTCCTTCCATATCAGACCTTCCCCTTATAAATATATGCTGGGAGGAGTGGACGCTGGCCTTTCCACATATCAGATATACCTGGCTTTGAATCCTGACTTGCCATATCTAGAAAGCCCTTCTTCACTAGAATTACAGTGTCCTTTTAGTAGGATTGTTGTGTGGATTAAGGGAGATACAGGATATGTGCTCAACAAATGTTAGTTCCATTTCCTCGGTTCACAAACTCATTGCTCTCTTATTGGGAAGGCTGGGATGCTAGCACCTCTTATTTGTGCAGCTGCTGGGAAACCAGGGGAGCAGGGGAGCAGGGCCTGCTTCAGGGCCTGAGCAGGGGAGCAGGGCCTGAAGGCCAGGAAGACCTGGCATGGCTTGGCCAATGAAGCTGGCATTCATCCAGCTTCTACGGGCTTTTCAGGGGAGCTCCATGGGTCCAAATGTGGTAGAATCAAAGATCCTAGCTGGTGGTTAGTTGGGCCAGGGTATGAGACTAAAGGTCATGGAGAGGTAATCCTGGCTGAGATGTGGGCAGGGGACCTCCCACATAGGAGGGGAGCAAGAGAATGTACTTTTTTTTTTTTGAGGTGAAGTCTTGCTCTGTCGCCCAGGCTGTAGTGCAGTGGTGCGATCTCAGCTCACGGCAACCTCCACCTCCCGGGTTCAAGCGATTCTCCTTCCTCAGCCTCCCAAGTAGCTAGGATTACAGTGCCTGCCACCATGCCTGGCTAATTTTTGTATTTTTAGAAGAGATGGGGTTTCACCATGTTGGCCAGGCCAGTCTCGAACTCCTGACTTCAAGCGATCCACCCGCCTTGGCCTCCCAAAGTGCTGGGATTACAGGCGTGAGCCACCGTGCCCAGCCCAAGAATGTACATTTTGGGCATCCTGAAAACCTGTGTTTCACCTGGACTACCCCTGCAGCAGGTGTGTCTACCCTGCTGCAGATGAAAGCCCAGCTTCCCTTCTGGGCAGGAGTCCTTCTGCAGCAGCCCTGTTGGTGGTCACTCAGCTGCTGCTAGGATGCTTCTGAAAGCAGGTCCATTGAATAGGAACGACCTGTGCTCTAGATTCAAAGCCACCTCCGTATGTTGGAATGAGAAAAATCTAACAGGAGTAGAGGGTAAAATAACAAACTGCATAAAGACAGGATGGGGAGAGCTGGTTTAAAGATAGTTAATCTAAAAAGCAACCTTGGGGGCCGGCACTTTGTGAGAGCCTGTAATCCCAGCACTTTGGGAGGCCGAGGTGGGTGGATCACTTGAGGTCAGGAGTTCAAGACCAGCCTGGCCAACAGGGTGAAACCCCCATTTCTACTAAAAGTACAAAAACTAGTTGGGGATGGTGGTGCGTGCCTGTAATCCCAGCTACTCAGGAGGCTGAGGCAGGAGAAATGCTTGAACCCGGGAGGTGGAGGTTGCAGTGAGCCGAGATTGCACCACTGGATTCCAGCCTGGGTGACAGAGGGAGACTCTGTCTCAAAAAAAAAAAAGCAACCTTGGCGGAGGCTCAGGGGTGGGGACAGGGACTCCACAAGGGGGCAGGGGAAAAGGACTAGGCTGAAGTCATTGAGAAGTCACTTGGGAAGTGTGAGAGCTTCCTGAAAGGAGGTGTCCTCCCCAGTGAGATGTTCTGGGTTCTGGGAGCCAGGCCTAACTGTCCCCCAACCCCTCCCCCTGTTCCCCAGGAACGGCCCCCAGAGAAAGTTCTTTCTGGATCATTCAGTCCCCAGTAAAAGTTGGGACCAGGTCATTGACCCATAAAGGGATACATGGAGATGGTGTCTTTGGGGACCAGGCAGGCTATAAGGAGTGAAGTGGAAGCAGATTCAGGAACACTGAAGCTGGCAGCTTCCCAGAGGAGGTGGCTTGTAACCTCAAGAAGGCTCATAGCTGCCATTTGCCTGAGTACCCAAGATAGGGAGGTGGCCACTGTGCCCTGCTGTGCCTGTCCAGCCTTCAGTGCCCATGGAGAGACACATGGAAACCCAGGATTAGCCACATGGCTGAGTCAAGGTGCAGTTGCCCACATGGGCATGGACAAGGGCACACGCACACCCATATGCAGACACGGACCCTGACATACGCATACCAGCACCTTCCCATCTTCAGCCACTCTCATTCTGGAGAATTCATCCAGGCCCAGGACTGCTTGACCCCTCCTCCTCTGCCCTCACACCCAGACTCCAGCCAGCCCCACCCCTGAGAAAGTACAGCTCAGGGGTCCCCAGGGCTGCACAGGAAATGCTTTGCACACTATGGGTCAGCCAGGCTATTTTCTGTCCCAGGACTGGAGGGAGGTTGGGCCGGGAGCAGCCAGTCACGACACAATCAGCTATTTTTCTGCCTCTTTCTCTGTAGCTTTTTCTCTGCCTCTACCATTTGTAGTCAGTGTTTCTCTGTCTCTCCGTGTTCCTGTCCTGTCCCTGTATTTCTCCCTTAGGCCTCAGGGTCTTTTGACCCAATGCCTTGCTGCATTTCACTCAGTGATCACCTATGTACCCTATAAAACTCAGCTCAGTGACACCTCTTCCAGAAAGCTTTCTCTGACCCATCACTCAGTCCAATTTAGATGCCCTTTCCCTTTGCTTCCGGAGCTCTGTGCAGGAAAACTCTCCGAGCTCTGTGTGGTTGCGGATGCAGTTCGCTCCTGCTTCCCCAGGTGGACTGTGAGAAACTTGAGGGTAGGTGCCCTGTCTTTTTTTGTTGTTGTTGTTATTTGAGACAGGTACTTGCTCTGTTGTCCATGCTGGAGTGCAGTGGTGTGATCATGGCTCACTGCATTCTTGATCTTCTGGGTTCAAGCCATTCTCCCACCTCAGCTTCCCAAGTAGCTGGGACCACAGGCACATGCCACCATGGCCAGTTAATTTTTAAAATTTTTTTAGAGATGGGGTCTTGCTATGTTGCCCAGGCTGGTCTAAAACTCCTGAGCTTAAGCACATCCTCCTGCCTCAGTCTCCCAGAGTGCTGGGATTATAAGCACAGGTGACCTGTCTTAATGACTGTTTCTCAGCATCTGCACACATAGGTATCGTCCACACCTGCATCCATGTTTATGTCATTTATTCATTTACTTGTATACTGGAAGATTATACTGTGATGATTAAAAGCCCAGACTCTGGAGTCAGACTGCCTGAATTATATAATCTCAGCTGTGTGACCTTGAGCAAGTTGTTTGAACTCCTTGTGTCTCAGTTTCCTCTACTATAAAGTGGGGATGATACCAGTACCTGCTGCACTGAGTTGTTGGGAGGATGAAACAAGTTAATACATGTAAAGCACTAAGAATAGTTCCTGGCCCACTGCAGGTACTCCCACATATTAGTTGTGTTCTTATTTCACAAGTGATAAGATGGAGAAAATTGCATTTACCAGTACTTCCCTCAGGGAGCACACTATCTGCTTGGGAAGGATGCTTTGACTAGTTGCTAGGGGGTAAGCCCTCTTGTCAAGGGATATATCCTTGAGTAACAACAAATGGTTGCTGAACTCTTTATTTAAAGAGGGTAGGCTGGGCGCGGTGGTTCACGCCTGTAATCCCAGCACTTTGGGAGGCCGAGGCGGGTGGATCACTTGAGGTCAGGAGTTTGAGACCAGCCTGGCCAACATGATGAAACCTCCTTCCACTAAAAATACAAAAATCAGCCGAGCATGGTGACACATGCCTGTAATCCCAGCTATTCGGGAGGCTGAGGCGGGGAGTCACTCGAACCTGGGAGGCAGAGGTTGCAGTGAGCCAAGATGGCACCACTGCACTCTAGCCTGGGCAACAGAGCGATACTCCATCTCAAAAAATAAGAAAAGATAAATAAATAAAATAAATAAAGAGGGTAAGCCAGGTGCCATGTCACATGTCTATAATCTCAGCACTTTGAGAGGCTGAGGTGGGAGGATCCCTTGAGCCCAGGAGTTTGAGGCTGCAGTGAGCTATGATTGTGCCACTGCACTGCAGCCTGGGCAACAAAGTGAGACTCTGTGTCAAAAAAAAAAAAAAAAAAAAAAAAAAAAAGAGGATAGATTGGGCAACTGCAGGGCTTTTGTTTAACTGAGTGAGATGTGCTGCAGGTTTTGGGCCGGAACTGAATTGTCTGAGACAGGAGAGTCTGGGCATGGTATGGGGCAAGGGCAAAAAGGAGGATGTATTAGTTTCCTATTGTTGCTGAACAAATTACCACAAATGTGGTGGCCTAAGGCAACACAAATTTATTATCTGACAGTTCTGGAGGCCAGAAGTCTGAAGTGGATTTTACTGAGCTAAAATCCAGGTGTCAGCAGGCTGCATCCTTTCTTCAGGCTTTAGGGGAGAAACTGTTTTCTTACCCATTCTAGCTTGTAGAGGCCACACACATTCCTTGGCACATGGCTCCTTTCCACCATCTTTAAGCCAGCTCAAGTGACATCACCTTACTCTGACCTCCATTTCTGCCTTCCTCTTGCACTTTTTTTTTTTTTTCTTGAGACACTCACTCTGCTGCCCAGGCTGGAGTGCAGTGGTGCCATCTCAGCTCACTGCAACCTCCACCTGCTGGGCTCAAGCGATCCTCTCACCTCAGCCTCCCAAGTAGCCTGAACTACAGGTATGTGCCACCATGCCTGGCTAATTTTTATATTTTTTATAGAGACGGGGTTTCATCATGTTGCCCAGGCTGGTCTCAAACTCCTGCGTTCAAGTGATCTGCCCACCTTGGCCTCCCAAAGTGCTGGGATTACAGATGTGAGCCACCAAGCCTGGCCTCCTCTTGTGCTTTTACTGACTCCCTTGATAATCCAGGATAAACTCCCTGTCTTAATGTCAGCTGATTAACAACCTTAATTCCATCTGCAGCCTTAATTCCATTTTGCCATGTAACCTAACATATTCATAGATTCTGGGTTTAAGACATGGACATCTTGGGGGTGGGGGCCTCATTCTGTCTTCCACCAAGGACTACTGCTGATAGGAAGGAGACTGGGGAATACACGTGTCTGCTGAGTATTGGGGGGCTTTGCTGTGGGGTGTGCATCACCTCTGACTTCCTTACAAAACCTTCAGTGCTCAGGTGCTTTGGGATATGGATTTTCTTGGGGGGACATATGAAGACATGTGGAATCTTGGCTCAAGGATTGGCAGGAGGCAAAATCTGAGGCTTCCCTCAACAGGGAGAGCTGAAAGCTGGGTCACATATTCATTCAATCAACCTGTATGAGCCAGGCTGGGCTCAAGGGTCATCGCCTTCAAGTCATTCACAATCTATTAGAGGGGACAGGTGTACAAACAGGTAAGAGTCACTCTGGGATAGGAGGATCAGTGATGGCAGTCTACATGGTTGCAGCACAAAGGAGGCACCCAACTTAGCCTGGAGGGAGGAGAGGCTGGGCAGACTTCCCTGAGGAAGTGATGCCTCAGCTGAATTGAGAAGGATGAATAGAAATTCACCAGGTGAAGAGAGGGCAGCACATTCTAGGCAGCCTGGACCATCAGAGAAAGGGTGTGGAGATGAAGGTGCAAGCTGATATGGTGTGTGTGTGTGTATATTTGTGTGTAGTGTGTGTGTGCATGTGTGTGAGACTATAAGCAAAGTTCTGGCACAATAGCAGCACTCAGTGAATATTTCTAGAATAAACACTTCAGTGTTATGCTGTTTTGTTTGTTGCTTGGCAGATCACAGCCCTGCCAAACTAAACCAAATAGGAGACACCTCCTTTTAGGGAAGCCCCCAGGGTTACTGTGACCCATCTGAGAAATCTTTTTTCAGGATCTCTCATTAGGAAAAAGAGGAAGGTTTGTTTCATATCTGATGTCCAATGTAACAATAACTCTTCACATTTGCAGAATCCTTTACACTTTGCTGGATACTTTCATTTGAAATGTCTCAACTGGTCAGTGTTTTCTTTTTCAGCTGAAGAAACTGAGGCTCAGAGAATTAACTATTGTTTCTCAAGGTCACACAGCCATGTGGCAGATCCGGGCCTGGACTCCGGCATCCCTGCTTCACAACCAGGCCCTGGCACCTGCTGATTACGGAGTGTCCTGCCCCTGCCCTCTGGCTGTGGAGGCAGCTGGGGAGCAGGGCTGAGTTGCCTGGTGCAGCTCATGATGTTTTCCCCTCTTTCCCGGAAGGGGTTTCCTGAAGGTGGAAGTGAGACCTGAAGGCATAGAGAGTGTGCATTGTTCAGCTGCACCTGGCGGTGAGCTCATGTCAGCAGACAGAACAGGGAAGGCAGCACCAGACCAGGAATTGGAAACTGCCTGAGCAGTTTCCTTGGCCCAGGTCCCTACATCCATCTTTGCTTCCTCTTTCTGGGAACTGGTCCCTTCCTTGAGTCCCGAGCTGACTCTCATGAGGCCAGGGACCTGGTGAGGCCAGGAAAGTCCCTCAGTTTCCCTGTCTGAAAATGAGGGGTTTAGGTTAGATCAGTTTGCCTAAGTGTGATCTGCTGAACATGAGTCCTACAAAATACTCCACAAGAATCGAGTTGGATGGCCAAATAAACCAGGGAAAAGCTGGCGATTTCTTCTAGATGTTCACAGTGCACATTGGCCTAGTAAAGACTCTGAGATGTCCATAAATGAAGAAACCCAAGCTCACCAGTGTTTCTCAAGCAACTTATTTGACTACAGAACCTTTCTCATACTCCTCATAGTGTTCTGTTGATAATGTTCATCACACCATGGATGGGTTCGGTCTCTTGGTGGGTATCAACCCAGTGACCACAACCAAGAAAGATTTAGCAAGGGGATTTTATTACATGTAACAAATAAGGAGAACGCCAGGGGTAGTTTCCAAAGCAGTGTCTCCCTGAGCTGGGGCTGAGTCAGGTTTTATAAGCCTAGGATAATGAGGCGTGATCTGTTTGGATCTTGCAATGAGGTGATGTCAGGAGGCGTGATCTGACTGGACCCTGCCATGTAGCATCAGCTTCTTTTTTATTGAGATGGAGTCTCGCTCTGTCGTCCAGGCTGGAGTGCAGTGGCGCAATCTCAGCTCACTGCAACCTCCGCCTCCTGGGTTCACGCCATTCTCCTGCCTCAGCCTCCCAAGTAGCTGGGACTACAGGCACCCACCACCATGCCCAGCTAATTTTTTGTATTTTTAGTAGAGATGGGGTTTCACCATGTTAGCCAGGCTGGTCTCGATCTCCTGACCTAGTGATCTGCCCTCCTTGGCATCCCAAAGTGCTGGGACTACAGGCGTGAGCCGTCGCACCTGGCCAGCATCAGCTTCTGAATTCAGTCCCCACTCCTCGGACTGAGCCCTTAGGATCCCCCTGTGGTTGCACCCTTGGTTCATCTGGGCATGCTCTGGTTATGTGACCTGAGGGTCCCTGGCAAACTCAAAACCAACTCATAACTTTCTTACATGCAAGTTGAACCAGGCCTGGTGTGGTGGCTCACACCTGTAATCCCAGCACTTTGGGAGGCTAAGGTGGGCAGATCACTTGAGATCTGGAGTTCGAGACCAGCCTGGCCAACAGTATCTACTAAAAGTACAAAAATTAGCCAGGTGTGGTGGGCGCCTATAATCCCAGCTACTCTGGAGGTTGAGGCAGGAGAATCGCTTGAACCCAGGAGGCAGAGGTTGCAGTGAGCCGAGATCATGCCACTGCACTCCAGCCTGGGGGACAGAGCAAAACTCTGTCTCAAAAAAAAAAAAAAAAATGCTGAACAGGAATTTTCCAGCGTGGTTACAATAACACTTTGGAAAATGTCAAATAGATGATCTCTAAGGTCCCTCCTCACCTCTACTCCAAAATGTAAGGTCTTTGAGCTTAGGGACTATTGTTGACACTTGTCCCCTAATTTTGCCTGCCCAGCACCCTAAGCCCCCTCCTTGATTTGAGGGAATCTCATATGATTCCTGGAGGGAAGCAGCGCTCCATCTCTCACTATGGAGGTCACAAGGAGCAAGATATTTCCTCCTCCCTGTTTCTGGCTGCTGGTTGGGGGTATGTGATCTTGGCTCTAGACTTAGAATCCAGAGATGATGGCCTAGAGATAAAGGGACAGTGGGGGATTCAGATGGCCTAGAGATAAAGGGACAGTGGAGGATTCAGAGAGGCCATCCCCACAGGCAGGAATGGGCACCTACAGTAGTATTCTGCATGGATTCTAAATGAACACACAGATGGGCCTAAGAGAGAGACTGGGCTCCTTTTGTGTGGATCTAGGAGTTTGTTTCAAGGCTTCAAGTACAAGTAGAGAGATTTTAGGTCAAAATATAGACAGAGTTTTGGAGTAGGCTGCCTCTGAAGGCAATCTGATTCCCGTTGGTGGAGGTTGCATGAGCAGAAGCTGGTCAGCTGTTGGTAGAGAGGCTAGATCACAATGGGGTCCAATACCTGGCTGGATGGTGTATCAGTCAGCTTTTTCTGTGTAAGAACCATAAAACCTCAGTGCTATACAACAGTAAGGGCTTATGGCTCACAGGCCAGGCAGCTTTGCTGATCTTGGATGGGCTCATTCACATGTCTGGGGGTTGGTTGGTGTTGGCTGGTCTACATTGCCTCGGCTGGGATGACCAGGATGGCTTTGCTCTGCTCCGCATGTCTCTCATTCTCTCTCAGGCTCACCCAGGCCTGTTCTCTTGGCTATGGTGGAGGCACAAGGGAGCAGATATAAATATGCAAGGCCTCTGGGGGCCCAGACTCAGAACTGGTATCCAGTCACTCCTACTGCATTTTGTTGGTCAGAGTAGGCCACAAGCCAGGCCACATTCAAAGATGAGGAAATAAACCCTACCTCTTCAGTGAGATAAACTGCAAAGCGTTAGGACAAAGCCTGTGGGTAGAGGGAGGGATGAAGAATTAGGGACATTAATGCAATGCAAAATAGGTGGCAGTTAGACCAGTGTTTTTCAGCCTGTGTTCTATGCAAGCCTAAGTTTTGCACATTTTTCTCAGGGATCCCTATAAGCCTTGGGGGAGGCTGAGTGGGTTGGAAGTTTTCCTCTGGACTATTGTAAAAGCCTTTTAACTTAGTATGAATAATGGTACAAATTACTGAATACTCACTACACATCTGGTATATTTTAGCTCCCTCTTTAATCCCTTAAGAACTCTTGAAATGGGTATTATTACTTTTGTCATTTTGTTGATGAAGATACACTGAACCTTAAAAAGGTTAAGTAACCAGCCCAGAGTCACATGGTTTGGCCTGTCTGATCTGAGCGTCCTTGCCCTCAAATACTCTGCTCTTCCACCTCCTGTCTTTCCATTGTTGGGGCTGCCGATTGGTTTGACAGGTACTGGGGAGAGACCCAGACTGCAGGGAACCAGAGGACAGGTGAGAGCACAGGGGGAAGGCAGGAGAGCACAGTAGTGGCTGATGGGCAGAGGATGGGGCAGCAGAAGGGCCTGAGGTTTTACATGGGGTGAAGGGCAGGTGTGCCTGCTACAGGGGTTACATCCTGAGGCAGAGCCATCCTGAGTGTGGGGGCTACCACAGGTGCATCTGGGTTGAAAGTTCATTTACTTCCTCATTCAACCGAGGGCTATTGAGTAACTACCATGTTCCAGGCACTGTTGTAGGTACTGGGGAATAAGACACACCAGGTTACTGCCCTTTTGAAATTTACTTCCCAATGGAGGGAGACAGACACTAAACCTATAGGTAGATCCGTAATGTAACTTCAGATAGTAATAAGAACTGAAGGCCTGGTCTCCCTGAAGGGGATTCCCCGGTGGGTTCAAGGTTGCATTGATGGTAGAATACACAGGCAAGGAGTCACCTTCCAGTGCTCCCTGTGGGGCTGTGCTGTCTGGCCAGAGGGAGAGCGCAGCCCACAGGTAGATCGGCCGGAGGCCAAGCCTTTTTGGGTTGAATTCTCAGGCCAGGGCCTTAGGTGCCCTGGGGCAGGAAGCAGGTGTGGAGTTGGATAAGGACAGAGCAAAAATAGAGCTGAGGGTAGTAAGGGAAGATGAGGGAGGACTGTGAAATTAGAGAGGTGGGGATGGGGAGTTGGGTTAAGTTTGACAGGATGGAGTCTAGTTAGAGAACAGCCTGTGGAACAGGGCCTGGGTGAAGCCCCTTAGGTCCCAGGGATCTTAGGTGCCAGAGATCAGTTCCAATGCCAGCTCAGAGTGCAGCTGCTTAAAGTAATGCATGGAAGATGGATTTTGAGGCAGCCTCCCACTTTAGTGGTAAAGAAAGACTTTATTGGTAATGTCTGCCATGGTCATGGAAGGGAGAGGAGGAGCACAGTACAACAGTGCACTGGGTATTTGGTGGGAGCAGCCCACCTTTGGGGGGTGTTTTATCACTAATACCCTCTAGAATTGCCAGCACATGGTGAAAATAAAAAGCTGGCTGAGTTTTAGGCAGCTTTATTGTTCTTTTTAAATTTACCACAGACAGTGCACCCCCTTATTGCCCACATCTCGGGTTGACCACTCCCATCCCCGACTTTGGCACATCCCTGTACACGTGCAGATGGTAGAGCAAAAGCAAAGCACCCCTTTCTAGCATCTGTTATAAGCCTCCAGGGGCAGGATGCACCCTGCCTTTTTTCCAAAGACTTGGACTCGAAGGATAGCTTGCTGTGTTGCATTGGTCATATCACTTGGCTTTTAGAGCTTTTCTTCGTCTGTGCAGTGAAACACCTGGTGTGGCCTCATTCTAGCACTCTGGCATACATGGAGCACTCTGGCCCTGAGCTGGTGGACATCAGAGGTCTTGTTTGTACAAGAGCCCCTGGGCTCAGTTAGAGAAATGATTGAAAGGTATTTGAGAGTTGATTATTTGCTTCCTGGACAGTACTATTAAGACCTTCCCCCAAAGAAAGGAAAATAAATACTGCCCCAGCCTTTTGAAGGGGAAGGTCGTGGATAGGAATGGAAGACAGAGGTGAAGTGGAGTCAAAGGACATGGACTTTCTCTGGGCAGGGTCAGAATCGGCAAGGACGGCAAGATGTAATCTCTTGGTGGTGTTCAGAGCTGTGAGGTTGGCTGCAGGGGCTGTGACCCTTGGAGAGAGGTCATTCTTTTCCTTAGAGCTAAAGAGGGACCAATGGGGCCAGAGTCTCTGTGTGTACAGGGTATGGAGATGGTGCGGCCTGGGGGAGCAAGAGTTACATCTACAAAATGGGGGTGATGCTCCCTGCTTTACCAACTGTAGCAGGGGCTGTCAGTGTCCTACCCATACCCCCTTGGTACTGACCATCCTTGCACAGCTGTCAACTTGCATTTCTCTGCCTGAGGACATTCTCTGGATACAGGAGATGCTCAGCTCAATCATGGAGCAGTCTGGAAGCTTAGAGAGTTTAGATGCCGGGGACAGCTCTCAACCAATGATGTGTAGGAGTGGTGGATAAATATTCCAGCTTCCTGCACGGCAAGCTGGGGAGGAAGCCCCCAGTCCATGGGCCACAGTTGAACCCCCTGTCACAACAAGGGAACAATGGTTTGGACGGCATCTCTGGGGGACAATTTTGTTCTGTGCTGTCTCCAAGATGTCCCTAGTGGGACTGAGCCCCAGTTGTCCACAGCAATCCCTGTTCACCCTGTATTGGTTTCCTCCTTTCCCTATCTCTTTTCTTTTATGGTGGCTTTCTGGGATCAACCCCCAAATAAACCATCTTGCACTCAAATCCTTACCACCTGCTTTGGATGGAGGAGGGGGGATCCCAAACTAAGACATTAACCTAACTGATCTATTGTGAGCTTTTTGATAAGAGATACAGCTCTGGCAGGTTGATGATGGTTTCTGCAGCAGCTCTCTAGGAAACTAATACAGTAACCTGGTAAGTGCTTTGTAAACTAAAGACTCCTACAAATATAAAGGGCTCTGGGACTGGTCAGGGCATGGTAAAAAGCACATGAACTTTGTGGTCAGACAGATAAAAATTAATATCCCAACTGGGTACCAATTGCTGTGTGACTTTGAACAAGTCACTCAGCCTCTCTAAACCTCAGTTTCCTTATCTGAAGAAGGCCATGGGCAGCAGTCCCTACTTCTCATGGTCTCTACAAGCACTGAAAAGGATATTAATAGCTGGCAAAGGGACTGGCATAGAGACTGGCTGAGGAGCAGGCACCTGATAGAGCGTTCCAGCTCTTGAAGGCTAGCCTGCTGTGCTTCTGAGGTCTGTGGCCTGGCAGTCTCTTCTCTTTCTCTGAAAGGCTTGTGGCTGGGTGCTTTATCCCTGGAGTGGCAGGCGCTTTCTGTCCCCCAACCTGACTCTGAACCTGGCAGGCTGGTCAGAATGACCTCCGGGGCCAGCCTGGTCCTGGCCCTGCCTCTGCAGCCCCACCTGGCAGCCAGGCCTGTCCATGCTTATCAGTGCCTGTGTTTGCTCAGCATGGGTACAGTCCTCCTCCTCCCCTTCAGAAAACAAGAAAACATGTTTTGCCAGTGATGGGGTGGAGTGGGGTGGCCTCTCTGGCTCCAGGCTGGGCCCCCAGCAAGGCCGCCAGTGGGCGGGCAGCCTGTTGTTGTTGGAGTGGAGAGCTGGCCCGCCAGCCGCCTGTTTCCTCCAGCTGTCCAAGCACGGCGAGCTGGGGAGGAAGCCCCCAGTCCGTGGGCTCCAGTTGAACCCCCTGTCACAACAAGGGAACAATGGCTTGGACGGGCTGGTGGGTGGGTGGAAAGGCAGCCCCCTCTGATCCCTGCTTCCACCAGTGACAGAGACAGGTTGATTGGGTGGGGAGATTTGCTCTCCTCTTACTTCCCCCACCCACTGTCTTGTTTTCCACCTTGTTGGGCACACTGTCTCTCACCTCAGGGCCAAGGAAAACAGCGGTCTCAGGAAGCGTCTCTGGGCTGTTGCTGGGGTTCCACAGCTTTTGGAGGCAGCAGAGCTGGGGGAAGGGGCCAGAGTGGGACTGGCATGGCACAGGCTGCATTCTGCATGGGACTGTTGCTAATGAGTCATGATCTGTTTCCCCTGGGGCACCTTGAGGATTTTGTGTCTCTGCACCTTTGTGTCTTCAGGCCCTGTGTATGACCTGGCACAGGGCATGTGGCAGAAACAATTTCTTGACCCAATCAATGAAAGATTGAACATATGAATACGTTTAATTTCTAGCTGTGCTACCTGGTGGCTGTGTGACTTTCAGCAGGTTACATAACCTCTCTGGGCCCTATTTTCCTCATCTGTAGAATATGTACCTTATAGAATTATTGTGAAAATTAAATGTGCTTCTAGCATCTCAACTTTCTCATGGGGAGTGTACAACACAATAAACCCAATAGATTTTAGCTATCATTAGACTGTTGCTGTTGGTGGTGGTATTGTCAGTGTGTGATTTAGAGGAGGTTGTTACAGTATTTCAAGTAAGAGGTCTGTACTTACTTTTGCTTCCAGGGGTACAGGAAAGAGAGCTGAGCAGATGCCACTTCTACTGGGGCTGAAGGTGCATCCCTGTACTTATCCACAGGCCTCTGTATGGTATGCTGGCCCCTGGGAGCCTGGTCAGCTCTAGTATTCTTTGGGAATTGGGAAAGTAGTTCTGGGTCTACCAAGAGACTCATGTGTGTCAGACGCTATGCTGGGTCCTTACACATCCATTACCTAGTTTAATCTTCACAACAACTCTGTGAAGAAGACATTATTATCCCCATCTTATAGATAGGCTGAGGCCTATCTATAAGGCTCTGAGGCTCAGACACTGAGGCTCAGAGAGATGGTATCACATGGCCTTGGCATGTGATTTGTAATTTGTAGAGCAGAGATTTCAGTCTAGGTCTTTGAAACACCAAGCCATGTTCATTTGGTTGTGCCTCCCTCCCTAGCGATAAAGATGTGCTACTTAACATCCTGGACTGCTGGTGGAGATTTGGCTCATCCATGATTGTAGACTCAGGATTGTAACAGGAAGTAAAGATGTAGGTTCAAGTATAGGGCCAGGAATGGAAACTGAAGAGTGAGAGGCTGAGCTCAGTATGAACTAGGACTTTTGAGGAGTTGTGTTCAAAGTAGGAAAGATAAGGATAGAGCAGTATTGTATATGGTTATACATATATCTGGGTATATTGGATTAGTTAGACTAATACTGTAACAACAACAAAAATAAAAACCCAGCTCTCTACGGCTTAACACGATAAAGGTTTGGTTTTTGCTTATTTCAGAGTCCAGTGCAATGGGGACAGCTCTGCTCCAGGCAGTCATTCAGGGACTCAGGCCCCTGTCATGCTGTGGTTCCATTGTCTTCTAGGGTCTGAGTCCTCCATTGCATCCTCTTTATCCTCCAGCAAACAGAGAGCATGGAGAAGGCACCACGGCCTTAACTACCTTGTGAAGAGGTAACACACATCATTTTTACAGTCATTCTATTGATGAGAACTAGTTGTGTAGTTCTACTAGATTCAAGGAGTCTAGAAATGAAGTCCAGCAGCATTGTCAGGAAGAAGAGGGCAACATGATATGAGTGAATCCAAGCAACCTCTACCACAATAATAATCATTTAAAAATACAGCTAACAATTATTGAAGTCTTACGTGTATGATACTGTGCTCTATAGAGGTTATTTCATTTAATTCTCATTTAATACTTGCAACAACCTTGTGAAGAAGGTTAAGTACTTATGGAGATGATTCCTCCACTTTATAGATCAGGAAACTGGTAACTATTCATCTGCTTTCTCTCACTAAAGTTTTGTCCTTTGTAGCATTTCATATAAACGTAATCGTATAGTATGGTATCTTTTGTGTTTGGCTTTTTTCACTTAGCATGCTCTTGAGATTCACCTGTGTTATTGGTGTGATCAGTTTTTTTAGCTTGTCTACAGGGTTTTGTAGTGGCATTTTATTGTGGTTTTAACTTGTATTTCCTTAACGACTAGTATTGTTGAGCATCATTTCATGTCTTTTGGTTAATACTTTTTATGGAGTTCCATTTGTCATTTTTTTCTTTTATGGTTTGTACTTTTTGTGTTGTTAAGAACTCAATGTCACAAATCTTTACCTAAATCAAGAATTTCTCTGGAAGTTTTATATTATTAGCTCTTCTGTTTAGGTTTTTAAATCTATTTTAAGTTAATTTTTATGTATGGTGTGAAGTATAGGCTGACATTAATTTTTTTCTCCATATCCAATTGTTCCAGCACCATTTAATGAAAAAAAAAATTCTGACCTCACTGATTTACTTTGGGATCTTTGTCAAAAGTCAACTGACTATATATGTGTATGTCTATTTCTGGATTGTATTCTGTTTTATTACTCTATATGTTTATCCTGATGTTGATACCACACCCTTTTGATCATAGTTTTATAGTAAATCTTGAAAATAGGTAAAGTATATGCTCCAATCTTGTTCTTTTTCTAGGTCAGTTTTTATCCAAAAGCCTGCTAAGATTTTCATTGAGGTTGTATTTCATTTATAAATCAATTTCAGGGGAACCAGCATCTTAAAAACATGAAGTCTTGTTATCCATGAAAATGGTATCTATCTTACTTATTTCGATCTTTAATTTTCTTCACCATGTGTCATAGTTTTCCGAGTAGAGGTCTTGTACATTTTGTTAAATTGATGCCTAGATTTTAAAAAAATGATTTCAATGCTATTGCAAGTAATATTTTTAAAAGTTTGAATTCCAATGATCCTTTGTGGTATATAAAAATATAGTTAATTTGTGTAAATTGGCCTTGTAAATTGAGATCCTGCTAAATTCAGTTATTATTTCTAGTATCTTCTTGTAGATTCCTTAGGATTTTCTAAATAATGATGTCATCTGAGAATAAAAATAATTTGACTTTTTCCTTTACAAGATATATGCCTTTATTACCTTTGCCTTGTCTCATTGCGCTGGACAGTAAAATATTAAACAGAAGCGGTGTGGTCAGACATCCTTGCCTAATTTACCGTTAAGTATGATGTTAGTTGTAGGTTTTTTATAGACACTCTTTATCAGATTGAGGAAGTTCTATTCTTAGAAAATTGAGTTTATAATCATCAAGTGTTGAATTTTGTCAAATGCTTTTCTTGCATCCTTTGAGATGATCATGTGTTTCCGATATTCTAATGTTACACCAATCCTGCATTCCAAGAATCAGCCAACTTAGTCATAATGTATTATCTTTTCTATATATCACTAAACTTTTATTAAGGATTTTATGTGTCTGTGTTCACAAAGTGTATTAGTCTGTAATTTCTTTTTTTGGGGGGACGGAGTCTCACTCTCTCAACCAGGCTGGAGTGCAGTGGCACCATCTCGGCTCACTGGAAGCTCTGCCTCCTGGATTTAAGCAGTTCTCTGCCGCAGCCTCCCGAGTAGCTGGGATTGCAGGTGTTTGCCACTATGCCTGGTTACAGTCTGTAATTTCTTTCTTTTTTTGTGAATATCTGTTATTTTACTCAGGCAGATGCTTGTTTGCAAATTAAGTTGGGATATATTCCCTCTTTTTCTGTTTTCTGGAAGAGTTTGTGTAGAAGTGTTAATGCTTTTTCTTTACATATTTGATAGCATTTATCAGTGATGTCATGTAGGCCTGGAGTTCTCTTTGTGGGAAGGTTTTAAACTATGAACTTTATTTAATAGATCTGAGAGTGTCCAGGTTATCTATGTCTTCTTGAGCAAGCTTTGATTGTTTGTATTTTCAAAGAATGTGCCCATTTTATCTATATTGTTGAATTTGTTGGCATGAAGTTATTCATGATATATCCTTATTATTCTTTTAATACCTGTAGGATCTGTACTCTTTTATACTTGATATTGGTAATTTGTGTCTTTTTCTATTTGTCTTGATCAATCTGGCTGGTGGATTATCCACTTTATTTATCTTTATACTTATTTTTAAAAAGTCAGCTTGGTTTGATTTTCTCTATTGTTCATATAGTTCATGGACTTCTGTTCTTTTTTTTTTTTTTTTTTGACAGGGTCTTTCTTTGTCACCCAGGCTGTAGTGCAATAGTATGATCACAGCTTAATGTAGCCTTGGCCTCCCTGACTCAAGAGATCCTCCTACCTCAGCCTCTTGATTAGCTGGGACTACAGGCACACACCATCATGCCCGGCTAATTTTTAAATTTTTCATAGACACAGAGTCTCACTATGTTGCCTAGGCTGGTCTCAAACTCCCGGACTCAAGCAATCCAATTGCCTTGATCTCCCAAAGTATGGGGGTTACGGGCATAAGCCATCTGTTCTTATCTTTATTATTTTTTTCTCTTATTTTAGGATCAGTCTTTTTTTTCTTGCTTCTAAAAGTAGAAACTTAGATTATTGATTTTGGTATTTTCTTCTTTTCTATTATAAGCATTTAAAGCTATAAATTTTCCTCTAAACACTGCTTGAGCTGCATTCCACAAATTTTGTGTGTGTTTTCATTTTCATTTAGTTTAAAATATTTCCTAATTTTTCTTGTAACTTCTTTGAGCCTTGATTTATTTCTCTGTGTTATTTTCCAAATATTTTGTTTTTCCCAGGTACCTTTTTTAGTTTTAAATTCAATTTAATTGTGGTCAAAGAACATAATTTGCATTATCCAAATCTTTATAATTTGTTGAGATTGGTTTTATGGTCTAATATTTGGTCTATCTTGGTGATGTTCCATTTGAATAAAAAAAATGTATACTCTGTCCTTAATAAGTGGAGAATTGTAGAAATGTCAATTGGGTTGAGTTGCTTTATAGTATTCTTAGAGGCTTTTAAATCCTCACTAATTTTTTTTTTTTTGGTCTACTTGTTGTATCCATTACTGAAAAGGGAGGGCTAAAATCTCCAGCTATGTAATTGGAGATCTGTTTCTCCTTTCAGTTCTGTCAGTTTTTGCTTCATGTATTTTTGAGACTCTGTAACTAGGTGCATACTGATTTAGGATTGCTACATCTTCTTGAATTTATCCCTTTATATTATGAGATGCCCCTCTTATCCCTAGTCATATTCCTTGTTATAAAGTCTAGCTGGTCTGGTATTAATATAGCCACTAATATAGTTATCTATTAGTATTTGCATGGTGTATTTTTCTCCATTCTTTTTACTTTTAATTTATTTATGTCTTTATGTTTGAAATGAGTATCTTGTGGGCAGCATATAGTGGGCTCTTGCTTTCCTATCCAATTTTGTAATTTCTTTCTTTTAATTGGAATGCTTAGATCATTTGCATTTAATGTAAGCACTGATATAGCTGGATTTAAATCTATCATCTTGTTATTTTTTTCTCTTTGTCCTATGTGTCTTTTATTTTTTCCTTTCTTTTGGCCTTCTTTTGAATTAATTATTTTGTATGATTACATTTTTAAATTAAACTTTTATTTTGAGATAATTGTGGATTCACATACAATTGTAAGAAATAATACAGAGAGATTTCATGAATCCTTATCCAATTTCTCCCAGTGGTAACATCTTGCAAAACTATGGCATAATATTGCAACCAAGTTATTGACTTTGATATAGTCAAGATATAGAATATTTCTACCACCACAAGGACCCCTCATGTTGCCCTTTTATAGCCATACCTGCCTACCTTCTACTTATACCTTCTCCGTAACCCCTGGAAACTACTACTACTTTTTTCTCCATTTCTATAATCTTCTTATTTTGAAGATGTTATATGAATGAAATTATATAGTATTTAATCTTTTGGGAGTGGCTTACTTCACTTAGCATAATTCTTTGGAGATTTATCCAGGTTGTTTTATGTATCAATGGTTTGTTCCTTTTCTATTACTGAGTAGTGTTCCACAGTATGGATATACTATTGTTTGTTTAACCATTCCCTCATTAAAGTTGTTTCCAGTCGTTGGCTATTATGAGTAAAGCTGTTACAAACTTTTGTCTACAGATGTTGTTTTGGTAAACAAAAGTTTTCATTTCTCTGGGATAAATGTCAGGAGTGTAATTTCTGGGTCATGTAATAGTTGTGTGTTTACTTTTTAAAGAAACTGACAAACTATTTTCTAGAAACATTGTACCATTTTACATTCCAACCAGCAGTGTGTGAGAGATCCAGTTTCTTTGCATCATTACCAGCATTTGGTGTTGACGCTATTTTTTATTTTAGCCACTCTCATAGGTATATAGTGAGATTTCATTGTGATTTTATTTATTTATTTATTTATTTATTTATTTATTTATTTATTTATTTAGAGATGGAGTCTTGCTAGGTCACCCAGGCTGGAGGACACTGGCACAGTCTCAGCTCACTGCAACCTCTGCCTCCTGGGTTCAAGTGATTCTCTTGCCTCAGCCTCCCGAGTAACTGGGATTATAGGCACATGCCACCATGCCTGGCTAATTTATTTTTGTATATTTAGTAGAGACGGGGTTTTACCATATTGGCCAGGCTGGTCTTGAACTCCTGACCTCAGGTGATCCATCCGCCTCAGCCTCCCAAAGTGCTGGGATTACAGGCATGATCCACCACGCCCGGCCTCATTCTGATTTTAGATTGCGTTTTCCTAATGGCTTATAATGTTGGGTATATTCTCAAGTTCTTATTTGCCATCTGTATATCTTCTTCAGTAAAATGTCTCTTCACATCTTTTGCCCATGTATTAATTGGATTGTTTGGATTTTTTTTACTGTTGAGTTTTTTTCTTTTTCAAGACAGGATCTCACTGTGTTGCCTAGGCTGGAGTGCATTGGGGTGATCATGGCTCACTGCAGCCTCAAAGTCCTGGGCTCAAGTGATCCTCCCACCTCAGTCTCCCAAGTGCAGTGATTACAGGCATGAGCCACTGCACCTGGCCTACTGTTGAGTTTTGAGGGTTCTTTATATATTCTAGATACTAGTCCTTTGGTGGATATATGGTTTGCAAATATTTTGTTCTCTCCGCAGCTTATCTTTTTATCCTTTTAACAGGGTCTTTCACAAAGCACACATTTTTTAATTTTGATGAAGTTTGATTCATCAGTTTTTCCTTTTGCTTTTAGTGTGAAGCCTAAGAACATTTTTTGCCTAGCCCTGGATTTCATTTATAAAATTTTATGATTTTACATTTAAGTCCATGATCCACTGTGTATAAGGTGTGAGACTTAGGTTGAAGTGCATTATTATTATTATTATTATTATTATTATTATTATTTGTGTATGAATGCTCAATTGCTACAGCACTGCTTGTTGAAAAGACTTATCTTTCCTCATTGAGTTGCTTTTCTCAAAAATTAGTTGGGAATATTTATGTGTGTCTATTTCTGAAGTCTCTATTCTGTTCCACTGATGTGTCTGTCACTGCATGGTACCATGTGGCTCTGATTATGTAGCTATGTAATAAGTCTCGAAATTGGGTTGACTGATTTCTCGCACTATATTCTTTTTTCCCCAATGTTTTTACTAGCTATTCTAGTTCCTTTGCCTTTCCATATAATTTTAGGACGAACTTGTCTCTATGTATAAAAAGACTTGCTGGGGTTTTGAAAGGAATTGCGTTAATTCTGTAATTTGGGGGAAATTATCATCTTTACTATGTTGAATCTTCCAATCCATGAGTATAGCATGTCTCTCCACTTATTTAGCTCTTTTTAAAATTGTTTTCATGAGCATTGTGTATTTATTTTGTTCTGTTCTGTTTTTTTTGGAGATGGATTCTCGCTCTGTCACCCAGGCTGGAGTGCAGTAGCATGATCTTGGCTCACTGCCACCTCCGCCTCCCGGGTTCAAGCGATTCTCCTGTCTCAGCTTCCCAAGTAGCTGGGATTACAGGTGTGTACCACGACACCCGGCTAATTTTTGTATTTTTAGTAGAGACGGGGTTTTGCCATTTTGGCCAGGCTGGTCTCGAACTCCTGACCTCAGGTCACCTGCCTGTATTGGCCTCCCAAAGTTCTGGGATTGCAGACATGAGCCACTGGCAGCATTGTGTAGTTTTAAGGAAACAAGTCCTGCACTTGTTTTGTTAGATTTACAACTCAATTTTTTTGGGTGATTGTAAGTGGTATTGTATTTTTAACTTTAATGTTAAGTTCAGTGCTATTATATAGAAGTACAGATGGTTGTCTACATATACAATTATGCTGTCTGCAAATAGGGACGTCTTATTTCTTCCTTTCAAATATGTATATCTTTTATTTCCTGGCTCCCTACTTGGCTTTCTCTGCACTGACAGGGGTGTTGGGAGCACCTTGTTATAGCCTAATGAAGGGGAAAGTCTAGGCTCCTCACTCAATCTTTGCTCGTGTAGGAGGGAGTGTGGCTACACCGTACAACATTGTGTACAAATGTACACATATACAACATTGTGAGTTATACAGTTTTTTCTTGGTGTTTTCCTGGAGTAGAGTGTTATTGTCTAAAGGTTTTCTTTCTTTCTATCCTGCTGTTTTCTTGTCCTTTGGCTAAAGAGAGTAGGCTTTTGTTGGAGCTTTATTTTTGGTCTGTGCCTGTTGGCATTTAAAGTTGCCAGCTTCTTCACCTCCAAATTTGGGATTTTTGAGGCCAAAAGAAAATCCAGTGAACTTTGTCATCTCATGTCATTTCTCTGGTCTTAAGGTCCCTAGCTCATCTTTATGGAAGTGGAAGCTACATGATTATGTTTTAGCTCCACTATTAGCTTATGAGTTATACCTCTTTTAAAAAATGTTTTTATAGAGGTTTCCATAGGGTTTACAATGTTAATCTTTAACTTATTATCACATTCTACCTTCAAGCAATATTATACTGCTTCACATACAAGAACCATATAACAGTATATTTCTATTTTTTTATTCTCCTGGCCTATGAGCTATTACTGTCATGTTTTATTCCTACATATGCTATAAACATCACAATATAATGTTATTTTTTGCTTCAAACAGTCAATTGTCTTTTTTATTTTTATTTTTTTTTGAGACAAGGTCTCACTCTGTCACCCAGACTGGAGTGCAGTGGTGCGTATATGGCTTTCTGCAGCCACAAACTCCTGGGCTTGAGCGATCTTACTGCCTCAGCCTTCTGAGTAGCTGGAACTACAGGTATATGCCACCATGCTCGACTAATTTTTTTTTTTTTTTAAGAGATGGAGTCTTCCTGTGTTGCCAAGGCTAGTCTCAAACTCAGGAATCCTTTTGCCTTGTCCTCCCAAAGTGCTGGGATTACAGGCATGAGCCACAGTGCCCAGCCACAATTATCTTTTAATGAGATTTTAAAAAGTGTCTTTTATGTTTATCTACATATTTACAATATTTTCTCCTTCATTCATTTATGTACATCTACATTTCCACCTGTATCATTTTACTTCTTTCTGAAGAACTTCATTTAACATGTCTTGTAGTACATATCTGCTGGCATGAATTCCCTTAGTTTTTGCTTGTTTGAAAATGTCTTGTTTAGCTGTCATTTAAAAAAATAACAGCTTTGATGAGATATAATTCACATAACATACAATTCACTAATTTAAAGTATGCAATTCAGTGGTCTGTAGTATATTCACAGAGCCATGTAACCAATCACCATGACTAATTTTAAAACTTTTTTTTATGCTAGAAAGAAACCTTGGACCCATTAGCAGTCGCTTCCCATTGCCCCCCAAGCTCCCAGCACTAGGCAATCACTAACCTACTTTCTGTCTCTATAGATTTGTCTATTCTGGACATTTAATGTACATAAAATTACACAATCTGTTGTTTTTGTGACTGGCTTCCTTCATTTAGCATAATGTTTTTATACACATTGTAGCATATATCAGTCACCTTTATTTTTGGAATATATTTTCCCTGGGTTTAGAGTTCTAGCCTGATAGTTGTTTGTTTTTCTTTTTCTTCTTAGCTTTAAAAATGTTCCACTTGATTTTGGCTTGCTTAGTTTCTGATGAGAAGTTTTCTTTCATTCTAATCTTTGTTCCTCTGTATGTAATATTTTTTTCTCTGGATGCTTTTAAGATTTCTGATTTTCAAGTTTTGATTATGATGTGCCTTGGTGTGGTTTTCTTTATATTTATCTTGTCTGGGCTCCATTGAGCTTCTTAGTTGAGATTCTGTGAGTTTATTATTTTCATCAAATTTGAATTTTTTGTCATTTTTTTCTTTAAATGCTGTTCCTATTTCCTATTCCCGCTTTTCTCTTTTTACTTCTCAGATTTTCTCTTCATTAGACTACTTGATACTGTCTCATAGGTCACTGATGCTCTGCTCAGTCTTTTTGAATGACTTTCTTTTTTCTTTTTTTTTTGAGACGGAGTCTCGCTCTGTCGCCCAGGCTGGAGTGCAGTGGCGAGATCTCGGCTCTCTGCAAGCTCCGCCTCCTGGGTTCACGCCATTCTCCTGCGTCAGCCTCCCGAGTAGCTGGGACTACAGGCACCCACCAGCACGCCCAGCTAATTTTTTGTATTTTTAGTAGAGACGGGGTTTCACTGTGTTAGCCAGGATGGTCTCGATCTCCTGACCCTGTGATCTGCCTGCCTCGGCCTCCCAAAGTGCTGGGATTACAGGCGTGAGCCACTGCACAGGTGACAGAAAGTCACCTGAATGACTTTCTGTACTTCATTTCGAGTAGTTTCTGTTGGTATGTCTTCATCTTTACTGTAGTGTCTATTCTGATGTAAATCTCATCCAATGTACTTTTTTCTTCTGATACTGCATTTTATTCTCTCTACAAATCCCATTTTGGTCTTTAAAATGTATTTTTCTTTTTTTCTTCAGCATATTCATGTTTTCCTTTATATCATTGAGAATATATTTTTATATTTATAAAGTAACTCAATTCATTTTCTGCTAATTCCATCATTTCTGTTATTTAGGGGCCTGTTTCTATTTATGAAATTGTTTCTTGGTTTGGGGTCACTTTTTCCTGCTTCTTTGCATGCCTGGTAATTTTTTATTGAGTGTTGGATATTGTAAGTTGTAATTTTTGGATGCTGGGTTTTGTTGTATTCCTTTATAAAATATTGAAATTGCTCTGCCATGCAGTTGAGCCACTTGGGATATTAGATCTTCTTGAGGCTTGCTTTTAAGTTTTGTTAGGGTGAGTCAAGAGGATCATTTAGTGTGGGGCTAATTTAGCCTGCTCCTGTGTGTTGCTAATGTCAAGACTTTATCCAGTGCCCTGTGTATTCTGTGTTTTTTCCACTCTGGAAGATGCAAACATGAACTATTCTTAGCCTTGTGGAGCTCCAGGATTTGTTCAGCTTATAGTTTTCTATTGATTATTGCCTTAGGAGTTTCACCTTACACATGCAGTGATTGTTACTTAGGTAAACACTCAAGGGTACCCTTCTGAAGATCTCTGGAATTCTCTTTCTTTGTGCAGCTCCATCTTCTGTGGTATTCTGCCCCAGAAAATCTAGACATTTTTGCCTCCCTGAATTCTGAGCTCTTTCTCTTCAATTTAGCAAGACTGTGGATCTCTGTTTGGGTTTCTCTCCCTGCTCTGCAGCCTGGAAACTCTTCACAAGTAACTGGGGCAATGGTAGGGCTCACTTTATTTCCCTTTCCTGAGTTCTTCACTACCTATTGTTCAGTATCCAAAAGGAGTTGTTTCATATATTTTGCCTGGTTTTCTAGTTGTTTATGGTTGGAAGAAAGTTTGCATAGAAGTGTCATTTGTGAGTAGAAGCAGAATTCTCCACTAGCTTTTAAATTCAATAACTTCTAAAATATTTCTATGTTTGATTTAGATTTCTTTCTTCATGGTCTTAAAAGAACACCTTTTTTTTCCCTCAATTTTGATACCTTTTTGTTTTTTTCTCGATAATATAAAGCATACTTATTCATATCACATGGATATTTTCATAGTAATATTATATAACACATCACTCGAAAACTCACTGGCCTAAAACAAAAATCGCATATTTTTATGAATCTGTTGACTGGCTGGAACTAGGCTGGGCTTTGCTGGGGGCCTCTGCCTAAAACTGGGGCAGCTGATGTGGCTCCACTTTTCACTGTAGATCTGTGGTCAGTTGGGGCAGCTCTGCTTCTAGCGTTCATTCGGGGCCCTGGCTGAAAGGCAGCAGCCACCCCGAGGAAGTTCTTCTTGTGATGATCGCAGAGGCACAAAAGAACAAACAGAAACACTCAGTCTTCTTAAGGCTGAGTCTGGGAATCGTCCATGGCCCCTTCCTCCTCAAGTCATTTGCCAAAACAAGGCACCTAGCCAAGCTCTAAGTTGAAAGGCGTAAAAGTATACTCTGCCTACAGTGGGGCTAGGGCAAGGGTGTGGATGCAGGGGAGGATAAAGTATTGAAACCAGTAATTCAAACTATTACATAAATTTTCTTTCTATTTATTTATTTATTTATTTATTTATTTATTTATTTATTTAGAGACAGAGTCTCTCTCTGTCACCCAGGCTGGAGTACAATGGCACGATCTTGGCTCACTGTAAACTCTGCCTCCCAGGTTCAAGCGATTCTCGTGTTTCAGCCTCCCAAGTAGCTGGGATTACAGGCGTGCACCACCACGCCTGGCTAATTTTTGTATTTTTAGTAGAGACGGGGTTTCACCATATTGGCCAGGCTGGTCTCAAACTCCTGACCTTAAGTAATCTGACCGCCTCAGCCTCCCAAAGTGCTGTGATTATAGGTGTGAGCCACCGTGCCTGGCTTATTACATGAATTTAAAATCCTGACCAATGGTTCAATGACTTGAAGTGTTTGGAAGTGAAATTCTTCCGTATATTGTTTTTGCATACTTCCATTCATGGTGCATTATTTTCTGGTGTATTTTGTCATTTTGGATTGGTGTTCAGATATGGTAGGCCTTTTAGAAATGGAACTTCCATGTGGCCTGGCTTGAGGAAACATCCCTCAAGAATAATTTTTTGTCGGTCTCTTCCAGGTACCCTAAGGTTCGCATTAGCCAGGGACTCTTTATTACGTTAATTTCTCAGGTTGGAGGTATGTGGACATTGCAAGGAGTAGAAAATTGAACCCTAGGCTGGGAACAGGGGCTCACACCTGTAATCCCAGCACTTTGGGAGGCCGAGGCGGGTGGATCACCTGAGGTTAGGAGTTTAACACCAGCCTGGACAACATAGTGAAATCCCGTCTCTACAAAAATACAAAAATTAGCTGGGCGTGATGGTGGGTGCCTGCAATCCCAGCTATTTAGGAGACTGAGGTGGGAGAATAGCTTGAACCCAGGAGGAAGAGGTTGCAGTGAGCTGAGATCACGCCATTGCACTACAGCCTGGGTGACAGAGCAAGACTCCGTCTCAAAAAAAAGACTCAAGTCTCAAAAAAAAAAAAAAAAGAAAGAAAAAAGAAAAAAGAAAAAGAAAATTGAACTCTATATCATGTAGAGCAGTGGTTACCAAATCTCAGGTGAGGCATATTTCCTCCTACTAGAACCAGGGCTGAGAGAGACGGATAGTGTACTGGCTTTATGCAGGAGCCTCAGTTTAACCTCCTCAGGTGGGCCCAAAGCCTTGTGCCTTATTCCTACATCATCATTAAAAGCCAACCCCTTGTTACCAAAAGCAGGACAACAAAAAGCATTGGTAGGCCAGGCACGGTGATTCACGCCTGTAATCCCAGCACTCTGGGAGGCTGAGGCAGATAGATCACTTGAGGCCAGGAATTTGAGACCAGCCTGGCCAACATGGTGAAACCCTGTCTCTACTAAAAATACAAAAAATTAGCCAAGTGTGGTGGTGCACACCTGTAATCCTAGCTACTCGGGAGGCTGAGGCACGACAATTACTTGAAGTCAGGAGGTGGAGGTTGCAGTGAGCCAAGATTGCACCACTGCACACCAGCCTGGGTGACAGAGTGAGACTGTCTCAGACAAAAACACACATGACAACAACAACAACAACAAAAAAGCATTGGTACCCACATATTCATTTTAGTTTTAATTTCCTCTTTAGTTTTGTTGCCTTTATTTTTAGCTCGGTGCTACACTTGAAAAGTTGCTTGTAAAAATTTACCCAGCATTTCTTTATTTTTTTGTCTTCAACTTTTATTTTAAGTTCAGCGGTACATGTGCAGGATGTGGTTTGTTACGTAGGTGAACATGTGCCATGGTGATTTGCTGCACAGATCATCCCATCACCTAGGTATTAAGCCCAGCATTCATTGGCTATTCTTCCTGATGCTCTCCCTCCCCAGCACCCCTCACAGGCCACAGTGTGTGTCAGTCCCTCCTTGGGTGTCCATGTGTTCTCATCATTCACTTCCCACTTATAAGTGAGAACATGTGGTGTTTGGTTTTCTGTTCCTGTGGTAGTTTGCTGAAGATAATGGCTTCCAACTCCATCCATGTCCCTGCAAAGGACGTGATCTCATTCCTTTTTATGGCTGCATAGTATTCCACGATGTATATGTACCACATTTTCTTTATTCAGTCTATCATTGAGTGGCGTTTAGGTTGATTCCATGTCTTTGCTATTATGAATAGTGCTGCAATGAACATATACATGCATGTATCTTTATAATAAAACAATGTATATTCCTTTGGGTATGTACCCAGTAATAAGACTGCTGTTTACCCAGTATCTCTATCTGTTTTGTATAGTGAGTTTTCTCAGGTTCTCTCATTAGCTATTTTGCGATTTTGTATATGATCTTCTCTTTTCCTGGATTACTCCCAATATCCACTTACACTTTAGGCTCCATTTCTTCTGAATCCTCTGGTAAATTAGATATTCTTCTTCTTCTTTCTCGTGGGGAAATTATTTTCCTTCATAGCGTGTTTATATTTTGTGATCTTATATGCTTATTTAACTTCTGCTTTTCCCATTAGACTCTCAGCTCCTCATAGACAGAGACCAGATCTGTGTTGTTTTCTACTAATTCCCAGAGCTTAGTACAATGCTTAGAACATAACAGGCCCTCTGTAAGTATTTGTTGAATGAATAGTCGTGATATTTGGAAATACCACTTGTCATTACTGTCATGTATGTGACATTATGTTAGTCAAAGTACTTTTAAGTATGGTTTCCAAAAGCTTGCTACTTGCCTGCGTTAAGACTGTTCTAGTCTCTGTTCTGGTCAACCTGTTAATGAATGATTGGATAATGACATGTATGGACTGTGTCAGAGAATTATACAAGCTTTTTACCAGTCAAGACTCTTGGTTGAAAGCAATAGAAATGGACTCTGATTAATTTAAACAGAAAAGGAATTTAATTGAAAAGGTATTATATAACTTGTACAACTGATGGGAAGATGGAATTAGGTTTGAACAGGATCCAAGAAAGGAAAAGCCCAGTTGCTATAGTTTGAATGTTTGTGTCCCCTCTAAAGTTTGTGTTGAAACTTAATCATCAATGTGATAATATTAAGAGGTGGTAATTAAGGTAATTAAGTCATGAAAGCAGAGCCCTCATGAATGGGATTAGCAACCTTATAAAGGGCTGGAGGGAAATAGCACCCCCCCTCCCACTTTTGCCCTTCTATCCCTTCTGCCATGTGAAGACACAGTGTTTGTCCTCTCTGAAGGGTGCAGCAGCAAGGTACCATCTTGAAAGCAGAGACAGGGCCTTGCCAGACACCAAACCTGCCAGGTTAGACTTCTCATTCTCCAGAACTACGAGCAATAAATTTCTATTCCTTGTAAATTACCTACTCTCAAGTATTTTGTTATGGCAACACAAATGGACTACGACAGAAGTTGGTGTGAGAAGTGGGGCATTATGATAACAAATACCTAAAAGTGTGGAAGCAGCTTTGGAACTGAGAAATGGGTAGAGGCTGGAAGGAAGAGATTGGAGGTGTATGCCAGAAAAAGCCTAGATGATCCTGAACAGAGCATTAATCACCATGAATGGTAATTTTGGTGAGGGCTCAGAAGAAGAGAGCTGTAGAGAAAGCCTAAATCTTCTTAGAGACTGAGTGGTTGTGAACAGAATGTTGGTAAAAATATTGGTAGTATGCTGGGCGCTGTGGCTCATGCCTGTAATCTCAGCACTTTGGGAGGCCAAGGCAGGAGGCTCACTTGAGCTCAGGAGTTTGAGACCAGCCTAAGCAACGTAGGGAGACCCTACCTCTACAAAAATAAAAAAAAGTTTTCAGGCTTGATGGTGCATGCCTGTGGTCCTAGCTACTTGGGAGGCTGAGGTTGGAGGATCACTTGGGCCCAGGAGGTCGAGGCTGCAGTGAGCCAGGATTGCACCACTGCAGTCCAGCCTGGGTAACAGAGCAGAACTCTGTATATAAAAAATAAAGTAAAATATGAGTGGTAAAGGCAATCCTGATGAGGTCTCAGATGGAAATGAGGAAACGTGTCATTGGAAACTGGAGAAAAGACCATTCTTGTTACAAAGTGGAGAAGAATTTAGCTGAATTGTATTCATGCCCTCCTGCTTTGTAGAAGGCAGAACTTAGGAGCCATGAACTAGGATATGTGGCAGAAGAAATCTAAGTGTTCAGGGTGCTGGATGATTTATCTTGAATACTTATAGTAAAATATAAGAAGAGAGAAATGAATTAAAGATGGAATTTATAATCAAAAGGGAAGCAGAATTTAAGCCTTTGGAAAATTTTCAGCTTTGCTATGTACAGAATAAAAAAGCATGTTCAGGAGAGAATACCAACGGGGTAGCCAAGCGAATGTTTGATAAGGAGATTAGCACAGATGAAAGGGAGCCAGATGCTATTCATCAGGATAAAGAAAGAATGACCCCAAAGGCATTTTGGAGATTTTTGAGGCTGCCACTCCCATTATAGTTCCAGAGCGCCAGGGCCTTGAGAACTGAATGGTTTCAAGGGAAGGGCCCAGGGCACCCACGGTACCTCAGGACTCACTGCCCAGTTCTGCCTTCCGTTTCTGCTCCTCAAATTCTGGTACAGTGCTCCTTAACCACCCGAGCTGTGGCTCAAGTGGGCCCAGGTATGGCTTGAACTACTGCTCTGGAGGGCACAAATGGCAAAACTTGGCAAAGTTCCTGTGGGGCTAACTCTGCAGGTGCACAGAGTGCACAAGCTATGGAGGCATGGCTACTTCCACCTAGATTTCAAAGGATGCTTCAAAGAGCCTTGCCAATGCCTAGTGACCATGGGAGTGGGGCCACCCCAGAGTCCCCACTAGGGTAATACCCAGCAGAGCTGTGAGGTCAGAGATACTGCAGACAGCCCCCACTTGGGCAATGCTTAGTAGAGCTTTGGAGGCAGGGCTGCCCCCGAAGATCCCAGACCTGTAGAGCCACCAGCCACCGGCATGCAACGTCAGCCAGGGAGAGCCACAGGCACCTAACTCCAGCCCTTGAGAGCTGCTGTGTGGGCTGTACTCAGAGAAGCCATGGGAGTGGGGCTGCCTGGAGCCTTGGGGGTCCAACCCTCATCTTACTGTGTCCAGAAGGTGGGACAGACATGGAGTCAAATAAGATTATTCTTTTTCTTTTTTCTTTTGAGGTGGAGTCTTGCTCTGTCGCCCAGGCTGGAGTGCAGTGGCGCAATCTTGGCTCACTGCAATCTTTACCTCCTGGGTTCAAGCGATTCTCCTGCCTCAGCCTCCTGAGGAAGATAATTCTCTTATTGAGCTGGATCCCCATTTGCCCCATTTTATTATAACACCCAACACCTCCCCCACACCTGCAAGCCTGTCCCCACTCCAGGTCCAGTGATGTACCCTACTTTCCTTTCCTTTTGGGTTCCTTTTTGGATTACAGATGTGCGCCACCATGCCTGGCTAATTTTTGTATTTTTAGTAGAGATGGGATTTCATCATGTTGATCAGGCTGGTCTCAAACTCCTGACCTCATGATCCACCTGCCTCGGCCTCCCAAAGTGCTGCGATTACAGGCATGAGCTACCATGCTTGGCCAAGAAGATTATTCTTAAGCCCCAAGATTTAATGCTGTTTGCCTTGCTGGGTTTTGGACTTACCTGAGACCTGTTACCCTTTTCTTCTTTTCTTTTGCTCCCTTTTGGAATGGGAATGTCTGTCCTATGCTCGTTATACCTTTGTATTTTGGAAGCACATAACTTGTTTGATTTCATAGGCTCACAGCTAGAGGAGAATTTGCCTCAGGATGAATCATTTCTTTGAGTCTCACCTATATCTGATTTGGACTTTAGACTTTTGAGTTGATGCTGAAATGAGATAAGACTTTTGGGGCTACTGGAATGGAAGGAAGATATTAGGTTGGTGCAAAAGTAGTTGCAGTTTTTGTTATCACTTTTAATGGCAAATATTTTACATGTGAGAAGGACATGAATTTTGGGAGTCAGGGGCAGAATGCTGTGGTTTGAATGTTTGTGTCCCCTCTAAAATTCATGTCAAAACTTAATTGCCAATGTTGTATTAAGATGTGGGGTAGGGCCTTTAGGAGGTAATTTAAGTCATGAGAGCAGAGCCCTCATATATGGGATTAGTGACCTTATAAAGGGCTGGATGGGACTAGCTAGGCCCTCCTTTTTTGCCATTCCGTCCCTTCCACCATGAGAGGATACAGCATTCATCCTCTCTGGAGGATACAGCAGCAAGGAATCATCTTGGAAGCAGAGACTAGGCCCTCACCAGCCATTGAACCTGTTGGTGCCTTGATCTTGCCTTCACAGCCTCCCAAACTGTGAGAAATAAATTTTTGTTTTTGTTTTTTTTAAAATAAATTACCCACTTGCAGGCATTTTATTATAGCAGCACAAACTGGCTAAGACACCAGCCAAGATTCATACCATCGTGGACATAGTTTGCTTAGAATTCCTATCTGATGATGCTGTCACTGGACACGTCCTGCTCTGTTCTTGGATTCTGTATTCCCTGCTCACTCATTATCATACTACTGGGCTTATCTTTACCTTCCTTGTGCCTTTGCAGCACTTTCTGGAGCGTCCTGGGTGGAAGCATCTGGTTGGCTGAACTTAAGTCATGGGCTTGCCCTGCTTGCTAGGTTTTGGTACAAAGGTACTGTCTCTTCACTTTGGCTGCCATGATGGAAGACAGAATCTGCCTTCAACTGATCTTAGGACGCTCTCCTCAATAGGAAGGGATTCATATGTCTCTTCAGAGACAGCTGCTAACCCCAGGGAAGATAATTCTCTTATTGAGCTGGATCCCTATTTGCCCCACTTTATTATAACACCCAACACCTCCCCCGCTGCTGCCAGCCTGTCCCCACTCCAGGTCCAGGGATGTAGCCTACTTTCCTTTCCTTTTTGTGTTCCTTGCCTGTGTCTCATGCAATCTGTTAGAATTCATTTCTAATGTGGCTGTGGATAGGGTAGATCTCCTATGTTCTTCTTCATATTCTTTGAAAAACAAAAGCAAAAATCTCATAGACTTTACTGTCTTGAAAGAGTTTCCTGCTGAGTCCTGTCAGAATCTCTGAATTCACTTTAATTAAATTCTATAAACTTTAATGAACTCATTTCCCTGATTGAGAAAATAGTTGCTCTTTGTAGGAATTCCCTGATTTTGAGCACTGGGGATGTATAGTTCAGACCCTAAAAGACCTAGAAACCCATAATATAAAATTCCTTGGTCCAGTTTTTTTTTTACTCTTTTTAAAGCCTTTCAGATGTTGAGAAGCTTGGGGCATTTTCACTTTTTGGCATAGTAAATATGATTATTATTATATATTTTTAAGACAGAGTCTCTCTCTGTTGCCTAGGCTGGAGTGCAGTGGTGTGATCTCAGTTCACTGCAACCTCTGCCTCCTGGGTTCAAGTGATTCTCCTGCCTCAGCCTCTTGGGTCGCTGGGATTACAGGCGTGAGCCGCCACGCCCAACTAATTTTTGTATTTTTAGTAGAGGCGGGGTTTCACCATGTTGGCCAGGCTGGTCTTGAACTCCTAACCTCAAGTGATGCACTCGCCTCGGCCTCCCAAAATGCTGGGATTACAGGTGTGAACCACCGTGCCCGGCCACCATAGTAAATATTAAAGAATTGTATAGACAGAGTTACAAACATCGTGGAATGTTTCAAATATGTGAATGTTAGGTGCTTTTTAAACAGACATGCTAAAACACAATTGTATGTATAACCTTATTTGTAAATAATGTCAAAAATCCCATTGATGTTGCTGTTGGGTTGGTAAAATTCTTGGTCTTGGTCTGTCCCTTGTTATTTCTATTCTAGGTATGTCTGGCTCTGACACACCCTGCTGTCATCTGCTCAGTCCTTCTGGAGGCCTCTCTAGAGAAGGCAAACCATCTGGGCTCCCTGTCCTTGGTTCTGTCCTTGGCAGGACTGACGACCATAGGATAAGCCTGGTTCTTCCTATTGCTAAAGCTCGGCTTTTCCACCTGTTATCCTAACCTAATGCCTGGACATCACCTCTTGGAAAGCATTATGGACCCTGTGCTGGACTTGACTTCCTTTGTCTGCCTTTCATGGGAATTCACCCTCTCTTTACATAAGTGTTCCTATTTTTGGTTTTAGAGATTCCTCTGGGTCATCACTGAGCTGAACTGATGGAGGTTCCTTGAAATCAGCAAATGGCCTAGATAATCAGGCCTCCTAACCTCAGCCTTCTGTGATGCTTTGCTTTTCTATTTCCCATTCTGTGGGGTTGGGTGGAGCAAGGGATATAGTCTTTTAGAAACAGTATTGTTCACTTAACAAAGACCTCAAACCCAGGAATAAGCATAATCTCCACCAGGGAATGCCACTTAATTGCATTAAGCTTCTTAGATTTATCAGATGAAGGATAAGCCTGATTTATCAAAACCAGAGTGGCCGATATTCTGGTTGACAAAATCCAGGTTTAAGAGGATAGTTCTTGTTAGTTGGATCAATGAGCTGAAGTGGATATGATGGCATTTAATTGGTACAGATGTCATATTTGTCACTTTCATTGCCCAAATTCCCAATTACATAAACTCATATTTAGTAATAGCTTAGTGGCATCCCACTTATAAAAGGCTCAGGGATTTTAGTTGGAAATATTTCCAATTTACTATAAAACTAGCATAACCTTAGTTATAAAACATCTTCACATGGCATACACAGATGTCAAGGAACAATTTTACTTAGAGCTTTTGGTAAAAATTTAATTAAAATGAGAATATGTGGTGTGATGAGATAAGGATGCCTGAATACTTAATTCAAATAAGCATTTTTTTTTGTGAAGAAGTCTAAATTACTAAGAGAGATTTATGACAAAGAGAATTTGAATAGATAACTAGTTGCTGAAGACAGTGAAAAAGTTTTTGAAGAATGACATATAAGAAAGACACTGAATCCAGTTGGCTTTACAGGCAAGTAACGTATCCAAACTTTCAAGGAATTATGCTATTAAAATGATTGCAGGCCTGAGTATAGGATTCCACATTGAAAATTGTTTTCCTCAGGATTTTGAAGGCATTGTTCCACTGTCTTGTAGCTTCCAGTATTGTTACTGCAAAGTCTGAGGTCACTCCGATTCTTGAGCCTATGTGTGAAACTATGTTCTTCTCTGGAAACTTGTAGGCTCATCTCTTTGTCTCTGGCGTTCTGAAAGTTTTCAGTAGAGTGGACCTATACTCATCCATTGGGCTGGGCACTCAGTGGCTCTCTCAATCTAGAGATTATTGAATTTCCTTTGATTATTTACATTCCTATTTTTTCTACTCCTCTTTTCCGAAGCTTCCGTTAGACCTTCTGGACTTGTCCTCAAATCATTTTTTATATTTTCTACTGTTTGTATCTTTGTATTTTATTCTAGTTTCTGGGGAATTGCTTAACTATCTTCCAGCCTTTCTATTGAAGTTTTCAATTCTGCTGTCATACTTTTACTTTCCAATACCTTGGTTTTGTCATTGTTGTTCTCTATGTAGCTGTTTCTTAGAGTATTGTCTTATTTCATGGCTGCAATACCCTCTTTATCATATCAGAAAGATGTGATAAAATCTTTCTGAATAAAGTAATATTAGTTTTAAAAATATTTTATTCTCCATGCATAATCTCTCTTTTCTCTGGAAAGCTTTATTCTGATTATTTTAGACTCTTTCATATAAGATGGTTTTCTCAAATGCCTGGGATCCTCACCCATGTGCTCATATTTAAAAGAGGGTCACTAAAACGCTGTCTGACCAAAAGAGAACCCTACTGTAAACTGTGGACTTTGGGTGATAATGATGTATCAATGTAGGTTCATCAAGTGTAACAAATGTACCTCTCTGGTGGGGGATGTTGACAGTGAGGAGGCTGTGCATGTGGGAAGTGGGCAGAGGATATAAGGAAAATCTCTTTATCTTCTGCTCAGTTTTGCTGTGAACCTAAAAATATTCTAGAAGAGTATTTTTGAATATTTAGAAGATAAACTCTGTTCAACAAATACAAACAAAACATTTGTTTTGGACACTCTAACCATTGCAGTAGGCAAATAAAAACCCAACTTAATGGAGAAAAAAAAAGCTGTTTGGACGATCTGTATGCATGATTAGGACTTCCTTACTGTGATTTTCATTGTGTGGCCATCTAGCTGTCTATTTCCTTGGACAGCCCCTGGTGCCCATATCTTTAGGTTTTTTCCTTTGGATCTGTCAGATCCACTGGCAACACTCTTCCAAACACTTGCATAGAAAATACATACCTGGCTTCCAGGATTCTCAAGAAAAGTATAAGTAACAAAAGGGAAATGGATTCTACCAGATACTAAAACTGTATTACATGCAGGGTGTGGTGGCTCATGCCTGTAATCCCAGCACTTTGGGAGGCCGAGATGGGTGATTGCTTGAGCTCAGTTGTTCGAGACCAGCCTGGGCAGCATAGTGAGACCCCCGTCTCCACACAAAAATACAAAAATTAGCCATGCATAGTGGTGTGTGCCTGTGGTTCCAGCTACTGGGGAGGTTGAGGTGGGAGGATGGCTTGAGTACAGGAGGTGGAGACTGCAGTGAGCCAAGATCGCACCACTGCACTCCAGCCTGGGCAACAGAGCTAGATCCTATCTCGAAACCAAACCAAACCAAACCAAACCAAACCAAACCAAACCAAACCAAACCAAACCAAACCAAACCAAACCAAACCAAACCAAACCAAACCAAACCAAACCAAACCAAACCAAACCAAACCAAACCAAACCAAACCAAACCAAACCAAACCAAACCAAACCAAACCAAACCAAACCAAACCAAACCAAACCAAACCAAACCAAACCAAACCAAACCAAACCCCGAAAAGATTGTGTTAGAAAGCTACACTAATGAAAAGAGTGGTAGTATCACATAAATTGACAGATTAATGGAACAGAATTATAGGTAGTCTATAAAATGTAGTCTGTTACATATAGTATAGTGAAGCTGTTATCACAAATTAGTATAGGAAGGATTATCCAATAAGTGCTGCCAAAACCATTGATTATTTGGGGGGAAAAGTTAGCACTTCACCTTATATGCTAAAATTAGGTTGTTTGTTCATGCTTTGTCTTTTGTTCAATAATTATTTTTCTCCTATTATGTTCAAGCCAGGTTAAAGTATAAAATTAAAAATAATATTGAAAAGGGGATAACAGTGTAAGCCTAAAGTTACTGGAAAGGAAAAAAGTCCATAAATTTGACTACATAGAAATTAAAAATATCTGCAGACAAAGGAACAAAATAATACAGAAAAATTTTTATAACATATGCCAGATGAAGGGTTGATATCCTCTACCTATAAAGAGTTTATACAAGTTGATCAGAAAATAGTAAAACCTGATAGAAAAATGGGCAAAAAACATTCATAGAACAAACATAAGTGCTGAAGAAGTATACGTTAAAAAATCTACCCTCACTAGCCAGGCATGGTGGCTTATGCCTGTAATCCCAGCACTTTGGGAGGCCGAGGCGGGTGGATTGCTTGAGTCCAGGAGTTTGAGACCAGCCTAGGCTACATGGTGAAACCCCATCTCTACAAGAAAATGCAAAAATTAGCCCGGCATGGTGGCACGCACCTGTAATCCCAGCTACTAGGGATGCTGAGGCACAAGAATTGCTTAAGCCTGGGAGATGGAGGTTGTAGTGAGTTGAGATTGTACCACGGCACTCCAGTCTGGGAAACAGAGTAAGACCTGCCACACACACACACACACATAGAAGTCTACACTCACTAGTAATCAGGCCTCCCTCATGAAACGTGATACCATTTTTTCCCTGTTTAATAATTAATAATAGGCAAAGCAATTTAAAAATTACAATAATGCTTGTATGCATACCTTGAAATGAGCACTTTCATACAATGCTATTGAACGAATAAGTAATTTTTTTTTCTGGAAAGCAGCTTGGCAGTCTGTATCAAAAACAACCCTGAACAACAAATATATCAAGCCCCTTCCTCCTTCTTCAGAGCCTTGAAAGTGCTATTCCGTCTACCTGGAATGCTCTTCCCCATCTCTTCCTAGCTCATTCCTTCTCACGTTTTAGGCTTTCTGAAGCCCACCTCCTGCAGGCAGGCTTCTATGACCTCAGGCTAGATCAGATTCTCTCTCTCTTTTTTTTTTTCAAAGCCTGATCCATCAGCCAGTGTTTTGGAAGCCAATTTTGGGGAGAAGGCAGAAGGACCCACTGTTCAGTATGTAAACTTCCACTTAATTCCTCTGTTTTATTTATGGTGCTCCTACCCTCAATTATGCCTGGCATTTCTCGATTTTTTTTTTTTTTTTTTTTTGAGACAGGGTCTCGCTCTGTTACCCAGGCTGGAGTGCGAGTAGCTGGGAATACAGGTGCACACCACCACACCTGGCTAGTTTTTCTATTTTTAGTGGAGATGGGGTTTCGCCATGTTGGCCAGGCTGGTCTCGAACTCCTGACCTCAAGACATCCGCCCGCCTCCGCCTCCCGCCTGGGATTACAGGCGTGAGCCACTGCACCTGGCTGCATTTCTCTGTTTTATCCTCTCCAGAGAATAAACCTCCACCTCTTCACAGAGTTGGGAAGATGTGGTCACCTAGCTGCTCAGTGCAGGGATGGAATCCCCAGGCCGAGGTGCTTTCAATGAACTCTCCTGTTTTCAGCTCCACCCCAATTCCCACTCAGAGGCAGTTTGTGCTTTCATTTCTTGTAATTTGTGCTTTTCTGTGTTTCTGAGTCACCCACAATGAATCACTTTCACAATCAGATAAAAGCCCCTAAATTTTCTTTATTTAAGATTTCCTACTTTGTGACCCAGTAATTTTACTTCTTGGAATATCTTTTTCTTTTAAGGAAATAGAAATTTGGAAAACATTTAGGTACAGACATCTGCATCACAGTACCATTTATAGTAGAGGATGATTAGTTGCAAACATCCTAAAAATCCAATATCAGGGTCATGGTTTAAGTAGGCACTGATAAAGCCTTTAAGTGGTATTTCCAAAAATATGTTCTTAACGACATGGGAAAAAACTAATGATTTATCATAAAATGAAAAAAGCATAATATAAAATTGTAGGTATATCTTTACTAAGATTTTATTTTAAAATATGCATGGAAGAAGGCTGGAGGGAATTACTTCTGAATATTAACAGTTGTTGCCTCTGGATGGTAGGATCTCATTCACTGTCTACAATGATCATGCATTATCTTTATAATTCAAAAGAATTTATATATATGTAAAGGAGGAGAAAATAAAAAAAATTATAATCTTAGGTTGCATTAAGAGAGGTAGAAGTTTTGGGGCAAGAGAGGCAATAATCTGGATTCGGACCAACTGGAGTGTCGTATCCAGCATACAGGGAGGGTGGCATATGTTAAGAGGAAATTAGGCCAGGCATGGTGGCTCACGCCTGTAATCCCAGCACTTTGGGAGGCCGAGGCAGGTGGATCACCTGAGGTCAGGAGTTTGAGACCAGCCTAGTCAACATGGTGAAACCCCATCTCTACTAAAAATACAAAAATTAGCCAGGCGTGGTGGTTCACACCTGTAATCCTAGCTACTGGGGAGGCTGAGGCACAAGAATTGCTTGAACCCAGGAGGCAGAGATTACAGTGAGCCAAGATCCTGCCACTGCACTCCAGCCTGGGCAACAGAGGGAGACTTCGTCTCAAAAAAAAAAAAAAAAAAAAAAAAAGAGGAAAGTAAACAAATTGCAGGTTGGCCAGAGACTTCTGGAAATCAGGATTATCTGGAGGAATAGGAGGAGAGCAGGCTCAGGCTGAACCTGGTGGCTGTCTGTATGTGGCTGCAGTACTGTTTGGGAAGGACAGAACTGGGTGTCCTGTGGCTCTGGGATCAGAGCCAAGTCTGGAGAGAGATTCTTAAAGGTGGAGAGAGATGTTCTGACAATCCTGTGATGGATACCTCTTCCTGCAAACGTCAATAGTCATGCTGAGGTTGGTGTGAAAACGAAGAATCCCCAGTCAAGGAACTGGAGGTGATAGAACCATGAGGCTGGCAAGCCAGTGGCCAGTGAGCCAGCATGTTAGACTGGGAAGAAGTTTTGACATCACCCAGCTTGACAGCCTTGTTTATGTGCAGCCCGTGATGTTCTCATGCTCCCATCCGTCATAGATAAGATGACCTTGGGTTATGCAAAATTCCCAGTGCACTCCACATAACCCCATCCCTGTCTTTCCTACTTAGGAAGGCAATGTGAATTTAAGCGACTGGAATTAATCTTATTGTAGAAACAACCTTGACTTTTTTCTGATTCATGCGAAATAGCACATCACTCATGAGTTTCAGATCAATGATCAGTGACAGGTTACCACACGCAACGCTCCTCATACCTAATTGTCACATACGTGTTTCTCATCCAACCCTTTCATTTCACAATGGGGAAATTGAGGCCTAGAGAAGGGAAAGAGCCATAGTCAAGTGCGTATGAGAGGTGTGAGGTAGGAGCCAAGTCTCCTAACTCCAAACGATGGCTCTTTCTCTAACTGAGAGCCACTAGCTGTCAACTTAGATTTTGGTTGGTGGCAGCAAGGGATAGGCTGGTGAGAGGAAGAAGGAAACAAAGGAAAAGAAAGGTGTGAACCTGCCGTGTTTCATCCTAGTGACATCACCAAGGAGATGCCTGCGTCCAACAAACCTAGCATTCTCCAGAGCCCCGTGCCTGACCAGTGCTTGGAGGTGAGGTGGGGCCACGAGGGTGGTGGTATGGGTTGAATGGTGCCTCCTGCCAGATATATTGAAGTTTTAACCCCTAATGCCTCAGAATGTAACCTTATGTGGAAATAAGGTCTTTTCAGAGGTAATCAAGTTAGATCAAAGTCATTAGGGTGGGTCCTAATCCAATATGAGTGATGTCCTTATAAAGAGGGGAAATTTAGACACAGAGACACAGGTAAAGGGAGAACACCAGGTGAAGATGAAGGCAGAGATGGGAGTGATGCGTCTAAAAGCCAAGGAGTGCCAAAGATTGCCAGCAAAACACCAGAGCTGGGAGAGAGGCCTGGAACAGTCTCCCTCACAGCCCTCGGAAGGAACCAGCCCTTCGGATATCTCGATCTCAGACTTCTGGCCTTCAGAACTGAGAATCAGTTTCTGTTGCTTAAGCCGTGCAGTCTGTGGTACTTTGGTACAGTAGCCTTGGCAAGGGAATACAGGTGGGATGGGGCTTACAGCCACTCTTCTCTCCATAAAGTCTTCACCATACCCCCAACCCAAATGGTGTGATCCCAGCCCCATGACACTGTCCTCACTCTTAAACCCCCAGCCCATATGTGCTTGTGTTTGTGTGGCCGCCAGTCTAGGACCCAACTTGTCTTGCCAAAGGTCCAAGTTCCTGAGCCCCAGCCTGACCCCGGCTCTGACACCAAGCTCAGAGTGGGTGAGCTTTGAGGGAGGGGAAGGATGCCATTTCTGCTCACTGAAACCTTTCTTCTCCTACCTTTCCAAAGTAGGAAAGGTTGGGGATAACAGAAACACCAAACCAGGGCTCTGAAGCCCCTCAGGTAATGCTGGCTCTAACGCTGGCTTCTAACCTGCAGCCTCTGGCCTCTCACCCTGGCTGGAGGAGAATCTCTTAGACAGGGACCTCAACTTCCAGTGGTCATGGACTTCCAGTATGTGAACAGCCTCCTTTTTGAGGCTTTCAGGATTGAGCCCAGCCTCACTCAATCAAGCAGTGGTTCAGATCCCTGAGAGGTAGAGGTCATTGCCGGAGACTAGCTGGAGAAGTCAGAGAGCGCTTCCTGGAGGAAGAGCCTATGTTAGTCTGGCTGAAAGGTGTGAGCTTAATTTTACTGCATGACTACTGAGCCAGGCACAGTCACATACTTTCACTTATTTGGTTTCCAGTCAGTTGTGAGGCAGGTGATGTTATTTGCATTTTAGAGGTTAGAAAACTGAGACTCAGAGAAGCGAAATGATTGACTCCAGACCACAGCATTTAAATTCAGGGCCCTCTGGTGATAAGCTCATCTCACTCTTCCGCACCAAGCCCTTTTCCAGGGTCCAGTAGTATTTAAAGGATTTGTGGAGTTTCGAAGTGTGGGGGGCAGGGACGCTGCATGCTGACACAGGGGCAGGGTGGGAACATACTGGGTGAATCTGGGAGCCATGAGGAAGCTGGCCTGATCGATTTCAGCGATTCAGAGGGAACAATGGGAACCACAGCTGGAAAAGGAAGAGGGTCGTAATTTATTAGGCTGAGCATTCAGACTCGCTGGGTAAGCAGCGAGTGAGCGAATGAGCTCTGGATGAGGGGTACAGAGCTGGTGTTTTCAACACCCATCCTGATGGGAGAGGGGCCAACTTGCCAACCTGCTGTGAAGGCATTGTGGCTCTCAAGGAGAAGCATGTGGCCACATCAGAGAGACCCCCTTTCCTTCTTCAACCCTAGCCCCAGATGTCCCTGGGAAGGGAGGACAACCAGCTTGCCTCTGAGGGTCACTACCTAGTGCTCTCCCCTACCTGGGTCGCCTCCACATAGGTCAATTCTGCCAGCAGTGGGCCCATCCTCAGCCACGCCTCCTGTATCTAGGTGGCTCATCAGGACCTAAATGCCCCCTCAGCCTGTCAATCCCTCCTCTGACTTTGCACAAACAGTTTTCTCCGCTTGAATGCTCAGTGTTCTCTTTCCCTCCCCAGTGAACTCCTAGTCAAGACCCAGTTCAATTGTTCATTTTGTTTCTGCAGCCTTTGTGGCTCATTGGCAAGATTCAGTCTCTTCCACTTCTGTACATTGCCATTGTCCTCACTGAGGTCTGGGTGCATGGAGAGCAGATATGAAGCAAATCCTTCAGTTGCTTCTCCTGGTGGGCAGACTAGAAAGGGCCAAGGTAGGAAGGACTAGTGACCTAAACCTCCCTTCCCAAATACCAAGGATGAGGATGAGGTGGGATGAGTGCAGGGCCCATCTGAACTGGACTGCGAAGGGCTTGGCTGGCAGGCACGCTTGGAGAGCAAACCATCCAGTAAGGAAGCACTTTGCAGGGGGCAGTGTGGCCAGGGCGACGATGGGCATGGGGGAGGGAGGGCAAGGACGTTTATGCTTTGACCACTGATTAATGCGCTGGAGCAGTGGGGATGAAAAGAAGATAGTGTCTGAGGCATTTCAAAAGGCAGAGCATTTAGAAATCAGGGCTGTTGGAGGCAGAAGGTATGAGTTTGAGGGTTCAAGGTGTTGGCTGGAATCGGGGGTTATAGAGACCAAAGAGATTATACAGGACCAAGAAGTAAAGGAAGCCTGGGCAAAATAACTCTATCCCCCAACCCCCAGCACATCATGATAGCATCAATACACACCTACTTGTGATCAAGTCCTGTTTATTTCAGAAGCTTGAACAGTAGAACTAGGAAGGAGTGATGAAAACAAGGCACCAGTCCCCTTGACAGGGCCAAATCCGGCACAAGCTCTGTCTGTGCGATCAAGGCTGACCCAGCAGCCTCAATCCGCCTTTTCCTGTGAGGAGAGGGTTTGAGGACAACCTGCGCACAGGTGACTGTTCCATAGGGTGAGGTTGGGGTAAGTTGGCTCTGGGTTCCTCTGGATCAGCTGCAAAAGGCCAGAGGGCCCCCAGTACCCTTGGCCAAGAGCATTCCATGCTGACTCTGTCTGTGCTCAGGCAAAGCCACATTCTGGAGAGGAAGCCGTAGTGCCTGGTGGGCACCAGGAAGGCCTCAGGTGTTCAAGAACAACTTGCAATGAGGCTCCATGGCCAGCAAGCACCTGCTTCCCCAGCCCAGTCATCTCTGCAGAGCCTTCCAGGAGGGGGCAGGGGGCATCCCAGGCAGCCAGACTTCTCAGGACCCCTCTGTTGGGTGACATAAGCCACAGGCCTCTATACATACTGCTTCTTAGAAGCAGAGCTGCTGGGACGACTTGGGGGTTTTTGGCCATTCTGAGGGGGTGGGTCCAGGAAGAGAGGGGGCCTGGAAGACGCCAGCCTCTCCTCTGTGGTCAGGTTGGCCCAGTTCTGCTCACTGGATGAGAGCCCATTGTAGGTGGGGCATGGTGGGGATGAGGGCCCCTGGCCCACGGGGAGGTAGAAGAAGACCTGGTCCGTGTAAGGGTCTGAGGAGGTGCCCTGGGTCGGGGGTGCGTCTTGGCCTTGCCGTGCCCTCATCCCCCGGCTGAGGCAGCGACACAGCAGGTGCACCAACTCCAGCAGGTTAAGCACCAGGGAGATGAGTCCAACCACCAACATGAAGATGATGAAGATGGTCTTCTCCGTGGGGCGAGAGACAAAGCAGTCCACGAGGTAGGGGCAGGGTGCTCGCTGGCACACAAACACGGGCTCCATGGTCCAGCCGTACAGGCGCCACTGGCCATAGAGGAAGCCTGCCTCTAGCACACTCTTGCAGAGCACACTGGCGACATAGGTGCCCATCAGTGCTCCGCGGATGCGCAGGCGACCATCTTCTGCCACCGAGATCTTGGCCATCTGACGCTCTACGGCCGCCAGCGCCCGCTCCACCTGTGGGTCCTTGGCCGGCAGTGCCCGCAGCTCCCCCTCCTTCTGCCGCAGCCGCTCTTCTCGCCGAGACAGGTAAATGACATGGCCCAGGTAGACCAGGGTGGGTGTGCTGACGAAGAGGAACTGCAGCACCCAGTAGCGGATGTGGGAGATGGGGAAGGCCTGGTCATAGCAGACGTTGGTGCAGCCTGGCTGGGCCGTGTTACACTCGAAATCTGATTGCTCGTCACCCCACACTGACTCGCCGGCCAGGCCCAGGATGAGGATGCGGAAGATGAAGAGCACCGTCAGCCAGATCTTACCCACCACGGTCGAGTGCTCCTGGACCTGGTCCAGCAACTTCTCCAGGAAGCCCCAGTCACCCATGGCTCCCGGGCCTCCGTCTGCAAGGAGACAGAGCACGTCAGTGTGTCAGCATGGCATCCTTCTCGTTCGCCCAGCAACAAGCCTGCAGGGAGGTCTGCCACGCCCGTTCTACCTACAAAGAAACCCAGGCTCAGGAAGGGGAAGGACTGGCCTGGAGGCTCCCACTCAGCAGTGCAGGCAGGACCCAACCCAGATTTTTGGATGATGGCTGCCCACCTCTTTGTATGGTCTCATTCTGCTTTGGCTAAGGTCCCTGCCTAATCAGACATCTATGTCCCTCTTGTCCCCGAGCCACTGCCCCAGGATGGACACAGGCCAAGGAAATCTGGGTGGAGTTGAGGCTCCTTTGCCTATGGGAACAGAATTTGAGGAACTTATCCAAAGTTGTGCAGCTGGGCTAAGCCCTTCCTCCCTTTTGCCCAAGGCTGGCTACCCCCAGACAGTGGGAGCTAGTGATGATGGTAGAGGTGTTATCTTCTGCTTCTTAGGGGGCTCAAAGCCTCAGGTCCCTGCTCCCCGCCTCATATCTTACCCAGCTGGCTTCACTCTAATCTTTGAGCCTGCAGGGGCTGGGTAGTGGAAGGGGTTTTAGGAGCTGAAGGCAGCATCATCCTTTAGCTCCACCGGTCAGCAATAATGACCACCTGCCACTTGAGGAGGGACATTTGGTCCTGTCTTCTTCCTCCACCTCCACTCCCACCCCCTTCCACCTCCAAAGCTGATGCTGGCAAATTCTAGACTCTTGAAAGGAATTGTCATTGCAGGGTGAGGCACAGGCCACAAAGTTCCCAAGGGGGAGGTGCCTCTTCCCAAGTGCAAAGCTGTTTAGAGCCAGGCTCTGGAAGCGGCCCTGGGTTCAAATCTTGCCTTTTAGTAACTGCGGCCCCTTGGATAAGGAACAACCTCTGGGCCCCTCAGTCTCCTCCACGATAGAGTGGAAACAATAGTATTCCTCCCGCCTCGGGTTGTTACAAGGATTCCATGGAAAGAGGGTGGGAGCCTGGCCAAGGCCACCTGGGTGAGCGCGGCTCTGTCGCGGCGGGCGTTCCGCAGCAACCCCCGTCCCGGCATCGGAGGACCCAAGACTCCTCCCGGCCTCCCGCGAGCAGGTGGCGCCCCTGGTCCCTTCCTAGCCCCCGACTCACCGCCTGCCTGCCGGGCGGCCCAGGTGGAGGTGGGGACGATGGCCGGAGTGACGCCCGCGGGAGCCCTGCTGGACCGCACGAGCGGCGGGGGCGCCTTAAATAGCGCAGAGGGGCGGGGTGGGGGCAGGAAACGCGACGGGGAGGGCGGCGGGCGCTGGAGAGAGGGCGGGGGCGGGGACTGGGAGGTGCAGACTCCCTAAACCCACTCCGGGGAGGTGGGCCTGTGTGATTTGCGGTGGGGAGGGGCAAGAGGGGCTGACCTACCCTTCCTCTCCTCTGTTCTCTCTCCACCAGGTATTCCAGACAGTAAACTCTCCTGTCGTTTCTTTGGCCAGGGAAGGAGAGTTCTCCCAGGCCAGGATCTCTCAGGGTGGCTGGATTTGAAGGGGTTGCAGTAAGGGCTGTGGATCTGGGCAACTGGCCTGCGGGGCTGTGAGGGGTGGGCGGATGGGGATGGAGTGTGGGGACCACTCATTTGCTAGGTGGCTGGCCCTAGTGTGCCAGGATGAGGCGATCAAGGCTAATTACGGCGCGGGAAGCTCCAATGGGGGACAGGGGTTGTAATCCACACCTCCAGCATACATGGTGGAGCAGGCGTCTCTATCCACGCCCAGCCCACGTTCTTCCAGAATTCTCAAACATCCCCATGTCTGGGCAGGCTACACAATCAGAGGCCATTAAGCAATTCCCATGGACTCCTTGAGACTGGGGGTGGGGGAACCACCTGACCTTTAGCTTGGACCCCGTTCTTATGCCTCTAAATGGTGGCTGGGTGGTGTGGGGGACATCCATAGGAATGAAAGGGCTATGCGGAGCCTGCCTTCATGCATTCAGGCATCACAGGTGGATGAGCATCAGTGAGCATCTGCTGTGCTGCAGACGCTGCTTGGGGACCTGGGGATACCCTGAGGAACCAGCCAAACTTGGTCTCTGGCCTCCTCCCTCACTGGCTGGTGCAGGGATTGAGCATATCAGCCCTTGGATAACGGTAAGATAATAAATGTGGAAAGTTCTCCTGAGAGGTACTGGGTGATTCCCAGGGGACTTGGTTAGGAACATTTCCTGGAGGAGAGGAAATGCTTTTCCCCCTCCATTAGCCAAGTGGAAGGGAAGAGCATTCTAGGTAGAGGGGCGGCATGAGTGTGGCTCGAGGGCCTGGAGCTGTGGGGTTCTGAGACTGTGGCCACTGCCCTCGGAGTGCTGAGACGTTGTTGGTGGCTGAGCCCAGGAGCTGAGACTTTGCTGTTGACTCCTGTACCCTTAGGCAAGTTACTCAAATCCCTGTGCCTCAATTTCTTCCTCTACAGAATGAGAATAGTGATAGTATCTACTTTGTGGGGTTGATGGCATACAGTGTGATCAAAGCACATAGTGTAATAGTGGTACATAAAGTTTTTCAAGTGAGTGGTGGCTAAAAACATTGTGATACTGTAACAAAAAGGGTCTGTGGGTTGTTCTTAGAGGGTGGTAGGGGCTGGCGCAGCTGAGGAAAGGGAAGGTGGCAGGGGGCTGTTGAGGCCTGGGGCTGGTGGCACAGAAGTCCCTGTTCCTCCACAGCAAGATTTAGTCCTTGGATTCCCTGGGCCCCAGGGCCGGGTCCCTGAGGGTTCTGTCTTCAGGACCAGCAGGAGGACATCTTTGGGGACACGCAGACCTGAGAACTTCAGGGCTAGCTGCCCTGAGGGATCCGGCTGGGCTGGCTTCCCCTCTAGGCCTCTCCCTCAGGGCCAGGCTGAACTGAGTCTCCTGGATTTCTGAAGCTAACAACTGCCCCACTTAATTCTGACCCTTGAGGGCATGAGAACCGAGGCCCCTGGAGGCTGGTTCTCACCACGCCCCCACTGCAGCCTCTGCTCACTACCGAGTTTTCCTCTCTTGGGGCTGGGCCCAGCTCTCCCAAAGCCTTTCTGATTCAGTATACTGGGAAAGAGGGAAGAGCCAGTGGAGGGCTGGGGAGTGACGTCAAGGCTGCCCTCACCCTGCTCTGACTCCTTCCTCAAGGGCTTTGGAGGTTTGAATAACTCGGCCTCCTCCCCAGAGGATGAAGAAGCTGGGATCAACTAAGACAACAGTTACCACAACCTGGTCATTCCACCTGGAAATGTCCCTGGAACCACATGCTTCCCTGCATTCCCTTTGCCCTGGTCCTGTTCAGGCTGCTGCCACCTCAGTGGCCTCCCAGCTGGTCTCTTGACCTCTAGCCCCACCCTTCCAACTCAGCCTCCACACTTCCCTAGAAATCTGACCAACATCGCCCTGCTGAAAAGTCATCTATGGCTCCCTATCACCTTCTGGGTAAGCCCTAGGCTCCCCAACCTCCAGTCCCTGGCCACTTCTCCAGCCTTACCCCTCACCCTTCTCGCTGTGACCCAACCAGGTCTCACTGATGGGGTTCTCTGTGCGCTCTTGCCTTTGTCCCTGCTGTTCCCTCTGCATGGAGCACCCTCACGTGCTGAACGCTGTGAATCAGGACTTTTCTCAGTTGTTGCCTTCTCCCAGAAGTCCCCTTGCTGGCTCCCTCTGTGCTAGGTGTACCTTTGTGCTTTCAGCAGCTCAGCTACTACCCATGGTGCTTTGTTTTTGTTATTTAAAAATTTTTAATTATGTTAAAAAGCAGCTACCATAAAATGTATCATCTTAAGGATTTTAAGTGTACAGTTCAGTAGTGTTGAGTATATTCACGTTGTTTTGCAACAGATCTCCAGAACTTTGCCATCTTGCAAAACTGAAACTCTGTCTCTAGTAAACCACTCCCCTTTCCCCATTCCTTGGTGCATGGTCTACTTATCTTTATTCCCCTCCTCCATTAGACTGTGAGCCCTTTGAGGGCAGGCAGCTGGGTCTTTATATCTCCACCACCTAGCAGGGCACCAGATCTGTATATAAATTTGTTAATTTAACAAGTATTTAGTTTGGTGCAAAAGTAATTGTGGTTTTTGCTATTAAAAGCAATAGTTACTAAGCACCTCCTATGTGCTGTGATGCCATCCTAGACAGTGGAGATAACCAGGGAACAACAACAAAAAAATCCCTGTCCTCGGAGGTTTTACATTCTAGCAAAATGTAGAACATGTTAGACGGTGATGAATGCTCTGGGGGAAATGAAGTAGGGAGGAGTGAGAGTGCAGGGGTGGCAAGTTTCAGTTTCTTTTGTTTTTTTTTTTTTTTGAGATGGAGTCTTGCTCTGTTGCCCAGGCTGGAGTGCAGTGGTGCGATCTTAACTCACTGCAACCTCCACCTCCCAGGTTCAAGCGATTCTCCTGCCTCAGCCTCTCAAGTAGCTGGGACTACAGGCGCATGCCACCACGCCCAGCTAATTTTTGTATTTTTAGTAGAGACGGGGTTTCACTGTGTTGGCCAGGATGGTCTCGATCTCTTGACCTCATGATCCACCCGCCTCGGCCTCCCAAAGTGCTGGGATTATAAGCGTGAGTCACTGTGGCCGGCCTCAATTTCTAGTAGGAGAGGAGAGAACGCCTCACTAAGCAGCTGACATTTGATGCAAGCCCTGAAGGCAGGGAGGAAGCCCCGTGGCTATCTGGGGGCACAGCATTTCAGACAGAGGGAACCTAGGATGCAAAGGCCCTGGGGAAGGAGTGTGCCTGGTGTTTCCTGGCTTGGGGGACAGCAGGAGATCAGTGTGGTTGCAGCAGGTGAGGAAAGCGAAGTGAGTTTAGAAAGGCAACAGGCGAGATGCGGATGGGGCAGATCTTGCGGGCCCTTGAAGGCCTGTGTAAGATGTCTTTGGAGGTTTGGGACAGAGGAGTGACATGGCCTGACTTAGGTTTTGACAGGATCACCCCAGCTGCTGTGCTGGGAATAGACTACAGGGGTGGGTGACAGACAGACATCCCCCTTCAATGTAGGACTTGCTGTGTAGCGGTGTGGAGACTGGCCAGCTGACTGCCTTCACCTATCAGCACTTCCAGGTGTGCTTCTGCTGTCTAAGTGGCCATGTTCTTCTTGGGGTGGCCTCAGGCCATGACTGAACCAGGGGGTGGTCAAGGCCTCGCCATTGCTGTCCGGTGCAGAGCTGCCCGCATGGACAGTCTCTGCTTCTGAGCTCCCTGGGACACATCTTGTTGCTCAATCCTGCTTCCTCCCCTTTTACACTTATAGGAGTCACTCCCCAATGTACCCACTTAGCCCTTCCTCAGAGTCCACTTCCCAGAGTCAGGGGCAGGAAGCGAGAAGATGGAAGCAGTCATCCCGGGGAGAGATTTGTCAGTTTGGGCTGCTGTAAGACTGAGTAGTTTAAACAACAAACATTCATTTCTCACAGCTGGGGAGCACAGAAGTCCGAGATCCAGGTGCCAGCATGGTCAAGTTCTTGGTGAGGGCCATTTTCTCTTTGTATCCTCACATGGAGGAGAGAGAGAGAGATCATCTCGTTCTTATCTCTTCTTATAAGGGCACTAATCCCATTCAGGAGGGCTCCATCCCATGACTTAATGATCCCTGAAGGCCCCACCTCCTAATACCATCACACTGGGGGGTAGAGCTTCAGCATATGAATTTTGGGAAGACACAAACATTCAGTCCATATGGGGACTTGGACCAGGGTGAATGAATACAAAGGAATGTCCTGTTTATCTTGGGCTGCAGGGTGGCTGTGACCTTACACAGTAGATGTGGATTTGAAGACTATATGAAATCCTAATCTCATATGCATGATTGGAGGGAGTTTGCAGTGAATCCTCATGGGTGGGGAAGGCGGAGGTAGAGGAACGTACCCTGAGAACGTCAAGGGGACGTGAGGGCCACCTTGTGGTGACTTAATGTGCCCTGGCTCTTGGTGGTGAATAGTAGTCACCCAATACATACTGGATGAGATCAGTGAACTGCACTGCTCAGAACAGCTCCAGGCCAAAGGCAGGCTGTGCAGGGCTGGAATGTCCCCTCCTCCATGGTCCTGGCCCACAGCCTGGAGAAAAGGGGCCAGGACTAGAAGCTCAGTCCTTGCTGAGCGTTAATTCTCTGCAGGAATAGCCAGTGATGTTCTCTGGTTACTCTGACCTCCAAGCCACCCTTGGCCAGGCAGCCAGAACCACCCAGGAAGATGCTGGAATGCATGTTGGCAAGTAGGTGGCGACCACCCCTCCCTGAGACCTTTGCAACCCTCCAGCCCAAGCAGAGGCTGACCTCCAGTGCATCAGGCAGAGACTCTCCTGAGCACAGTCATACCTGGGAATTTATCAGATACATTAGTGCTGTGCTAATGTTTTACCTGCAGTGTCTCCTTCTACCTCTACAAAAATCCTCTGTGTAGGAACAACTGGGTGTCATGCTGACCGTATTCCCTGTGTCCCTCAGGTCTACTCTCCACCCTGCCCTGTACACTGGGAGGCTGACTTGCCCTCTGACTTCCGGTTGGGTTAGGTCAGTGGGAGCCACTGGCAGGCGAGCAGATGGGAGAGTGAAGTTGGGGGATTTACTTGGTTGCTGGCATTGGATGCATCCTGTCCATTGTTACCCTGGTACTAGCCCCAGGGTGCTGCAGTAGCCATACCTTTGAAAACAGTCTCTCTAGGAAACTCCCTTTAAAGTTACTTGGTTTGAATGTGCCATCTGTTTTCTGCTAGGACCCTGATTGATCCAATTCCCATTGTACCGATGGCAAGACTGAGGTTCTAAAGGCCTGCCCAAGATGTAGTGCGGGGAAGCTGTGCTCAGGAATGGTCAAGCTATGAATCAGTCATGGGGGTGTAGGGACAGTGTCAGCCGGCCCTGGGTCCTTTAAACTTGGCTGGCTTATCCACCTTCAAATGGCTACTTGTGAGAGCACAGGTGAACCACTGGCTGTTCTGTTTCCGTGATGACCCCACCTGTCTTTGCTGGCTGTGGCGCTTGGCTCACTGGCTCCTGAATTTCTGACTCCCGGCCTCGGCTGTGATAGTCACTAAGTGTTCCACTGGGTTAATATAGCCTTGCATCCTCTTTTGCTTTCCATTTGGGTCTGGCCTTGGGTGTTGGTGTCCCCTAAATTTCAGGTCATGACACAGCACTGGGAGCAGGGCTGTGAGCCATCCCAGGGGTTGGTTAGTGCGGGAGATGAGCCTGTGTTCCTGTCTCTTAGCTCCGTGGGCATAGGTCCTACCTCCTTGCACAGTCCCAGCATCCTGCCAGGGCCCTAGTTCAGCGAAAATGTTCAGGGAAAATGGGATGAGCCGAATAAAATGCAGGGTGAGGCTGGGATGGCATGCTTGAGTGCAGACTACATGCCCTGTTGAGAGTGCGCATAAGGAGTGAGAGTATGAATAACAGAGATTGTGTGTACACAGGGTGGGGATGTGTGTTGAGATGGCAGTGACTGGGTGACAGAGGAGGGAGTGTGGTTTGTCTATAGTGAGAGTGGCAGTGATTGTGTGTGTACTCAGGGTGAAGTCTAATTACGAAGGCTGGAAGCACCGTTGCAGAGGGAGCACAGCGCACTCTTGTGGCCACAGCTAGAATCCCAACATATGTATCAGTAGGTTCCACCCCAGCCTCCTCCTCTGGTACAAACCCAGCTCCCGGCTGTCAACATCAGCCCCAGCCTAACCGAGCTCCAGCTCAAGCCCCAGCTGCAGCCACAGCCACAGCCCCCACCCTAGCTCCACCCCGAGCCATGGAACTCTTTCCCTTTCTGAGGGCTTACCTTTCCCTACCTTCAGGGTTCTGTCAGTGGGTGGGAGTGTGGGAGAACCAGAGACAGAGCCAACCTGTATAAAACACAGTATTTATTGATTTCAAGGAAACTGTCTTGAGGATGTTCTATCAGCGCATCCACCCAAGTCCCTGGGAGCAGGGTCTGAAAGGCTGGCACCAGCCTGAGCACAGTTGTGGGGAGGAAGATGGGAGCACCACTGCCTGAGGCTGAGGGAGTAGGATTTGGGGAAAGAGGGCTTCCACTGAGCCAAGTGATGACCTGGGGGACCTCTGGGTATCTCCAGAACCTCTAGTCAGGTTCATTCTCAGCCCTCCAGACCTGCTGCTGCTGGAAGACCTCCTCTCCACTGCAGGAATCTGGGCGGCTCCTCTGGAGGGAGTAGAGATGCCTTAGGTCTGCTGAGGCTAGCCCAGGGCGAGCATCACTTTTTGTGTGGCCTCCAGACCTCTGTGCTGCTGTTGTGTCTGCTTGGGAGCACTTCTCACCTCTCTTACACATTATGTCCTCAGGGAAGCCTCTCCTGATCATCCCTTCCTGGGTTGATCCCTTCCTGGTTGAAGCCCTGCTAGCAGTGCCCTAAGTGGCCCCTTGCAGGCAGCGTAGATAGTTAATTCGCTTGTTTCAAAGTCTATGTCCTTTGAGGGCTGGCACTGGGCCTGTGGGTTACCTATACCCGGCTAGACAGCCCAGTTCCCAGTGTCAAAAAATATCTGCCAAAACGAAAGTTGCATAACTTAGTGAACTCAGAGTGGGGTCACTCAGCCCCTGTAGGACCTCTCCACCTGCCACACCGCCCTGCATGTCCCATTGGCAGCCCGCATGTTGCCCCACCCCTGCCCTGTGGTCAGATGGGGGTCAGGTTGGGTGCTGAAGCCTGCAGCTTGTTATTGCCTGGGTCTGGATCCACCTCCCCAGCCTCCACCAGCTTGTGGTGGCAGCGGCAGGTGGAAGCTCGGCTGGCGGAGGACGAGGGGCTGCAACCCCCTCGAGGCTTGTCCTTGTGCAGGCCTCGCAGGACCCTGTGGCAGATGAGGTAGCAGAGCTCACAGATGGTGAGTACGATGCAGACGGCGGAGGCGCCCACCATGAAGTAGGTGAAGATTTTCTTCTCGGTAGGTCGGGCAATGTAGCAGTCCACGATGTTGGGGCAGGGGGCCACGTTGGCACACTGCACCAGGCGCGGCATATTGAAGCCATGCCAGAGAGTGTGCAGCAGGTAGAGGAAGAGGAACTCAATGATGAGCTTGAAGATGAGGCTGAACAGGTAGGTCCACCACAGGCCTCCGTGCTTCTTGCCTGCGTTGTCGTACAGCTTGGCGCACTGGTCCCCGTGTTTCTGGCGGTGCCGGCGCTCCCGCTCCTCACGGTAGGCCACGTGCAGGATGACCAGCAGCGAGGGGCATGTGACGAAGATGAGCTGCAGGGCCCAGAGGCGGATGTTGGAGATGGGGAAGTAGTTGTCGTAGCAGACGTTGGTGCAGCCGGGCTGCTTGGTGTTGCAGTCAAAGTCCTTCTGCTCATCCCCCCACACGCGCTCTGCAGCCACCACGTATACCAGCACCCGGAAGACGAACACCACGGACAGCCAGATGCGCCCGAACGCTGTGGAGTACTTGTTCACACCGCTCAGTAGGGCCTGGAGTGTCTTCCAGTCCATGGCGCCTGGTGGGGGCCGTGCCTACCTGAGAGAATTAGAGGAAAAACCATCGTATGAATGAATAGGTGACTTTATTGAGCATTTACTATGTACCAGGCAGTGTTCTGAGTTCTGACTTGTTCAATACTCACAACGACCCTCTGAGTTCAGAACTGTTATTCCTCCCAAGCTGCAGATAGGAAACTGAGGCACAGCAAGGTTATATAACTTAACCAAAGGCAACAGAGCTAGTATGCTGGAAGGAAGCAAATATGCTTTGGCTGATAATAACAATCACCATTTATTGAGTGTTTACTCAGAGTCAGGCATGAAGTTAAACACTTTATGAGCAGAACCTCATTTAATCTCTTAGAATGACCCCATAAGGTAGTTATTACAGTGCTCCTCACTTACAGATGAAACTGATCATTGAACGATTGCAAAGCAAGTAGTACATAGTAAGTGCCCCATAAATGCTGGCTACTCATTACTGTGAAATTTAGAGAGGTCAAGTCACTCACTTAAAACAAGAGGTGGATTCAAGGCCAGGCTGTTGGGTACCAGAGCCTGTGCTCTCCACCACCTCCTCTTCCCTTCTCCGCTGGACTCCTGCCCTAGACCAGATTCTTGAAACGTTTACTTTGTGGATGCCTCACTACTATACTGTGAAGTTGCAGTTATGAGTCCCATTCTACAGCAGGGAAACTGAGGCTCAGAGAGGAGAAATAACCAGCTCAAGGTCTCACAGCTGCTGGGTGGTGAAGAGGGGAGACCAGTTCAGGTGGGGGGTGCATGGAGCCTTATGATCTGACTCCTGGGAGGACACTAGATCCAGGGAATATCTAGAGAAAACTCCCTGCTCCCTGTGCTGGGCCTGGGGAAGCCCAGCCACCCCCAGCCACACTAGTTGCCAGGGCCTTGTGGTGGAAAGATGTGCTTTGTTCAGGCCTTAACTCACACATCTTCCTCCCAGTCCTGGAGTGACTCAGAGGGTGTGGACGGGTGGGTCTGCCTGAGTGTGCCTTGTTTCTGTGCTGCTGTGGGTGTGAGAGCACCCGCCTGCCTGTCCACGTGTGTGTGTGGGCCTATGTGCATGTGAGTCCCCCTGGAGCTGACTTGCACCTCTGAGCATGCGTGATGCCTGCGAGGCCACCACCCTGCCCCAAACCACTATTATTCTGGCCTGTATTATGGCCTCTTTACTGGCTTTTCACCTTCCCCCTGTGCCCCTAGAGTCCATTAAATCAGTTCATGCCACTCCCTTGTTTAAGACTCTACTAGCTTCTCGCTAGGCTTAGCAAAACCCCAGATTCGACATTTTCACCCTGCCACCCTGGAATAAGGGCCTTGGGGGCTTTTTACTGATTCCTTCTGCCTGGAATGCTCTTCCTCCAGAACCTCACATGGGTGGATCCTTCTCATCACAGAGGCCTCTGCTCAAACCTCATCTCTTTAGAGGCCTCTCCAGATTACCCTGGGTCTGAAAGAGCCCCTGCTTCTGTCACTCTGTTCCTGTCCCCTTTCTTTTTTTTTTTTGAGCCAAGGCCTTGCTGTGTCGCCCAGGCTGGAGTGCAGTGGTGCGACCTTGGCTCACTGCAACCTCTGCTTCCCAGGCTCAAGGGAGCCTCCTACCTCAGCCTCCCACGTAGCTGGGACCACAGGTGCACACCACTATGCCCACCTAATTTTTCCAGCCCCCTCTGTTTTCTTTATAGCACTTAGTCACTATCTGAAATTAAAGAATTTGTCCTTTTTTTTTGGTCTTATTAATTATCTGGCTCCCCCTCTAGAATGTCAACTTGGTCTTGCTCACTGCTTTATATTTAGTGCCCAGTGCTTGGCACATAGTAGGCACTCAGCGCTGAATGGGTAAACAAATGAATGCTGAGTTTTCAGCAAGGCAGCTTGGAGGGAGGGGACAGGAGGGTGGGCAGGATCCTGGTCAGGGGGCAGCCTGGTCAGGGGGATTGGGGGAAAGACTTCCCTACACTGGAGAGAGGGAGAGAGCACAGTTCCTTCTCAGCACCTGGCTCTCCTGGCTGCGTTTCCTCTGGGAATCACAGTCTGGGCAGGATGGGGTGATTGGGAAGACCTCATTCTTGGAAACCCTCCTCTTCTCCCCTACTCTGCTCCTTCTAAGCCCTCGTGGTGGGGGAAGGGAGTGGGATAGCATGGAACACGGAGTTCCACCTGGATTCAAACCTCAGCTTGGCCACTTAGTAGCTGGGCGACTTCCAAGAATTCCCTAATCTCATTGACCCTATTTACTAATCTCTAAAGGGAAATAATTCCTACTTTCTGGTAGAATCCTGAGACTCTTCCCTCCCAGGCTGCTACTCACCTGGTGGGAGTTCACAAGAACTGAAGTGAAGGTTGGAGCCCTGTCTGTCCGGACAGAGAGCAGAGAGGGACCCTGACGGCTGCTTCCACCTGACACACTCCCATGGCTGCCCACCAGGGTGCAGCTCCCTCCTGGGCCCCCATCTTCTACCCTTGGGTGCTGTCTGCCCAGTCCCTCCTGACACACCCCAGGGAGGAGCTTCACTGGCAAAGAATTTCCTTCCCAAGTCTAGGCTGGGGACTGGTGGAGCCGGTTCTGGTTCCCCCAGCTGCCCTCCAAAGCCAGCTCCCAGCGCAACCGTTTTTTCCCTGACCCCCAGACTGTACTGTGCCCAGCCCTACCTCCCGCCCCACAATGTCCCTGAAGGATAAAGCTCCCTTTCCTTCCCAGTTTCCCTCCATCCTAGGCAGCTTGGGAGCTTGCGGACTTGGGGAGGGGGTGTCTCGGAACCTTCCCGCAGCCGGGACCCCTAATGGGCCCAGAATTGAGAGGCGAGAGGGAGGATTGAGAGGTACGGGGTGGCGGGCTCCCCGCACCCCCGCTTCGCGCCCCATCCCAGCGCACTGGCAGGCTCAAGCCCCAGCCCTGCCGCAGGGGGTCGCCAGGAGCGCTTGGCGCCCCTGAGGGTCCCGCCCAGCCTCGCCCCGCCCCGTCCAGCACTTACCTGCAGCGGCCTGGCCAACGCGGTGGCCTGACCCCGCGTCCCCGGGGCCCACAGCAGAGGCGAGGGCGCCGGAGCTGGGCTCAGCAGTGGTGCACACAGACGGCGGGCACACCCCGGGCGGCGCGGAGGAGGGAGCAGGAGGGAGCCGGCTCCTAGACCCGACGCTGCCAGGCGCTCCCGGGCCAGCCTCCGGAGGGGCTGGTGGCCCGTCTGAGCCTCCGCTTCCTCAGGCGTGAAATGGGGGCATCGGTGGCCATGGGCTGGGCTGTCCGAAGGCTCCAATGAGATCAGGGGCGGGAAGCACTCTGCAAACTGTTAAGTGCCGCGGCGGCAGGTCCGACTGCAATCAGGACTCGCCCACGCTAGTTTGCCGCGAGTACCGTGCCCGCTTCCGGCCCAGCCCGGTCCCCGCTTGGCGCGGGACCTTGACCGTGCGTGGGGCACCCCTGGGAGCCCCCCCTCCCGGTGCGACGGGCCGTCGACCTCGGCCTCCAGGGAGGCCGGTGGGCTTTGGAGAGCTGGGGTGGGGGGCAGACCTTGTACCCACAGCGGGAAGGGGCACAGTGAGTCCTGTGCCAGGAAAGAAGTTCAGGAATGAGGGCGGGTTGGGGGAGGTCACCGCCTGGAGTGACTCAGAGGGGCAGACTGCAACCGGAGCTGCCTACCTGAACACCAGGGTCCCTAGTTTCTTGTTTTCCTTCCTGAATCGTCTGTTCATATTCAACTATATAGTCTTAACCTGTGGAAGTATGCTATCTACACTCTTCTGCACGTTGCTTTTTTTCACTTAGCAAAATACGACATTTCTCCCATCAGTCGATATAGAGCTGCCTTGCTCTCTCATTTTAAAAACAGCTGAATAGTATATGTACTGTAATATATTTTATCAGTCCTACTCTGATAAAAATTAAGGCTGTTTCTAGTTTTTTATTTCATTCTATTACAAATACCATTGCAGTAAATAGCCTCTGCCAAAGCAGGTGGGTCTGCGGCTGGGGTGGGGCTGGGCTGTGCCCTGGGGATAAGGACACATTGTCTTATTTACTAGTGTGTCCTGACTAGGAACTAATAAAAGCCTGCAGTGCCCCAGCCTCTTTTGGAAAACCCCAGGGTTTCCAGCCTCCCTTGGGAGTCCCTGGATCTTAGGGTGGGGCCCGAGTCCTGTCTCCACAGAGATGATATTGCTGGCACTATGGTGGCTCCACATGGTGTTTGCCCAGGACTGTACTGGTTTATGTTTGCAGTGCTGGCATCATTAACAATGCCCCCTTTTACTTTCAAAAATGCCCCAAAGTTAGGAGCATCAATTATGGTCACCCTCCTCCTATTCATTTTGGTAGAGAATGAGCACTGAGTTGGGAGCCCAGCGGCATCTTTGCACCCGACACTGTCCCACATGCTTTATTTCATCATGGCAGCATCCAGATGAGGAAGGTCCAATCCCTCCTACTTTTATGAATGAGAAAGCTGAGGCACACAGGGGTGAGGTGACTTGCTCAGGGTCACACAGATAATAAGCAGCAGACCCAGCTCTGGAGGCCTCAGCAGTGTTGTTTCCAGATACAGAAAAGCCGCAGGGCAGAGGCTCCCTTGTACTCACTGGGGTCGTGGCCCTTGAAAATCTTTGCTGAGATTGAGGAGTGCCAGGTGGCTCAGGTGCATGTGCTATGCTCTGTGCATGGGCAGCGGGGAAGTGAGCATGAGGGTGTGGGGCCCTGGACTCTGCCGCCTGCTGCTCTGCTCCCTGTCAGAGCAAGACTTGCTCCCCGCTACCTCCCCTCCTAGTCATTTTTTGACACATTTGAACAATGTTCCTGTCCCTACCATGTCACTAAAAACGGCTTATCAGAGTCTCCGTGGATCTCCATAATGCTAAATCCAGCAATCACAGCTCTGTCCCCATGACCCTTGACCTTCAGAAGCACCTGGGACAATGGGGCACTCCTTCCTTCTAGAAACACTTTCTTCCCCGTGCTTCCTTGACACCACAGGCCTCACATCCTGGCCTCTAAGGTGGGCATGTCCCAGGGCCCAGTCTCTTCCTTCCCAGGTGAGCTCACCCAGTCCTGGGGCTCTAGATACCATCCACTCACTGATGATTCACACATTTCCAACACCGGACGTGACTTCTCCCTGAACACCAGACTGTAACCGGAGCTGCCTACCTGAACACCAGGGTCCCTAGTTTCTTGTTCTTACTCCCAAATCACCTGTTCATATTCAACTATATATTCTTTTTACATTTAACCTATGGAAGTGTGCTATGCTATCTGCACTCTTTTGCACTTTGCTTTCTTCATTTAACAAAATATGAGACATTCCCCCCATCAGTGGATATGGAGCTGCCTTGCTCTCTCATTTTAAAAACAGCTGAATAGTATATGTACTCTATTTAATCAGTCCTATTCTGATGAAAAGGCTGTTTCCACTTTTTTATTTCATTCTATTACAAATACCATTGCGTGACTATCCTTGGATAATCATTATTGAACACATTTGAAAATTGTGTCTACAGGACATATTCCTACATGTGAAATGTTTGCTTTAAAGTTGTATGTGTATTTAAAATTTTGATACATATTGCCCAATCGTCTTCACAGATGTTTCAGTTTGCACTCCAAGGGACAAGGGAGTGCCTGTATCCCCATATACGTACCAATAGAGAGCGTTATCAAGCTTTATGATCTTTGTCAATGATATCTCATCATACTTTATTTTGCATTTCTCTTGGTATGAGTGAGATTGAGCATCTTTTCACATATTTAAGGGCCGCTTTTGTTTGTTATCCTGTGAACAGTTCTTTGCCTTTGCCATTTTTCTATTGGATGGTTGACTTTTATTATTTATTTCTCAGGAGCTCTTTACATACTAAAGAAATAAGCCCTCCTCTGTCTGTGATACAAATAGAAAGGATTCCCTCTGCCTCTGCTGCTTCTTGACACCTGTGATTTGACTTTATAGACGGGGGTTTTGCCATACAGAATTAAACATGTTTTATGTAGTCCAGTGTATTAATATTATCTTTTATGGCCCTTGGGTTTTGTTGTCATTAGAAATGCCTTCACCACTCTGAGGACTGCAATAACATTTTTTCCCGTGGTTGCTTCTAGCTGAAGTAGTGTTTTAACGATCTATTAGACTGGTGCAAAAGTAATTGTGGTTTTTGCCATTGAAAGTAATGGTAAAAACCGCAGTTACTTTTGCACCAACCTAATAGATCATGCCACTTCCCTCTTAAAACCTTACAGTGACTTATCATTAACTTTAGACTGGCATCCACTCTCTTGACGTTGAGCCCCAAGGCACCAGGCGACCTAGTCCTGCCTCTCCCCCATCTCTCATCCCCTTGGGCGCTGTAGTGGCCTTCTTTCTGGTTCTTGAACAAGCCACATTCAGGTCAGCCTTCTGGTTTTTGCCTTTGCTGTTCTCTCTGCCTGGACTGCCTTCTCCTGACTCTTTACTTGGAAGCTTCCTCCTCCTTATTCAGGTCTCACCTTCTTACAGAGGTGTTCCCTGGTTCCCCCACCCCCACCCCAAATGTTCCTTGCTCCACTTCCTCAGCAGACACTCTTCACAGCCGTCTCTGAAATTATCTCCAGGAGAGCAGGGAGCTCCCTGGTCACGTTCCTGCCACATTACCAGGGCCTGGAATGTACAGACTCTCAGTCACTATTTGTAAACACTGGGTGCACATAAGGTTATGTGCGAGAACTGTTTCTGTGTGTGTAAGCCTGGAGAGCTGTGTGTTAAGGGTGGTATGTGGGCCACGTGTGTGTAGGCTTTGATGTGCGTTGTTGTGAGTGTGTGTGATGGTGGAGATGGCTGGGGTGGTGTGGGAGGCTGTGTGCATGTGTGGTTGTGAACGTGTGTGATGGCAGAGATGGCTGGGGTGGTGTGGGAGGCTGTGTGCATGTGTGGTTGTGAACGTGTGTGATGGCGGAGGTGGCTGGGGTGGTGTGGGAGGCTGTGTGCATGTGTGGTTGTGAACGTGTGTGATGGCGGAGATGGCTGGGGTGGTGTGGGAGGCTGTGTGCATGTGTGGTTGTGAATGTGTGTGATGGTGGAGGTGGCTGGGGTGGTGTGGGAGGCTGTGTGCATGTGTGGTTGTGAATGTGTGTGATGATGGAGATGGCTGGGGTGGTGTGGGAGGCTGTGTGCATATGTGGTTGTGGTGGTGTGTAGTGGTGTCTATGTGTGTGGTTGGGTTATTCTGCTCTGGTAACCAGGTGATTTTATCACCTAGGTCCTGTCATTCTGACTCTGCCAGATGCTGGCTTTTCACTCTTGATATGAGATAGTGCCCCCAACAACTGGCCTTTGCTTTTTCTGGAGTGAGCTGGAAGAGTTCCCCATTCCAGAGAGAATGGCTCTGAGAACCTTAATGCCTTGTGGTCCTGCCCTAAATTTCTGCTCCCTGAGTAGGGGAATGTGTAGGAGGCCATCTAGGCCATCCCCCTGCCTCAGGACAAAGCTGTGTTGCACCAGGGATTGGCAGCTGCCCTCAGGGCTTACACCTGCTCTCTAGGGGTGGCAGGGCCAGAGCCTGTACCTCTTCTGGCCCTGGCCCTGGCCCAGGCGGTGCTGCTCCCAGGCTGTCCTCTCCACCTAGAGCTCTGCCCAGGCCTCAGGCAGGTGCTTCCTGAGATGGGAAGACCACCCCGCCCCCCACCCCTGCCACCTCTCAGACTGGAGTTTTCCTTATCTTTGTGTGTCTGCAGCAGAGGCATGAGGCCCTTTCCTTCCTTGAGTGGAGAGGTGGGGCAGGCAGAAGCCATGGGAAACAGATCAGGCAGAGGGATGGGGGCTTTTGAGCCCTGCTCAGGCATGTCTGGGGCTGCAGGCAGGGAGGAGGCGATCTTCCAGGGAGGCCCTGGGCTGGAGTGTTGCTTATTTTCCAAGACACCTAGAGTTGCTCGAAACTTCTGCCCACACACCTTGCTCCTCGAATGGAGGTAATACGTGACTTTGCTGAGCTGCTGTCAGGAGCCAACCATACCATTCTAATATGCACGCACCCCTTCTTACCCACCAGGCACCTCCCTCCACCTCCTCTCTTCCTCCTCCATCATTGACCTTTTGCTCTTTACTGGATCTTTCCTGTTACCATGTGGGTATTTCTCCATCTTAACAACAAAACAACAAGACACCTTAACCTGAACCCCACTTCTCCTTCCAGCATCTGCCTCATTTCTTTCCACTCCTTTACAGCAAAATCTATCCAAAGACTTGTCCTGATTCATTATCTCCATTTTTTCTCTTTCATCTTCTCTTGAACTTACTCTAATCAAGCTTTAGCTTCCTATATGACACCAAAACTGCTCTTGTCAAAGTCCCTATAGCTAAACCCCATGGCCAAGTTTCAACCCTCATCTTTCCCTGAACCCTCAGCAGCGTTGAATGAAGTTGATTCCTCTCGCCTTGACACTATTCCTTTGGCTTCAGAGGCATCACACTCTCCTGACTTTTCTACTTCCTTTCTGCACTTTCTTTCTCAGTCTCCTTTGCTGGTTACTCCAGATCTTCCTGACTTTTAAGAACTGGGATGCCTTGAGGCTCAGTCCTTGCATTCTTTCTCTTCTCTGTCCTCCCTTGCTCACTTGGTAACATCATCCAGTCTCAGGGTTTAAAATACGAAAATTTAGCTGACAACCGCTAAATACGTATCCCCAGCCCAGACCATTCCTCTAAACTCTGTACTCATGTGTCCAGCTGTTAGTAAACTTTCTCCTAGGATGTTTAACATAGGTATCACAAACCTATGTTAAGCTCCTTACTTACTAGGGTTGCCAGATTTAGGAACAAAGCAAAAGCACAACCAGGACACCCAGTTAATTCTGAATTTCAGCTAGTACATGGGACACACATTAAAAAATTGTTGGCTGGGTGCGGTGGCTCACGCCTGTAATCCCAGCACTTTGGGAGGCCGAGGAGGGCAGATCACGAGGTCAAGAGATCCAGACCATCCTGGCCAACATGGTGAAATCCCATCTCTACTAAAAATACAAAAATTAGCTGGGCGTGGTGGCGCGTGCCTGTAGTCCCAGCTACTCAGGAAGCTGAGGCAGGAGAATCGCTTGAACCCAGGGAGGTGGAGGTTGCAGTGAGCCGAGATCGTGCCACTGCACTCCAGCCTGGTGACAGAGTGAGACTCTATCTCCAAAAAAAAAAAAAAAAAAAAAAAAAAAAAAAAGTTTGTCTGAAATTTGCTCATCTGGCAACCTATTCCTTTTCTTCCTCTCTGACCTTTTCTCTCACTTGTTCTAGTAAATGGCAGTTTTACTCATCGACTTGCTCAGGCCCCAAACCTTTGAGTCTTCATTGATCCTCTTTTCCCATATCCCACATTCAATGTCTGTGAATCATTTTGGTGCCACTTTCAAAATATTTATAGGGTCTGGCCACTTCTCGCTGACTCCATTAATATTATTGGGGTAACATGAAATCAAGAACCATTTCTTTCCTAGATGATTGCAGTAGCCTTGTAACTGGTCTTCCTGCTTTAGCCTTTGCCCCTACCCATTTGCTGCTAACAGAGCCGCCAGAGGGCTTGTGCTCCTGTTTGCTTAAAAATGCTGCACTGGCTTCCGACTCACTCTGACTGACAGCCGATGGCATCAGGATGGCCTGTAAGACCCTACACGATCGAGTCCTTCTCAGGCCTCACCCACAGGCTCTGGCCTCATTTCCACGTCTCGGCTCACTGGCTGCCCTGCCTCATTGGCTTCCTTGTGTCCTGGGTATGTGCCAAGACTTTCTGGGTCTCAGTGTCCCTGCACTTGCTCTTTCTTCTCTCTGAAATAGACTTACTGACCTTCCCCGGCCTCCCCATCTAAAATCGTAGTTCCTTTCTCAGCCTACCCTACTTCCTTTCCTGATTAATTTTTCTCCATAGCAGTATACCCATCTGACATATCCTGTATTTTGTTTGTGTTTTATGTTTGTTGTCTCTCATATCACTAGAAATCTGTGGGGACAGCCATTTACTTTCTGTTGTATTTGCTGCTATATTCCCAGTGCCTAAAACAGTGCCTGGCACTTAGTAGACAAAAAATACTTGTCGCACGAGTGAATAAAACCCCCACAGCATAGTAAGCTCCTGTCCCAGGCCAGTGCATGGCAGCCGTGTCATCAGTTCCCTTCTAGCTCAGCATCGCCACCTCCTACCCTCCAGAAGTTCCTCCCTGACCAGCTGCCCTCCTCCAGGAAGCCTTTTTTGGCTGAGCCTCATTTTTCCTCCCTCCTTCCTGCCACCAGGTAAGAATCCCTGGTGCTCAGGGGTCAAGTCAGTTGCGTGGCTGGCAGTAGTCTGTCTGTCCTCATCCAGCTTCTTCCCTCCTTCTGGATGGGAGGAGGCTCTTTGCTTGGCTGTGGTTTGAGCTGCAAGAGTATAGGGCATCAGGATGTCTGGGGAAGCCAGCTTAGGGTGAGGTGTGTGCAATAGGCCCTGAAATCAGTCTGCCACCTGCCATGTGGGAGCTTTTGGTGCCTTGATCCTGGGCTGAAGAGGTGATGGCAATGGATTTCAGGGCGTAGAGCTTAGATTGTATCTGAGCTGTAGGGCCATATTGTTCCCAGCCTCGCTGTCTCTACAAATTTGATAAGCACCTGATAAGATAGTTTGCCATTACCTGAGCTGTTAAGGATGAGGAAAGGAGCATATTGGGAGGGGCAGAAGAAAACAACAGGGTCGTCGTGCCTGGAGTTTGCTAAATGATCTGTATGTTTGTAAATGTGTTCTGGCACAACCATTTTTTTCCTTTTTTAAAATTTTATTTCAATAGTTTTTGGGGAACAGGTGGTTTTTGGTTACATGGATAAGTTATTTAGTGGTGATTTCTGAGATTTTGGTATACCTGTCATCCGAGCAGTGTACACTGTAGCCAGTATGTAGTCTTTTATCCCTTACCCCTCCTACCGTCCCCCCAATTCCCCAGACTCCATTCTGTCACTCTCATGCCTTTACTTCTTCATAGCTTAGCTCCTACTCATGAGTGAGAACATACAGTATTCTGTTTTCCATTCCTGAGTTATTTCACTTAGAATAATGGTCTCCACTCCATCCAAGCTGCTGGTGCAGCCATTTATTTATTTATTTATTTTTAAATTCATTTAATTTTACTTTAAGTTCTGGGATACATGTGCAGAACGTGCAGGTTTGTTGCATAGGTATACATGTGCCATGGTGGTTTGCTGCACCCATCAACCCATCATCTAGGTTTTAAGCCCTGCATGCATTAGGTATTTCTCCTAATGCTCTCCCTCCCCTTGCCCCCGACCCAGCGACAGGCCCCAGTGTGTGATGTTCCTTTCCCTGTATCCATGTGTTCTCACTGTTCAACTCCCACTTACGAGTGAGAACATGCGGTGTTTGGTTTTCTGTTGCTGTTAGTTTGCTGAGAATGATAGTTTCCAGGTTCATCCATGTCCTTGCAAAAGACATGAACTCATTCTTTTTTATGGCTGCATAGTGTTCCATGGTGTACATGTGCCACATTTTCTTTATCCAGTCTATCATTGATGGGTATTTGGGTTGGTGCCAAGTCTTTGCTACTGTAAATAGTGGGAGCAGCCATTTTTGACAAGGCCATTGGAACAGTTTGACATGGCCTTTAAAAACCATTTCTTATTATGATAAAAGTGCACAACAGAAGCTTCACCCCATCCCACATGCATTCCCAAGCTTCACCTAATCCCCAGCACTTAGCCCATCCCAAAGCCTCAGGACTGGTTGTTTTCACACAGCCAAAATGTCCCTTGCCTCCAGATGCCCTGCTATGGTTGGGTCTGAGTTTCCCGAGAGACATGTGTGTTTGGATGTCCAGTGGCAGCTGGATGCGTGGGACTGGGCCTCAGGAAAGAGAAGAGGAATTGGAACCCTTGTGTGAGTTGGTGCAAATGTAAAATAGTGCAGCCTTTCTGGGAAACAGCGTGGCAGTTCCTCAAGCACTTAAACACAGAATTACCATAGGGCCCAGCAAGTCACTCCTAGATATTCACGCAGAAGGATTGACAACAGAAACTTAAACAAATACTTGTACATGAATGTTCTTAGTAGCACTGTTCTCAATAGTCAAAAGGTGGAGACAACCCAAATGTCCATCAGTGCATGAATGGATAAATAAAATATGGTCTATTCACACAGTGAACTCTTACCCAATCATAAAAGTGAATGAAGTTCTGATACGTGCTACAATATGGATGAATCTTGAAAACATTATAAGTGAAATAAGTCACACACCCAGGGACAAATATGGTATGATTCCACTTTTTTGAAATATTGAGAATAGGCAAATTCATAGAGACAGGAAGTAGGTTAGAGGTTACCAAGGGTACCAGAGGTTGCTGGGGGAGTGGAGGTTATTGTTGAATGGGTACAGATGGAGCTCTTGCCGCGGGTGATAAAAAGCCTCTGGAAGGCCGGGCATGTTGGCTCACGCCTGTAATCCCAGCACTTTAGGAGGCTGAGGCAGGCGGATCATCTGAGGTCGGGAGTTCAAGACCAGCCTGACCAACACGGAGAAACCTCGTCTCTACTAAAAATACAAAAACATTAGCTGGGTGTGGTGGCGCATGCCTGTAGTCCAGCTCTCAGGGGGGCGGAGGTTGTAGTGAGCCGAGATCATGCCACTGTACTCCAGCCCGGTTACGGAGCGAGATCCATCTCAAAAAAAAAAAAAGGGCTCTGGAAATAAGTAGTGGTGATGGTTGCACGACATTGTGAATGTAATTAATGTGACTGAATTGTACACTTAAAACAGTTAAAATGGCAATTTATATGTTAAGTCTATTCTATTACAATATGAAAATTAAAAAAGAAGAAGGGTGGAAATACAGATTTTGGAGTCAACAGTGTTGAGATGGTGGTCAAGGCCATGGGAGAGGATGTAATCGCCCAGGGAGGGCATGGAGACTGAGGAGAGAAGGTGGCCTGGTACAGAGCCCCAGGGACCTTCCTAATTAAGAGGTGGGCTGAAGGAGATTGAAAGGGAGCGGCTGGAGCAGTGGGAGGAAAACCAGATGAATGGTGTCCCAGAAGCCTGGGTGTATTAGTCAGCACTCTTAATTGCAAATGACAGAAATGCAGCTTGAATTAGTTCCAGGCACAGAAGGCAATTCATTGGTTTATAGAAACACGGGTAGGGCAGGGGAGCCTTGGGGCCCCAGGGGTACCTGGAATTAGGTCTGGGGTGCATCTGGAGCTGCTCTCCTGCCTGCTTCACTTCTGCTCCTCTCTAACTGTTGGCTTTCTTCTCTCCTTGCACTAATGGGCTTTTGCACAAGGTTACTCTTAGCTTGAGCTCCTCCCTTCCAAGTTTTACCATGACACTCTTCTCTTAGAAAAGATTGAAATGATCTGCGGAAGAACGCTGATTGGCCTCACCTAGAGGACACCCTGAGGACAAGGGGCCTGGACATCAGCCTGGCAGGTGCCTTTAGAACCCCAGCTTAGAGGAACAGGAGAAGTGCTGAGTGGGCAGAATAAGTAAGGACTCAATGGCCTGGCAGAGAGGCTGAAGAAGGAAGACCATCTACCCTGCTAAATGCCTCATCACACAGACAAGGGCTGGAAAGCATCCACTGGGCTTAGTGACAAAGGAATCGTAGGTGAACTTGGCAGAGGCAAAGCAGTTTGAGTGGCATGTGAGGACAGAGACAGATCATAGCTGGTGGGTGAGTGAGTGGGAGGTGAGGAAGTAGAGACAGTAAGTGCAGACATCAGTTTCAGGAGGCGCAGTTGTGAAAGCCAGGAGAGAGGTAAGGAGGTAGCTGCAGGGAACGTGGGATCAAGGAAGGGTTTTGCTTTTGTTTTTGGATGGGAAAGATCTGAGCATGCTTAAATGCTGAGAGATGCAGGAGAGAAGTAGGTGTTAAAGATGCAGAAGAAAGCAAGGAGGTGGGAGAGAAAGAGGATCCTATGCACGGGTGGGGAATTTAGAGAATTAACAGTGGGCCCACCCATTTGTGCTGCGGGAAAGGAGAGAGGGAGGTTGTGGATGAGCGTTGGTCTGTAGGTTTGGTGGCAGTCGAGAGGAGAGCATTCTTCTCAGATAGCTTCTACTTTCTTTAAGAAATAGGATGTAAATAAGATGGAATGTGCTAGAAAGTTTGAGGAGAATGGAGAAATTGAGGAAACTGCCACCATGTACAACAGCAGAGAGACCAAAGCAGAATTCGTCAGGTGGCACCGAGCGCCCAGGTTAGGTGGGAGAGCAAGAATTTGCAGTGGCCTCACTCTGTTTGGTTGGGTGGTTTACTCTAGCAGAGTCCAACACAGGGTGGAGAGATGGAAAAGCCCCGTTGGATTGATTGGGGCCTGGAGTTCTGCTAAGGAAGGAGGGGCAGAGGGTAGTGGGTATGCCATGCAACAGCAGTTCATTCTAGTCACCATCTCAGCAAATATTCATTACCCTTTTACTGTGTACTGGCCATGGCGCGAGGTCTGAGGATACATTGCCAAACCAGACAGATACTGTTCTTGCCCTCAGAGAGCCTGTGGTCTAGTAGGGAAGGCAGCTCCCATGTGAGATAAGGGTGATAATAAAGACACTGTGGAGCTCAGGCCTAGGCTGGCTGCAGAAGGAAGGGAATGTAGGGCAGGGAGGCTGGTAGATTGAGAGAAGGACACAGGGTCAGGTCTGGAAGTGCCTATGGGGTCACGAACAGGTGTTGAGGGAGGAGCTAAGTGAGGGGGTCGGGTGGAGGCCGTGGTCAGAGCATAGGAAGACTTCCCATCATTAAAAAAACCTTCGCTGGTCCCCTCATTCTCCTGCCAACAAACACCCTCTTGTTTCCTATTCTTCTCACAGCCACGTTCACCAGCCAGTTGTTCACACCTGTTTCCATGTGCCCAGCCCTCACTGTCCCTTCACTGCCCTGGGACCTGGTTTCTACATCCCATACTCCTGCACAGGTACACATGACCATCTTGTGAATCGAACGAACACTTTTCAGTCCTTATTTGATTTGGCCCATGTCAGCGTTTGGCTCTGATGATCACTTTCTCCTTCTAGAAACACTTCTCTTGGCTTCTGCGACACCATCTTCCTCCTCTACGATGTCATACCCCCATGGCTTGTATGATCTCTACTTACCCTGCCCGGAGCTGTCTTTCCCCCATGTTATTTGACCTTTAAGTCTCCAGCCTAGGGTATCTTCTCATCTCTCCCCCAGTCTCTGTATGGTCTTACCCACTCCCAAGGCTCAAGCCCCCAACTACCATAGAGGCCCAGATTATGTCTCCAGATAAAAGGTAACCCCCCATATTCCCATTGAGGAGAGCCTCAAAAATGTGTGGGGGCTGACCTGGATATATAAACTTTTAGTGTGGTTGAAATAAAATGTACTGTATTAACTTAGTTTGTTATACATTTTAAAAATCACATTGTATACAACAATGTAGTAAGAAGTATTAGTTTTTCTCTCCTCATGCTTTATGAAGTAATTTTATTTAAATTTTTAACATTTTTCTCTAACATCTGAGTCTACATCATTAGAGCTTTGGTTGTTATCAACATTTTACAAAACACAAAAACTTTATTTCTGCCCAAGTTATTTGTGACATAGTGCTTTTTGAATCTGTTTATGATGCTGGAGATTTTATTCTTTGCCATAAAAGTCTGGCTGCTTAACATTAGGTTGCATAAATAAAAAAAATCTTCCAGTAGGTATTTGTCATCTCCATAACATAACCACTTCCTTTATTGTTTTAAAGTGATTTTTTAAAATGGGCTTGCTTACAAAGACAATCCTTGCAATTGTAAAGTCCTGCCCTTGGGAATAATGATTCAATATACGTGAAATGCCTTTGCCTTCACTTTTTTTTTTTTTTCTGATTCTGCCAAGCAACTACCATGAATATCCAAAACTTCATTGATTGAGGTTATTTCGGGCTAATGAGTTTTCCCCAAAGAGCGTTTTGTTGTTCAAAATGCAATAATTGAGAGCATGCCCCGCAAATGCAGGGAACTTTGTAAAGACTTGAATGAAAGACAAAGGCTTCCTTCCTAAAGGGTAATTTTGGAGCAAAATCATGTCTTATATTCATGCATTTATGCTGACAACTCCCAAATAGATATCTCCTGACTTGTCCTTTTCCCTCTTACATCAGCAGCCTACTAGACATCTCCTGGGTGCCCATCATCAGTGTCAACCCATTTTAATTGAGTGCCTACTATGTGTCAAGCACTTTTCTAGGTGCTAGAGGATAAAAGGGTGAAGACAACACAGCCCAACTTCTTTTTTTTTTTTTTTTTTTTTTTTTGAGACGGAGTCTCGCTCTGTTGCCGGAGCTGGAGTGCAGTGGCACGATCTCGGCTCACTGCGAGCTCCGCCTCCCGGGTTCACGCCATTCTCCTGCCTCAGCCTCCCGAGTAGCTGGGACTACAGGCGCCCGCCATCACGCCCGGCTAATTTTTCGTATTTTTAGTAGAGACGGGCTTTCACCGTGTTAGCCAGGATGGTCTCAATCTCCTGACATTGTGATCCGCCCGCCTCGGCCTCCCAAAGTGCTGGGATTACAGGCGTGAGCCACTGCGCCCGGCCCAGAGTCCCACTTCTTGAGGAGCTCATCCCAGTGAGGCAATAAAGAGAATAAATATGTAAAAAAATAAGAAAATTTCATATACTAGTAAGTGCTACAAAGAAGATAAAATGAGATCACATAATGGAGAGTGACAGTGTGTGGTGGGTGAGGAGGGTGGGTCAGAAAGGGCCTCCTGGAAGAGGGGATGTCTGAGTTGAGATGTGAATGCTGGGGAGACAGACATGTTAATCTGGAGGGGAAGAGCCCTGTCAGCGAGACAGGTGCAAAGACCCCAAGATGGGAGAAGGCCAGTGTGGGTGGAGCATGGCAAGAGGGGAGAGTGAAGGGAGGTTGGCTTGGAGCAGGAGCAGTAGTCAGTGCCTGACCCCATAAGACCTTGCAGGCGATGGTAGAGTTTGGCTTAAATTTATTTTTCTGGCCATGATGGGAAGCCACTTGGAGGATTTTAAGTCAGGGAGTGACTCCACTGGTCTGACTGACGTGCTAGAAAGATATTTCAGGCTGCTATGTGGAAGAAGACTTTTAGGGGAACAAGAGTGGAGGCAGGGAGACCAGTTGCTGCAGGTGTCCAGGTGTAGAAATGAGGTGCCTTCGCCTGGGACTGAAGCACTTGGAAAGACTAGGGTGTTGGATATGAAGTCACCAAGTGTTTGGATTTTGATATGGTATTTTGGAATTATAGCCAACACAACTTGCTAATGATGCCAATATGATTACGAGGAAACAGACTCCAGGTTTTTGAATTGAGCATCTGGATGGATGGGGATGACATTTTCCAAGGTGGGGAAAACCTGGAGAAAACTAAATCTGTTCTCAGTTAGGGGAATTAGGAGTTCTATTTTAGATGACCAATAGAAGTTGAATACAGGAGTCTGACCCTCATGGGAACAGTTAGGTCTGAACACATCAATGTGGGAGTCATCAGTTTATGGATGGTTTTATAGGTGGTACTGGATCAGGTCACTGAAGGGGAAATGTATAGAGAGGAGGAAAGAAGGTAGAGAACTGGGCCCTGGGGCATCTTGCGTTTAGAGCTTAGGAAGAGGAAGGAGAGGCATTGAAAGACATCAAGAAAGACACATCAGTGAGGTGGGAGGAAAGCCAGGAGAGATTCTGCCTGGAAGCCGAGAGGAGACAATGTTTGAGGAGGGAGCTCTTCATGGCTGAGTGATGCTGAGGGAGTTAGGCCAGGCCGAAGAATGGACCACTGGATGTAGCAGCTTGGAGGCCCTTGGGGATATTGACAAGAGCAGTCCTGACTGGAACAAGTTAAAGCAACAAGGAAGTGGAGGCAGCAAGTATAGGAGACTTTTGTTTTGGCAATGAGGTAGCAGCTGGAGAAGAATGGAGTTTCAAGAGAGAATTCAAAAAAAGAGAGAGATGAAAGTATTATAGTGTATTGGTAGAAAGGGAAATGGCAAGGCAGGAGAGAGAGGCACCAACTGTGGAGCACAGTCTAGAGTAGGTGAGGGGTGAAGGGGTCCATTGTCCAAGCGGAGGAGGGTGTCCCAGGAGCAGGGATGCTTTGTCCACGTTACAGGGGAGGAGCAAGGCTGACAGCCGCTCATGCTTTGAGTTTGGCAGATGTGGTAGCAGTAGGCTGAGTTGAGCTGGCCTTTTGCTTCTATTCCCAGCACGTTGTTATGCCTGACTATCAGCTTAAATGGAGGATTAGGAGAATGGGGTCTGGAGGTTTGAGGAAAGAGGAGAAGGCATGATAGAGTCATTTTGGGGAGTAGGGATAAAGTTTTAGGAAAATATAGAATTTCTTAGAGGTGCTGAGTGTCCACTTGAACTTTGTGGTCAAAAGTTTAAATGGAGACCAGTCAGTCCAGTTGTATTATCCTCCAGGTGCTCAGGAACAGGTGCCATGTGGAGAGTTGGGTTTAACCGGAGTTAGGGTCTTGCCAGATAAGTACTGGAGAGGCATGAGAAGGCGAGGGAGTGGAGGACACCTGCAAGCTGGTGATTATCTGGGGGACTGTGGAGTCTAAGCTGAGAAAGGAGGGCAGGGAGAATGGAAAGGGGTGGGGGAACATAGTGGTGGGTCAGTAGATGGGGCAGAAGGATTGCTGGAATGGGAATCAGGTTGGGTGAGCCACATAGATGGGAGATGATGCAGCTCTTGGTGTAGACAGAACTAGGGTGTGAACATGCAGGTGGGTGGGTTGGAAGAGTGGATAAAAAGGTTGTTGAAATCAAGGAAGTCAAGGAACTGAGAAGTCAAGGTGTTGAAAATGGAGTCACTACTAATAAATGTAGTAGCAGATGGAAGACACTGAACGAGGGGCTGAGGTCATCCGTGAAGGAGAGGGAAAAACCACGATATCTTACTTGTATCTCAAATTCAACATGTCTGAAACTGAAGTCATCCACACCTCCCCACTCAAGTAAATGGTACTACCATTCACAGCCAGAAACCTGGGTGTCACTTTGATCCCCACACCCAATTAAATCATCACATCTTTTGGATTCTATCTTGTAAACATTTCTTAAGTCCATCTACTTCTTTCCATCCCCAAGGTGCACACCCTAGTTCAGGCCATTGCTGTTTCTTGCTTGGACGATTGCACCAGATTCCAAACAGGTAGCCCTGCCTTGGCCCCGCCACATTGTATCCAGAGACATTGCAAATTGGATCATGTCACTTCTGTGCTACATCTCTCTAGGGACTTGTCATTGTCCTCAGGATAAAGTCCAAAGTCATTAGCAGAGATTTACAAAGAAATCATTGCAAGGATCCAGCCTCTGTCTACTCCAGCCTGACTCCTACCTGAGCCCCTCACCTGGCCCAAGAGCTCCTGGGTTCTTTCCATCTTTGTCACCAGGTATACTCTCCCTTTGCATAAGCTATCCCCTCTGTCTGGAATTCCGCCTCCTTGCTTGGCAAAATCCTCCTTCTCTAGATGTCTCAGGGAGCCTTTTTCTGGATGCCTGGATGTTAGATCCTCTTCCCTCTCTCCCCAGCTTCCCCAGTGCGCCATGAGTTTGGTAGCTGTCCTCTTCTCTAGAATGTAAACTCCATGAAGTCAGGGACCATGTCTGATTTTTCCCAGATGACTCCTTAGCACCTTATATGGAGCTTTCACATGAAAGTGAATAATAAAGAACAAATATTTCCAGGAATGGAAGGCTCTAGAGGTGAAACAGTTCTGGGTGATGACCAGGTCTGGGGTGGGGTCCTGCTAGTGGGTAGCTAAATGTTGTGGCAAAGGTGGTCATGGGATAGAAAGGACAGGGTGATGCACAGGTGACCCCTGAGGCCTTGGATCATGGGAGAATAGCAGGAGGAGAAGGCCTTGGGCTATGGGCTCAGTCTTCAATGAATGAGGAGAGGTAGATGGCAATAATGTGGGCAGGACAGAGGGCAGAAGAGGAAGCAAAGGGGGATTTTTCAAGAAGGTGAAGGTGGACAGGTGTGAGTGGTGGTGAGAGCAGTGTGAGTCTTGACATTGTGGGTGGGATTGAGGATAAATGGCCTGATGGCTGAAGCAGTTCTTAGTCGCAGCCTCCTCTGAAGGTCCCCACTTGGCTCAGTGGCTCAGGACTCGAGATCTTTGGGAAGAGCATCCAAGGAGAGGTCGCCATGGGAGCTGTCAGGTCCTGGAGTGAGCTCACTATAAGCTGGACCAAGCAGCTGCCCCTGGAGGATGGATCTGGAATCTTGGGGGCATTGGCTATCGTGGGGTCCTCTGGCCTGGACTTGGGAGCTACTGTGGTCTGAGCAATGTGGGGCTATCTGGCTCTGAACTGGTCAGGAGTGCCACCCTGTTCTTTTGGGCTGGTGGTCACAGCTCTAGTCTGGATTGGAAGTGGGAGCTACTCTTGTTTCCTGGAGTCAGGAGTGTAGTAGATGGCATTGGTGCCCTGCCCATGTCCCCTTTACTGGGGGAATCCATTCCCCAAATGCTGTGAATATTGGCTGCTGATGGCTTATGGCTACCCCTGAAGAATTGATTTTGACTGAGCCAGAGCCACCTACCACTTCCTGCCAACCCTCCTGCCATTGGGGGCACCTGAAGTAATGACCGACTGAAATGTGGTGAGACTTATGATCTGAAGCCCCCTCATCCCACAGGGGTCGGGCCAAGGCTGCATCTCCCTGAGTCTGCATCCCTGCTCAGCTCAGCCCCTCCCTCCCCAACTCCCCTTGCTTCTTCCTTCACATGCACAGAAACCCCTGCCTCTGGCTCTGCTTCCAGGGAGCCTGCCCTAAAGACAGGTGACTTCGATCTTATGCCATAATCAGGGGTGGGTGTGGAGTCTACCTGTGGACCACAGAGGACAGAGCCCCTGACAGACTCAGCAGATCTGTGTGGTCTTGAAGGGCCTCCTCCCCTTTCTAGACTCAAGTTTGCTTACCTAAAGGTGAGACCTTGATGCTGGCTCTAGTTGAAACAACAAAAACAAAACAAAGCAAGCAAACAAATGCTTTGCTGAAGTCCGCAGGCTAGGTGTGGTGGAAGATTCCGATGAACAAGACTCAGTTCCTTCCCCCAAGCAGACTATTTACTCATCTAACAAGCATTTATTGAAGGCAGCAGGGACCTGGATGACTCAGTGACCTGCCCATTAAGGGCTCACAGACTGATAGGGAGACACTCAGGGGAAGTGACAATTCCGATTTGGGGAGAGTGGCAGAGGGACAAGCGAGGCTGGCACTTAGAGAGATGGGTAAAGCTGTCCTAGAGGTTCGAGGGAGGATCACAGAGGGGGTGGGAAGGGCATTCTAGCCAGAGGAAATAGCATGACAAAGGCACGAGGAATGACACCACATGACGTGTCTGCCTGGGGAACCAGGAGCCCTTTGGTATTACTTGCAGGTAGAAAAGGGGAGGAAGCTGGGATGAGGTGGGGAGGTCAGCGGGGGCCATGCTGAGGGCATGGGGCTGGTGATGGTGGAAGAAATTTTAAAGCAGGTGGAATGACATGGTCAGTTGCATAGACAGATAAATCACTCCATCCCTGTAGCGGAGGGCAGATGGGGGAGGTCCAGGAGGTAGTTAGGTTGTTGTAAGGAGAGGAAGAGCAGATTCAGGTGGCATTTAGGGACTGGAATCAGTGGGATTTGGTGCCAGTGGGGGTGTGGGGTGTGAGGGACAAGGATGTCAGGCTTGTCTCGTCCCCTGGCTTGGGCAGCTGGGTGAATAGCTGTGTCCTGCATGAGATGGGGTGGGGCATCTTCAAGGGGGCAGGTCTGGGTGAGCTGATGAGGTCAGCTTGGGAGTGGCGGGTATGAGATGCCTGGGGGCCTCCCAGGGAATTGTCTAGTGGGCATTTGGTGGGACTCAGAGGCATGTTAGGGTGGAGGTGTGGTTCTGGGAGTTGCCAAAGTCTGAGTGGTGGTGGGGTGGGGGAGTATGGGATGGGGAAGTTGTATCAGTGAAAAAGAACATGAAATTCCATAGACTCCAGGATCCACAAGGGACCTTTCAGCTCAGACACTCTCAGTGGGCCCTGGCCTGTAGGATGTGCCTCTTGGGCACCTTGACAGATTCCCATCCCTGGCTTGCTCTCAGCCGTGACCCTCCCACCGTCAGAGGGGACTCACCTATCCGGGACCTGTGCTGGGCAGGGCTAGGGAGGCCCAACCCACGCTCATTCCTGTGATGGACGATCACTGAGAACTGACTCCTGCTGGGCACAGGGTCTCCTGGAATTCCTCTCCTCCTGCTTTGGCCAGGTGGTTGCACAACCCAGAGGCCCCTGGAGTAGCCTCTGCCTTTGGGCACAGCCCATCATGTTCTGGGGGCACACACTGTGTGTGTTGGGGGGTGATGGGTGAGCCTGGATCTGAGGTTCCAGTGCTCAGGTGCTCACTGAGTAGTCTTGGCATCCTCTCTGAGGTCCACCTAATCCCCCCTGCCCCCCGTTTTCCTATCGGCCACTCCCCACCTGGTCTGCAAAGTACTGGGAAAATCATATTTATTAAGAGGTTTGACATATACTGTTGCCATATACAAAATCCCCAGTAGCTATCAACCTCCCTCCCCTGAGGCTCAGGACCCAGGGACCAAACTACCCCCAACCTCCCACATTGGCCCCTGGGCGAGCTTCCTGAGCCCCCACAGCCACCCTCCTCACCACCCTGCTACGGCAAGGATGCCACTGCCCCTGCCTTTTTTCCTGGGTGGCCTCATGTGGGGGGGACCTGTTGATCTTATCTGCTGATCTCGCAGGTTATGGATACCCACCTGCATCCACTGGGGCCGACCCAGCCTTCATTAGGACAGAGTTCCCATCCTCAGGGTGCCCTCCCTGGGAGAGGACATATGGTGGGCACGTATCGGGTAGGCATTCCCGGCACCGAGGCCGCCGGTGCCTGGGGCCGAAGATCTCCATGCACCTCTTGCCCACCAGGTAGAAGACTTCACTGAGGTTGAGCAGGATGCAGATGGCAGCTGTGGTCACCATGAAGTAGGTGAAGACCTTCTTCTCCGTGGGCCGGGAGATGTAACAGTCCACAGTGTGGGGGCAAGGCTCCACGGAGCAGGCCACCACGCGGGGCATGTCATAATCCTTGTAGAGGCGGTGGAAGATATAGAGGAAGCCAGCATCCACGGCGGCCTTGAAGATGAGGCTCAGCAAGTACGTCCACCACAGTCCGCCCCGCTTCTTGCTCAGGTTGTCGTACAGGGACGGGGCATTGGGCCCGTGTTTCAGGTGGTGCTTGCGCTCGCGTTCCTCGCGGTAGGCCACGTGCATGACCACGAGCAGTGAGGGGCACGTGACCAGGATGAGCTGTAGGGCCCAGAGGCGCACGTGGGACACGGGGAAGAACTCGTCATAGCAGACGTTGGGGCAGCCGGGCTGCTTGGTGTTGCAGACAAAGTCCTTCTGCTCATCGTCCCACACCTCCTCCGCTGCCACCACGTACACCAGCACACGAAAGATGAACACCACAGACAGCCAGATGCGGCTCAGCACTGTGGAGTACTTGTTCACGCCACTCAGCAGGCCCTGCAGAAATGCCCAGTTCATGCTGGCTGTGTCCTGGGTGCTGCACGTGGAAGGTCTATACCTGGGTGCTACCTGCCCACTCAGGCCTTGGGAGCCTTGAGGCCTGGGGGAACCTGGAGATGGGCACCCTTAATGCTGGTGCGATTGACAAAATCTTTTCACAATCACCGTGTCATCATGTCTTCACTCCCAATGACTTGGTAGGGTAGGGATTGCCCCTGTCCTCATTTCACAAAGAGTAAGTGAAGGCCCAGAGATACCTGCCCAATGGTCCACAGATGGAAGTAGCAGAGCTAATCTTGCACTTTGGTCTTCAGGTTCCAAAATCAGGGTCTACCTTATTCTACAAGGTAATAGATACATGTGAAGACAATCATCCTGCATGGATATGCCAGCCAACCTCTATTACCCCAAGTTTCAGCCCATGTCTTCTAAAGAGACCGTAGGAAGGCTTGAATTGGACGATCTGCTCTCCCATCAGCTGCCAGGGCTGGGCCAGGGCAGGAGGGGTGGGAACGTATCCTTATCAGTTGTCAGATCCATCCCACTTTTACTGAACACCAACAAGAGCCTGGCCCCGTGTTGGGGACGTTCACATCAGCCCCTTGGTAAATCCCAGAACAATCTGCATCCTTACTCCTTGCCTCTGGCTCCAGGAAGGTTCTCAGCCCTGGCATTCCCTCCCAAACTAAACAGAGGTGCTTTGGAATCACGGGGACTTGATATCATCCCTGCCAACCCGTGTACTGGTGCTGGGGCCTGAGGGCTGACTGTCTTGACCACAGTGGGTTCCTCTGGAATTCCAACCATTCCAGCTTTAGGAAGGACTGAGGATGGATTCTGGCATGGTCTGGACCCCCCATTTACTTTCTCTGGGGGCACCCCCTCCTCTGTCCATTTAGTGGCTGTTTGCTAGCCGCATTTCCATTATTTCCTCTCAGGCCCCTCTCCTGTGGACTCTGACCTCCACACCCCCTTGTCTGGAGTCCCCATCAGGCCCCATGTCCAACCCTCCCCTCCTCCTACCCTCCTCCTTCCCCATCCCCAATCCCTGACTCTGCTCTCAGCCTCTTCAGACATCGTGTGCCTGGGACACTTTCAGAGCAAGAGGCATCGCCTGTACCCAAATGGTCTATTTACCTGTCTTATTTTTTTGCCAGGCTGTCAGCTGCTAGAGGGCAGGCTCTTCACCTCTGTCTCCCTAGCACCTAGCACTGGCCTGGCCCAGTGAACACACAATAGATGTTTGTTAAACTGAACTGAAACCCATTTCTTCCTGATACCCCCTCTTCCCCAATCTTCTGTCGTCCCTTAGGTCAGCCAGGACATTCCTTCTCCTCCTTGGCACTTCCCTGGGGATCCTCTAGGGACACTGACCCTCTGGCTCCCTCCCTGAAGCCCAGCCCACAGCCTGAGGTCCCTTGGATATCCTCAGCTCAGCTGGTTGCTTGCTTCCTGGCCAGCCTCCTGCCCTATTCGGTCCTCACCCTTCTTGGGTCCAGTAGCTGCTTCCTTGTCCTTGGGCTTGTCTGTTTGCCTCAGGACCTCCCGGAGGCAGCTTTTGTTCCTCTCTCCCTTGCTGGGTGGGGCTTTCTGGGCCAATGAGCCAAGCGAGAGTGATTGGGTGGGCAGGCAGGAGGGCGGACTTCCCCGGGCACATACTCAGAGCAAACACCTGCGGCTCTTCTCTCCTGGCCCACGCCTCCTCTCTAGCCTGGCTGGGTATGGCTGAGCCTGGCTCCCAGGCAGGCAGGTATGTGGGTGAGACTGCTGTGTGGGGTTCAGGAGCCTGATATCATTATGCCTAGGCCTAGGACAGCACCAGTGGGATTGACCCTGTCCCCTTCCCATTGCCTCCTTACCCTGCCTCCTTGCCCTCTCTCCTGCCCTTTTCCTGGGAAGCCTGATACTGAGGTCTCAGCAGCTGACATCTACGGAAAGGGGCAACCTTAATTTAGTGCAGGAACGCATCCCATTCTGGTGGTGGGATATTTCTGGGACTGGAGTCTGGAAGCTCTTGGATTGTGTAGGAAATGGGAGGGGTCAACTATGACTTTTCTAGACCAGGGCACCCATAGCCTTGGTGGAGGCAAGGAATGCAGGTCAGCAGCATGAAATGCCCCAGTTAGCACAGGGCCAGGCACAGCATCGCTGTCCATCCTCTGTGGGTCCTGGGGAAGGCCTCCAGGGAGGCTGGAGTGTGACCTCACATATGCTGGTGGGGGGCCTGGGACCTGTGTTCTGGCTGGGATGATGAAGGTTAATGTGCAGCTAGGGAGGGGCCTTCTGCCTCGTTTCTCACAGGCATTATCAAGCACTTCCTAATACCAATGATTAACATTTATGTGTCCTTTTACAGCTGGCTAGCCCTGTCCACAGCCATGAGCTCATCAGTCCTCAGCACAACCCCACAGGCTAGGTATTATTAACCCATTTTGGAGAGAAGCTTAAGTTACTTTCCCAGAGTCCCGGTGGAACTTGGATTCGACACAGGCATTCTAAGTTCATGAACTTCCCACTGCAACATGGACTAAGCTCCATTCTCTCTGCAGACAACCCACAGGACTAAACTTGCCATGGGGGATAAAGGCTAGATGGGAGCATGAGCAAGTAGCACGTCCCCTGGAGTACTGGGGGCCCCCTTTCTGGAAGAGAGGATGCCCCTCACAGGCTGGATCAAGTGCAGCTCTTCACGGGGGCAGAGAGATTGACACCATGAACGTGTGAGGGTCACGAAGGCCGCACAACCAGAGGGCACCTGGAACCAGCAAATGAGTTGACTTTTATTAAGTTCTGACAGTGGGCCACACACGATGAAGGTGCCCGCATGTGTGTTCTTCTATGAACGCCCTCCTCCCTCCAACCCTGGGCATTGGCCCTCACTATTTCCATTCTAGAAAAGGAAACCGAGCTGCAGAGCAGAGGGGGAACTGGCCCAGTGCCGTCGAGCTGGGGCAGGTGGCTGGAGTTGAGGACTAGGAACTGGCTCCCAGAGCGTCTGAATCCTCTCTCTTGCCTGCCCCTACCTCATGGCTTAGCTCCCCCACTCTCAGGTTGCACCTATGAGAGATGCTAGAGCCTCCCCATCCAGGCCCAACCTGCCAGACCAGTCCAGGCAGCCCCTCACAAGATGGTTTTCTTCACATGGTCTCGGGGGCGGTCTGGTAAGAGAGGAGGATGACTGTCTGAGCCCAGAAAGATGAGGTCACCCGAAAGGAGGTCGTCTTGTTTGCAGGAAGAGGTGGTACCGTGGGGGTGATGACCTGTGCACATGGCTTGAGCTTTCCTTGCTGCCAGGCACTCGTGGCATCTCTTGCTCACCAGGTAGATGAGCTCCACGAGGTTGAGCAGGATGCAGATGGCAGCTGTGGCCACCATGAAGAGGGTGAAAATGTTCTTCTCTGAGGGCTTGGAGATGAAGCAGTCCACTATATTGGGACATGGATCTGCGTGGCACTTGACCACAGGAGGGAGGATATATTTGGGGTAGAATGAGTGGAACACATAGAGAAAGGCGATGTCCACGCTCGCCTTGAACACTAGGCTGCAGACATATGTCCACCAGAGCCCACCCCGCTTCTTGCCGGGGTTCAGGTAGAGGCGCCCACTGTTCTCCCCATGGGCTTCTCGGTGCCTCTTCTCCTGAACCTCCCGGTAGGCCACGTGCATGACCACGAGCAGTGAGGGGCATGTCACCAGGATAAGCTGCAGGGCCCAGAGGCGCACATGGGACACAGGGAAGAACTCATCAAAGCAGACGTTGGAGCAGCCGGGCTGGCGAGTATTGCAGTCGAAGTCCTTGTGGTCATCACTCCACACACGCTCGGCCGTCACCAGGTACACCAGCACGCGGAAGATGAAGACCAGAGACAGCCAGATGCGCCCAAAGGCTGTGGAGTACTTGTTGACCCCACTCAGGAGTCCCTCAAAGATACTCCAGTTCATGGTGGACCCACGCGTCAGCTGCTACTGCAGGGAAACAAGAACAATCATTTCCTACATTTATCACAGACTTGCTCTGAGCACTTTGTAGAAATATGTCATCACATTTCATCCTTACCATCACTAGAGGAGCTGGGTTCTACTACTGTCCCCATTTTGTAGAGGGAGGGAGCTGAGGTTTAGTGGCATTATATACAAGGTTACACAACTATTAGGTGCAGGGCTGGGATTTGAGCATAGGTAATTAAGTCCAGAACCCAGCTCTTACCAATACCAGTGGATAAGGGCAGGTCCAGGGAGCCACTCATTCCTCCCCGGGCCTGAGGCTCTGGTCTTGAGGTTCTGCAGAGTGAAGACTGGTGGAGCTGGGACATTCTGCCTGCTCCCTCTGTTTCAACCCTGGCCCTCCTCCTCAGGGGGGCTGAGCCTTGAGATGGTTCTCTCCTTTCTGAGCACTGCTGCCTCTTCTCAGACAGCCCCTTCCCCAGGGGAACCTGCTCTTTGTCCTTTTCTTGGCTCAGGGATGGGACTGGAAAGGAGGCTGGAACCTTGTCCCCAAGCCCCCATCTGGTCTAACACTCTGTAATTAGCCAGGCAGAGTCCTGCTCAAGTGCCACTCAATGCAATCCAGCTGAAAGCTAAAGCAGGCAGCAATAAATTCTCTTCATACAGTAGGTTTCCTAGAGTAACCTGGTATTCCAGTGTTTCCCAAACAGTGTTCCCTGGAACCCTGTCCCATAGGTTGGCAATAGGAGAAGTGAGAGAAGAGGATTCTGTGTCAAGAAAAGTTGGCAAACATTGGGTTTAGTAAAGTTAAATAGGGTTCTTTTGCTCAACCGTGCTAATAAACTCACTAATAAATTCACCAAAAGAGGTATGAAATATGTGGCATTGCCCAAACTCATTTGCCCACAGAAGCCCTTTTCCTCCTGACATAACATTTATCATCTTGTGGAACAGCCTTGTCAAGACATCAAGTGGGAAATGCTGCTCCTGTCAGTTCTGCTGGTGAATTTGGCCTGATGAACTCACAGAATCAGATTCACCTCCGCGTAAGGACTGTGACTGCTAGGCAGAGTAAGGGGTCCCCACTTCCTCACCCGCGAGTCCTCTGCCTGATTCCTGGAGATGGGGGTGTGTCCATTAAGACCCATGCACTGTGGTTTCAACCAACTGTGCACCCTGGGACCCCAAGGAACCTGTCTGCCTAGCCACTAAAGGGCTCATGATGGCCTTCCCATGCTGGTCCAGGCTGAAGCTCACCAGGCTCTCTGGAGCCTCTGCATGATCAACTGCAAAGCAGAGTAGTGATAACAGCCAATATCCATGAAGCATTCATGCCGTGCCAGGCACCGCTCTAAGTTCTTTGTATGAATCAGTACATTATTCCTTCACAGCAACCTTAGGAAAGGGCATATTTTTTATTCCCAATTTACAGATGAGGAAAGAGGAACACAGAGGGATTAATTAACTTGCTCAACGTCACACAGCTAATAAGTGGCAGAGCTAGGATTTGAACCCAGGCAGGCTGGCTCTAGAGCCCACCCTCCGGGAACTGCCCAGCCTTAGGCCTCAGACCCTTTCCTCAAGTTTCAATGAGCTGCCTGCCTGTTTGTGTGCAGACGGATTCTGTCCTTCCCCTTGTGTGTGGATCCTGGATGAGGGTGGCTGGGGGAACCTTTGCCCACCACCCTGTCTCCACACCACCTGCGCCACTTGGACGGGGGATGGGTGGAGGTGGGGGCCGGGGTTGGGGGGAGCTCTGTTTTGAATCACCATCTTGCATGCTCAGTCCTGTCTAAGGTAGGACTCCTGCAGCTTCTCAGGGAACACCCAGGAAGGCCCCGCCCTTAGCCCCAGGGGCTCTCACCCAGCCCATCCCTACTTGGGGAGGAGTGGGGCAGGGCTTTGCAGGCCCAGGCAGAGCTACCCTGCCTGCTGAGCTTCCGGCCTGGCCCCTGCTCCTACCTTTGCCCGGCTGGGGAGACCTGAAAGAACCCAGAGCCCCTTATTCCTCCACCATCAGGACCCAGGGTGGCAGATGTGTCCAGGCCACATCCCACCACTCCCCAGCAGAGAAGTGTCCTCCTGCCACGTATGCCAAGGGGCAGGGCACATGCGGACACAGATGCCCTTACCTGAGTGACTACTCCTCAGGGCTCTCCTGGCTCCCAGCAGCCGGCAATAGGACTCAGCAAGCAGCTTGAATTTCATATCCAGAAGCGGGGAAGGTTTTCGGGGAAGCCCGTTGAAGCCTGTTTCCAGGACAGAGCCTGCCGGGTGTGCTGGCCCAGCCTGGGAGGAGGAGGAGCTGGGACCTGCACTGCCATTGGCTGGGCCCCAGCCTCCCCAGACTGCTTCTGATGAGGCTCAGGAAACTGAGGGGTTCACTCCTCCCAGGGCGCTGAGCCTCGAATCCTGGTATCCTCTCAGGGGAGAGCCACAGGTCCACTCTGACTCCTTGTTCATCCTCCCATCTGTGGGCTTGTGTGGGAGAAGCTGAGGCCTGAATCCCAGCTCTGCCACTTTCTCACTGTGTGATTTCTTGCCTTCTCTGTGAAAGTGGGAAAAGAACAACACCTACCTCATAGGGTGGATACGTGGATTAACCCAGCCTTAGGGGTGAAGTGCTTAGAACAGTGCCTGACACAAGGGAAGCCCTGTCTACAATTGCCTATAATGCGTGTATACTGCCCAGCACAGGCCTGCCGCATGGTATGTCCTCAAAAAAATGTTTCTTCCTCCTCCTTTTCCTTATTCCTAGGCCTTTTCTTTCTGAGATACAGGGAAGGCAGAGGAGAAGGGAGGGAGAGAGAGACGTATGCACTAGAGAAAATCTCATTTGGATGCATGTTGTCTTTGGGTTAAAAAGGCCAAACCCAAGCCAGGCAGGAACCACAGGAGAGGTGGAGAAGGTGGGCAGGGGCACCTGGGGAAAGCTTCTCATTAGTGCACAGACACGGTCTTTTGGCCTAATTGACTTCCAAGGTGCCCTGTATCAGCAGGTCACTTGGGGTCAGGATTCAACAGACAAAGCATCCAGGAGCCACAAACACCTCATGTCCACAAGCAAACACAATGTAGCTTCACATGAGCATACTCTTACACACAGGCCACAATTATGGGCACAGTGTTGCACACACATGCAGCAGTGGCTTTATTTTATTCACTGCTCTATCCCTTGTGCCTAGTATGGTGCCTGGTGTCTTGTCCAGTTAGGCTTCAATTTATATTTATTGAATGAATGATGTGTGAAATGCACACACCCTGCAGAGAGTCACACATTTCTATACTCCATGCTCTTTCCAAAAAGCTGTTGCCAAGTACAGGAGAGAGGAGGCATATAAAGAGATCAGTTACAACATTGTGAGAAGTCCTAGAAAAGACACAGAGAGAGAAGGGAGTTTTAAGTTCTGCCAGAGGGAGAGCCGGAGAAGGTAACATTTAAGCTGGGTCTTGAAGGATGTATAGGAGTTTACCAAGAAGAGATGCTGAGGAGGGGCCTTTGAGGCAGTGGGCACATAGCGTGCAGAGGACCTTTGTGAAAAATAATGGAAGAGCATTGGAGAGTGGGCTGGGTAGTGGTGGGGACACCACATGGCAAGGAGCCTGGAAGGTCAGCAAAGACCTTCCAGACCATGAAGGACCTGGAATGTCATGCTAAGGAGTTTGAATTTATCTTGGGTGCAGAGGGAGGCATGAGGGAATTCTTTTCTTTTTTCTATTTTTACATTTTGTATTGTGCTGAGGCAGGAAAAAGGAAGAGACATGGTCAGATTGGTACATTTGATTCTCATTATTCAAGGTAGTTATAGTCTATGAGTCACCATGAGCACCAAGTTAGTGAATATTGAAGCATTCTTCCTAGAGGACATATGAGGTTAGGTTCCTGCAAGCTTCTGTTTACAATGTGGTTATCAACTGATCAATACAGAAGTCTGTTTTATGTGTGTTTCTGAAGACACCTTGTTTAATATATATTGTTGACTCATTAATATTGGACTCATAGCCAACACCACTATAACTCATGACTGAATGAAGCTTGTCTAACACACATATTTTTTCCATAAGGCTCATCGTAGCCTTCGTGTGCTTAGAAACACTAGATGGCACTTCAGCACTGTACTCGGGGCCATTTCAAACAGCAAATCCCCAGCAAAAAGCAAGAAATGAGAAAAACATGGCACCAAGTAGACCTCCAATAGAACATGTTTATAGCATTAGAGCTGAAAGGGGAAGGCAGAATGTCACCTTGTTCAGCCACAGCTGGGAACACGTGCATTGGGAGACTCAAATTTTTGCCACTCTGTGCATGTTATAAATGGCCATGAAAGTGTCTTAAGTGTAGATTTTGGCTTAGGAATAAATTGTGGTGAGCTGGAGAATGCACAATACGGAATCTGTGAATAATGAAGATCAACTGTATGTTTAGAAAGCTTCCTCTGTTTGAGAAAAGAGGCTGGAGGGGCTTGTGAGACCGGTATGAAAGTTACTGCAATGATTTAGGCAAGAAATGAGCAAGAGGGTTGGATTTGGGAAATAGCTGGTAAATACAGCTGGCAGCTTTGGGGGACTGACTTGGGGGACTGACTGGATGTAGGATGTGAGGCAGGAGGCTGACCTAGGATGGTTCATAGGTCACTGGTTTTGGTGATTTGATAGGTGATTGGGCCACTGATAGAAATAACCCTATGAGGTAGGAACTCCAATGGCTCCATGTTCCAGATGGGAAAACTGAGGCCCAGAGAGGCTAAGAAACTTGCCTGGGCTTGCACAATCAGTAATCAGGAGAGCTGGGGGTGGAATTCAGGTAGCTGAGCTCCAGAGCCAGTGCTTTTAACACCGTAATGCTTCAACATCTTCATACCCAAGGATTTGGCAACACTGTCGGCTCCTTTATGCTTGATAAACAGAATCATTTACTCATCGTCAAATATTCATTAAGCACCTACTATGTGCCACGTGTTGCGCCTGATAGTGGAAATAAATCAGTAAGCATGGTTCTCATGGTTCAACCTCTGGGCCTGGTCCTCTTGAAGATTACAGTCAAAGGAGGAAATAAGACATTAAACACACACACACACACACACACACACACACACACACACACACCAATAACTCTAAAAATGCAATTGTGATAGAGTCACAAAGGAGAAGCACAGTGCCAAGAAAATGTATAATGGAGAACCAGACCTAGTTTCAGGAAGCAGGGAAAGCCTTTCTGAAAGTGTAAGATTTAAATTGAGGCCTGGAGCTTTCTCCTCTGCCAGTAACCCTCTGCCTGCTTCCTAAAATGCCAGCACTCTCCAGAGCTCTCCTGGATTCTCTTCTCTCAGTGCACTCTCCACAGGCTGTGGCTCCTACCACCAGCTTGGGGCTGAGGACTCCAACTATTGCTGCCACCTCGTGACCCTGGATAGTTCATGTGGCTCTTACTCAGCACACGTAGCACTGAACTCATTAACTCCAAACACATCTGTGATGAACCTATGCACCACTTTTCCCACTCACTCCCCCTGCTATGCTTGGAATGTGTCCCCCAATGCTCTCATGTATTGAAACTTAACCCCCAATGCAACAGTGTTGGGAGGTGGGACTTTAAGAGGTAATTAGGTTAGTTGGATTAACATCGTTATCATGGGAGTGGGTTTGTTATCATGAAAGTGGGCTTATTATCAAGTGAGAGGTTTCAATGGAGGCTTCATGGCTGTTCTTTTACTGAGGGATGGGACTCAGGGGATGCTGGAAATCCAGGAGGGAGCTGGAGGTGGGAAGGGTGGAAGGTGGGCATGACAGAGAACAGGCAAACCTGGAAAACAGGGAAAGAGTTGTGTGATGGGCAGAATCCACACAGACCTGGGCTCAAACCCCATTTCTGCTCCCTAACTATGTGGCCTTGGTCAACTCATTTTTTCTCTCTGAGCCTTAGTTTCCTTTCTTTCGAATGTGGAAGGGGTCGGGTGGTGCTGTTGTGAGGAGTGCTTGAGAGGATGTATATAAACATGGTGATTTACAGCTGGCATGTCTCACACATTCATTTTCTTCCACTCTGTGGGCTGTTGCTCTCTGACCTGTTGGGTGGACATTTGCTTTTCCTCTGGGACGAATGGTCATGCTCTTCCCCTATGATGTGCCTCCTTTCCTAGGCCTCTAGACCTACTCCACCAGCTCTACCCATGCTTCCAAGCTCAGTCCGAGGAGGCTGAAACTGGGATGTGCCCCTTGGTCTCTCCCTACGATTTCTGAGGCTCTGCATGAGCTGGGTCATGGAGAGGCTCACCATTCCTGAGACTGGGGCCCAATGCTTCTAGGTATCCTCGTCCCTCCAGCCCGGCCCACACTAAAGCTGAATCATTGGTCTCAATAACACAGTGTTTTGCCGTCTCTGGGCGGGTTGTCTCAGTTCCATTTGGGGCCTCTCTTTTAGAGGATTGAGGGCTCATGAGCAGTTCTTGAAGCTTTGGCCACTGGCTGCCACATTTCCCCTTGCTAACAAGAGTTCCAAGGCCAAGGACCTTCCTGTTGGGCTCTTGCCTGGATGCTCAGAATCTCTGCTGAGTCATGGTCCAGTGTGGGCACCACAGGACTTACTGAAAGTAACCAGACAGCTCTGCATTTTAAATCTGGTTCCATCAAGTGGTCAGTACACGTAGCAGGTGCTATCAGTATCTGCCCCAGATCCTCTTGGCATACTCCTTTTCGGTGGTTAAGAGGACCTAGTACAGCACAATGATTTACAGCAGGCAGGACCAGTGTCCAATGGCCAGCACCTGCCACTCTGCCTGGGGCTCTCTGGGCTTCTGGGCCTCTGCCTACATATGAGGTAGGCTGGAAGTGCTAGTGAACTGATGCCCCACTGGGAAAAGCCCTCAACCAGTGACTGATAGAAGTTAGGGTATAAATTCTCCAGCCTCCTCAGCCTTTGATTGAGATGACTGTGAAGTCGTTTTCTACTGTTTCCCAGCAGTCCCCAGCAGGATTAAGCTCCGTTGCCCATGGAGGTAACTCACTCAATTAAACACCCTTCATTAGCTTTCTTCCCTTCTCTGACTCACTGCCCATTCCCATGCTGATGTTTCCTCGGATGGCCTCCCAAATAAACAACTTGCATGCAAATCCTGTCTCAGGCTTGGCTTTTGGGAGAGCCCAAACTAAGACATCTCTTGTTTGAACAGAGAAGCGATCTCATTTCCTGGGGAATTCGCCTATCTTCACTCTAACCAGCCGCATCTTCGCTCATTGAGTGTTGATTGGCTCAGAGGTGGGACTGGCCCCCAGTTGAGCTAATCAGTCATACTTATCTTGCTCAGTTGATTGGTCCAGTGTGACAACTTAACCCACGCTCATCTACCAAGGGGTCTTCCCTGGGACTTTTGAACATTGGATAGGGAGAGTGTCCATCTGATGATAGACATAGTGAGAAGTGAGGCTCCGGAATTGCTGGCAGCCTGCTGTTTGACAAAGCTGCTTTGCTGAGTGAGACAATGATTCTGATGCAGAAAGGGAAGCAGAAACAAAAGATAAGCAAGCGAGTGCTTGGAAGGCACTGGAATCCCTGGCTTGATCTATCTTTGGAGCCCAGCCATAATGTTTTCTTTCCTGCATGCACATAAACCACTGCATTATCCTTTTGTTTTAGCCTGTTTAATTTAGGTATCTGTCATTTGCAGCCAAATATACTCTCTGTAACCTTGGATTTGCCATTTAATAGTGCCTGGTGCATAGTAGGTGTTCAACAAATATTTGTTGACTGACTTGTACCCTCTGGACCCTGTTTCCCTTACTTGTGTGTTGGGGGTGATAATTAGTAGCTCGTAGGGCTGTTGCATGGATGAGAAAATGAGAGGGAGAGGGCTGTCTTGGCCTGTTTCATGCTGCTGCGACAGACCACCACCGACTGGGTAATTTATAAAGAATAGATATTTATTTTCTCACAGTTCTGTAGGCTGGGAAGTCCAGGACAAAGGACTCTAGATGCCTCCTGGCATCTAGTGAGGATGTGGCCTCTGCTCCCAAGATGGTGCCTCAAACACTGTGTCCTTCAGAGAGGAGGAATGCTGTGTCCTCACGTGGCAGAGGCAGAAGGGCCAAAACGGTCAAACTTCTTCTATTAAGCCACTTTATAATGTCATTAATCCATTCATGAGGGTGAAGCCCTCATTACCTAAACACCTCCCCAAGGGCCCCACCCCCCAATACATCAGGGATGAAGTTTCCAACATATGAATTTTGGGGGACACATTCGGACCATAGCAAGATCTCTGTCAACTATGAAGTGTCAGACCCAAGCAAAGAGCTTTGTTCTGCCTGTGAGCCAGGGAGGGTGCCAGGGAGGATGCCAGGGAAGGCAGGGCATCTTGGGTGAGGTGCTCAGAGCCCTGCCTGGATCTGTGGATGCACAGAGCTAGTGAAAGCTGCATGAAGATGAAGATGATGGGAGTGGAATGGGAGGAATGGCTTGGGGAGATTTTTTTTTCTTTTGAGAGAATCAATAAGAAGGGCAGAGAAGGGAAGGGAATTAATGTTTATTGACTCTCTGTTATGTAGCATTCACTGGGCCCAACTCCTCACATACATCAGAGAGTGCAAACTGGTGACCTGGAGGCAAATGTTTTGTTTGGCCTTCACGGTTCTAAAGAAACATTTCAATTAATTACCAACATATCAAAATCTGGAGGTTCCATATGAAAACATATTTTGGGGGAAGTTCTAGAGGATCTGGCAGCATGGGGTCTATATTCCCTGTAGCATCAAGAGCTGGAGTTGACAAGCAGCTGGCCCTACCTTGTAGTCATTAGGATGGTAATCCTGGACACTGTCAACTCATCTTCCCAATAGCCCTGCAAAGCCCACTTAGTTCCATTTTATAGATGATAAAACTGAGAGTCAGAGATAACGTGATTTGCTCCAGACCACATAGTTAGGGATTGATGGAGCTGGGGTTGTGGCTCAGTTCTTGTTGACCCCAGAGTCTATTCTCTTACCACAGTATGGAGACTGTCTGGCTGTCTGTGGGAGGAGAGTGAGGAGGGAGACAGGTTTGGTATCAGTGATTAGGAAGGGTGGGGGTGCCACAGGTAGAGGCAGGAGAACTTGAGGGTGGGGAGATGACGTTGTCAGACCAGGCCATTGCCAGTGTGAAGGGACCTCAGGGTGTCCAGGTGAAGGGGTCCACTCCCAGGTCACTTTTAGCACCTGGAGCCTGGGCCTGGTGGTCTGAGGAATAGAGGATTGTGGCTGGAGATATTTTGGGGACCTGGTGTCTGATTAGCCAAGGGGAATGAGGCAAAGGGAGGAGATGGAAATGCTGTTCAGGTGCCTTGCTGGACAGCCTCAGTGGGTGGCGCTTCAGGAGATCAGGGTTGGGGAGGGGCAGGAAAGGGGAGGAGAGAGAGGTTGGGGGAAGCAGGTCTGGGAGGGGGAGATGGCGCATCCAGTTTGGAGGTGTTCAGTTGGAGGGAGATGTCTGGGGAGAGTTGGCTGAACAAGTCTGGAGCACGGGAGGACGCTCCTAGCTGGAGATAATGATCCAGAGAGTAAGCCGTGATGCCCAGGACAGACAAAAGGGGCCAGGCCTGGGGTGTCCAGACCAACTGTGGCCTTAGTGCTTGGTGGAGGTTGGAGGGATGCCCCCGCCATTCAGTCTCTCTGACCTTCCACAAGGTAATGAGGATCCCACCCTCCTCACCCAGCGGGCCCCTCCGTAATCGGCTTCCCTGGGGATGTTTGAGCGAAACGGAATAGCGAGGCAGGCAGGGAAGAAGGGAGGGAGAACTGGTTATCGCTTCCCCTCAGCTCCAAGTGGATAATTACACAGCTCTCCGAGCCCCAGGACTGGGCCAGGCGGCAACCCATACAGACAGCCTCTCAAAATTAATGGGACTCCAAGGGGTTTGGGGTGGGGGAGCACCAAGGCTGAGAGAGGCTGAGGAGAGAGAAACTAGACATGGGAAGACTGTGTCTGACAGAAAGCCCAAGATGCAGGGTCTGAAGCAGAGATGGAGGGAAAGAGCAGGGAAGTTGAAGTTCAGAGAGGTTAAGTCACCTGCTCAGAGTCACACAGCAGCAAAGCTGGGATTTGGCCTCTGTTTGTCTGTGTCCAGAGAGCATGCTCTTTTTTTTTTTTAATTATACTTTAAGTTTTAGGGTACATGTGCACAATATGCAGATTTGTTACATATGGTGGACCTTCTCCCTCACTGAGAAGGCCCCTGGAAACAGGACTTCAGCACACAAACCCTGCATCAGAGCTGCTTCCGGTCTGAGTGAAGGTGGAGACCTAGGGAAGAGCAGTGACTTTCGTAGATGTGAGGGAGGAAAAGGGAGCAGGTGTGACGGATCCTTCCAGTCAGCTGGCATGGGGCCCCTCCCTCGTCTGTTGGAACTAAGGGCGCCTCTGCGTCCCGCCCCTCCGCACCCCCAGCAGTATGCCTCTCTAGCATGCTTCCGGATTCACCTGGAGTTTGGTTTATAGTTACTGTGCCAATGGTAGTCTCTTAGTTCTATAGATGTGCCACGGCTATGTGAGATGTTATCAGTATACAGGAGCTATTTGTACTATCTTTGTAGTTTTTAGATTCTTCCAAAATAAAAAGTTTATTATAAAAACCCCACAACCAACAGCAGATTCCAGCTGTTGGTTGGGGGCAGGGAAGGGGGCTAATGAGGGGAGAGGCCAGGCCCCAGAGGGGAACTGGGGTGCAGAATATTGATGCAGGCCCCCACGACAGTGTTCTCATTTAGCTCAGGCATACGAGGGCCCCGTGGCACTCGAGTTAAGCCATTCGGGTCAGTATCATTCACTTAGGTCCCCACTGGCCATGTCACCAGGGCCTCAACCTGAGTCTACGCTGTGCGCACTTAAGATTCAATCCACTAGGAGGGTGAGGATGCCAGGGGTAAGCACCGGAAATATCTACAACTTACTTCACATCTGTTATGTGCTGGTAGTCTCCTAAGCTGCTTCATATACAGCGTCAGTTTGAATTCTCACAAAATCCCATCTCCTGGAGGAGTCTGAGGCACAGAGAGGTTAAGTAACTTGCCCAAGGTCACACAGTATGTTCTGACCAGAACCCTTCTGATAGCCAGGATGGGAGACCTTTTAAAGCTTGCCCCATGAAGGGGACACACTGTAGGTATGGCAGGACTTCTATGTCTCTCAGGGCAGGAGCCACTGGACCAGCAGGTTTCTGGCAGCCTGCAGCTTGGGAGCCAGCAGGACTGAGAGGGGCTCTGGCCCATCTCCCAGGAGCTTCTTGGGCATCTCGGCTTGGCTCTTCTCTGCATGGTTGCTCTGTCCTCTCTTACACCTGGTCCCCAAGGCTATTCTGTCTGCTCTACTCCATGGTGAAGCTCAGCTTCTCTTCCTGGCCCCTGCGCTCGCTGCTCCCAGTCTAGCTGAAGGAGTGACTGATTGGCCCAGCTCCTCCTCCTGAGGATTGGCCGCCCTTGGGTCCAGGTGTCTGTGACCTGGATGGGCAAGACAAGTAGGACAGTATGGTTCAGTGCCATGAGCCCCGGCTCTGCAGATGGATTGCTTAGATTTAAATTCCACTTTCTCCCTGTGTGACCCTGGGCAAGTGACTTCACTTTTCTGTGCTCTTGACTCATCCTTGGAGGTAACAGTGCTATCTTCCCCATGTGAAGACTGAATACATGATGCTGTGTGAATGAATGCATGCAGAGCCCCGGCCCAGAGGACGCAGTCTGCTACCACCGCTTTTTGCCATTATTATTGCTGCCATCATAGATCACAGTGTGTCTACTTGGCAGGGGCAGTGAGTAGGGCAGGGAGTGATGGACACACCTCCTACACCCAGCCAGCCCAGGGACTGCTCATCCTGATGCTCCTAACCTGTCTGTGAATCTGGGTAAAAGACTTCCTAAGGAAGGGGAGAGTTCAGGCTTCAGGCTTCAAGTTGTGTGTCTGTGTGTGTGTGTGCACGTGTGTGCGTGCACGTGGAGAAGTAATGCCCCCTCTGTCCCCAACTGCCGTGCCTGAGCCCTTGGGCTATGGCCTTGCTTTGTCTCTTATGCCCTGACAGTGGTGAGGGAGGGCTCTTCCCTACCTCAGCAGAACACAGGTAAATGTGTGTGCAAATGATAGGCTTTTAGGGGGAAAGTAAGGACTTTGCCTCTCAATCAGGAATCTTCCAGGATTACAGAAGATTCTGACAGCATCTGGGTGAATGAGCGAGTGGGTGCTGGGAAAGGAAGGCAGATCTTGTGGGCAGAGCTGCAAAGCCTGAGCTCCTCCAATCCTGCTCTGTGGAACACCTACTTCTCCCACCTCAGAATCCTGCCTAGAAGTCTCTCTGTACCCCCAACCCCCGCCACCCACCTCCAGCTGCTGGGCACACTGGTGCAGATCACAGGCCCAAGAAGCCTGAGGGCTCTGGTGCTAGGATGGCTCAGGCCTTCAGGTATGGGGCCCAGGCAAGACGTGGGATGGGGAAGAAAGGCCAAGAGGAGGCTGAGTTATCCTAGCAAACAATAAGACGTTGCACATGTGCACACCTACAAAGCTCCTAGAAACATCTCTAGCTCATGGCAAGTGCTACCTATGTGCTATTAATGCAAATGAAGATAGATGAGAATGAAGAGGCCTGCGTCAGAAGCTTCCGGAGTCTGCTGACAACCAGAACACAACCTCCTTGGGACCCCGCACCTGCTGGAGAGAGGGGACACCAGCACGGGACAGAGTGCTTACTTTGTGCCAGATACGGTTCATTTAATCCCAACAGCTACACAATGAGGTGTGATGATCATCGGCCCATCTTCCAGGCAAGAAGATGAAGGCTTAAAGTAGTTAAATAACTCTTTTTCTGTTCATTTTGAGCATGTCAAGATGACTTCTTTGCACCTGCTCTTCCCTGTCTGCAGTGCTTATGCTCCGCCCTAAAATATTCACAAAGCCAGGATACAAAGCTATAACAAATCACCCCCAAATTTAATAGCTTACAATCACAAGTATTTATTATCTCCAAGTTTCTGTTGGTCAGGAATTCTGGAGCAGCTTCAGGACCACATGATGATGTTTATGGGACCTAGGCACTTTTGCCTTTTATGGCCTCTTCCCTTTTCAAAGAATATTTGAAAAATCACATTTCATGATTGTGTTGGTATAAAGATAAATATATTAATGTTATATATTAAAAACATTTTCTTTGACCTAAAAGTTCCTTCTTTCTCCTAATTTTAAAAGAAGTGAAAAACATTTTCACTGGTCCTAAATGTCTTGTGGGCCCAAGGCATGGTGCCTCCTGTGTTTAGCGGACAAATTGGCCCTGAGTGGCTTAGCCAGCTAGTTCTGGCTCGGGGTCACTCAAGTGGCTGCAGTCACCTGAAGGCTTGACCGAGGCTGGATGGTCCATTTCCATGATGGTGCACTCACATGGTTGCTGGCAGAAGGCCTCAGTTCCCCGCTGTGGGCCTCTCAATGGGTTGACTTGAGTGTCCTCATGATATGACAGCTGCTTCCCCTAGAGTGAGAGAGGGGAAAGTAGGGCGGAATCCTTTTATGCCGTATCTTGGAAGTCATCCATGGTCAAATATCATTACTTCTGCCACATTCTTCTTGTGAGTCATTAAATACAGCTTGCACATAAGGGATGTAGGGGAAGGGAAATTAGTCTCCACTTTTTGAAGGCAGTGGACGGACATATTCAAAAACCATTATACTTGGCTTCAGACAGGCCTTCCCTAGGTCACCTAACTTTGACTCTTGTTGCCACCCTCCAAGTCCCCTATAACACATCACTCAACTTATCGCCATCGGAGATTACCTTGTTCATTGATTCAAATTGTTTGTCTGCCCCAGCTGGAAGGTAAGCTCCTTTGTGGGAGCGGACCTCATCAGTCTGTTCTCTGCCTTTGTTCTAGGGTCTAGCGTAAAGCCCAGCACCCATGAGGCTCTCAGTAAGTATTTGGTGAATGCAGGAATGAGTGAATGAATGAGCTTTGGTGGTGGTGGTGGGAGAACCTGCAGTCACTTCAAACTGGTGGTGGAAGGGGAGTGTGTGGAGAGGCTGAAGCTCTCCGCTTGGGGTTTGTTGGCCTGGGATGGTTTCCGAGGCTCAGGGGATTGGGAAGGAGGTTTGGCAGGGAAGAGCAGAGTAGAGCAGTAAGGGAGTGAGAAGCCTGGAGAGGCTGGATGACCAGAAGGCATGGAATTACCTTGTGAGCGCAGACCCCAGATTATAGGATCTAGTGGGGTCTAGTTGCTACACATGTAGCAACAGGAAAATTACAATGCATTATGGCAGATGCCTAACAGGAGTGTGTTCAGGACCCATTAGGCTGGACGCTGATGCTGACCGCTGAACGGAGGACTTTGCTTTTGGCCACACCCTTGACTGTGGACTTTGCTCACTTGCCGAGGTGTTAGGGGATTGCTGAGTCCTGGGGAGACACACTTGGCTGCTGGTCGCTGCAAGACTAGCTCACCTGCCCGGGCTGCTCCATTCAGCCGCTGGGGGGCAGCAGAGGCCCAGGCTTGGCGGCAGCGCCCGGGCTCCTGCAGCCTCCGCCCTCAGAGCCGTTCTGTGCTGCCAGCGACCAGCCACCAGCGACCAGCTCCTGCTCCTGTAGGGGCAGAAGCTGCTGGGTGGGGTGGAGGTCACAAGTTTGGGGTGTTCCAGTCTGTGCTCCTTCTGAATTGTTCCTTCCACTCTCCCCTGAGCCTTCTCCTAGTGTCCTTTCCTCCTTTACAAATCTTCCCAGAAGATGAAAGCAGAGAGGTGGCGGTGGAATGGGGGCCTGGAACTTGTCGACTTCAATGAAGGAGTTGGACTTTACCCTAAGAGCCATGGAAAGTTCACTGAAGTCCCTGATTTGTGTTTGCAGAAAGATACCTCTGGCTATCGGGAAGCAGAAAGCCCAGACAAGAAGCTGCTTCAAGGCTCAGGTGGGAGAGGGGTCAGAGAAGAACCAGTGAGACAATGAGGTGGATGGTGGGTACCCCCTCGCTGGGACATGGGGAGAGCTGGGCTGAGTGCAGGGGGGCAGTGCTGAACCCCAGAATGAGCACACTATTGCAGTGGTGGCAGAGGGTTCAGGACACAGGGCCCCCAGCCCAGATAGGCCTGGGTTCAAGGCTAGGATTCCCTTCACGGGGGTGACAGCAGGTAGAAGGGGAGCAGCCCTCCACCCTAGATGGACTGGCTTGCTAGAAAGTGAGTCAGGAACAGGGGCCAGGGACCCACAACTGAGCACAAAGTGAGGTGTTGGACTTGACCGTGGTGGAGTCTCTGACCAGAGCTGGGCTCAGAAGGGCAGCTGGCCCTCTAATTCCTAAAGGCTGTTCTCTCATGCCATGTGCTCCAAAGGTGCTGTCATCAGACATCAGGGACAGTGTGAGGAAGCCCTAGAGGATTGGCCTGGTCTTGGCCCTGACCTGGAGTTGACTGGAGTCCTACACTTTCCAACTTGGGGCTGAATCCACAGGCCTCGCCAGCCTTTGTGCCTGCTGCCTGCTGGCCTTCACCCCACCTGGCTCCAGGTCCTCCAGGTCCTCCAGGTCCTCCAGGTTGGTACTGAGCTGGAAGCTGGCTGTGTGATCACAGTTGAACTTGTGCCCAGAGACTACAGTTGGGCTGGGTCTAGCAGAGGGCCTCGCTGCCTCCCAGGGATCCTAAGGTGGACTGCTCCTCTAAACCTTTGCTGTAGGTGGTGAAGGACTCATCCCTGAGCCGCCAGGAAGGTTTGGCCCAGAGACTATAGTTGGGCTGGGTCTAGCAGAGGGCCTGGCTGCCTCCCAGGGTTCATAAGGGGGACTGCTCCTCAAAACTCTTGCTGCAGATGGTGAAGGACTCATCCCTGAGCCGCCAGGAAGGTTTGGGCTTGTGCCCCTCTTCCCCTTCCCACCGGCTGTTCCTGGCATCTGCAGCATTCTCTCACTGCTCCCTTTTACCTGGCCAACTCCTAGTCATCTTGATGTCTCAGTTTAAATGTCACTTCCTTGGAAACAATTTTAGTGCACCCATTATTCTTGCTCAGAGCGTCCTTTGCTTTTCCTGCAGTGTATTTATTACAGCTTATTATACTTTTACTTGGAGAGAGAGAGAGAGAGAGAGAGAGAGAGTGTGTGTGTGTGTGTGTGTGTGTGTGTGTGTGTTAACATCTTGACCCCCTGAATAGACTGGAAGCTCCCTGGAGACCGGAAGCATGTCTGTTTTACTCATGATTATAGTCCCAGGCTCTAGCCCCAGGCCTGGGATACTGCAGGCACTCTAAAAATATTTGTTGAATGGGTGAAGGAAAGAAAGAATAAACGCATTATGGATGCCCCTGGGGATGCCCTATGTGTTGGGAATTCATAAAGCCACAGAGTAAACCTGGCATGTCTCTGGATCATCAATTTTACTTGATGGCAAGGAATTAGAAGCATTCTATTTACTTATTAATAGAATATTTTACATTACAAAAGTAATACATGTTCCTTGTCAAAATTCAATCAATAGGCATTGAAACAAACCCTGACACATTATGGAGTACAACAAAAAGTTCACTTGACTTTTAAAGAGAAAATAGGAGGCTTCAAAGACATTTTGAGCTTAAGAGGGGCCAGACTGACCTGCAGTGCAGGCTCCTGCAGGGATGAGGTCACTCCTGTGGGTTAGGGCACCTCCATGGGAGAGGCTGAGAAACTGCTGTTAGGCAATTGCGCTGTTGTTGGCGCTGTGGCTCTAGAGCCTGGGCGCTGACTGCACTTGGAGAGAAAGCAAACGCCTGCTTTATATACCGAGAAGTCGTCTGGCCAGACTCCAGGGGCAGGGGCCTGGAGGAGAAGAGTGTTTTTGTGGAGGAGTGGGGATGCAGGGAGGCTTTCTAGGGGGTATCAGGAAGGAAACCTTCCTGGTAACGAAATAACAAAAATCCTTTCGGAAGAGTGAGAGAGTGGGGGTGCTGTAACAGGTCAGCCACTTCAGAGGGGCTGGCTGTCCCAGGCCGCGGGCATCACGGCTGGAGAGTACCGGGGAGGTGGGAAAGTAGGTGGGGGGGATGTCATTGGGTTGGCTGAAGGGGCAACCCACGGCCATCCAGGGAGACCAGCAGCGAACGGGCCGTGGAGAATGACACTATTATGTGCAAAATGTACAGCTCGAGGTGGAGTCAAAGATGTGGGCCTGGAGCCTGACAGATCCGGGTTCAAATCCCAGCTCTGCCATTTTTAGTGATGTGACTTTGGTCAAGTCTTTCCCTCTCTGAGCCTCATTTGTTCCATTGGCACAAGGAGAATCCTGATCACCATCTTGAAGGGGGTTGTGATGGTTCCATTAGGTATCTGTTCTCTGTACGTTCAGATCACCTGGGTAGTGTTTTAAAAAATACTGATGTCTGGGCTTCAGCTCAACTATCTGAAGCAGAGTCTCTGGGAGTGCATCCCCAGCATCTAGGATGCTTTGACAGAGCCCCAGGTGATTCCGTGTGCAGCCAGGAGAATCCCTGCCAGAGGTGATCTGAACACAGCCTTGTGATTGTCTCCAGCAGAGGAAGAGGTTCCTGTTTCCCGATTAATCCACCACAGTCTGCCCCAGGCTTTGTGGTCAGTCCACAAGCTGCCTTTGTGCCTCTCACTGGGCTTTTCTCCTCTGCCTGGCTTGTTTGCTCTTTGTCTGGGTCCCAGCTATCAGGCGCAGGGCATGAGCCAAGTGCCCACTGGGATGCAGCTGCTTTCTGTCCAGTGGCTTTGGGGGTGACAGACAGATGCAGACCTACTGGGAGAATGACGAAGGGGCGGACAAGCCAGGCCTAGAGCGAGGAACACCCCTCCTTCCCCGCAAGGAAGATCCAGAAAGAGATTGACTTGGTGCTTAAACTTGAGCTGCACCAGAAGCCCCGGGGGTTGGGGGAGGGGTGTTAAAATACAGATTGCCAGGTCCCCAACCCCAGGGCATCCGATTTGGTAGGTCTAGGGTGGGGCTGGGAATGTGCACTTCTGACAAATTCCCAGGTGACACTACTGGCCCCCTGGACTACACTTTGAGAACCACTGACTTAGAGGCCCACAGAGAAGTCAGCTACACACCACCTCGGCCCACACATACCCAGAGCCAGAGAGCAGCAGGCCCAGAGGAAAGGCGGGCCGTCAAGCAACCCACAGACACCCTCTAGTCAGAGGAGGCACCGAGGAGGCGAGAGACCCGGACACACATCAGCAGAGCTGGGGGAGACAAGGACCCCAGTATAGACCCAGGGAGGAGACACCTAAGGGACAGAGAGAGTGACATCTTCCTGGCCCCTCACCCCAGCTCAGAGAATGACCTCGGGAAACAGAGTGGTAGGCTGACCCAACGACAGACAGACAGACTGACTGGAGGACAGAGAGGCTGGTGGAGATTCGCAGTGCGTGAGCACCGAGCAGCCGGGGGGAGCTCTAGGGTGTGCTGGTGCCAACTTGTACCCCTCAGTTTTCAGGACATTTGCGGGTGAATTGTAAACCCTTAATTGTTGGAAGTTGGCCCTGCTGGGAGTGTTCACCCCGTGTGGACACCCTGTGAACCCCAAGTGGTGGCGACTTTAGAAGCAATGCCTCCTCTTTTCTGACCTAGGTTTGACCCATGTGGGACTTTTTGCCCTTCTGCTCAAAGGTCAGGTGCTGCCACCTGCTCCAGGAAGCCTTTCTGACTGCTCCACCCATGGGGTGGAGATGCTTGTCTCCCGGGAGTTCTGTGGCGTCAGCTTCTCAAGCCTTCTGTGGATTTTTCAGGGTTTTGGTTCATTGTTTCTGGTGTGACTCCGGGTTGTATCACCCCTTTCCCGGCCCTCAGTGTCCTCAGTGGGGATTGGCTGAAGGATTCCTAGGGCCTCTTCCACTTGAAATAATTTGTGTTTACTCCCTCTTTCCTACCTTTTTTGGGTTGTGTTCCCCTGTCCTTGAAATTTTCTTGCGTAAGGCCCATCAATATATGTATGTTTATTTATAAAATCTATATGTTATGAGACATATATGAAGTATAAATTTAACAGGATGAGATAAAAATACAAATGGAAGTTACTCTGTGTGTATATATACACACATATAAATGTATGTAAATAGATATATATTTATATATTTATTTTCAACAGTGCTTGAGAAGTAATATAAATATATAGTAACTATAAATATTTGATTACTGTTATCAAATAATCAGAGAACAGGGGTAGCTGTTTGCTCATTATTTGATAGTAACAGTAATAGAATATTTACTCAGCGCTCTTGTTATGAGCTGGGTACTGTGCTAATTGCTTTACATGAATTGACTCTTTTAAGCTCCTTAACAGCCCTATGAGGTGGGCACCATCATCATCTCTACTTCCCAGGTGGGGAGACTGAGGCACAGAGATGGTGGGTAACTTGCCCATTATCACACAGCCAGTAGATAGTGTGACTGGGATTTGAACCCTGGTCCAGCCACCAAGCTCAAGCCACCTGTTAGAGGGCAAATGAGGGAAGTTCTGCCTCCGAGGGCTGGTCCCTGAACTGGCATGCTCCCAGAGGTGAAGGCCATGCTGTCTGTGTCTGTTTTCTTTTTTCTTCTTCTTTTTTTTTCTTTTCTTTTCTTTTCTTTTTTTGAGACTGAGTGTCACTCTGTCACCCAGGCTGGAGTGCAGTGGTGTGATTTCAGCTCACTGCAACCTCTGCCTCTGGGGTTCAAGCAATTCTCCTGCCTCAGCCTCCCAAGCAACTGGGATTACCAATGCCCACCACCACACCCGGGTAATTTTTGTATTTTTAGTAGAGACAGGGTTTCACCATGTTGGCCAGACTGGTCTCAAATTCCTGACCTCAAGTGATCCACCCGCCTTGGCCTCCCAAAGTGCTGGAATTACAGGTGTGAGTCACCGCGCTTGGCCCATGCAGCCTGTTTTCGTTAGAACCACTGTTAAATAGTCTCTGAGAACTTCTTCGACTTCCGGTGTCCTGTTCAGGAGCTGTACCCGCATTATCTCATTGACTCCTTCCTCAGACCCCGCAAGGGCAGTATTGCTATCTTTACAAAGCCCGAGCTCAGGAGGCAGCGCCCTTCCCTGGGACGTGCCTGGGCCACTCTCCTGCTACCCTGGCTGAGCAGAAGGGTGAGATTTCCCCATAAACATTAGGAGAACATTAGGAGATGCATCAAGCTGCCCTAGAAACTAGGCTCTAGTTAAGTGCTTGAAAAGTAATTATAAACTCCAGAATATCTTTCAGCCGAGCAGGTGGCTGGAAAATTAGAAATCTATTTCTGAGACACCTTCTGCTTTCCAGAAAGGCTGAGGTTATGTTTCAGGCAGGTCAAGTGCTGGTGGCCTCTGTTGGGGGGGTGGGTGTGTGTGTGTGTGCACGACTGCATGTGCATGCGGGGTGCAGCACCGAGGGGCCAAGGAGAGAGGAGACGCCAGTCTGGGGGTGTAGCTGTCATGCCTGCCCTTCCCTGGCACTCTGTGCAGTGTGGAGGCGGCAGGCGCCTCCTCTCTGGTGTCACCCCTTGAGAGCTGGGTTGCTAGGACACCGGAGCCGAGGAGATGCCAGTTGATTTGCCAAACAATTTTTCTTCCAATTAGGAATAATTAGACAAAGGGAGAAAGTGTGTGCTTTGATGGTGGCAAGAGAGGCTTGGAGCTTGGGGACCCCGAGGAGCTGTTAGGGTTTCGTGGCTGAAGATGGCTAGGAGTGTTGCCCCACCCCTGGGAAGGAGCCTCTTTCTGGCCCGGTGGCACCCAGCCTGGGGGAGAGAGGAGGAGATCTCACATTTATTAAGTGTCTACTACATGTGTGCAGCCCTCTTTCATACTCACGATAAGCCAGGAAGAGGGACTAGGATCGCCTATGGTCTCTTCACTGCTTGCAGCCACACTGGGCTCCCTCAGTTCCCAAACTTCTTGGGATTCTTGCACACGCTCTTCTGTCTGCCCAGAATGCTTGCTCTTCTCTATGCGGCTGGCTCCTTCTGACCCTCCAGGTGACCGCTGTTATTATCCACAATAGGCCCTCACCCAGCTTTCTCCCCAAAGCCCCTGGCTACCTCCCTGCGTGGTGCTCATTACGGCTTGCGGTTATTTTATTTGTCTGGTCACTTGTTTTCTTGTCTGTCTTCCTAGCTAGAACATCACATTCGTGAAGACAGTGTGTGGCACATGAAAAGCTCTCAGTAAATATTTGTTGAATGAATGAATGAATGAAGATCTCTGTTCAAAAGGAAGCGGAGGCTTAGCGAATCTGAAGTTCTTCCTTATGGTCTGTCCCTCAGTAAGGGGTAGAGGGATAGAGCCAGGCCGTCACCTCGTGTCCCCCTCGCTTTCAAGCTGGCTCTCTTCCCATGGCATCACGCTGCCTGCAACCTCTGTTTGCCTGCAAACAGACAGGCGCGGCCTCTGTCTGTTTCCCTCTCTCCAAAGAGGCCTGCATCAAGGGAAGGCTGCTGGTCCTCCAAGTGCCAGCAATGGAGCAGTGCAGGGTAGTAGTCCCTGGAGTCTCCCTGTCTGGGTTCAAATTCCAGATCTGGGCTGGGTGCAGTGGCTCACGCCTGTAATCCTAGCACTTTGGGAGGCTGAGGTGGGGGAATCACGAGGTCAGGGTATCGAGACCATCCTGGCCAACATGGCGAAACCCCGTCTCTACTAAAAATACAAAAATTAGCTGGGTGCAGTGGCGCACGCTTGTAATCCCAGCTGTTTGGGAGGCTGAGGCTGGAGAATCGCTTGAACCCAGGAGGCAGAGGTTGCAGTGAGCTGAGACCATGCCACTGCATTCCAGCCTGGGAAACAAAGTGAGATTCCATCTAAAAAAAAAAAATCCAGCTCTGCCTGGCTGGGCCTCAGTGCTCCTGGCTATAATGTGGAATGAAAACAGAACCCATTTCTCAAGGGTCTTGTGAGGATATAATGAGATAATACACGTGGAATGTTTAGAGCAGTGCCTGGCACATAGGAAGTGCCTCCTATGATATAAGTTATAGGAAAAACTGGGGTGACAGACAGCTCTGATCCTTCCTGCTTGTGTCAGTGACACATAGTGGGCCAGATGATGCAGCCCTTTAGGTGCCTGATATAAATTATTCATCTTGGCATCCGGGGCCCCAAATTCTTAAGAGCTCCACTATTAGGAAGCTGAGAGAAGCTAGCCAATGTGAGAGAGCCCAGTACAGTGTCTGGCACATAGTAGGTGTTCAGTAAAATGGCAGTTGAACCACTCTTGAAATAGCCGGGCCGAAAGTCCAACTGACTGTCGAAACTGTCCACCTGGGTGTGCCATTGGTCCCTCAAATGCAAGAATAAAAATAGCTACTGAATTTCATGTACTTTTAACTATTTGAAATTATCCTATGTAACTCATTTACTACCTGTCTCTTCCCACTAGAATGAAAGCTCCAAGAAAGAGGGATTTGTCTCCTTTTTCATTGCTCTTTTCTCCATGCCCAGAGCAGTGCCTGGCTCATAGCAGACCTTCAAGAAATATTTGTTGAGTTAATTGCCCTCATGTCTGTTATGGATCCTGTATTAGATTCCTATTGTTGTAACCAATTGCCACAAATGTTATGATGTAAAACAGTAACATATTTAATATCCTACAGTTCTGGAGGTGAGAAGTCTAAAATGGGCCACAGTTTGTGTTCATTTTGGAGGCTCTGGGAGATCATCTGTTTCCTTGCCTTTTCTATCTTCTAGAGGCTTCCCGCAATCCTTGGATTGTGGTTCCGCATCACTCCGACCTCTGATTCAATCATCACATCTCCTCTGACTCTGGCCCTCCAGCCTCCCTCTCAGGCCACTCAGAGAATCCAGTAGAAACTCCTCATCTGAAGATCCTTAGCTCAATCATACCTGCAAAGTCTCTTTTGCCCTATAAGGTAACAGTCACAAATTCTAGGAATTAAAATGGGAACATCTTTGGGGGGCTGTGATCCTGTCTACTGCAGGCCTGATACCCCATCTGTTCTTTCTGATGATTTATTCTCTTTCTGTCTACATTCTTCTTTCTCCCCTATCCCACTGCCCCACACCCCTGGCCCCCCCAGGCTCCACAACATCAAGGGTTTGCCTCCATGGACAGACCATGGTTTCTGTTCCCAACAGCTCTTCACTCTGAACTCTGGGAGTGATAAGGGGATTCTAAGACTTCTTAACATTTAATATTTGGGAGTTCTGGTACACTGTAGTGTTGTTATGCACTGAAATGCAGGCAATTTTTGTAGTACCAGCATTTTTTCAGTATTTTAGAAACATCTGAATCACAGCTGCCTGAAGTCTACTCAGAGAGGGATATGCTGCACTAAGATTTCCAATTAAACAAAGGTGTATTCATGTATAAGGCATGCTGAGCACCTCCTGGCCCTCATTGAGACCCTTCCAAGTCCTCTTAATGTTGTTTTAATTCCCTCACCCTGGGCGATAGTGAAGATGCAGAGCTGGATGTCTTCCCCCTGTTTCAGCCACTGTGTTCCCTTTAGAGCCACTTTGGGTCTCTGATGGAGTCTACCTGGGATCAGGTGGTGGAGAGGACTTCAAAGAAAATGGGAAGAAGGTTTGGTTAGGGGACTTAGGAGAGAAGAGAGTGGAAAAGGTATAGGGAGGTTCCCCAGACCCAGTTCTCAGCCTTCCCCACTCTCTTCACCAATTTACTTAACCAACCCTCATTAAGAACTTAACATGTGGCTGGGCGTGGTGGCTCACACCTGTCATCCCAGTACTTTGGGAGGCAGAGGTGGGTGGATAACTTGAGGTCAGGAGTGAGGTGGGTGGATCACTTGAGGTCAGGAGTTCAAGACCAGCCTTGCCAACATGGTGAAACCCTGTCTTTACTAAAAATACAAAAATTAGCCGGGCGTGGTGGTGCACACCTGTAATCCCAGCTACTCAGGAGGCTGAGGCAGGAGAATCGCTTGAACCTGGGAGGTGGAGGTTGCAGTGAGCTGAGATTGCACCACTGCACTCTAGCCTGGGTGACAGAGTGAGACTGTCTCCAAAAAAAAAAAAAGAACTTGACATCTTAACATGTGCCAGGCAACTTTCTAAGCACTTTATATATATTAAAGAATTTACTCTTTAAAACAACCCATTGAAGTAGGTATTATCATTAACCCTGCTTCACAGACAAAGGCACAGAGAGGATAAACAACTTGTTCAAGGTCTCACAGTGATGAACGGAGCCGGACTGGACCCAGGCAGTTTGGCATCAGAACCCATGAATTCACCACTGCACGCTGCTGGATTTTGCCTGATAGCTAAATTCCCTCTGATTTCCTCCTCCTTCTTCCTGAGCCAGCTCTGATATGGTTTGGCTGTGTCCCCACTGAAATCTCATCTTGAATTCCCACGTGTTGTGGGAGGCACCTGGTGGGAGGTAACTGAATCATGAGGGCAGGTCTTTCCCGTGCTGTTCTCATGACAGTGAGTAAGTCTCATGAGATCTGATGGTTTTAAAAAGCAAAGTTTCCCTGCACAAGCTGTCTTCTCTCGTCTGCCACCATGTGAGATGGGTCTTTCACCTTCTGCCATGATTGTGAGGCCTCCCCAGCCACATGGAACCGTAAGTCCAATAAACCTCTTTCTTTTGTAAATTGCCCAGTCTTGGATATGTCTTTATCAGCAGTGTGAGAACGGACCAATACACGCTACTTCCTCATGGGCCCTGCTCCTTCCTCCCTGATAATTTATTCTGGCCAGGACCTTGCCCTCCATCATTATACCTGGAGAGACTGAAGTCAGAAAGATGGAGGAAGCTTCGTTATTTATCCTGGCCCATCTCAGATAAAGCAGCATTTGAGGACCCCGTGTGGGTTCAGTGGTGATCATAGATTGCTTTTTAAAAAAATTAGTATTTTAGTATCATTTTAACGATTTATGGAAATACAGCAATCGGTTGTTTTGCTCCAGAGCTGCAGCCACTAGGTCAGAATCAGAGCCTAGTTAATCATGAGGCCATGGGGCAGTGACCTGGAGCACCCGCCTATATGGAATTCCACACATCTTTGGAATAAATTGCGAACTAACTGAGGTTTCCTCACCAGACCCTGTATGTGGCAAGTAGAATGTCAATGAGTCCTACTTCTGCAACACCCTCAAAGGGAACACTGCACAACATCTTGGACATAGGTTATTTCTTTTACTCCGAATAGCAGTTCTATGAAGTATGCATTACGATGTGCATTTTATAGATGAGAGAATTAGGCTCAAGGAGGCTCAGCAATCTGTCCAAAGTCACAGCTAGTAAAAGGCAGAGCTGGAGTGTCACCGTGGAGTTGGCTGTGTCCAGGGCTTGTGGTTTTAATGTCCTTCCTCTGCTGCCCAAGGAGATGGATAGTGGGGGAAGAGACGGCCCGCAACAGTTCCTCCTCCCTCTCCATCTCACAGCCAACGTGGGGCAAAAGTGCCTGCAGTGAACTTAGGTCTGTGGCTCATAATAAGTACTTGCCTGTTATGGGGGTGCAAGCATCATGATTGGAAGAAAATGTAAAGGAAAGAAGACAAGAAGTCTTCAAGAAAGAAGTGGCATTTGAATGAGGCCTTTGATACAGGGAAGGGCCTATCTCCATTTATGACTGTGCGCACATGAGTGGGTTCATTCACTTACGATTTCCTGAACCCCTACCATGTGCCAGATCCTATGCTGGGCACAGAGTACACATTAGTGAGTAGAAGAGGCATTGCCCTGCCCTCTGTAAGCTACAGTCTGTGGCAGCACTGTCCAAGGGAAGTTTCTGGGCCGATGGAAATAACTCACGGTGTTCAGTGCAGTAGCCACTGGCCACATGTGGTTACTGCAGGTTTGAAATGTGGCTAGTGTGACAGGAACTGAATTTTAAATTCTTTAAATTAATTTTTTTATTTAACTTCAGTTAATTTAAATCTAAATTTAAATAGTCACACGAGGCCAGTGGCTATGCTATTGGACAGTGCAAGTTTAGAGGGAAAGACAGACAGTAAACATAAAGAAGTGCTTATGGTGATAAGTGCTATGCAGGAGGCAAGATCCAGTGGATGAAAATAATGGGGAGTGTCCTATTTAGATTAAGTAATCAGAGGAGGCCTCTCTGAGGAGGTGACGTTTCAACAGAGACCTAGAAGATGAGTGTGGGCCATAGGAAGAGTCAGGGGCAGAGGGAACAGTGGGAGAGAGGCCCTGAGTAGGAGAGGGGTGGGTATACCTGAGATAATGCGAGGAGGCCAATGGGTGAGAGTGTCGTGGGCAAGGGGAGGGGATGCAGGAGATGAGGGCAGGGCATGAGGGGAGCAGGGTCTGATCACGTAGGCTTGTAGGCTCGGGTAAGGAGCCTGCACTTATGTAAAGTGCAATTGATGTCACAAAAAGGTCTCTTGCTCCGACTGCCACAGATTGTAGGTGGTAACAGTGGAAGCAAGGACCTCAGGGAGGAGCTATAGCAATGGCCTGGGGTTGGGGAGATGGGGGCACGGAGTGGAGTGATGGCTTTGGAGGTGAGGGAACTGACTGAACTCAAGACATACTTTCAAGGCAGACATGGCAGGTAGCCTGGCTGTGGAGGGTGAGGAAGTTGCTCAGGTTTTTGGCCCGAGCCACTGGGCAAATGGTGGAACCATTTTCAGAGAAGAGAAAGTTAAGAACAAAAAAATCAAGAATCCAGGCAGTCGGATGGTCATCCAGATGGTTGCTGAAGTCGGAGGGAAGCTGAGTGTTTATCTGATTATGTTGTGTCTCTGTGGGCTGAGCATGTGAGCACAGTCTGTGTGGGCGAGTATGCATTGATGTTTGTACACATTTTTGCTTTGGGTAAAGTATATGCATCCATTTGGGGTGGGGTGAGTGTGTATGCACATGAAGGTCTGTATTTGGATGACTGTATAGGAATGTCCGCACACATCCATGCAGGTGTGGGTGGGGTCAGTGTGTGTGAGTGTGTACCTCTGTGTGTGTCTGCGTGTGTGGTGAGAATGTCTGTCTCGGGTTCAGGGTGAGCCCAGGCCTGGTTTATCTCTGTGAGACGCGTATAAGTGAGGTTTGTGTGTATGCGTCTGTGTGTATGCAGGGTGAAGGCGTGTGCATGTATGTGGGGTGACTGTGTGCAAGTTGGTGTACATGTGTGGATGCAGCAAGTGCGTATCTTCATGCATGAGGGTGGAGCTGCATGTAGTTGCACACTTCTTCCTACATGAGGCATGAGTGTGTGTGTAGGGTCTGTGTATGCACATCTATTTGGGGGATCATATGCACAGACCTGTGTGTATCTGTCTATGGGGAGAGTGCATGCACATAAGTGTACAGGCATGGAAGGAGGATGTTCCAGGGATGGGTGTGTATGGGGGTGTGTGCCCATTTGTGGGCCTCGAGTGTGCCTGCCTGTCCCCTTTGAAGCTCCTGTGACTGCAAGTCACAGAGGCAGCAGCTTGCAGAGCGTGTTACGTCATGTTTATAGGTCTTTCAACCTTAATGCATTTTAAATTTCCAACCCAAGGTGATCCCAGTGGATGGCAGAACCATTTGTTCCTTGCTCTGATTTAAAAAGAAAGTTTCCAGAGTAGGATCCCTTCTGTCTCCAGCCTGGCAGTCCTGCCTGATTCTTTGACTCTTCAGTGGAAGGAGGACCCAGACGTGGGTCCCCAAACAGTGCAGGTGGATGGGGACATGGGAAGCGAGCTGGGGAGAGAGGCTCTTTGAGTGTGGAGAAAGCGGAGGCGTAGAGGCTGGAGTGGAATGGGAACAAGGAGGTGGGAAGAAATCAGACCCTCTCCTCACTAGGGCAGGCCCAGGACACAAAGGCTTGCAGACCTAGTCTCTTTTGCATACCCTCTTTCTTTCTTGTCTGCTTGAGGATTGGCACTGGGCCTTTTGCTTCTCACACTACACACACTCCATGAGCAACTTGACCTCTAGCTGCTCAAGGCAAACCCTGATACCATAAATCCCTTTCCAAGCTGCCCTGGGCACCTTCTGGGACCCCTCCTGTGTGCCTTTGTCTACCATGAGTGTCCACCACTTTCCTTTCATTATACTCCAAGTCGCTGTGGTGATGTCTCCTGTTCCTATTGAAGCCCAGCATATCAGCTGTGTCCCCCAGACAGAAGGGGCCACAACTCCTGCTTGTCACAATGTGTGCTGAGGGCCTGAGGGGCTGCTCCCAGCTCAGCTGCTTGCAGAGACCCACGGAGGTAGGAGAGAAACAACTCAAACTTCAACTTGTAAAGGTGAGGAGCTGGAGGCCACCTTGTGCCAGATCTCAGGGATGAGGTGGTTGGGGTTGTGCTGCAGCACACACCAGAGCTGGAGTGACACACCAGAGCTGTGCTAGAACCTCCTCTACGGTCATCTTTGGACCAAGTTTGGACCTCAGTTTTCCTTTCCCTTTGATGAGTTTTCCCTCCGTCATGGCAACAGCTCCTGGTGGGCCTGCCTCACCCCTTCTGCAGATGTACTAGAGTCCAAGGATGCACATAGATTGAACCCTGTGTCTCAGACCTCTGCATTCGTTGATACCGCCTCTCTGGTGATCTCACTTGCTAGCCATTTGGGTCTCATTTGAAACAGATATTTATCATAACACATTTTTCTGGCTTTGAGTCAAGCATGGGCTGGGTCTGGGGCTTGGAACTGAATGCCATAGGCGTCTCTTTCTTTACCGTTGGTCAGCTGTAGACTCACAGGATGGACCTCTCACCCCACCAAGGGATAAGCCTACAATCTGGGGTCTCCTTAACATCCTTTCCACCATGGGGCTTCCTGGACCAGGTCTTGTCATGTCCCTTGAACTTACCTTGTAGGAATTCTGTCTATGCCCCAGCTGGTAAGGAGGCAGGAGAATCATCAACAAAGACCTGGGGATGTGTCTTTTGGAAACATAAGGCACCTTAAAGCCAAGCTGATGAACCTTTTTTTTTTTTTTTTTTTTTTTTGACAGAGTCTCGCTCTGTCGCCCAGGCTGGAGTGCAGTGGTGCGATCTCGGATCACTGCAACCTCCACCTCCTGGGCTCAAGCTATTCTCCCATCTCAGCCTCCCTAGTAGCTGGAATTACAGTTGTGCATCACCACGCCTGGCTAATTTTTGTATTTTTAGTAGAGACAGGGTTTCGCCATGTTGGCCAAGCTGGTCTCAAACTCCTGGCCTCAAATGATCTGCCCGCCTCGTCCTCCCAAAGTGCTGGGACCACAGGTATGAACGACTGCACGCGGTCTTTTCTTAAATAAGAAAAATGGTCTTACTGTTTTCGTAGAAATAGTGTCTAACCACTGTGGAGTAGGACAGCTTGATGGCTAAGCACACGGACTCTGGAGCCAGGCTGCCTGGGTCTGACTCCTGTCTTTGCCACTTACTGGCTGTGTAACTGTAGGCAAGCTATTTGACCTCCGTGTGCCTTAGTATTCCAGTCCTGTAAGATAGAGGTAATAGCAGTATTCACTTTGTAGCATTGTTGTTAGGATAAGATGAGTTAACATATATAAGGGATTTACTGGAGTCTGCAGCACAGAGTAGGTATAATAGATGCACCTTCATTATTATTCTTGAACACTTTCAATGCAGAAGAAAGCAAAATTGACACCAAATGCTATCACCCAGGGGACCTTCATCCAGAAATCTCTCTTGGGGCTAAAACACACATAGTTTTATATAAATGTGATTTATGATATGTATTGTTCACATACCTTTTTTTCTACTTAACCATATGTCTTAGAGATTTTTTCATATCAGTCCCTATAGATCTACTTCATTCTTTGAAAATTAGTATTAATGAGCTACAATTTATTTGCCTGATCTATCACTGACTTGTGGGCATGAAGGTTGTTTTCAATTTTTCTCTATTGTAAACAATGCTGTGTATATATGCTATGCATATGTCTTCTTTTGCATTTGAGCTGTTATCTCCTTGGGCTGAATTCTAGAAGTGGGAATGCTGGGTTAAAAAGTACGCACATTTTACATCTTGATATATGTGGCCAAGTTGCCCTTTGGAAAGGTTGTCTCAGTTCCCAGTTTACACTCTTTCTGTCCTCTGTCTGTGACGTCTTCTTGTTGAACCTTTTTCATTTTGATTCTGGGTCTCCCATTATGTCCCCCTTGTGCCCTGAGGTAAGGCCACCTAGATGCAGAAGGAAGCTGGATGAACACATTTTTTTTTTTAAATTGGTCCACGAGATCACAAGCTGCCAGGAAAGTGTTGCCACTGAAGGCACTTTCTGATGTGGCCGTTGAGGGACCTGTTGTGCCACTGCAGTTCTTCCTGAAGCAGAAAGGGCGAACTATGAAGCATGAGGAAGGCTGTTGAAAAGTGACTTTGATGAATGTTAAGCATTGTTCTCTCCAGGCTGCAGATCGAAGCAGCCCGGTTGATTTTACTGGATTTTGCATGTGAACAGAGGCTTGGAGTGGCAGATTGCCCTTTTCAAAGATGGCCACAACAATAGCGTCCATGCCATATGTTTGTGTACAGTGGGACCTTGCCATGACCCATCAAGAGGTGGAGTCTAATTCCCTTCCTCTTGAATCTAGGCTGGCTTGTGACTGCTTCGACTAATGGAGTCTGGTGGAAGAAATGCCCTTCTTGAATTCCAGAACCACGAATTTGGGAGTAAAATAAAATGGTGGTCATTCTACATTTTGGGGGTCATCTATTACACAACCATAATACCTGGAACATTTAGCTACTGCTCACTGGGGAAGACAGTCCAGTGAAATGCAGCAGTTTTCAACCTTGGGATACCTGAGAATCAAGTGGAGCTCTCATGAATGATGCAGATTCCTGGGTTCCACCTCTAGAGGTTCTGACTCACAGGACTTAGGGTGGGGCTGAGAAATCTGCATTTTAAAATGAGCACCCTGGAAAATTCTGACACTGGGTAACCAATCGAAAACTTTGGTGAATCATGTAAGAGCAAAAGCTAAGGAGCCAGAAAGACTTGGATCTGAATTCTGGTTCCGTGGCTACCATCTCGCTGTGCCTTTGTTCCTCATCTGTAGAGTGCAGGCAGTCATATTTCCTACTTCATGGTGGTATTGAAGGGTTAGATGAGATAATGCATGTGGTCCTTATCATAGTCCTGACACATAATGAATACAAGGAAATAGTGTTTGACATTGTAGCTTCATGGGGCAAGGATTCTTAAGGGATTCCTCCCTGTGCTTTGATATTAAATAGAAAATGTTGGTTTGGGTGTATTTAAGTAGGAATGGGGCCCATAGTTTTAATCAGATTCTCAAAGAGTCCTATATCTAAAGAAAGTTGAGAATGCTCAAGAGAAAGTTTCTGCTGTTTGACCTGGCTCCAGCCCCAAGAGCCCCTTTTCCTTCTAACTGAAGTCTCTTGACCATACCCATGGGGTTGGCTTCATCCCAGAGCATGGAAGAATGACTTTCATGTGTCCTAGTTTCACTTTCTGGGACTCAGTGAAAGTATAAGGTGGTTGGAACAGCATGGACAAAGATCTGGAGGTGGGATTGAGCTGGAGTCCACAGGTGGCAGCAAGCTGATATTCAGAGAAAGAGGTAGTTTAGAGTCTGATTACCAGTATTTAGAATGTCAGGTTAGGGAGTGAGGAAGTAGGGAGGCAAGGCAAACCTCTGAGCAAGAAAGTGGCAGGATCACCACTGCGATTCAGCAAGGCATCTCTGTGATGCTGGTTGAGGCAGGATGGTGGCCTGGTTGTTAAGGCAAGGGAAGAACCCTGGATTCAGGAACAGGCTCAGTGCAAAGGCAAACTGTGATATTCCTTCCTGGGAGTTTTGGAAGAGCTGGTAGCAGCTGACTGCTTCTATACCTCCCCTGCCCGGGCATGTATGGTTGATGGAAGAGCAAAGGACTCCATTCTTTGGGCTGGAATGCCAAGGCCTGGGTGGTGGTGTAGCAGAGGGAAAATTAAACTCCTGCTGTGTCCTTGAGTAAGCCGCTCCTCCTCTCTTGGCCTCAGTTTTCCCATTAGTAGAATAAGGGGTTAGGAGACCTGGGTAGGTTTGTGACTGCTTCATCCTGTTTCTTGGAGTCCTGCTATCATACAGTAGGAATGGCAGGCGTGTTTTAACTTCTGTGCCACTGCTGCTTGGAGTGTGTGCTGTGTTGGATTCTGAAGTGGAATCTGGGCTCAGTGGGAAAGGGCTCTGATAGATTAGCAATGCCTGCCCTGGTTGTGACTTGGGCAGTGGCCTGTCTCGTTAATGCCCCATCATATGGAAACCTTATGTTCACACGGCATGACTCTAGTCACTCAGGTTAACATCGTCACAATTTTTGCTCTATCTATATACCACCTCAACTGACTTAATTAAAAAATTAATATATCTTAAAAATTGACTTACTTTGACATTATATTGATTGTTTACATGGTTTTGAATCCGGATTATTTAAAAACACACATGCAGCTAAGTCTAATTTTTATTCGTAGTCCCTTTCCCCTGTTCTTGCTCTTACTCCCAAAGAGAATTGTTTTTATTTGTTTTTGGTTTATCTTTCTATTGTTTCTTTTGGCAAGTTATATAATGCATTGTTATTTTCCTTAACTGTCTATAGATCGGTAAAAGGGCCAAAATGTTATTTGCTTTTACTTGTCCAAATTAAAAATCTTTTTATTGTAGTGTAATTGTGGTATAATGCATATACAGAAAAATACACATATCTTAAGTGTACAGTTCCATGAGTTGAAAGTTGGAAACTCTAAAAGTGAATGTATCCATCTGATCACCTCTCAGATTAAGAAAAAAAGTATTCCCAGTTCTCCACAAACATCCTGCATGGGTTACATTTTTATTAGATGTTTGGGCATCTTCTTTTTTGGAGTTCCTATGTCTTTGGGTAATTTTTCATTTGCATTATATCTGCCTTTTTACAACTGGTTTGTAGGGCTTCTTTATACGTTCTAGTTGTGTGTCTAATGTTGATTACAAATATTGCAATAGTCTTCTATTTTGTGGTTTTTATTTTACTCTCTCAGTGGTGTCCTTTGATAAACAGAAGTTCTTAATTTTTAAATAGTCTGGTTTATCCATCTTTTTCTATATAATTAATAATTTTTTGTTCCATTTAAGTAACTCTAACCCCAAAGGCGTAAGATCCTCTTATGTTTATGATCTAGAAGCTTTTTTGTTCTATCTTTAACGTGAGGATACTTGGAACAGACTTTTGTGTATGTTAAGGTAGGGGTCTGATTTTCATTTTTTCCATACAGATATCCCACAGACCCAGCACCATTTATTGAGAAGACAATCTCTTTCCCCTGCACTTCAGTCATTCCATTAAAAAAAACTGACTATCATTTTGAATGGTGAGTTTGATGTGCTAAATTATTTTTGTAAAATACATTAAAGTACACATGTATTTGTGAAAATAAAACATGTTTAATCTGCATTAAACCACCTAAAATCATCTTATGTACCACACTTTAGGAAACCTCTCAGTGGGATGTTGAGATAATAGCCTCAGATAAGGGAAGAAATTCTCAAAGTAAATTCTTAAAATTCCTTTAAGAATTCATTATATAAGAAGTTCATATTTGTTTTAGAAACAATAGAAAATACAGATAACTATAAAGAAGTAAATAAAAATCCCCTGTAACCCTCTTACCCAGAGGTAAATGCTCTTACCATTTTGGTATATTCTTTTCCAGCCATTTTTTCCCCCACACACACACTCACACACACACACACAACACACACACGTTGTATCTTATAAAAAAGGGGTAATGAAATACATACTATGTTGTATCCTTAATTTTTACTTAATATATTGTTAACACCTCTTCATGTCGATAAATCATATTTTTACATAATAATTTTATTAGACATCTAGGCATGATATGCCAACTGGCTCCCACTTTTTCCATTCTTTTAAACATAGATTCTTATTTCTTTCTTCCTTTCTCTAAGCCCTTGCTTTCCAGACCCTCATTTTAATAGTACTTACCACCAAGCTTAAGAAATAAAGCCAGGCTGGGCATGGTGGCAGGCACCTGTAATCCCAGCTACTCAGGAGACAGGAGACAGGAGAATCGCTTGAACCCAGGAGGTGGAGGTTGCAGTGAGCCAAGATCATGCCACTGTACTCCAGCCTGGGTGACAGAGCAAGACTCTGTCAAGAAAGAAAGAAAGAAAGAAAGAAGAAAGAAAGAAAGAAAGAAAGGAAGGAAGGAAGGAAGGAAGGAAGGGGAAGGGAGGGAAGGAAGGAAAGAAAGAAAGAAAGAAGGAAGGAAGGAAGGAAGGAAGAAAGGAAAGAAAGAGGCTTCCTTTGATTCCTCCTTATCTGATTCCATTTTCTTTCCTGACTCCTGAGTCACCATCATCTAGAGCTAGTGCTTCTAAATAATTTAACTTGCCATTTATGGTGTGCACTTTTACTATATTCAAGTATATTCATTAACAATATATAGTATTGCTTTGTATGTTTAAACGTATATGTAAACGACACCATACTGTACACAACCTTTTGCAGGATACTTTCTTTACTCAAAATTATGCTTCTCGGTTTTATCCATGTTGCTGTAGGTAACTTTCATTTATTCATTTTTAACCACGATGTAGTAGTATTCCCTTATATGAGTGTACCACAATTGAATCATTCATTTCCTTCGTTAGAAAAAATAAGGAATGATGCTCTCTTTCTCAGTAATCTGTAAGGGTTTCTTTAGTGTTCATACACAGGACCAGAACTGCAGGGTATGCAATTTGATTTTACTAGTTATTGCCTGCCCAGTTGTTTTCTAAAATGGTTGTAAATTTACAATCCCATCAGAAATGTATAAAATTTCCAATTTCTTTGAGTCTCAACCAAACTTTGATATTGTTACATTTATAAATTTTTTCCACCCAATTGGGGTGAAATGACATCTATATTAGCCAGAACTCAGAAAACCAGACACCACACAAGGTATTTCAAACAGAGTGACTTTAATACAGGAAATTGCCTACATAGATGTTGGAGAGCTGATAGGGCCAAAAGGGAACACAGAGGTAACTCAGAGATAATAACTGCAGGAAGCAGGTACCAACCTGAGGGCTAGAGGAATAAAAGAAGTTTGGGAACCAGGACCTAGGAGCTCAGAGTATGGGTCCTGCGGTCCTGCAGAGCTGGTGCTGAGACCTAGGAATGGTATGTGGCTGCTATTGGTATATGGAAGGATTGTGGTGAGGCTGGGTTTGGGAGTACATCAAGAAAGTAGGGGCTGGAGCCAACTGCTGCTGCTGGAGTGATGCTGGCAGGAAAGGAAGAAACAGGAACCAAGTCCCTTCTCTCCTCATCTTGCCTTCCAATCTTCCTCGAGTGCCTTTCGTTGTGGGAACCTAACAGGAAGCCAGCTGGTCCTGGAGTCTGGGAAGGGTTGTGTTCAGAGTCCTGGCCTCAGCAAGAGCAGAATACAAAAGGGTAGATGTGAGCTGAGAGACATTGGGTAAATAACCTGCATAGAATTGCACTGTGTGTATATTGCATCTCGGTTCTTTCCATTTTTATGTGTAGCTATTTTAAATGGTGCTTCACAAACATCCTTGCACATACGTTTTCCTTAGAACTTGTTTCCGAAAGTAGAATTGTAGAGTCAAAGAAAATGCATATTTTTAAGGCTTTTGGTCCAGGCTGACAAAATCACCAGTGAGTAGGTTTTGGAAGAAAGGGAGTCCCCCCACCACCCCACACAGTGTATTCCTGGAAACCACATCACAGAGCAGATGGTAATGGAGAAGATCATCTTTCTACGCTGGGGTGCTGTTACCTGGGAATTGCTTCCTGCCCAAGGAATGAGTACCAGGAGACAGCAGTTCTAACAACCCTATCTCAGAAAAAGAGAGCTACAGCCTCAAACTTCTGTGTCATTTATACTAGTTATATTATTCTTTGAATTTTATATCTATTACCCATTGACCACGGAAAAGCCACAGTGAATTTTAAAGTGTACCCACACAATTGAAGCACACAAAAATGTAATTCCACAGTATCACTCACGCAATCTACCACCAGTGATGTATCCTTCTGCTAAGTGCTCAGTATTAAATTAACTGTGGATTCGTTTGCTTAATTGGGCTTACAGGGGCCAGGAGTGTGTGTATGTGTGCAGTGAGTCTGGGCAGCTGGAAGGCAGAGGCTAGAGGGAGTGTAGAGAGGAGATAAAAGTCTGAGTTTAGGAGGGTGAAGAAAGTTGCTGTCAGTTGGCACAGTGGGAGCTCCCGAGGCATTTAGGGGAACAGAAAGTGCAGTGGAAAGAGGGATGCATGGGCGTGAAGGCCTGGGAATCCGTGGGGCAGTGCTGAAGAAACACCTCACCTGTATCACCAGATAGCTAAGAACTACTCCACCTGGCCCAGATTCTTTGGCGTGTGTCTCTGCTCAGCTCCGATGAATGCAGGAATCCCTAATCAGATGACTGCAATCACAAGACTCCCCTCCAGCAGGTAATCAAGAAGCCAGAGCCCCTGAACATTGGGCCAGGTATCCATCTCCAAGGGAGCTGTCCCTCCCACGGTCACCTTGGAAAAAAGCCCTGCAGAGGGACCTTGGCCTTGGCTGGGTATTGTGGGAAACGAAGGGTTGAAGTCTGAGCCTTGAAGAAAGCTTCTCATAATTTTTCCAGCTCTTGACACTTTCTGAAATGTGTCTGGGGCATTTGGGAGATGGCCCCCAAGCCGTATCCAGCCCTGACTATTCTCTGAATTGTCTCCTGGATGTCTCTTGGTATCTTCCTCTCACCAAGGCATACCTCCCATAAGGGCAAGAACTATGTCTGTTTGGCAAACCATAATATAACCAGAGTCCCATGCAGTGCTTAACACAGATACTCAAGACATATTGATTGGATGAAGGAATGGAGTTCTAATACAAAAATGTTAACTTTCCACTTGCAAACAGTTCCATCTCTGGGCTGCTTTGTCTGTCACTGATGTCATCATAGTCATTGTCAGATTCATTCTCCATCTTCCTCCTTCTCTCATCCAATTGGCCATGTTTATTCTATCACCACTCCAGTGCCCTAGCGTAGTCCTCTTTCTGCACTTTGTGCCATCCTTCAACTTCACATCTAAAACCCCCATCGGTTCCCTTTCACTTTCAGCATAAAATCCAAACTTCTTAGTTTGGCCTTCAAGGCCCACCATTGGTCTCCAGCATCCTTCTGTCTGCCTCATCCATTTCTCTCCTGCATGTGTCCTGATGCTGCCAACTGGTTTCCTCCTAACTGCTCAAATATATTCTGGATTTACCTGTTCTTGTATCTGGGCTCATCTCCCTGCCTGTAATCTCCTCTTTTCACGGGCCAATCCTGTTTGATGATTTCTCCTTCCACTGAACTGAGAATCAGATTGAAGTCACAACATGAGACCAGCTCTGCGTCATGGTAGGTGTCGGGAACTGGTGATGAAGCTGAGGCTCTGATACATGTAGTGATGGTCAAGGTCACACAGCTGGTAATAACAGCTGCCACTTATTGGCTGTCTTCTATGTTTTAGGTCCTCTTCTAGGTGTTTTACACACTTCCTTTCCAACGTGCTCAATACACTTGCAACATATCATTCAAGTAAGGATATAGCATTAAAAGATTCCACAACTGTGCCCATTGCCAGGCAGGACCATTGCAGGAAACTGGCTCAGTGATGGAGTAAGTTATGGCTGGAGTAAGGAGAGGATAGGATCTTGGAGTGCTGCTGAGGACACCAGGGGTTACCTTGTATAATAAATGCTCAGTTCCTGGGGAAAGCAAGGGAGAGGAAAAGAGAGATGCAATGAAAAAAATCCTCCATTTGTGTCGAATTATTTCTCTCCTGGAGGAAGAGGAGATAAAATCTGGAGGTGCAAATGGGGCATGGTTCTATCTATACACAAGACACACAATGTCTTTTTAAAGACATTAGTGCAGACTTCAATGTACTGCTTCTCAGGTGGGGCCTGGGATTCTTCATGTCTAACAAGCTTCCAGGTGATTCAGATGCTGCTGGGTCCTGCACTTTGGGTAGCAAAGCTGTAGGAAGGTTCCATCTTCCTGTGACTGGGGTCTAGGCTGATGTGTGACCAGGGCCTAGGGTCAGTCTACAATTGGGGAATTGCATCAGTCCAAAACTGGAGAATTGTGTGATTGACCATACTTTTGGTTTTGACCAACACTGCATCTGTCCTCCAACCTATAGCCACGAGTCATAATAAAAAAATCACACAAGAGTGAAGGAGAGAAAAGATATTTCCCCTGAAAGAGGAGGTGCAGAGCACATGGGGGAAAGATTCCCGTACTATCCGGGTTGGTTAGCTCCTTTTTTGTAAAGGTAATTTCTCCCTCTTCTTTTCTCACTCTCCATCCCCGCATTTTACATATGTTCTTAACAAAGAAATATATGGTTAGTGCCACATCTGGGAGTCTTGTCCACAAGGCCTGATGGCAATATATAATCAGTTTGGGAGAGGGGGTGGCACAGCATAAAGAAAGGAAATGGTTTCTCTAGACTAGGAAAGAAAAAAGGAAGAAAAGGAAACCAATATGTATTGAGCTCCTGCTATACACAAGGCACTCTACCAGATGTTTATATGTAAGCCAATCATTTCATCTTCCCAAGAATAAAATATAGTTCTTATCTTATTTCACAGATAAGGAAACTGAAGTCCATCAAGGCATCAAGTACCCATGGTTGCTTGAGTGTTAAAGCCAGGACTCCGTCTAGATCAGTAATCTCAAAATCCTTGCTGCCTCATGGGACCTAGTCAGATGAGTTCAGTTTGGGAAATAATGCATTTGAGGAGCCTGTGGAGTGGGGTGGGGAGGGGAAATACTCAGGTGGAGTGGTTGAGGTCTTAGAAGTCCCACGTGGTAGAGTGCAAAGAGAGAAGAGGCCACGGCAGAGACTGCTCTCTTCTTCTTCCTCAGTGTTCAGAATACCTGAGTTTTAGCTAGACACAGCCATTGGAATGAAGATTCTGCTTCTCATCCACCCACAGAGCTGGGTGTGGCTATGTGTTAAGTTGTGAGTAGTGGGAAGTGTGGGAGAGTGGTTCTCACCTACCTTTGTCCCTCCGTGCTCCCTTTTCCTTCCTGCAGGCTGGAATGAGGCTGTGAGGCTCCAGCAGCCGTTTTGTGCCACGAGGCAGTAGAAACCTGGGTTCCTGATGACTGTGGAGCTGCCGAACTAATCTGGACCTCCAGATTCCATACCTGCAAGACACATGAACATCTGTCTTATGTAAGCCACTATTACTTTTTTTGTTTGTTTTTTTTTTCCTGTATGGCAGAACATAATCTTAAGGAACACAAAGGCCAAGGGCATCTTTTCCATTCAGGGCTGCAGTTCTCAAACCCAGCCGCACTTCAGAATGCTCGGGCCTCCCAAAGACCAACACATTGAGACTTGCTGGAGGGCGTGGCTGCACATTTGTCGTTTGAAGCTCCCTAGGTGATTCTAGTGTGTAGGAATTGATCTAGGACTGAAAAGGATGTGAAGAGGGCATGTTCCTAAAGAGAGAAGAACCAGGAGAGTGAGCTGTGAAGGCCTGAGGAGGGAATTTGAGTTAAAAAACAGGCGGGCATCAGCACTGAATGCCTTAGTTGGAAGCTGGGGAGGGGGGAAGCCATGGAATTAGGTTATTGAGCTCACTGGTGACTGGGTGAGAGGCATGAGGTCAGGGTCCAGTTTGAAATGGGCTAAGGAGGGGTGAGTGCTTCATAAGAAGCCTGGTAGCCCATCAATGATACACTGGATAAAGAAAATGTGGCACATATACAACTTGGAATACTATGCAGCCATAAAAAAGAATGAGTTCATGTCCTTTGCAGGGACATGGATGAAGCTGGAAACCATCATTCTCAGCAAACTAACACAGGAACAGAAAACCAAACACTGCGTGTTCTCACTCATAAGTGGGAGGTGAACAATGAGAACAAATGGACACAGGGAGGGGAACATCACATACTGGGGCCTGTCGGGGGGTGGGGAGAAGGGAAGGGAGAGCATTAGGACAAATACGTAATGCATGTGGGACTTAAAACCTAGATGATGGGTTGATGACGGGTACAGCAAACCACCATGGCACATGTATACGTATGTAACAAACCTGCACGTTCAGCACATGTATCCCAGAACTTAAAGTAAAATTAAAAAAATAAAGAAGCCTGGTAGTGTAGGAAAGAGAGGTAGGCCACTAGCTTGATGGGACAGTGAGCGCATATTTATACTAATGACTAAATTTCCTTGAGTGATGAAGGGGCAGGCAGCGTGCTAAGCCTTGCCAGGCATCAGCATCTCATTTCACAGTGACCCTTCGTCTGAGTTAGTGGCTGTTATTTCCACTTCACAGATGTAGAGGCTGAAATACAGAGATGGAATGACTGGCTCAAGGTGAATACAGCTGGTAGGTGATGGAGCCTGAACTTGAATCCAGATCTAATTCCATCCTGGGAAGGCCACCTTTAGCCTGGAGGCACCTGGAGCCTGTTTGTTGCTGGAGGTCAAGGGAGAGGTTTTATGTGCAGATCCTCGAGGATGCAGAGGGCGTGGGAACTCAGCTGTAGGCTTGGGCTTGGATGAAAGGAGGGGCCCTTCCTCTCTCTGAGATGGAGGTGAGGATGTGGGGAGTTGTGGAGAGGAGGGAAACTGGGGCCCTCCTGTAGCACCTCCATCTTTCCAGGAGCCAAAGCAGGGTCATGGCAGGGCACAGGGGCAGTAGGGACTGATGAAAGCTTGAACAGCAGGAATTTGTTCTCTGCCAGAGGGCAGGAGAGTTGGCCTATCTCTAGTATTGTACTGAGGCCATGGGACCTTGTGATAGAAGCCTGATTCCAGGCTCTGATAGTGCTAAGCCAAGCAGAGCTGATTATTAAATATCCAAGGACTCCTCTTCTGATAGAGACATAGGTGAGTTCTCTCCCATCCCCTGCCTCCTATCCCCAGGACAGCCTCCTAACAGGATTCTGCTGTGGCTGCAAATGAATTTGCTGTGATCCCAAACTCTTTGATTCCAGCAGCCATCCCTGGAGAGGATCCCTGGAGAGGAGCAAACCCAGGCCATCCGGATTTTCTGCATGGGAGACCTGGCTGACCGCTGCCTGGGCTGCTTTCAAGTCTCACCGAATTATGAAGTCAACTACTGGGTGTTTAGAATGTCTCAAGTTCAAAGACTAGCAGGCTAGAAGCAGACATCTGAGAGAACTTCGGGCACCTTAGCAGGAGGAATATTAAGATGTGGCATGCTGGGCTTATCGGGAGACTGGATAGGGATCAGAAGGAATACATTTCTATTCTGCGAGCTGCAGAGCTCAGGAGTCGTTCTGATATCAGGCCCATTGGTGGGTTTAGCTTTGGTGCAAGTTTCTTGGCCATGGAGCTTAACTAGGAGGAAGTGAATTGCAATCATTTTGGCCTGTGCTCCTTAGAGTCCCAGGGATCAATGGGAGACGAGTGACTGGGTGGGCGGGTAGAGCAAGGAGAACAGGGTGCAGGAGACACTGCCACTTATTTATTTGTTTTTCCTACAAATATTTATTGAGCCTCTAAGTATGTACCAGGCACATTCCAGAAGAGGGACTCAGAGGTCGTTGGAAGTGTATGCCAGGAACCACTGAGCAAGGCCCTTGTCTCTCTTTGTGGGCCTTCTTCAGACACTTCCCCCTCATACACGGGATCTGGGATCATTAAACATCTCATTGTCCTTTGGATTCACCAGCTTTTGAAAGTGCTGCTCCTGCTGGAAAAGCCCTCGCTTCCACTCTTCACCTAGAAAACTTCTATTCATTCATTAAGGCCTGACGTCACGTTTTCTGGGAAGTCTTCCTTGCTTATCCCCTGACAAATTTGATTTTTTGTCAAATTTGTATTATTTATATCTTTGTGTTATTAAATTTCCATCACATTTCAGAGTTTCTGAGTGTTTAAATAACTTAACCTAAGTTCACACAGCTAGTTAGAGTCTCAGCTAGGATTTGAACTTGGAACTTCCTGACACCAAAGCCAATACACTTAACCACTAGATCGCATGGCCACTGAAGTTAGTGGTTCCTTCTCTAGGCTCCCAGGGCCCCAGAGTTTTGTCATGGAACTCATCATTGTTGATTGTCATTATTCATTTGCTGGTGAGATTTCCAGGGGTACGGGCTATATGGAGTCACTATGATGACTCAACATAGAATCGACAGCCCAGATGCTGGTGGGATGATAAGAAAGGCTATTAATGTGCCCAGTACTGGGCTAACCTCTCCATATTCATTGTATCATTGATTACTCATGACAATCCATGAGACAGTCATTACTATTCTTCCCATGTCATATTTGGAACAACTGAGGCTTAGAGAGCTGAAACAATATGTCCAACTCCCACAGCTAGAAGAGGCAGACCTGGGGTTCAAACTCAGGTCTGGCTTATTCCAGAGCCCATGCTTTTAACTGCTATATCACACTCCTTCTCCTCGACGTGTTCTCTGAAACCCTGTAGTGGTGCTGGGGTACAGAGACAAGTGTCACCAAGCTCCTACCTTCAAGGAGCTCACAGTCAAGTGGAGAAGTCAGGCATCCCGGCATCCCAGGCATCCCTGATTATCCTGGTATGAACAGATAATCACAACACAAGCTATAAATGCAGGTAGCCTGGAGAAAGGAGTAAATAATTAGTCAAACAGAGGGAGTGCTAGGGAAAGATTTCAAAGCAGTGGGGATACCTGAACAGGGTTTTGAAAGTTAAATAAGAGTCTTCCAGGAGACAAGGAGGTAGAAGGACACCAGACATACAGAGCAGCATACACGAAGGGAGGGAGGGAAGGAGAGAGAGAGAGAGAGCTGCTGGGTGGTAGGGAAACTCCAAGTGATTAGAAATTTCACCCTTCCTGTCTCTCCTTCCGCAGCTGACTCTGCTAGGAAATGTGGAAAGCTGCAGCTGCAGACAGCTGGCTGTGCCTGCTTCACTGGAGTTCTCAGCTCTCTTACACCTGTCTGTTTAGAAAGGAGCAGACAGGCTGTGAAGCTCTGCAGGATTCTTTTCAGTGCTGGGGCAGAAGGAGAAATGGTGGGGACAGCCACTCTGGGCATCAGAACCGAATACCTGCTCCCCACTCCTCTCAGTTGCACAGCCCAGCTCCTGGCTTCACTGCAGTGGGAAGGGAGATGAAGGACTCTTGAACTCAGAATATGACTGACCAAGACCCTTACAGCTGGGGTGGAGGTAGGGGGCTGAAGGCAGGTTCTGGAGGTGGAGATTGAGTCTTCCAGTTGTTTTCCTGGCAACAGCGGGAACAATAGATTCTAGGTTCTGGCTGGCTCAGGAGTTGGGGTGTCTGACCTGTCTTTCCTCAGTCCCTTCTGCTATAGATACTGATAGTCCTCTGCCACCAGGCTCTGCCTACCAAGTCCCTGAGCTCTTCCTGACCTAGCCTGGCTCTGAGAGGGGAGCCAGCATGGCAGAGGGTGGGCCTGGTACCAGTTGTGTCTCCCTGAATACAGGATCTGAGAGCTGGGGAGCTATGGACACCCAGAGCCCATCAGCCTGGTCTCTCCCCTCACTGTAGGTTCCCAGGCCAGTGGCTGGTTCCTGATTTTACCTAGTCTTCTGCACTGGGATAAGAACCTGACATCCAGCTTCCCCTTTGGGAGTAAGGCCTCTTCCACGGGCTGCTCCTGGTCTGTGTTTTCCACTGCAGTCTGGGAGCCTACTTCCCCCATGAAGGCCCTAACCCCACCCATGAAGACACTACATGAATTACTGTCCAGACTGGACTCCAGATGCAGCCTCGGATTAGACCCAATTTGGCCTCATCTCCTTGGAGCTGTCTAGTAATTTGGAATACACGCTGCTCCCTACTTAGCCACCTGCAAAGCAGGGTCCATCTCCCAGCCTGGTTCTGCCTTTTCCTCAGTCTTATATGTGTGTGTCTGAGTACATGTGTCAGTCAGTGATCATGCCAGGACGGCCAGCTGGACTTGTGTCAGCATGCACATATGTTCCTTGAGGCTGTCCCGTGCAGGCGTGCACTGAGTTCTCAGCCCAGTTCTGAAGCGTGTTTGTGAATATGCCCAGATACATCATGAACATTGCTGGGATGCTAGGAGGGGGATCAGTATGAATGACATTGCATGTCCTCAAGTACACAGGTATGTGTCTACGCACACGCACAAACCTCTCTAATATGTATGTATGCACGTGTACATGTGTATAATATGGCTAAGTGTGTGTCTGGGAGTATTTGACCATGTCTGATGTGAATCTTCTGCCCATTCTGAAAGGAAAGGGGACATGGGCCCACTCTCCCTTTTTGTAGTTACACTGTGGTCAGGGCTGGCTTGTGACAGAGGGAGTCAAGGTGAGTGCCCCTCTGAACTTCTGGGATCTTTCTGCCTAACATTCTGAGACTTCCCCAGCTGTTCCCTAGTCCTGCAGCCTTGGCTGTCAGTACTTCAAGATTATCTGGCCAGGCGTGGTGGCTCATGCCTGTAATCCCAGCATTTTGGGAGGCCGAGGCGGGCAGATCATTTGAAGTCAGGAGTTTGAGACCAGGCCAACATGGTGAGACCCCATCTCTACTAAAAATAAAAAAATTAGCCAGGTGTACTGGCACGTGCCTGTAATCCCAGCTACTTGGGAGGCTGAGGCAGGAGAATCACTTGAATCCAGGAGACAGAGGCTGAAGTGAGTCGAGATTGCACCACTGCACTCCAGCCTGGGTGACAGAGTGACACTTGGTCTCAAAAACAAACGAACAAACAACAAACAAACAAAAAAAAAAAAAAAAAAAGAAAAGAAAAAGATTATCTGGTGCCTTGGCCCAGTCCCCACCCTTCACTTTGGAAAGGGTGTACCTGCAAAAGGTACAAGAGGAAGTCCACACCCCCACATTTAGTCTGGCAATGATGCCAACTATTCAGGACTCGCCTACTGTGGCCTGTGTAGGTCCTCCTCCTCTCCTGCTCATGTCCAGGCCATTGTCTTTAGTGGGACAGGGGGGCCTGAGGGAGGAGCTTCTGACCTGGCTGTTCTGGAGGCCTGGGCTTGCCAGAGGCCTTCAGCTTTGGCAGAGGACTCCGGGCTGTTTGGAGGCACTCCCAAGGCCCCTGTGCTGTGTCAGGGGCAGGAGGTGATGGTGGGGGGTGGGTAGTACGTCCAGAGCTTCCCCTTCCCAACAAATCTGTGGATGGGCAGGGGGTACACTCATGGGGAAATTACCAATTTAAATAGGAAATGCAAGCAATTTGGATAGAACCCCAGGACTGCAGTTTGAGAGCTCATTCTCTGCCCCGTGGGGGTTTGATTACAACCAACTTGGCTGATAACGTGCAGAGAGGGCCAGAAAAATGGTTTCCAAGGAAACTCAGATCTTTCTAAGCCCCTTCTGGCTCAGGTGGGAGCCAGGGCTGGCCGGGAAAGCAGAGGCTGTGCTGAGTACCATGGTGCTCAATTCCCGGTGAGCCCTCTGCCCACTCTCTGCCTGCTTCTGTGCTTATCCCTGCTTCCCCAAACCTGGCCTGCACTTTCATTCCTGTTTACAACAGTTGTTTCTCTCTTTGTCTCTGCTCCCTTTGTCTTCTTATTTATCTCAGCTGATGTCTGCACTTGGGAAAGTTGGCAAACATTAAAAAAAAAAATTCTAATTTTTTTCTTATTAATGGCGACTATTCATTCAACACCTACTCTGTTCCAGAAATGCCACAGGATTTAGTTCTATTATTTCCATTTTCACAGCAACCATATGGTAGACAGGATACTATGTGTTCATCAAATCTTTTTTCTTCCTGGAACTACATTTCCCAGCATGCCTTGCTGTAAGGTTGAATCATGTGACTGAGTGCTGGTCAATGGAATGTGGGTAGGAGTAATATATGCCACTTTTGTGGCTGCCCGGCCCCCCCTAAATATCACGAACAATCTTCTACACATACTCATTTACTCTTTTTTTTTTTGTAGGCCGTGGAAACAGAAATCTAGTGGAGGATTCTGATCCCTAGGGAATGTAGGGCCACTGGACCCAATTGCCCTATAATCTTGTGTGGTATTTCCCTGCCCCTGCTCAACTTCATTGGATGGTAATGTTACATTTGTTAAGCCACTAAGGTTTTGGGGGTTGTTTATTAGGCAGTTGTCTAGCCTGATAACACAAGCCTGAAAGAAGGGCATTCTTATCCCTATTTTTCCCTGGGGGAAATGGGCTCAGAGATACTAAGTAACTTGCTAAAGTCACACAGCAAGTAAGTGGCAAATCCAGATTTGAGCTCAGGTTATGTCTTTTCCACTAACCCAGGCTAACAGGATGATTGTTCCTGCTTAGGTATTGCCTTGGTCTTTGTTTCTTGAGGAGTCACAGAAAGAAAGACACAGACCAGGACTGGGAGGTAGGGAAGGAGGGAGCAGCTGGGGGGCAGGTGTGTAGTGGTGCATCATAGCAGCAAAGGGAGGTAAAGGTTCTAGGAAGGGGTGGTCAATTGTGTCTAATGAGATCCAGCCAGGTGGAGGAGGAAGAGGGCTGGGAAGAGCCCATTAAATTTAATGACCTCAGTGACAGTTTTATCTGAGTGATGGGGCAGATGCCAGCTTGCAGAAGGTTTGGGAACAAGTCAGTGATTATGTTGGTTAAGGGAAGGAGAGAGGAAAAAAAGAGAGATAGCTTTAAGTGGAAGCCAGGCCAAAGGAAAGCATTTTGAGAAGGAAATCAGTGGTTAGGGAGAGGTTAAAAATAAGAAAGGGAATCATGACCTACATAATGCAAGGCATCTGAATGTGATGATTTCCTCCTTTAGGCTTGGTTCTGGTGTGCATTTCCAGGGCTAAGCTGACTGGCCAGGAAGCAGGGAGCAAAGGGGGTTGGACACAGCCAGCAAATCACGCAGCATTAACTGGGCTGCGAGGCCGGATCCTGAGTGGGCAAGCAGGTGGCAGCTGAAGTATTGTGAATCGAGAGCCTGAAATTCTTCAGGATCTTCTAAGATTATCCATTTGATTGGGTCATGGAATTAATGTGGATAAGCCTAGTTGATCAACCTGAGTAGAGGGTGCTGTCACCTGCACAACACCTACCACAACTTCCTAGAACCTAGTGGCCGAGCTTGTTAAGTGTCCCCAAATGCCCATTCTCTCCTTCCTTTTAGTCAAGGAGCCATGAATTTTAGGGAAGAACATGATCATTTAGCTCAGGACCACAGTTCCCAGACTCCCTGCAGCTGGATGTGGATGTCTACTCAGTTCTTGCTAAAACGATGTGTGCAATTTCCAGAGCACATCCTTATATGGAAGTTATTTGCAGTGAACATTGTCTGTTTCCTCCTTTCAATGAGGTGGAACTGGAAGTGCTGGAGATGAGCTGCTGTGGCTGTATGGACAAAGGCAAGATCCTATGGGATGGCCAAGCAACCAGACAGAAGAACTCTTGAGACCTTGAGGAAAAGAACTGCCCGCAACTGCTCTTGACACTCTCTCCCTCTGGCCTGTTGTGTGGGAGAGAAATAAACTTCTATTTTATTCAAACCACTGGATTTATGGGTCTCATTGGTACAGCAGCTTGTCCTGCACCTTAATTAATATTCCTCCTACCCCTCTCCCTGTCAACATCTCTTTCTATAGTGTTCTCCTTCATTCAGCAGTCGACCCATCCCCCTCTCTCATTTCTTCCCTTCTTTCTCTTCTCTCCCCACTTCCATGGCAATATTCTTTGAGTCTCCACCCCACATCTAGACCATCTTCTCTTTCCTATTCCGTTTCTTCTGTAGAGCAATTTATGCCTACCAACACTAGCGCTCTCCAGGGTCCTGGCCTTGGCCCTGCACTGCTTTCCCCTCCACGCTGTACGTGCTTTCTTGAGTCAGTCTCATCTACTTTCTCAGTTTAAATTCTGCCTGATGACATCAGACCTGTTTCTCCCACTTGACTTCTTGGGTCACCTCAGCTCCATTCAACATATCTGTGTCAGTTAGGATGCTCGTGGCTGTACATGGCAGAAAACCCCACTCAAAATGTCTTAAACAATAAGGAAATTTATTGGCTCATATAAAAGAAGGGGACAGGTTGACCTTCTGGATGGCTTGATCCAATGGTTCAATGAATTCATTGAGGGTCCAAGTTTTTCTATCTTTCCATTATATTCTTCTTCTAGAATGGCCTTATCTCTTGAATTGGAAGATCACTGTCAGTCCTAATCAGGACTGTTTGTTTTCTGTTCTCAGCAGAGAGCTCCTCTCCCACAGTTATTGAAGACAGATGCTTTTCTTTGGTCTGAATGAATCAACTTATGGCCCCAACACCAATAAAGACACAAGGGAATAATATGTGCTTATTGGCTTAGACTTCTACTCCAACCAGTTATAAGCAAGGGGGATTATTACGGGATGGGTTGTCATGATTGGGTTACACGGGTCAAGGCCCATCCTGGATCTGGAGTGATTCCTCACATCGCATTTCTGGGACAGGTGGCAGAAGGCCTGAATGGATGTTGTGCATTGATTACAATGTCAATGTCAATATCAAAATCTAAATTCATCCTGTATGCTCATTCCCCACAACCCAGACCTCCTCTTGTCTCTTCTATTTCAGCACATGCTCCCACCATGAACTCAGCTACTTTAACCAGAAACTAGAGTCAGCCTTGAAGTTTTCTTTTTGACCCTCTCAATGATTACTCAGTTATTCAGTATTTTTCTCATTTGTAGCCCCCTCTTCTATCTGCTCTCCCCAATCTAACAGCTTTTTAATTGGTGTTCTTTCTTCAATCCCAGTAATTTTCAATCTACTCTCCCTGCTGCTTCTAGAATGAGCTTTTGAAAATACAAATATGATCCTTTTTGTCAACCCTTTGCTTATACCCTTCATTGGCTTCATATCATTTACACGATAAAATCTGACCTCTCCCTAGGTAGCTGGGGGGTAAGTAGGAATTAAAATGATTTATCTTGGCTACAAAAGCAGCACAGCTAATCCTGATGCATAGTAATGTCAGTAAATATTTGTTGCACTAAACAGAATGCTGCGTGGTGTGTACATGTGTGTACAAGGGCCTGATGAGAGAGTGAGTGATTGGCATGAAGGGAGAGTTGACACGAGGTAGCCTGAAGTTTGACAAAGCTCAGAATTCATACTGGCATGGTAGGTTGGTCTGTTTGTTTTTAATTGTAGTGTGGTGCTTAGGAGCTTTGGTTTAGAAGTTACGCAGCTGGGGTTGGGTTTGAATCCTGACGTCATTCACTGCCACCTTGGGCAAGTTGTTGAACTCTCCAGCATCAGCATCTTCATTTTCTCTGCAAATGAAGAGAATACTATTACCCAAATCCAAGATTTCTTGTGAGAATTTGCTGAGGTGATTCTCAAAAAGCACTCAGTATGTGGTGAATATGCAATTAATGTTGGTTGTTATTGTTATTTCTTAATTGAAACGTAACATAAATTGTAGACATGCTCCATATAATGATATTTTGGTCAATGTCGGACCATATATATGACAGTGGTCTCATAAGATGATAATGGAGTTTATACAGAAACTTGATATATGGCACTTGATATTGGCATTGCAGATCAAGTAGGGGGAAATGATTGATATTCTGTAATGGTGCTGGGACATTTAGTTTTCCATATGATAAATATACATATAAATAAAAATATATATACCCTCTAGGTTTGTGTAAGTACACTCTATGATGTTCACGCAATGACAAAATTGCCTAACGACACATTTCTCAGAATGTATCCCCATCGTTAGGTGACACATGGTTGTACTAATATTTAAAACGATTAAGAGACGTTTTATTAGTACAAACTTCTCCTATAAGAGGATGAATTACATAATATTTCCTTTCACACATGAACACAAATTTTTCTATTGATTTTCTTCACTGCATTAAAATTTGGAGTGGGATGTCTTTAAGTGCGAATATTTTTACATTACTTTTTAATTTTTAAAGTTTTTGAATTTTTTTTTTTTTTTTTTTTTTTGAGACAGAGTCTCACTCTGTTGCCCAGGCTGGAGTGCAATGGCTTGATCTCGGCTCACTGCAACTTCTGCCTCCCAGGTTCAAGCAATTCTCCTGGGTTCAGCCTCCCGAGTAGCTGGGACTACAGGCGTGTGCCACCACACTCAGCTAATTTTTTTGTATTTTTAGTAGAGATGGGGTTTCACCATGTTGCCCAGGCTGGTATCGAACTCCTGAGCTCAAGTGATCCACCAACCTCGGCCTCCCAAAGTGCTGGGATTATAGGCCTGAGCCACCGCGCCCCACCATTACTTTTTAAGTAGTTAAAAATTCCTAAAAATGAAATTCAAACCAAATGTTTAGGGACCTCTTGAAACATTTCTGAGGAAGGCTGTGTTCCATGGGACATAATTTAAAAGCCGTGGATCTAGCCCTGCACAGTACAATACTAGCTATGTGTGGCTATTGGGCGACTGACATTGGCCAGCCCAAACTGAGAGGTGCTGTAAATGTACAATACACATGAGACTCTGAAGACTTAGTACAAAAAAGGAATGTAAAATCTCATTAATATGTTTTCATATTAATTACCTGTTGAAATAATGTTTGATATATATTGAGTTAAATAAATATATTATTAATATTAATTTTACCTGTTCCTTTTTACCTTTTTAAATGCGGCTACTAGAAAATGTACAACATAGGCTGGGCGCAGTGGCTCACGCCTGTAATCCCAGCACTTTGGGAGGCCGAGGCGGGTGGATCCTGAGGTTAGGAGTTCCAGACCAGCCTGGCCAAGACGGTGAAACCCCGTCTCTACTAAAAAATACAAAAATTAGCTGGGCATGGTGGCAGGCTCCTGTAATCCCAGCTACTTGGGAGGCTGAGGCAGGAGAATTGCTTGAACCCGGGAGGCAGGTTTGCAGAGAGCCAAGATTGTGCCACTGCACTCTAGCCTGGGCGACAGAGCAAGACTCCATCTCAAAAAAAAAAAAAAAAAGAAAATGTACAACATGATATATGTGGCTTGTATTATATTTCTATGTATTTCTAACAGGGCTGATCTAGACTTCCTCCAGCCCTACCTCCTTCTTGCCTCTGGATTCACTGCCTCTATGTTCTGCTTTGCTCTCCTTAACTCCTTTGGAAGATCTCCAACATCCACTTTTTGCCCCGAACGTCTTGTGAAAGACCTGTGGCCAGACGTTCTGCACAGTTCTGCTCTGGCACCTGTGAATTCTCATTTAGAACTTCTTTGGTCCATTCTGCCACCTCCTGTGGGTGGAATTGAGACTCAGGAGCACAGCCTGATGTCCCTAGAGACTTCATTAGGGCCAGTTCCTGTGTGTGGAACTCAGCAGAGCCTTTGGCTGAGCAGGGGCAGCCGGGTGCAGGGCAAAGTATACACTTTCTGTGACCCTGGGGGATGCTACTTCTCCAAACACCTGCTCCTGGATTTCTGCACTGTGGTAATTATCAGTGTAACAGCGAACAATGGTGCAAACACAGGCTTTGGAGCTAGAGGTTCTGATCCCAGCTCCACCTTACAAGCTCTGCAACACTAGGCTTGTTTGTTGATCTTTTTGCATCTCGGTTTCCTCTTCTGTGAAATGGGAGCAATACAAAGCTGTGAGAATTATTGATAGGCTTTAAGAGGGCATGCATATAAACTGCCTAGCCTGGCATATGTGCAGACCCTCAGTGGATCTGACTTCACTTCCTCTCCCGAAATCCATCTCCACACTGGGTGAAGAGTAAGTTTGGTAAAGGAGATGAAGAGAACAGGGAGATGGAAAGGGCTCAGAACAGAAAGGCTGAGGGCACCAAAGGAAAACTTCCTGACTGTCCATTTTTGTCTAGGGCTAGCCCTGAGGGAAGAGACACGAGTGGGACTGCTGGGAGCTCTGGGTTAATGAAGAACTGGAGCCCACTCCACTGCTGTCACCATTGATTTTTCGTTCCAGGCAGCTTGCAAGCTGCCCCAGGAATCAATGTCGGAAGGTGAAAACAAATTTCTAAAATTAGCCCGGAATACACTGCAAGAAAAACCTTTTGTGCAACAAATTGTAATGAAGCTAATATCTGAGGAAGGTGTCATAACAAGGAGTTCAGGGGACAGGCAGCACATCCAGCACTCTCTGCTTCACCACAGGGGACTCAGTCCCCAGGGGTACTGATCCTATCCACCGGGAAAGACATACAACTCGTCACCACACAGACACATGCACAGCGCATTCCAGCACCTGTGAGTCCTATTATGCAGCCATTAAACCAGCAAGAAAGGACAGCCAGGCTAAGTGCTAATTTTGGGATGGTGTGGAGGGAGGGACACACATTTGTACTCTGCTGGTGGCACTGGAAAGTGTTCCATCTTGCCAGAAGGCTCTTATCTATGGGCAGTAAGTGCTGGAAAACCATTTAGATTTTTGGCCAGGTTACTCTGCTGAGCAGAGTCAGATGTGACCATTTGTGCTGGGTTAGGAATCCCAAACATGACAGTTTTCTGCTTGCTTTTCATGATGATGTGTCTGCGGTAAACCTTACTATCTGAAGTGAGCACCCTCACAGAAGCCCAAATGCCTGAGTGTCTTATTTCGCAGTCTTCCCACATCCTCCTGCCAGCATAAGCTATAAGAAGAAAGGAAATAAACAATGAATTCCAGGAGAATCATTTTGTGCCAGGAGACCCTCACCTGGGACCCATCTCCAAGACTGTGGAATTGTAGCAGGGGAGTTTCAGGAAGGGTGTGTGAAGGGGGAGGACATTTATTCTGGCTTTTTGTGACTCATGGATGACATAAATGAGCTGAAGACAAGCCTATGGATTTCCCATCCTCAGAAGTCGTTGGGATGTTTTAGTACAACTAAGCATCTGAGTAAGAAGGCTCTTGGTCTCTTGTCCTCTTGCAGTGGGACCGAGACATCATTACAATCCCTAGCAGCTGGAAAAACTTGAGTTTAAGGGCCCAAATCTGCCAGAGGAGATAGTCAACAACTGGAGGAAGACATCCCACAATCTCCTTTTGCAAAGCTGACTCCAAGGAAATAACCAAGAGGGAAAACAAATATTTGCAATACCCATGTTTTTAGCTGCATACTTTTGTAGGTGCAAAATATTGGAAACAATCAAATGTGCCACTTCTGGGGCTTGGTTAAGTGGCATAGTGGGATCATGGGGTGCTATGTGGGGGCTCAGGGTGAAGCAACTAGGGTGAGATGTTATGGGCTGAAAGGGACACAGAGTCATTTGCCCACTGGGACTGTAACTGGGTTAAATGCAGGCACAGACATGAGATGAGACATGATGCATTGTAAGTGAATAGATGCACAAAGCAGACGGAATCAAGTAGGAAGAGCGGATTTATTTATGTGTGTACTGTTTTGTTGTTAGTAAAACCATGCTTATTGTACCTTCAAGAAAGAAAGAAAGAAAGTAACCTGAGTCCATAAGGCATCTGCAATTTGCTGTGATTCCTGCCTCTCCTCCTTCTAAATAAACATTCACTTCTGTATTTAAAAAGAGTCGTGATAAAAAAGAGAGTTCATCGACATTAACTATAAAATTCACCAAGATCACAGACCAAGTTCTAACAGGGCCCTTAGGTGTAATTTGGTCTAACCTTTCATCTCACTCAATTCAACAGCATCTACGGTCAAGCATCTACCACAATCTAGGTCATGTGCAAAGGACCTGGGGAAAAATGTTGAGCAAACCCAGAGTCCTGACCCTCATGGTCTTCAAGGTTTAGGGTCTTTAAGGCTTAGGTCTTCAATGTTTCAATGTACGATCCCTTCTACATTGCTTCTCATAAACAGTGGTCATCTGATATCTGCTGGAATACCTGTGGGAGACCATCTGCTGGACACCACTTCTTTTTGAGATCAGTGCTCCTCCACTGTAGGACATCACTTGCTGGGAGCTGAAGTGTGGCTCTCTTATTCCTTCCACATTAGAGCTGAAGCTGCTCTTTGGGGTCACACTGAAAAGGTCTCTTTCTCCTCTAGACTAAGCCCATGTGTTTTCAAGACGGGAGAAGGTATTCAAAAGTCCCAACCCTGGGGTGCTTGGCTGTGGTCATACCCAGGGGGAATGGTGTGCCCAGAGCTGCTGTGCCCTCTCCCAGGACTGTAGATGGCCTGGCTCTGCTGATCTGCTCCCTAGGCCCACCATGATGGGCTTTCTTCCTCAGTGGAGACCTTTCTAAGTATGTGGACTCCTCAGTTGTCCTAATATGGGCTGGCATCCAAGGAGCTACAGATCTTTTAGGCTGTTCAGTTTTTAACAAGAAAGAGCTTTAACGAAGTCCTTTAGAGGCTACACTGGGTTGAGGTGGGTAAGGATGTGACTAGTTTTTTGACTTCACACTCCTGTTTCTCCTCCCCTGACTCCAGTCTTATGTTCTTTGACTTCCTCAAACCCAAGAATCAGAACTTTCTTCCTTTTCTGCGAGAGGGGGTCTTAATTTCAAAGTTCAGGATCCAGAAATTCAGTCCCAATGGCCCCAATATTCAATCCCAATGGCACCTTCCCAATTTCTCCCAAGAAGACTAGGGACCCTTAGTCAATCAGAACCCTTGGCAGCCAGCCGTAGAGGATTCCCAGTGTGGGGCTGTCAGGAATGCTTCATGCTCAGCAGCACTCACAGTATTTGGGAAGCTGTCTCTTTCCAGGTTCCTTTCTCAGGGTCTAATGTCTTCAGGAAATCTTGATGCTGCTGTTCACTAACTGTCTGGTCTTGGGCAAGCTCCTTGGTCTCTCTGAACCTTGTCTTGTAAAATGGAGAAAGCCCTGGTATCTATTTCGTAGGGAGCCATGAGATATTGGAACTGAATGAGATAACTGATTAAAAGAATATGCCCGGCCGGGGGTGGTGGCTCACGCCTGTAATCCTAGCACTTTGGAAAGCCAGGGCGGGTGGATTGCCTGAGCTCAGGGGTTTGAGACCAGCCTGGGCAACAAGGTGAAACCCCGTCTCTACTAAAATACAAAAAAGTAGCTGGGTGTGGTGGCGTGCGCCTGTAGTTCCAGCTACTCAGGAGGCTGAGGGAGGAGAATTGCTTGAACCTGGGAGGCGGAGGTTGCAGTGAGCCAAGATCATGCCACTGCACTCCAGCCTGGGCAACAGAGCAAGACTCTGTTTCCAAAAACAAAAAAAAGAATATGCCCCATTACCAGGTACACTGTAAGCACTCAAAATGTTTGCTTCACCGTCTATCACTAAGTTGTAAAGGGAGGCACCGGAACTAGACTCAAGACCCCAGGCTTGGTCATGCCAAAGTACAGTAGAATTTTTTTCTCCAACTTTTTAGACACTAGCATTCTATGTCTGGGAATTGCATTAGTTTTTGAATACCTTCAAAAGCTTTATGCATTTACTGAGACCTCCCCCACCATCTACAAGTCACCCCGAATACCACCCAGAAACTGGGAAGTTCACATTTTGGTCTGTGTCTTTCCATAACTTTTTTCAATTCTTTTTCTTAAAAAATAAAAATGGGCTTGAACTATTGCTTTGTAACCGAATGTTTTTCCCTTCATAATATTTCCTGATGTTGTTTAATATATTCTTATGCCATTATTATTTTTAATGGCTATATAGTTGTCAACTTCACAGATGAACCATGTCTAGTGGACACTTAGATTGCTTCCAGTGTCGAGTTATTATAAGCAATGTTGTATGAACATCTGGATTTTTTTTTAGTGTCGTAGCCATGTTGACTGTGTTCACTGAACCTCTAAGTCTTATTAAAACCTGCTGTTGCTAAGTTCCATTACTGTCCCACCCACCTCAATCCTGTCCTTGAGCAGTTATTATTTTGAAGCCAAGTTCGGACATGACATTTAAACCCTGTTTTATTTTATCTTATTAGATTCAGCCCATCAGTCCAGCCTGTCTAGAGCCATCTGGATCCTGTCAATGTTTTTGTAGGCTGCCTCTCCTTTTATTCTTTTTAAAAATTAACTACAAATTTCGTAAACAAGTCTTTTATGTTTTCAACTAAGTCATTAATAAAAATGTTGTACAGGTCAAAGTTGAGGCCAGAGCCCTGTGGCAGGCTTCCAGAGACCTTCTTCAGGTTTGATCAGCCCTCGCTGGGTTCAGCAAGTTACAAATTCTCCTAATTGAACCAGCATTCAGCTCACCTCCTCCTATAAGTTTATAATAAAGTTCATAAAACAAAGTTGGACCAGATGGTCTCAATACCCAGGCTCAGTCAAGGGGAACCATCTTCAGATGCAGAAGCTCAGGTTCTGGATGGAGAGTTGGGCTCCCATTGTTTCTATTTTAACTGGGGCACTTGGCCACCTGGTCTACTCACTGCCTCCTTAGTGACCCAGGCTGAGGGCTCCCTGGGGTTACTGTCCCCATCATCAGTCAGTGACAGCCTAGGGGAAATGGCTGATAATACCAGCTGAGCCTAAGTAAGAGGGAAGTCCAATACTGAAGGAACCCAGCCAGGGAGGGGAACCTCTGAGTGCTTCATCAGAATGTCAGTCTTGACCCCACATGCAGCACTGGGCCGTGGACATGGGGAACCACACATCCTAGGCTTTCACCATTGGGGAGCAACCTGGTGTTGATAGGGTGGTTCAGGGCCCTGCAGAAAGTACAGACTCCAGTTTCAGTACTTAGCTGTGTGGCTGTGGGCAAGTCCCTTTTCTTCTTTGAGTCTCAGTGTCCTCATCTGTTGGATGGGGATGAATATTATATACCTTTTAGGGGCTGGCATGTGCATTTAATGAGATAAGGTAGAGACAATATATATGGTACAGTGGGGGCAAAACAGTGGCTAATGGACTTGATTTGGCCAGCAAATGTGTTTTGTTTGGACTGATAGCATTAAAAAAAATTGAGGCGGTTTTCAAAAATCAGGCTATTTTACTTTATACTCTGAGTCCTGGTTTCTCTTGAAACATTAGAAGATATAGCAACATCAGTCTCACATTCCTAGCTTCCCGCACATGCAGCAATATGGCAGGCCATTCATGACTGTTCCCCTTGGACGGGCATCCTTTCCGTTAGCTTTTGCTGTGGTCTCCTCCACTCACGCAGCATATGCCTAGGCATGTATGCCCAGCCTGCTTGACCTGCTTACTTCACAGGCCTGGATCCTGCAGAGATGGGTTCATCACCCCTGGTGCAATGTGGATGAGCACTGGCTCAAGATTGGGTTGCTTAGCCCTTGTGTGACCTCTCAGTGCCTCAAATTCCTCTTCCATAAAACTGGCATTAAGAATGGGTTGTTACAAAAATTGTGTCTGTTGCACCTCTTAGCTGGTGCCCTGTGGAGTTGTGCAGACTGCACGGCCACCCATGGTGGCCTCGGCTGGGAGACCAACCTTGGAAACTGGTGGCAGCCAAGGGAAAGCCAAAGTGCAGAGCAGCAGCAGGCACAGCACCTGCCTCATGGCCTCGCCACCTCCCTCAATTACAAGAGGTCATGGGAGCCATCGTAGGGCAAAGGGATGTCCCAGGTGACATTCACTATAGATCACGAAATGCAGCTACTGGGGAAAATGTCATCTGTCATAGAAGAGGCACCCTATTCCTGTGTTACTGTGCCTTCAATCTCTTCTGTCTGCTTTGCTGCAAGGGTCCCCGTGGGCCTAAGACGTCAGTCAGGTCTTTCCCTATGCTTCCTCCTCGTGTCTTCAGAGTATCAGGGCTCTTCAACATGGATTTCCCTGAGAAACCAGAACGGGCCCCTGTGGGCCTCAGAGGAGCAAAGAATTCTTAGAAAAGGGTGCAGCCTCACCAGGCCACAGGTGGCAAGCAGCTTGGAGACCAGAGCTATTTTACTTTAAGACTAAAAACTTCCTGGTGCCACAGAGCAGCCCAGTACGGAACTCTCCGGGCAGTGGTGGGTATAGATGATCATCCCTTATGCCTATCCAGTGATTTCAAAGTGCTGGGCTAGTAAACCAGCTGGCTTCTGTCTACAAGTTTTTGGCCCAGTGCTCTGGCCTGTTGTATAAGTTTGTAACAAACTCGTCTGTGTGCTATCAGCAGATTTCAAAGCTGCTTCCCCTCTGCACTCTGGTCTCCACTGGAGACCTCCTTCCTCTCATCTGATGGGGGTGGGGGTGTTAATGAACCCTGTTGGGCACAGCTGTTGGAGTGGCTAGGCTCTGATGCCTGCCTGCCATGCAAGCCTTTCCCACTTTCGTGAAACCACCAATTCTCCACCTCCTGATTTATTCCCTTTTCTCTCTTCAGAAGGTGAAGACCATCAGGCTTAAGCTCAACATTTCTCTGTACATTTACCCAGTGCCTTGTTCTTCCTTCCTGCCTCAGCATCCAGGAGTTCCTGTCAGTGTTCAGAGAGCACCTACTATATGTTGGCACTGTGGACAGCACTCAGCAGACAAGGTTCCCCTTCTCTCCAAAGTTTATTACCCCCAACTGCTCCTCCAGAAGTACCTGCAGCTTCCTGTGCTCTAGATTAGGTGGTGTAAACTTACAGCCCGTGGGCCAAATGCATTATGGTATCGATTTTTGTAAATAAAGTTTTATTAAGATATGGCCATGCTTATGTGTTGACACGTGGTCTTTGGCTGCTTTTGTGCTATGATGGCAGTTGGGTGATTGCAAAAGAGATTGTATGGCCTGCAAAGCTGAAAACATTTACTCTCTGGCCCCTTACAGAGAAAATTTCCGATCCCTGCTCTAGGTGCCATGCCTCCCTGCCTCCCCTACACCCAGGTGAGTTGCTCCTCTCCACCTCCATGAACCCCTTTCTCTGGTCCAGGTTGCTTGCCTGTTCTGTAAAACCTCCCTCTCTGTTCATTGACGGGTTTCTTGAAGGAGTTCTGTATACTCACTGTCTCCACTGCCTCCCTGTGCTAGCACCCAAGGGGGTGAGGGTGTCCATCTTCCCAGGCTCTGAAAGCCACTCTCTGGATGGGACCTGGGAGTGGTGGGAGTGGCATGGAAACCTTCAGAAGAATCTGCCCGCTGAGACCTTCCTCCTTGTGGGGCTCCCCCAGACCCCTGAAACTTGTTTCTAGTCCAGCTAAGCACACGGATGATGTGAGGATCTGAGAGGGGAACAGGATCATACAGAGAAGAGAATGCAGGATGAGGACTCAGGCAGATCTGGGGGCGACTCTGCCACTTGCTAGATGAGTAACCTTGGGTTGGTTCCTTCACCTGCGACCCTCTCAGTTTTCTCATCTGTACAATGGGGATGTGATGCCCTGTCTCTGACACCTGTATCTAGAAGGCTTCCTCTCCTCTCCTGTTCCTGCCCCTCCAACTCCCTGGGGGTACCCACTCCCCTGGGGGATGGCTAGAGGATAATAGAGGCAGGCCATGCTGAGCGTAATGGCCCATGAGATCAGAGCCAGAGGGGCCGATGGCCCTCAGCCTGGCCCATTTCTGGACTCTGGATCCCTACCACATGCCCCTCCCCTCAGCCTGGTCCTTTCTTACAAGTGTGAGTTGAGGATGAGTGTGCCCAGCCAGTGGTGGGCTGCAGAAGGCAGCAGCCACGAGAGCTGAGGGCCTTTGAGGGGCACAGGTGCTGGGGCCTGGCAGAGGAGGCCGGGCTGGTTGCTATGGAGAGAGAAATGTTATGTGGTTAAGTTGTTTGACTGGCGGCCTTGAGAAATACCCATGTCCCCTCCAGGGCCTCAGAGCCATCTATCACTCAGAAGGCCTCCTTTCATGGTGAGGGTTATTTATTTGGCTAAGAAAACTGCAATTACAGTCCCTTCCATACAGACGGCCCTTCCCTTTTTACACATTTTATGGAGCCCTCTTCAGTTTATAAGGATCCTGAGGCTTCATTCTGTTCAGTGCTGACTTCCACTGTGACAGGCATTTTGGGGCACATTCTATGTGCTGGGCACAGAGAGGTGCGGGATAAGCCCCACAGAGCCCTTGCCTCGTAGCAGCTCCTAATCCCATGCAGACAAGCTCAGGCCAGGTACAGTGGCTCATGTCTGTAATGCCAGAATTTTTGGAGGCTGAGATGGGAGGCTTATTTGAGGTCAGAAGCTCAAGACCAACCTCTACAAAAATAAAAATAAAAATTAGCTGGGCATGGTGGTCCCAGCTACTTGGGAGGCCAAGGCGGGAGGATCACTTGAGCCCAGGAGGTCAAGACTGCAGTGAGCTGAGATCCAGCCACTGCAGTCCAGCCTGGGTGACACAGTGAGACCCTGTCTCAAAAAATAAAATAAAAAAATGGAAAAGAGATGAGAAAATTTCAGAAGCAAGTTTCTGAGGGGGAAAGAAATGGGATGTGGAGGTGACCTGGGAAGGGAGGAGGGACACTCTCATCTGAGATGGGAGGAGAGGAGGCAAAGAAGGATGAGACTATAGGAGTGCTGTGAGGGGAGCTAACAACAATCACGCATCTGCTTCGATCCAGGCACCGTGCCAGGCATTTGGTGTACATGGATTCATTTATCACAACAGAATTCTTTTGGTTGTGAGTAACGGAACCACAGTGCAAACTGGCTGAGATGAAGAGATGATTACTGGCTCAGGTGCCCAAAATCTAGTAAGGGCCGTGTTGACAGAGTCTGAGGAGTCACTTTTTCATACCATGTGGGAAAAGGCCACCAGCTGTTCCCAGCCTCCCCATTTTGTCTCTCAGGCAGGGGACATTTTGCTCTTTCCCTGGCTGCAGTTTGAAATATCCCCGGGAAGGACTCTCACTGGTTCAGACCACATCAGGTGGGCCTTTGAGTTGGTCGCAGTGGCCAAGAAGAAGGGCATGTCAGAAGGTGGCTGGTAGCTCCCATTGGACCCGGTGCTGGAACTGGGGTGCGAGGTTAGAAGTAGTCATTTCTAGGGGAAGTGGTGGTGGTGGTAGCACAGAAATGTCTCCAGAGAGTCATTAAAAAATTCATTTAACAAAATCTGATGAATACCAACTATGTGCTAGGCATGGTTTTGCCATGGCAGCTTACTAGGACCAATACTCAGCCCCTGCTCTCTTGGAGCTTATACATTTGTGAGGGAGACAAGGAATAAACAAGTAGATGAAGTAACATAATTTCAGGTCTTAAGTTATAAGTAAAACAAAGAGAAATAATGTAAAGAGATTAGAAAAAAATGGAGGGAGGTGCTGGTTTTGTTGGGGTCATCAGGGAAGGCCTTGCTGTGCTGAGGAGGCTGCACTGGTCATGAACTGCCTGTAGGGGAATGAGTCATGCCAAGATCTGGCAGAGGGAACCACATGTGCAAAACCCCTGAGGCAGAAATGAGCTTGGCATGTTTCAGGAATAGACAAAAGTCAAGGTGACTGGAGCAGTGTGAGCCGGGGGAGAGGAGTGGCTGATGGGGTGAGAGTAGACAGGGCCGGGTTGCATGGTGTCCCCTTTGCTGGCCATGGTAAAGAGTTTGGATTTTGTTCTAAGCGTGATAATCTTTCATCTTGGAGCACTGACTTTTCACAGATAAAGAAACTGAGTCACAAGGAGGTGGAGATAACTTGCCCAAGAAGGAAGGTCGTGCATGGTGGGACTCTCTGGAACCAATCCTTGCTTTCTTTCTTCCACATCTTTCTTCCTCTAGTTAGCTGTGAAAAAATTAGGAGGGGGCAAGGAAAGAAAGTGGGCAGCAGCCTCATGACCTGTCCTTCCTCTGTAAAGTAGGACAGATGGTCTTCAGAGAGGGAGGGGCAGCGGTGGGTCAGTGAGACTGGCAGAGGGTGGAAAGGGTTGGCACAACTGTGGAGCAGAATGGGAAATGGACAAGTCCGGGAGTGAACAGGAGGATTGGAGGGCAGAGGAGAGCCTAGCCAAAGCTGGAGACCGCGAATCTGTAATGGAGTGGATCAGCACAGTTATTTGATTTTCTCCAGCAGTACTTGGCAGGCAGCCAGCCTGGGACAGGGGCAGAGAGGAAGGAGGGATCTGTGAATAAAGGTGGGGATTGGGACCGCAGGTTCAGGGGCAGTGGAGGGTGCTGGTGGGGATGTGGTGGAAATGACATATACACATGCGCAAGCATATGTTTTGGTGTTTTCTAGGACAGGCGCAATAAAATGTTAATTAATTTTCAACAAAGGTGGTTATTTACAGTTTTAATTCATTGAGGTTTCAGTTTTATACATGTATAAGATCTTGCTGACAGATAACATCACTGTCATGAGCTGAGCTGTGCCCACCCCACCAAATTCATATGCTGAAATCCTAACCCTCAGTACTCAGAATGTAACAGTATTTGGGGATAGGACCTTTAAAGAGGAGATTAAGTTAAAATGAGGCCATTAGAGCAGGCCCTAATCCCATCTACTTGACGTCCTCATAAAAAGAAATTTGGAGGCAAAGAGACACCAGGGGTGGCGTGCACAGATGGATGACCGTGTATATGAAAAGGGCGGCAAGAGGGTGGCCATCTGCAACCAGTGAGAGAGGCCTTGGAGGAGACCAACCCTGCCGACACCTTGATCTTGGACTTCCAGCCTCCAGAACTGTGAGGAGTAAATTCTTGTTGTTTAAGCCACTTAGTCTGTGGCATTTTGTTATGGCAGCACCGGCAAACTAATACAATCACGGATCAGAACGTTTTCCTTGGGTCAGACTGTGTCCTAACTCAGCCTGCTCAGCCCTGCCTGATCCAGCCCATGCCAACCTTTCCATCCTCACTGTCCTTGCTCCCCTGACTTCTCTCATGCTCAGTGTTCCAGCCACACTGCCTTGAAATGTCCTTCTTGTCTCAGGGTCTTCCCACATTCTGTTCCCTCTGCCTAGAACATCTTTCCTCTCTTTTTTTCGTCTAGATAACTCCTTATTCTTTGGATTTCCACTCAAATGTACCCATTTTTTATTAGGGAAGCTTTCTGTGACCATCAAACATTCCCCTCATCCCCGGCCACCAACTAGAGCAATCCTTCTTTGACATGTTGTCTTTGTTGTTCCTTCTGGGACAGATTCCAGGACAGGGACCTGTGTGCATGGAACCGACACCCACAGGGTATGAGGTGGGAGTGAGAATGAGCAGGTGGAGTGGTAGAGCTGTGATAATGTCATAATCAAGGCCAACATCAATTCCTTAAGGAGCTGTGGAGCTGGGACCACCCAGTAGCTTTCCCGTGACTGCATTTACTGGTCATTGGCAATGACATACCCCAGGGATGGGGCTTGGTCTTTGCAAGGTGGCTGTTAAGGGCTGAGGGCAATTCTTGAGGAAGACTCAAGTGAGAGCTGCCAGCATCCAATACCCTTGGCAGTTGGGAATAAGTGTCTCAGCCCTGAAGGGAGGATTGGGGGGCACACCACAGCACCCACTACCTATGCTCCCACCTTTCCTTCAGAACACTTGGCGCCAGTTGTAAGTAGATATTTCTGTGATTAGTTCACTAATTTTCGTTTCCCACTAGATTTAGAGCAGAGAGGAGTTCCTTGACAGTAAAAGCGTCAACCCACAGGGCATAGAGGAAGGAGGTGGGATGGGTGGATATATGCGGAGAAGATAGTTGGACCAGGGAATGGAAGAGCAGGGACCTCAGGAAAATCTAGGAGAAAATGCTTGTGTGGCTAGAATGACTTGACATTGGTTATTATTGTAGGAAAAAAGGGAACCGAGTGAGAGGGGAATGTTAGTTCATTTGCCACCTGCTATGTCCCAGGCACTTCCCTGTTTAATCCTTATGACAACCCTGGGACTAAGGATTGTTGCAGCTTGAAAAGGGTTGATGAGAGGTTGGGCATTTCTAAGAGGAGGCTGATAGGTTGGCTGCTAAGAGGCCTTTGAGCCTGGCATCAACTTTGTGAATTTATTGCAGAATAAATATGGCCAACTTCTGGCTCCTTGGGCTCCCCTTGTCTCTGCTCCAGGCTAGGCATGTTCTCTCTGTTCACGCAGTCTTTTGTCAACTGATTTAGTTAATTAGGTTTCTGCTTACTCAATTACCATCACCCCCTCCCAAAGTCTTGCCTCCCCGTGACCATACCCAGGCCACCATGATTGGCTTTTGGGGTCTTCCCAAACTCTGTTCAGTCACATTTTCAGGTCATCTCTTGGTTTGTGCCAACAGACAACATATTTCATCATTCTGCGTGGATTTTACTAACCTCTTTCTCAGAGGGCAGCCTTGCTTCTCGGTCCCACGCTCACTTCCACATGTGGCTGTCAGGTATTGCTTCTGTAGCTTTGACAGTGAGGGGCTGAAGCTCAGAGAGGTTAAGTCACTGGCCCAGGAGAGCTGAGATTTGGTGGCAGGTCCTCTGACTTCCAAGGCAGAGTGAAGGGATGGATAAAGGACAGGAGGGTCACAGGTCAGAGGTGCACAGCCTCAGGTTCCATGGGGAGTTCTGGGCATAGATTGCTTTGTGATCTTGTACTTAGGGTCTCCCAAGGCTTGGTAGAGACAGTTGTAGCCAGTTCAGCCAAGAGCCACTGGATCCTTGGAGCCACATCTGTGTTGGCCGGAGCTGAGCCTGTGCTCCAGGGATCTCTCAGAGCTGAGCCTACTATGGTGGCCGCAATGGGAGCTGACTAGTGCTGCTGCCTGTGGTTGGGTAAGTTGAGTCTGGGGGGTGATTGGGGTTAAAAACCAGCTCACTTATACTCTCCAACCTTTGCAGCCTGGTTTGGGGCTGCCAAAGCCTAGAAGAAGGAGCAGCTTCTCCCTTCCAGACGAGGCAGCATTTTGTAATTTTACCACCTTGTGGGGGAGGCTTTTTCTAATTCCTGCAAAGTCCAGCCTGAAAGTCAGCTGAGTGGGTTGTGCCCAGCACTCCGTGAGCTCTGCAGACCTCTCATATGCCCCTAGATTTCTGGAAAGCCCTCTAGGCAGCCAGTACAAGGTCAAACACTTCTGTGCAGCGAATCCCTGCAGGGGGATTTGTTCCGGGAAGGGAATTACATTTCAATTTGATTTAATTCAATGAGAATGACACCAAATTGATCAGCTGGTAAAATGCCATTTGACGGGCAGATGTGCTCTTTCCAAGTCAATAGGAACCACCAGAAAAGTCAGTCTTGTTTTTTCAGACAGAACTGAAAGTTTTACCCATTTTCTTTGCCTTTTAAAAAGGGCTCAAATTCCCTGAAGGTGGAGAGACTTTTCCTGATAGGCCTGTTGACCTGAGCAAAGTGATTAAACCACCAGGCACCCAGGGAACACGAAACAAGTTCTATATCTGTTTTTTCATTTTTGTTTTTAATTAAAGGCTCCCTAAAGCCTAGGAGCTCTCCAGCTGTGGTTCCTTGCCCCTTTCTATATGCCAGCTTATTTTCTGGGGTGTAAGCAGACATTTGGGTACTTGACCATGTCCCCTGCAGGAGTTCGCAGAAACCATCTGGTCACCTCTGTTGACCTAGAAGGGTGCAGCGGTCCAGACTTCTGTGCACTTTGTACCAGACTCTTGTATGATCTTGAGAAATTTCTCAGATTCTTTGAGCCTTAGTTCTGTCATCTGTAAAATGGGCATGCAGTCTCCCTTCGTCCATCTCTGGGCTACTCCCTTTGGAGTAGTAACATGAAAAATAGCTATGGCCCCACAATAACCACTGCCATTGTTCCACACACCACAGTCACTAGCATTATTTTTGAGCAGTTACCATGGGGTGGGCACTATTGAAAGCTTCATCTGCATTAAATCGCATAATCCTTGTAACAATTCCATCAGGTAGATACAGTCTGTTTGGCTACGGTGCTTATTTTGAAAATGCAAATTTGTTTCAATGCGATCCATGTGTCAGGAAACTATTTGAGCATCATGTTAGTTTTGCATTTGCTTATGTCTGATTTGGTGTGTGAGAAACACAAGGTGAGTGCAGAAAATTGCACCCAGTTGAACTGAGCTGTGTAGGAATATACATAACACACACATGGACACACTTCAAACATCTCCCAGCATTCTCAGTTCCTGTGTGTTATGGCCACTCACAGGATGCTACAACCTTCCTTCTGACTCCAGATCTACCTCCTCCCACCACCTGACAGTAATTCTGAAGCTCGCTTCCACATACAGAGTGAAGTGTGTGTAGCGTCATGCTTATTGTAGTGTCTATGTATGTCTTTTATGGCATTTAACATGTGTAAAACCGTGTTACCCTTTTTATTAGGTTTCTTTTATTTTTCGTGTGTCGCCGAAGGAAGTTTATGAGCATTGTACCCCAACTCCATTGTTCTCATGAACCCTGTGGTTTTTGCACAGTGTGGTGATTCTTTGTTTTATTTTATTTTATTTTTTTCTAAATTGTGATAAAAAGACACAGCATAAAAATTTTCACTGTGATTTTTTTTTTTTTTTTTTGACAGAGTCTTGCTCTGTCGCCCAAGCTGGAGTGCATTGGCATGATCTCAGCTCACTGCAACTTCAGCCTCTTCGGTTCAAGCAATTATCCTGCCTCATCCTCCTGGGTGGCTGGGATTACAGGCATGTGCCACTGTGCCCGGCTAATTTTTGCATTTTTAGTAGAGATGGGGTTTTACCATGTTGGCCAGGCTGGTCCCGAACTCTTGACCTCAGGTGATCCACTTGCCTTGGCCTCCCAAAGTGCTGGGATTATAGGCATGAGCCACCATGCCCAGCCCAATGTGTCCATTTTAAAATATACAGCTCAGTGGTACTAAGGACATTCATATTGTGGTGCTACTGTCACCACCATCCATCCACAGAATTATTTTCATCTTAAAAAAACTGAACTTCTATACCCAGTTCACAACTCCCCACTTCTCTTCTCCCCTGCTCCTGGCAACCACCATTCTACTTCCAGTCTCTAGAAATTTGACTACTCTATAAGTGGAATCATACGGTATATGTCCTTTTGTGACTGTTTTATTTCACTTAGCATAATGTCCTCAAAGTTCACGCATGTTGTAGCATGGGTCAGAATTTCCTTCTTTTTTAAGGCTGAATAATCTTCCATTGTGTGTATATACTACACTTTGTTTATCCATAGCGGGTGACTTTTAGGAACACTTACGAGGCATGACAGCAGAGCTATCCTGTTATTTTTCTGTTTTGCACATGACGAAACAGGCACAGAGTGGTTAAGTGACTTCCCCGAGGTTTCCCCACTAATAAATGGGAGATGTGAGATTCAAGCCCAGGCCTTGCTCATTCTGCAGCTTGTGCCTCTGACACTGTGTCACCTCAAATGCTGTGTTACCTGCTTCCTTTTTTTTCACGTTATTGTCATCAAACCAGACGATGTTGACTTTGAGTCAGCTTGGTTATTAATTTCCTGTTGTTAACAGAAGCTTTAGTGTCTGAAATCTCTGCTGCACCATCTGGAATTTTTAATAAAAACTCAAGGAATTTCCAGGGGTTTCTGTGTATTGCATATGTGTATTAGCCAGGGAAAAATGCTATTTAAAAATAGAAATGCCTACAGCCACTTTTAAACTCCAGGTGTGGGGCGAGGAGGTGCCCAACAGAAGGAAGGCTGCTCTTTTGTTTAAAAAAAAAAACAAAAACACTATAGTCAGGCTTTTTGGATTATTCAAGGGAAGGCTCACTCCCTACCTCCACCTCGAATTGTCTGGAAAGGGGAGGCTCTAAACTAAATTGCTCTACAGAACAAGCTAGCAGGAATTCCCGAACAGTTCACTGGCAGCTCAAAAGGGAGGGAGTTTTCAGGGTCTTGTAACAGTCAGGAAAAGAGGAGATTAAATAATGTTCATGGTAGAGAAATTAAGTGCCTCTGAACAGGGCAGCAGTCTGGGGCTCCAGAAGAGTGATAAGACAGATGGGTACACAGTCATAGTAATAAAGAATACTATGGGAAGTATCCTTTGTTGAGGTGGTTAAAGAACTCTTTGATGGTGACAATTTTAAATGTTTTCAGCTGTGTGCTATTTTATACCCTCCTTCACCCTTAACGTAGTCAGCTACAGAGAGCAGGCAGGCTTGGGTTAGTGACACCTTAGTGCAGGAAGGTGGATGGAATGGGTTCCTGAGAAGGAGCAATTGTAGGGAACAGGACAGCAGGCGTGGGAAGTGCAACATGCGAGGGGCTCTTCCCACAAGTAGCTTAGATGGAGGCTGAGATTGCTTTTCATGGATGACAGAGGAATGGACAGTTCAGAAGGCAGCACACATGGCCATCTGGGGAGCTGGCTCCCAGGGAGTGATCCACATGCTGCCCAACCTGGGCTGTTCTGCAACTTAAGGCCGTGTACTTCATAATGAGCATGGCCATGATCTTTTACAACTATCACTTGCACATCTCCAAGGCACTCTTTGCACATATAGGTGCCCTTCTTAAAGTCATCCACATAGATTTGAAAAGTTAGCACGAGTACTTCCCTGTAATGGCAATAAAGCAGCATAAGGAAGGGACTCTCTTTTCTAATTTGCCCAAAGTCATCATTTGGGCTTGTGGCAGGTAAATAGCTCTGCCCTTTTTTGAGTACTTAGTATGGGTCCTTTATGCATATTACCTCTTCAGATCCTTAAAACAACCCGACAAAGTCAGCCTTGTTCCAGTTTTCATCAAAGAAGAGAGGCTTAGAAAGGCTTAGAGGTTGGTGACTTACCCAAGGTCATGCATCTAGGAAGTGGCTGAGGTGAAATGTGAACGAGGATTCAGCCATCTCTCAAACCTGTGCTTATAACCACTTTGGTTTCTACCTTCATCCTTGAAAAAGATGGAGGGGTTCTTAGATCCATCCTTTGGCCTGTAAGTCCCCTCTGCAAGGCTAGGGGTTCTTGTATTGAGCAGTGTTAGAATCACCCGGAGGGTTTGTTAAAGCAGATGGTTGGGTTCCCACCGGCAGAGTTTCCAGGTAGAGTCTGAAAAATGTGCATATCTAACAAATCCTCAGGTGAGCAGAGTAGCTCCTCTGAAGACAGCAGTTGAGAGCACTGTACTAGGCTCATCTAACTTGCTAGGTCACCTAGGCATTGTCTCTGAACCCCATGCTGTGCTCTGCTATACTTCCACAGCCAAGGACACAGACTGGGTGGGGCTTTGATTTACTATCCTCTCAGGCTGGGTGCTGGGTGCTGTCCCTGTCTTCCTGACCAGCTGCCCAGGTCTGTCTGGCCCTGGCTTGGTCTGGTGTCCGGGCCCTCCCTTCTCCCTTATGGGAACATGCATACTTTCTGTGGCGAGACTGCACATCAACAGTGCTGAGATCTGAGGGACTGGAGGGAGGGGAAGCAGGACCTCAGAGCTGAAGCGGGCTGGAGGACAATGGCTTCATCTGTTCTCTCCCTCTAAGAGCAGGTGCATGGGGCGTGGGGCATGCTGACTCAGGGATTCGAATGGCCTCTGCAGCAACTCAGGGGCTCCTCTCCTCTCCCTGCTGGGTTCAGACAGCCTTTCCCTTGGAGACAGACAGGTTGGAAATCCAAGCAGAAAGAAAAATAACTTAATGTATCAATGTCTTTCAGCAGTGGTTTAAAGCGCCCAAGAGACAGGCTGTCAGATGCAGTCTCTGGGTACCCAGACCAATATGCCTCTGCTCTGCTCTGCTCTGCTCCTGACGCCAGTCTCTTAATTCCACAGCTGGAAGGGGAATCAAATCATGAGAGTGTGTGAGTGTGTGTGTATGCATGGAGAGTGGTATCTTCCATAAAAGAGGAAGCTAAGGAGCTGGGATAAAGCTTCTATGTGGTGTGAGGCTGTATGGGGTCAAGGGGAAGCAGGAAAACAGGGAATCTGGATTGGAGAGATTCTCACACCAACCCCATGAGGTAGGGACTGTCACTCTGTTTTACAGAATCTGAGGCATGGAGAGGTTGAGTCACTTGCTTGAAGTTACAGTTGGTAAGTAATATGGATGAAATTTGAACAGACACTTCACCAAAGAAGAAATGATGGAAAATAAGCCCATGAAAAGATGCTCTACATTATTACTCACCAGGGAAATGCATATTGAGGCCACAATGAGATGCCACCACACATCCACTAGTCCCACTAGAATGGCTAATGTTAAAATACCCAAAACTGTATCAAGTGTTGGCAAGAATGTGGAGGAGCTGGAACTCTAACACACTGTAGGTGGGAATGGAAAATGGTAAAGCCACTTTGGAAAACAGTTTGTCAATTTCTTAAAAAGGTAAACCTATACCTATCATAGCATCTGCCATTCCACTCCTAGGTTTTTACCTGAGAAAAGAAAGTCTTTGTTGACACAAGAAGAACTCGTACATGATTGTTTTTAGCAGCTTTATTTGTAATAGCCCCAAACTGGAAACAACCTAAATGCCCATCAGCAGGTGAATTGATAAACAAATAGTGGCAAATCCATACAATGGAATAATACTAAGCAATGAAAAAGAACTATTGATATATGCAACCATGTGGGTATATCTCACAAGAATTATGCTGAGTTCAAGAAGCAAGACATAAAAGAGTACATACTGCATGCTTCCATTTATATAAAATCCTAGAAAATACAAGCTAATCTGTATTGACAAGAAGCAGATCAGTAGTCGCCTGAAGATGGGGGAGTGAGGAATGGAAGGGGCAGGAGGAAGGGATTCAAAGGACACAAGGAGACCCTTGTTGGAGGGATGGAGGTGTTCAATATCTTGATTGTAATGATGTATTCAAGGGTGTATACATATGTCTAGACTTGTCAAATTGTGTAGTTTAGACTTGCACAATTTGTTGTATGACAATTATGACTTAATAAAGGCTGTTAATAATAATAATAATAAACAGAACCCAGGCTGCAGTCTGTCTCTGTGCTGGAACTCTAATTTACTCACTGTTCTATTTTCCAGCTGTGTATTAGAGAGCAGGGCTGGCTCTGGGTCTGCACAAGGTAGATCGTCACATCACCCTATTGTGGGTAAAGTGCTTGGTACTTCACATTGTTTACTCTTCCCATTCCTTAATTTTCTCAGGAAGGTCCTGTTTGATTATGCCCATTTAATGCAGTGGTGTGGAGTTAAGTGACATACTCAAGGTCACATGGGTGGGGCGTGGGAGAAGGATGGCCCCCCTCCTTCACCACTTACACAACCAGCACCTCCTTCAGAAGAGAGGTGAAGGAGCAGCAAGCTGAGCCCAAGTGATTTCCAAGGCCTTTGGTCAGGGTCCAAGAACAGGCTGGCCAGGGCAACAAATTTCTTCTCCAAAGGGATGGAAGCAGATCCATTCTAAGGCTCCCTCCAGTTCTGGTCTCCAAGGAGTGTGTGAAATGAAATACCTAAGTGGATGCCCTTGCCTGCATTTTAGAAATAGACCTGGTCCTGCCATTTACCTTCCCGGTGACCTTGAGCAGTTCAACTCTCTGGGCCTCTATTTCCTCATCTGTAGGACGGCGATAATTAGACCTAACTTCTAGGGTCTTAAAAAGGGTTCAATAAATTAAGGGATATAAAAGTGCTTTGGACAATGATGAACCCTAAAAAAAAAACAAACTTTGTTTGTCTTGGTATTTCATAGTTTGTCGTTTGCCCTAAATAAGGTCAATTTTTTAAAAATTGTGGTAAGGTATATAATATTTATTATTTTAACTCTTTTTAAGTGTGTAGCTTAATGGCATTAGGTACATTTGCAACGTGGTGCACCACCATCACTTTCCATTTCCAGAACTTTTTAATCATCCCGAACACAGATTCTGTCCCATTAAACACTAACTCTTCATTCCCCCTTCCCCTCACCCTCTGTTCCCTGGTTACCTCTATTCTACTTTCTGCTCCTATTAACTGGCCTATTCTAGGTACTTCATATAAGGGGAATCATACAATACTGGAATGGGATCATTAACCCCACATTAATTCCCACTTTTTTCTGTTTGCTTGGTTTTGGTGTCAGGGGTGGGAGGAGATGGAACTTTGGAGACTGCTTTGTAGACAGTGGAGCTCATTCTTTCCAGAACAGAAGATGGGGTGCTAGGGAGTCCTTGGGCCTCTCTGAGAGGCTGGACTTGGCATGTAATCTAATATGACTGATGTTTTTATAAAACAGGGTAAATTTGGACATAGAAAATTAACACCATGTGAAGGTGAAGGCAGAGACTGGGTGATGCTTCTATAAACCAAGAAACTCCAAGGACTGTCAGCAAACCAGCAGAAGCTAGGAGAGAGGCATGGAACGGATTTCTCCTCACAGCCCTCAGAAGAAACCAACCCTGTCACCATTTTGATCTTGGACTTTAGCCTCTGGAACTGTGAGACAATACATTTCTGTTTGTTTCAGCCACCTAGTTCATAGTACTTTGAAGTGACCTTTACACCACTCTCACTTAGAGATGAGGTCTGTGTCCCCTCCTCTTGAAATTGAGTGGCTTTTGTGACTGTGTACACAGGTAGAGTAAACTGCAGAGCTGCCTGTCTGTGACTTCCAAGGCTAGGTCATAAAAGGAGATAAAGCTTCTTCCTGGCTGGTTGGGCTGCTTGCTCTTGAAGCCTTCAGTCTCTATGCACGCAGCATGCCTTCCCAGCCTCCTGTGGTTGTAGAGTGTATAGAAGGCAGTTGGATCACTATGGACAGCGGGTAAGAGCTGAGGAAGCAGCCTCCGCCAGGTGGTAACATGGAGGACCCTGAAGGTAAGAAAGGGCTCTTACTTGTTGGAAGCCCAGTTAAATCCACTTACAAATTAATTAGACACAATGCCATTTCCAGATGAGAGTTCTGGGAAGGCTACTGTGGTTAGGGCTTGTTCTCGTTCCTCCTAGGAAACCATTTAATCCAGACTCTGAAGGATCAGGGGATGGGAGGACCTTCTTGCTGGTAGGCAGAGTGGCTGGCCTGTAAATGGCATTATTGGAGAGGCATCCCCAGCCTGAGCCCCAAACACTTCCTCTGCTCCCCTCTGTCTTTCCCTGTTAGCAGCACTTCCATTGAGCTGTCTTCACTCACCCTCAGAACGGGTTTTTATTGAGTTCCTACACTGTGCCAAGCACTTTACCTACATTATCTCGTTTAAACCTTGCAATGACTCTGCCCAACAGGTTTTATTGTCTTTCTACTCTATCATTCACATCTCAGTAGGATTAATTAACCAAATTAATCCTATAAGCAAATCTCAGTTGCACCGTGAATGTCTCAGGCTAAAGAACAGGTTTTAACTACTGTGGAGGAAGACCGGCCCCTTTAAGGAAGAAGTGACTGCAACCAGGGTTGAAGCAGGTTGTAAAATGTTGAAATCTGCTGAGCTCCGGAATGGAAATTTCTTTCAATGTAGATTAGGCCTTGATTCAGGGTACGGAGAGAGACTGGTACCTGTGGTTCCCTTGGCAACTGCTCTCTGATTGGAAGGAGCCTAAGTGCAGAGAAGGGAGCAGCTGGGGGGCCCGTGTGACTCATCCAAAAGTGGGCAGGAAGCAGTTAAAAAGCAGCCATCCGGTGAAGCTGTAGAGGGACAGGGTTTTTGCTTTCTTTTAATCAACATGCCAAGGTTTTGGGAGGGACTGCTGACACCAGAGATATCAGAGAAGTAGCATAGAATGGCTGGCTTCTGAGAAGCCTCCTGGTTAGGAAGGAAGTTGTTCTCTTTCCACTGCAAGCTTAGAAGCCTTCCAAGTTCTCTCCTTCTGCAGCATAAAGAGACAATAACTCAGAGGAAGGTATCCCCAGGAGTTTCCAGACAGCTGCACAGATTTAAGTGCAGAAATCTGAGCAGAGGTATAGTCCTGGCATTTACATGAACACCTTTCAGTAGCAGGAAGAATAAATGGAAAGAGAGCTACAGAAATACCAGGGGCGAAGTCTTCATCTGAAAGTCCAATCTTTGATCAAGAGCTGGTAGGAAGTCTGAGAATTTGTATCAGCAGTGATTCTAGGCTGTCTGGTCTGAGTAATTGGGATCAGAGCAACAGCTGATATCATGCTTACCTTGTGCCAGGCTCCCTTCTAAGGGCTTCCTGGACACCTGCTCGTGTCAGTCCTCACAGCAATCACATGAGGTATGTTCTGTTGTTGTCTCCTTGTGCGGATGAAGACACTAGGCACAGAGAAAACTGGCCACAGGTGTACAGCTGGGGAGGCCAGAGCCAGAATTCAGACCTGGGGTGTCTTGGCTGATGTGAGCTAGTGTGGGCCAGCATGGGACACAGAGGAGGATTAGCTGGAGAAGCAGGACAGAGGGCAAGAGAGACGAGATCTCCGACAGTGCTGGGTCAGAGACACTTTCCTGAGCCATGATTAAACCTGATTATGGACATGTTTTAGCCTGTCAGACTCCAGCACCCAGAGCGGTCCCCTCCTCAGAGTAGTTCCTGGCCAGTCCTGAAACAAGATGGGTGTTTTTATTGTTACTATTAATTATTTTTAGACACAGGGTCTTTCTCTGTCACCCAGGCTGGAGTGCAGTGGCACCATCACAGGTCACTGCAACCTTGAGCTCCTAGGCTCAAGCAATCCTCCTACTTCAGCTTCCCAAGTAGCTGGGACTACACACGTGTACTACCATGCCTGGCTAATTTTTTAAAATTATTTTTTTTAGAGACAGGATCTCCCTATGTTGCCCAGGCTGGTCTCAAACTCCTGGCCTCAAAAGATCCTTCTGCTTTGGCCTCCCAAAGTGCTGGGACTATAGGCATGAGCCACTGCACCCAGTCTAGATGGATGTTTTCAAAACACAGATCTAGTTATGGTACTCCCCTCTATAAAAAATCCCTTGTTTGTAGGATAAAGTCCAGGCAGGCCCTTTGGCCTGTCATATAAAGCCTTTCTGATCAGACCCACCCTGCTTGGCCCACTCCTTGCTGCATTCCTGTGATTCCAAGCCCTAAGTTTCCCAAGTCTCTCCTTTCCTCTGGCAGAGCTAATCATGGCTCACCCCATATTTTGATGGCTGTTCTTTCCAGGTGATGCCACTGCTGTGATGAGTTTTCTGTAAAGAGAGGCATGCTTCCTCTGCAGTACTCTCAGATAACCACAGATATAAGCAACATAGGAACATAAAGTCAAGGTGCAATAACCATAAACCTTGACAATAATCTTAAAACAAGAAAACAAGTGCTGAGTTCTAGAAAATGAGCCTATGTACATTAATTATACAGCATACCCTCATGTACTATAAAGCGGGCATGAAGGAAAATGGCGCAACTCCACCATAAATTTGATATCAAATGGATGTGCCGGAAGGCAGGGTGCGGCAGAGGCAAGTCAGATCAGCTTCTGCCACTACTGATTGTGTGACTTTGAACAAATAAGCCTGTTTCCTTAATGTTAAAGAAGAAATACCAATAGTGTCCAGGTCATGGTGGCGGCATGATAATTAAATAATATGTGTAAGGCTCCAGGCAGTCCTTTACCTTACTTTTCCTGACCAGTAGGAAATGTTCAATAATAATTAACGGCAATTTTTCTCACTTTGTCACAATGATTCTTATGAATTATCTAGATGAGAAGGTAGAGCTGAGGTCATCTTTCCCAGTGTGACATTCAAACTCTTTCCACAATACTTAGAGACACTCAAACTCTGGCTATGTACTTAGAGACACTTAAGATCTTTCTAGGTACTCAGGCTGAGGATTTTCCAGGCATGGTCCTTGGCCCACACAGGGCCCCCTGATGGGCTATAAACAGATTAAAAAAATCAAAGTTCTTGTTTTGTTTTTCATCTTTTTTTTTTTTTAAACAGACAAATGCTGTGCAATCTGCAAATGTTTGTTTTTATATAGCACAAAGGGTTGCTTACTGAGTATGTTATTAAAGATCACCAAAAATCACTATTAAAAATATATTTATAGTAAAAATCCACCAGATCAATTAGGTGATGAATCATGATAGCCACCTTGGTTCTTTTACTTAAATTTTTTGTAAAAAAAAATCTTTATTGAGATAGAATCCACATACCACAGAATTCATCCACTCATTTGTGATTGTGCAATTCACAAATCATTGTTTTGTTTCTTACCAGTTTTTTGATATCACAGCTCTTCCCAAATCTCCCTCTCCCTTTGAAAAGTGGGACCAGGTAGAGAGGGAAGCCATGGGTCTTTGACGACACCTGAGGGACTGTGGTAAAGCATTTTGAGACCTTATGCCTTGCAGTGGTTTGGAAAAGTAGCCTGCATTCCCCACTTTTACCACTGGGTGTCAGGCTTGAAGGTGGGTAAAGTCTCATGCTTGGGGAACCCAGCAGGGTATACAGGGCCCTGCACTGTTGCTCTGCAGGTAAATGGGATGAATGGAAGAGAAGAAGTAAAATTAGACATCATGGGATGATTAGAACTTTGACATTTCTTATGTTTGGGCTTGGAGAATTGCTTCACATTTCCTTAGGCATGTGGCAAAAAAAAAAAAAAGAATAGTTTTTTCCTCCTCCTTTTGCTCACCCTTTATTACTATGTTTCACCATGTTTTGAGGATTGCTGTGTGTCAGTAACTGTGCTGGAAAGGAGAATACAGAGATGTACAAGACACAGCTGGTCCTTTCCCCTAAGGTGCTCATACTATAGGGAGGAGGGAGATTACAAATAGATCAGCAGGCCACAAATGGCAAATGCGAAGAAAGTGGAGAGCACAGGGTCAGAACCAGGGGAGGGGAAGGGCCGTACTATACACGTGACAACAAAAGCAACACAAACGACACGTCTGACCTGTGTGGGGGTTTACACACTACAAATACTTTCACAGACAGAGTTTATCGATTATTTAAATTATATTTGTTGAGCACTGGGTTAGGTACTGAAGATACAACAGTGAAAAATTACTGTGGATGTTATTGTTTATACTTTGCATGTGCCAGACAGTGTGCCTGGCTTTTTTACATACATTATCACATTCAATCTTCCAAGAACTCATACAAGGAAGGATCTCTTAGACTGATTTTTCAGATGAGGAATGTGAGGTACAAGTTTCTCCCCCAAGAAACCTGTAACTTAGTGAGTTGGATCGTTGTCCCCACCCAAATCTCATGTTGAAATGTAACCCCCAATGCTGGAGGTGGGGCCTGGTGGGAGGTGATTGGATCATGGGGACCGTTTCTAAAGGTTTAGCACCATTCCCCTAATGCTGTTCTCATGACAGGGTTCTCACAAGATCTGGTTGTTTAAAAGTATGTATCACCTCCCCCATCTTTCTATTCCTCCTGCTCTGGTCATGTAAGATGTGCCTGCTTTCCCCTTTACCTTCCACCATGATTGAAAATTTCCTGCGGCCTCCCCATATCACTATCAGCAAACAGCCTGGCTGTGTTGTGCTCCTGCTCTAGGGATCTGTGGAACTTTGAGCTTGAGAGTGATGATTTAGGGTATCTAGTGGAAGAAATTTCTAAGCAGCAAAGTGCTCAAGATGTGGCCTGGCTACTTCTAACAGCCTATGTCCATATTTGTGGGCAAATAAGTGACATGAAACTGGAACTTATATTTAAAAGGGAAGCAGAACATAAAATATTGGAAAGTTTGCAGCTTGGCCATGTGATAGAAAAGAAAAACCCATTTTCTGGGGAGGAATTCAAGCCAGCTGCAGCAATTTGCATAGCTAAAAGGAAGACAAGTGCTGATAGCCAAGACAATGGGAAAAGGCCTTCAAGACATTTCAGAGACATTCACGGCAGCCCTTCTCATCACAGGCCCAGAAGCCTAGGAGGGAAGAATGGTTTTGTGGGCCATGCCCAGGGCCCCTCCACCCTGTGCAGCCCTAGGACACTGTCTTCTGCATCCCAGCTGTTCCAGCTCCAGCCTTGGATCAAAGGGGCCCAGGTACAGCTCGGGCTACTGCTTCAGAGGGTGCAAACCATAAGCCTTCATGGCTTTCAAGTGGTGTTAGCTTGCAGGTTCACAAAGTGCAGAGTTGAAGCTTGGGAGCCTCTGCCTAGATTTCAGAGGATGCATGGAAAAGCCTGGATGTCCAGGCAGAAGCCTACTGCAGGGGCAGAGCCCTCTTGGAGAACCTCTACTAGGGCAGTGTAGAGGGGAAATGTGGGGTTGGAGCTCCCCCCAACAGAGTTCTCACTGGGGCACTGCCCAGTGGAGCTGTGAGAGAAAGGCCACTGTCCTCCAGATCCCAGAATGGTAGATTCACTCACAGTTTGCACTGTGCTTCTGGAAAAGCCATAGACACTCAACACCAGCCCTTGAGAGAAGCCACAGGTATAGAGCTGCCCAATGCCTTGGGAGCCCACTCCTTACATCAGCATGTCCTGGATGTGTGACATGGAGTCAAAAGAGATCATTTTGGAGCTTTAAGATTTAATGATTGCCCTGCTGGGTTTAAGACTTGCATGGGGCCTGTAGACCCTTTCTTTTGGCCACTTTCTCCTGTTTCAAATGGACGTACTTACCCACTGCTTATTCTCCCATTGTATCTTGGAAGTAACTAAGTTGTCTTTTATTTTACAGGCTCATAGACAGACAGGACTAATCTTGTCTCAGATGAGACTTTGGACTATGGGCTTTTGAGTTAATGCTGGAATGAGTTAAGACTTGGGGGCTGTTGGAAAGGCATGACTGGATTTTGAAATGTGAGAAGGACATGAGATTTGGAAGGGGCCGGGGTGGAATGATGTGGTTTGGATCTGTGTCCTCACTCAAATCTCATGTTGAAATGATGTAATCCCCAGTGCTGGAGGTGGAGCCTAGTGGGAGGTAATTGGATCATGGGAGGCAGTTTCTAATGGCATAGCAACATCCCCATAGTGCTGTTCTTGTGATGAAGTCCTCACAAGATCTGGTTGTTTAAAATATTGTGCCCCTGCTCCAGGGATCTGTGGAATGTTGAGCTTGAGAGTGATGATTTAGGGGATCTGGTGGAAAAAATTTCTAAGCAGCAAAGTGCTCAAGATGTGACTTGGCTGCTTATAACAGCTTATGTCCATATGTGTGAGCAAAATGGATTGAGCAAATAAAAGACATGAAACTGGAACTTATATTTAAAAGGGAAGCAGAGCATAAAAGATTGGAAAATTTGCGGCTTGGCCATGTGGTATAAAAGAAAAACCCATTTTCTGGGGAGGAATTCAAGCCAGAGGTAGAAATTTGCATAACTAAAAGGAAGACACATGCTATGACAAAGACAAATTTTTGTGACCTTGAATTAGACAAAGATATCTAGATAGGTTGCCCAAAGCATAACCTGTAAAGGAGAAAATTGCTCAATTGGAACTCATCAACATTAAAAACTTCTGCTCTTCAAAAGATACTGCTAAGTGAATCAAAAGACAGACAAAAACTAGGAGAAAATATTTGCACCGCATATATCTGATAAAAGACGTGTATCCAGAATATATAAAGAACTTTCAAAACTTGATAACAAGAACACAACCCAATAGAAAATAGGCAACAGATATAAGCAGACACTTCACCAAAAAAGATATGTCATGGAAGATAAGCATATGAAAGGTGTACAAAATCATTAATTATTGGGAAAATACACATTAAAACCTAATGAGATTTTCCACACACCCATTGGGATGGCTAAAATTAAAAAGACTAACCATACCAAGTGTTGGCCAGGACGTGAAGGAACTGGAACTCTCATACACTTCTAAATGGCAATGTAAAATGGAAACCACTTTGGAAAATAGTTGGGCAGTTTCTTAAAAACTTAAGCATGTACCTTCTATATAAGCTTGCATTTTACTCCGATTTGCACAAAAGAAAGTTTATGTTCATACAGAGAGTTTTACATAAACATTTATATCAGCTTATAGCACTTATTTTCAAATAGTAGTCCTAAACTACAAAAAACCTGAGTGTCCATTAACTAGTGAATGGAAAAGTAAATTGAAGTAAGCCCATAGATAGAATAATTCTAAGAAATAAAAAGGAACGAACTACTCATACACACAACTACATGAAGGAACTTCAAAAATGATTTTGCTAAATGAAAGAAGCCAAGCAAAAAGAATTATACCATGATTTCATTTTTATAAATTTCTAGAAAATGCAAGCTTAGAAAATTTCTAGAAAATGAAAGCTCAATGGTTGCTTGGAATTGGGGAAGGGGAGAAGAGAAGGAGAGATTCCAAAGAAATTTTAGGTTAATAGTTATGTTCACTATAACTATTGGTTTTGATTTTGATAATAGTTTCATGAGTGGGTAAAACTTACCAAATTGTTCATTTTCTATCTGAAGTTTATTGTATTCAGTTAGACCTCAGTAAAATTGCTAAAACACTCAGTAGCAAGAAAACAAATAATCAAATTAAAAACCCAAAGATTTGAACAGACATCTCACTAAAGAAACAATATCAATGGCATATCAACACAGGGAAAGATGCTCAAGATTATTAGCTATTGGAGAAATGAAAATTAAAACCAAAATGACTACATATCTATCAAATGGACAAAATTATATTAAAAAACCCAAACCTAATAATATCAAATGCTGATGAGTATGTGGAGCAACTGGAATTCTCATACATTGCTGCTGGGAATGAAAATGGTACAGCCACTCTGGAAAACAGTTTGACAATTTCTTATAAACATATACTTATGATATGATCCAGTTATCCTATTCCTGAGTACTTGAGGAAATGAAAACAGTGTTTACATAAAAAGATCTGTTCACAAATAGCAGTTCGATACACCAAAAGAATGGAAACAAGCCCAAAGTCCTTTAATGTGTAAGTGGATAATCAGACCATAGTACATCCGTACAATAGAATACTACACAGCAATAAAAAATGAATGAGCTATTGATTTATGCAATAGTGTGAATGCATCTCAAGGGCTTTATGCTGAGTTAAAGAAGACATTTCCAGAGTTATGTATATTCTGAAAGACTTTCAAGACCAGCCTGGGTAACACAGTAAGACTCTGATTCCACAAAAAATAAAAAAAATTAGCCAGGTGTGGTAGGGTGCACCTGTAGTCCCAGCTACTCTGGAGGTTGAGGCGGGAGGATCAGTTGAGTTAGGGGTCTGAGACTGTAGTGAGCTGTGATTGCACCACTGTATTCCAGACTGGGCAACAGAGTGAGACCCTGTCTCAAAACAAACATATTCTATTATTACATTGACATGAAATTCTAGAAAGCTATAGGTATGGAGAGTGGATCAGTGGTAGGGGAAGAGTTTGACACAAAGGGGCAGCATGAGAGCATTTTCTGGGGTGATGAACCCGTGTTATATCTTGAGTGTGGTGAATGCATATTGAAGCTCATACAAGAGTCCACCAAAAAGAAAGCAAATTTTACTGTATTTAAAAAAAAAAGTTATGGTAAGAAGCTAAAGCAGTACTCAACAGGAAATTTTTAGCATTGAGTGGTCTCATTAGAAAAGAATAAAAGCTGAAGATTAATAAGCTAGACCAGGGCTTCTCAACTTCAGCACTCTTGACATTTGGGCTGGATAATTCTTTGTTTCTGGGGCTGTGTTGCTCACTGTAGGATGTTTAGCAGCATCCTTGGTGACTACTCACTAGATACCAATATCATTCTTCCCCCAGTTGTGACAACCAAATAATATCTTCAGACATTGCTCAATGTCCCATAGGGGCCAAAATTGTCCCTGATTGAGAACCACTGAACTAAATATTCAACTGAAGAATTTAAAAAGGAATAACATAAGAATAATCCAAAAAAGCAGAACATAGGAAACATTTTTTTTTAAAAAGAAACACTTATGAGATAAAAATCAAATGCACAATGAAGAGGCTTAATGCAGCCAAAAGTTCTTTCTCTGAGAAACTAATAAAGTTGAAAAATTTCTGACAAGATTGAGCAAGGAAAAAGAAAGAAGACAGACAAAGCAATGTAAGGAATAAAAAAAGCAAACATATTTACTGATGCTGCAGATATTTAAAAGATAATTAACAACTTTAAGCTAATATTTTGGAAAACTTAGATGAAATGGAAAAATTTCTAAAGAAATATAAGCTACAGAAATGGTTTCAAGAAGAAATATGAAACAAACAGCACTATAATTATTAAATAAATGGAACGATTAGTTTACAAATGTACCCTAAAGAAAAATCAGATCCTCCCAAATGATTTTACTTGTGAGTTTTACCAAACATTCAGGAGATAGATATTTTCAATCTTACACAAGCTAGTCTATAATATAGATAAAGAGGAAATACAAATATGCCCCAACCCATTTTATAAAGCCAGTATAATTTTAACACTAAATCTTGACAATGATAGTGTGAGAAGAAAATTGCAGGCAAATTTTACTTAAGAACATTGACACATAATTCTAAACCGAATGTTGGTAAACAAAATCCTACAATGTAGAAAAATGATAATATGCCCTAAGCTAGTTTACCTAAGGCATGTAAGATTGGGGAAGCATTAAAGCATAAAAAATCAATGTGATTCCTTACATTAACAAGATAAAGAAGAAAAGCAATGTGAGCATTGTATTAGTCTGTTTTCACACTGCTATAAAGAATTACTTGAAACTGGATAATTTATGAAAAAAAAGAGGTTTAATTGACTCACAGTCCTGCAGGGTTAACAGAAAGCATGACTGAGAGGCCTCAGGAAACTTACAATCATGGTAGAAGGCAAAGGGGAAGCAAGCAACCTTGTTCACATGGTGGCAGAAGAGAGAGCGAGCGAAGGGGGAAGTGCCACACAATTTTAGTGAGAACTCATTCACTATCGCAAGAACAGCAAGAAGGAAATTTGCACCTATGATCCAATCATCTTCCACCAGGCCTCTCCTCTGATTTGACACGAGATTTGAGTGGGGACATAAATCTAAACCATATCAATCATTTTAATAGATACAAAAATATAATAAAATTTAATATTCACTTATGATCTTTTAAAGAAGTCTTTGTAATCCAGGGATAGAAGAAAATGTTCTCACCTGATAAAGGACACTTACAAAAAACCTATACCAAATATCTTTTTTTTTTTTTTTTTTGAGACGGAGTCTCGCTTTGTCACCCAGGCTGGAGTGCAGTGGCGCGATCTCAGCTCACTGCAAGCTCCGCCTCCCAGGTTCACGCCATTCTCCTGCCTCAGCCTCCTGAGTAGCTGGGACTACGGGCGCCCGCCACTACACCTGGCTAATTTTCTGTAATTTTTAGAAGAGACGGGGTTTCACTGTGTTAGCCAGGATGGTCTCGATCTCCTGACCTCGTGATCTGCCCGCCTCGGCCTCCCAGAGTGCTGGGATTACAGGTGTGAGCCACCGCGCCCAACCCCAAATATCTTATTTAAAGGCGAAGCACTGAAATCATTCCCTTTAAGATAAGAAACAATACAAAGCCGTCTGCTATCACCACATCTCTTCAGCAATATGCTAAAGGCCCTAGCCAATGAAACAAGGCAAATAACACACACACACAAACACACAGAGGAAATACAGATCACGAAGAAAAATCATATTGTTATCACTTTAAAATGTTAGCTTATAAACATAGAAACCCTCCATGAATATGCAGATACATTATTAAATTAATAAAAGGTCTCTGGATATAAAACCAGTGCAAAAAGTTAACTGCATTTTCTACATCAGCAATAAGCAGTCCAAATTTTACTTCAAAATAGATACCATTTACAGTACCTCCAATGAAATGAAATATCTAGGAGTAAATCTAAAAAAATATGTACAGGAACTTTATGGAGAAAATATAAAAACTATTGAAAACATTAGAAAGTGATAAAATAATAGTGGGCTAGTTTCATGGATTGAAAGGCAATAATGTAAAAATTTCTGTTTTCCCAAATTGACTCAAACATAGATTTGATGCAATTTCAGTTAAAATTCAATAGGTTTCTTTTTCAGAGATTCTGAAAAACTGATTCTAAAATATATATGAAGAAATAAGAGGCAAAGAATAGATACCATTTACAGTATCTCCAATAAAATATCTAGGAGTAAATCTAAAAAATATGTATGAAAACTTTATGGAGAACATATAAAAAATATTGAAAACATTAAAAAATGATAAAGTAATAGTAGGCTGGCTGGGTGCAGTGGCTCATCCTGTAATCCCAGCACTTTGGGAGGCCAAGGCGGGTGGATCACCTGAGTTCAGGAGTTCAAGACCAGCCTGGCCAACATGCTGAAACCCCATCTCTACTAAAAATACAAAAATTAGCTGGGCATAGTGGCAGGTGCCTGTAATGCCAGTTACTCTGGAGGCTGAGGCAGGAGAATTGCTTGAACCCAGGAGGCAAAAGTTGCAGTGAGCCAAAATTGTGCCATTGCACTCCAGCCTGGGCAACAAGAGCAAGACTCTGCCAAAAATAAATAAATAAATAAATAAATAAATAAATAAATAAATAAGAAAAAGGCTGAGTTCATAGATTGAAAGACAATAATGTAAAAATTTCTTTTTTTCCAAATTGATTCAAACATAGATTCAATGCAATTTCAGTTAGAATTCAATAGGTTTCTTTATCAAAGATTCTGAAAAACTGATTCTAAAATATGTATGAAAGAATAAGGGGTAAAGAATAGTCAAAATCTGCTAAAGAAGAAGAGGGTGGAGAACTAGTTTATCAAAAAGCATTACAACACTATAGAAATTAAAACAGAGTGGCACTGTCTTAGGAATAGACAGACCAATGGAAGAAAATAGAAATCTCAGAACAGCTCCTAATACCTAATACAAAGGGAAACTTGATTTATGACAGAGCTGGTACTACAGTTCAGTAAGGAAAGACTCAATTTACAAAACTGTATTGGGTAAATTGATAATTTGCCATAAAAATGTTGGGATAATGCCTCAAACCATATATAAAAATAAATTGTAGATTGCTAAAACTTTAAATGTAAATGTCAATATTCTAAAGCTTGGTGATGATGATTATGATGATAGCACATAATACTATGTTCCAGACTATTTTCAACAGAGGTTATTTAGTCCAACAGAGCATGTATATGATGTAGGTACTAATATCGTTTCCACTTTGCATTTGAGTAAATTGAGCCACAAAGAGGTTAAATAAGTTGATCAAGTTTTCATCACTAGGATTTGAACCTAGGCAGTTTGGCTTGGGAGTTTATGTTCTTAAATACTGTAAATAGAGAGGCAGGGTGCATTTATGACCTCAGGATAGGTAAGGATTTCTTAAAATCCAAAAGTAGGAGCCACACAAACAGGTATGAAAAATGTGACTATGTTACAAACTTTTGTTTGTCAAAAGACACTCTAACAGAAATAAAAAGAAAAAGCACACGCTATAAGAAAAGATTTGTAACACAAATAAGTGGGAAAGATTAGCATTGAGAATATGTTAAAAACAAAAAACAAAAAACCTCCTGCAAGCCAATGAGAAAATGACAACCTGATATATGGTTTGGCTGTGTCCCCACCCAAATCTCATATTGAATGTAAGCTGAATTGTAATCCCTATGTGTTGAGGTGTTAAGGGATCTTTGGGGTATCAATTGGCCAGAAACCTCTGTGGCTGGTGGCACCTTTGCTGAGGTCTTGTCCTGTGTCCAGGAAGAATGAGGTACACAGACAAGTGTAGGGTAAACACGATGAAGAGGAGGTTTATTGAGTGTTAGAATGCTCAGAAGAGACCTGTGGTGGATAGCTCCTCTCTGCAGGCAGGTCATCTCGTTGAGTGTTCAGCTTTCAGCAGAGAGGAGGCCCTGGGGTCTGTGGCTCCTCTCTGCTGGCAGGTTGTCCCATTAAGGGTTCAGCTCTCAAGAGAGAGGAGGCTCTAGAGAGGGTAACTCCTCTCTGCAGCTGGTCATCCTTGTCCTGTCAGGGGTTCAGCTCTCAACAGAGAGGAGGCCCTGGAGATGGTAGTTCCTCTCTGCAGGTGGTCATCCCAATGTCTGCTGCTTTCAACAGAGAGGAGGCCCTGGAGAGGGTAGCTCCTCTCTGCAGCCAGTCATCCTGATGTCTGCTGCTTTCAACAGAGAGGAGGCTCTGGAGAAAGTTGCTCCTCTCTACAGGCAAGTCTTCCTCTCTTCTTCCCAGCTCTCAGCAGAGAGGATAGCTCCTCTCTGAAGTTGGTCATCCCATCATCTCTCCATCCTCTACCCTGCTTTAGCTGAGCCTGGGGCTTTTACGGATGTCAGAGGGGAGGAAGTGTGTGTCAGTTGGTCCATGGGTGGCCATGGGCAGGCCTGAAAGGCACTGCAAGTCCCCACTTTGATCTGCGGGACTTACTGCTCAGCCCCCAGCCTTCAGGCCATCCCTGGCCTAAAGGTAGGGCCTTACTAGGGATCCACTCCCTTCAATCCAGGAGCCTGTCTGCCTCCTGCTGCCATCCATGGTGCCTATGGTGCCCAGGCTGCTTGCACCAAAAGGCACCTGCAGGCCAGTGCCAAGCCACCCTCAGCCCTCCCCCTCAGTTTCTCCTCTCATGCTCATTTTGCCCAAATTCTGGAGGAGGCCGAGGTAGCAGGGTACTGGCATGTCAGCACTGCCCCAAGCATGTGCACACCTGGCCAGGCTGTGCCAGTGCCCAGGATAGGCCCCAACCTGGCTCCAAGATTGGAGTAGGGTGCCAGGAGTGGAGAGGCCAGGCAGCAGGAGCAGACACTCTAGAGCCTGTGGGGCCAGGGGGTTGGGGGGGACTTCTGAGGCCCCCAAGAGTGAAGACTGCAGAGACTCTCGGGTCCTGCGCTTGGGAGGGTGGCCACAGCTGCACCTAGGGAACTCCCGCCTTGCCAACTCAAAAGGGGTGGGGCTCCCACTTGTCACCAGCTCCTGCCTGCCTCACGGAGTGTGCAGCCCTGGGGTGGTGCCTCCCTGCTGCAGCCTGCATGATGGCAGCGGCCACTGCCAACAGAGGGAGGAACCTGGTGGGAGGTGATTGGATCAAGGGGGCCAGTTTCCCCCGTGCTGTTCTCGTGGTAGTGAGTGAATTCTCATGAGATCTGGTTGTTTGATAAGTGGCTCTTTCTCCTTCTTTCTCTCTCCCTCTCCTACTGCCTTTTGAAGATGTGCCTTGTTTCCCTTTTGCCTTCTGCCATGATTATAAGTTTCCTGAGGCTTTCCCTGTGAGTCCATTAAACCCCTTTCTTTATAAATTACTCAGTCTCAGGTAGTATCTTTATAGCAGTGTGAAAACAGACTAATACACAACTCAATACGAAAATGGGCAAAGTAACTTAAATAGACACTTAATGAAACAGGAAATCTGAATGTCTAGACTGAATATTCAGTTTCACCAGGGAAGTAAAGGAACTATTTGTATTTATTTGTATGATTATTTGTAACTTGGGAAATACAAATGAAATAGATATCATTATATGCCCATTACATTGTTAAAATTGAAAAAAAGTCTGATAAGATCAAGTGCTAGCAAAGGCATGGAGTAATAGGAACTTTTACACTGCTGGTGGCAGTTCTAAGTGATGAAATTTCTTTGGCATAAATTCAGCATTATCTAATAACATTAATAATGCACATACCCTGTGATCCAGAAATGTTACTAGGTCTATACCTTAGAGAACTTATATAGGTGCAGCAGTGGACACATCAAGAAAGCCCATGGTAACATGGCTTGTGAAAGCAGAACAATAAGCAATGTCCATCAATAGTATAATGATACAGCAAAATACAAAACAATAGTAGAATGATACAGCAACAAAACCAAAAAAATCCATCTGCATAGATAAAACTGAGGACAATAATCTTGGGTAAAAAAGCAAGCTATAGACAAGTTGCTGAGTAGGAGAAGATATTTTCAAATCACACACCTGAAAAGGACTAGAATCTTGATTATATAAGAGCTCTCAAAACTCAATGGTAAAAAGAAAACAAGTAATCTACTAGAACATGGGCAAAACACATGAATAGATATTCCATAGTGTAAGTTATTCAAATGGCAAAAAAAATCCATGAAATATGTTCAACATAAGGGTAATGCAAATTAAAACCATGATAACATATCACTATGCATCTATCAGAATTGCTAAAATAAAAAAAAAATGAGAACACCCAACATTGGCAAGGATGTAGAGAAATAGGCTTGTTCATATATTGTTGATGGGATGTAAAATTGTAGATCTAGCCTAGAAAACAGAGGGCAGCTAATTATAAAACCCAGCATGCCTATGACCCAGCAGTAGCGCCCTCAGGTGTTTATCCCAGGGAAATAAAAACTTATGTCCACACAAAAACCTGGGGAGCTTTATTTGCAATAGCCAAGTGTTCACAGCAGCTTTATTTGTAATAGTCGAATATACTACAGTTTGTTTAACCATTCAAATATACCACAGTTTGTTTAACCTTTTGCCTGTTGGTTGAAGATGCCTTTCAACAGGTGACTGGTTAGACAAACTGTGGTATATACACAGGATGGAATACTACTCAGCAATAAACAAGCAACAAGCTATTGATTACAAACAACTTGGATGAATCTTTGGGGAATTATTATGAGTGAAAAAAGTCAATGCCAAAGGCTACATATGTATGATTACATTTATATAACATTTTGAAATGACAAATGTTACAGATAGAGAAGGGATTAGTGGTTGTTGAGGGTTAAGAATGTGGTGAGGTGGAGGGAGGTGGTTATAAAGGCACAACATGAAGGATCCTCATGGTGATGGACTGGCTGATGTCTTGACTTTAGTGATGGACACACACACACACACACAGACCACAAATGATACAAGTAAATTGGAGAAATCTGGGTAAGACTGGTGAGCTGTATCATGTCAATATCCTGGTTATGATATTGTACTAGTGTTTTAAAAATGTTATTGTATTAGTCTCTTCTCATGCTGCTGATAAAGACATACCTGAGACTGGGTAGTTTATAAAGGAAAAGAGGTTTAATGGGTTTACAGTTTCACATGGCTGAGGAGGCCTCACAATCATGGCAGAAGGTGAAAGGCACGTCTTACATGGTGGCAGATATGAGAGAAATGAGAACCAAGTGAAAGGGGTTTCCCCTTATAAAACCATCAGACCTTGTGAGACTTATTCACTACCATGAGAACAGTATGGGGGAAACCACCCCCGTGATTCAATAATCTCCCCCTGGGTCCCTCCCACAACACGTGGGAATTATGGGAGCTACAACTCAAGATGAGATTTGGGTGGGGACACAGCCAGACCATATCAGTTACCACTGGGGGAAACTGGATAAATGGTACACAGAATTGCATATGAATTTATAATTATCTCAATAACAAATTCTAATTAAAAATTATTAACTCTTTCACTCAAAAATTTCAGAAACAAATTTATCATAGCTTTGACTTGGCTACAAAAACCCCAAGCCATACAAACCTACATAACTGCAAGATTCTAGTCTTAGAGATCAAAAACGTATTAAACAATATATTGTTCAGGATATAAGGTGATAAAGAAAAAAAACATTGGAGAATGAATTCAGATTAGCATTTCTCTGGGTTACGAAGAGAGGCAATCAGATCAAAGAGGTCATGCTTGATGGTCACGCTTTCATTTCTAAACTGGATGGTGGGATACACGAATGTTCCCTTTATTGTTATTCTTTGTACAGCAGACATGTTTTATAAATATCTTTTGTACCCACTCAGTATTTAATGAAACCTTGTAGAAAGTCTTTGGTGTGTGTTGGTGTATATGTTGTGTGTGTATTTGTATTTGGCAATGTATGTTTCCACCTCCTGAGCCTGGCAAGCTCTTTCCTGCCACAGGACCTTTGCACTTGCTATAACCTCTTCTGAGAACTCTCCTTCTTTGGTTCTTCAAAGATTGTGGTCCCACCTCAGCTCAGGCAAGTGAAGTGAAGAGACTTTCAGATCAATGCGTATGCATCCTGAATGGTCTTGTTTGTTGATTCATGTATCTGCCTCTTCTGACTAGAATGTAAGTTCCCTGACGTCAGAGAGCTCCTCTAACTTATTCAACCATTACCTAGACGTGGGTTGACAGACTGAACGAATGCATATTTATGCATATGAATTTAGGGTCTAAAAAAAGCATGCCAATTGAAAGTGTTGGCTTCCTAAGAATTTCTTTGGGCTACTGACTATTTTACTCTTTAATAGTATCATGGTAAACTGGGGGTTAAATTGCTTTTGCAATTATTGAAGGTCTGAGTGAAGGGAGTTACGTAGAATAACAAGGGGCATGTCTTTGAAGGACACAGGTAACAGCAAAGAACAAGTTTAAAAGAGTTAAACACATTCTAGCTAAAGAGGGAATAAGTTTAAATTGGGTTATTTTCCCTGGAGATTATTGCAATTTTAAGAGTAATGCTGCTTCCAAGAATGTTAGCTTTTCTCTTGGTGACCATGGATATAACAGTGTGTGGGTCCGTCATTAATCAGGATAAGGCATTACAGATCTGGGTCCTATTACCCTAAGTTTGTTTGTAAAATGGATTTCTTTGCAGGCAGCACTGACGTGTGACCATGTGATGTTTGGATTGTGCTTCAGAGCAGGGGATGGCTTGGCAAAGGCCTTTGCGGTTTATAACCTATTTTATTTTCTACAATTGAATTTTGAATTTTGAAGTCCAATCAATTTGAGTTCTTTACAAGTATAATTTGGTTACCCATGGGATGGTTTGAATTTAAGTTTCATGGAAGTAAGTTTGCATGCATTTTGGTCTTTTTAAATTAATTCTCATTGGAAACGTTTCATTATTCTGAAATGTTTGGTGATAGTAATTGTGAGGCTAGAACTGCTTGTTCATAAATAGGGTTATTATTGGATCTCCTCATGCCTTGATTGATTTATGATGAAGAAGACACACCTGTAGCATAATGCTCTTTTTTTGGTGGTGATTTCAAGTACAATCACTATGAAATGTAAAACCAGGATACAGAAGTAGAGAATTTAGTTCATGCCTTTCTGTGTAATTGATTTGAATACATTGAGTCAGGCTACATGCTTATGGGGAATTAGAGGTTCAGCAATTTACAAATGTTGCCATTATAATCGGATCGGAAAAAGAAGTGATGGGACCTGCTGAGTGGTGTGAGACAATGGGAAATGTATCTTTTGACAGGAACCCCAATGCCTAGGATTTTCTGTAGCATGAAATGGAGTGAGTGTGCTGGGCGAGGTGGAAAGCCACCATTTCTGCAATCAAAATTATAAAAAGAATTATAATAACTGCCAGTTATTAAGCATTAACTGTGCACCAAGCACTTTGTTAAGACTTTGTCTCTGCATTATTGCATTTAATCTCATAAAAAGCCTATGCAGTAGGTTGTGCTAGGTTGTTGATTGTTCATCTGGCATCACCACCACCTGTCATCAGGTGTCCCTTGCTTTGTGGAAGAGGAGATGAGACCTACATTTCCCAGAATGCCTTTTGCCATATGGCTCCTGGTTTGAGTCTGCCAAAAGAGGTGCTTAGGGAAGGTTTGGAAAGTAGGAAAGGTGGCGAGGCTGTGATTCTCCAGAATTAGTTGCAGGTAGGTAGATAAATAGGCAGACATGAGGTTTGAAGCACCTTCCACTTGAGTTTTACCTGCTTCATTGCTGCAGCCTGAGAAGGCCAGCAGAGCTTCCCAGGGGTTTTGGGTAAGACCTTGGATGCCTGCTGTACTGGTGTCCTTGGGTGCTCAGTGGTGGCTTCCCCAGCTATTCTTTCCCAGGTCTTCTAACAGCTGTAGAAGCTTCTAATTCCCTTCATTAAAGCCCTTCCTACTTGGACTATGTGGAATTGGCTTCAGTGTTTCTGACTGGACTCTGACTGATACATAGGGTATTATTCTTCTTTCCAGTTTTTAGACGAGTGAACTGAGGTTTAGAGAGGTGAATTGACCACTCACAAAAAATGGCAGAGTGGGATTTACACCCAGACCGTAATCACAAGCCTTCACCATCTCTGAAAAAGCACCTGGAGATCCAGGTGCATGAACACTGCTCACAGCCTCATACATATAATGTTTGCTCGATCCCAGAACTATAGCCCCACATTAATTGTGACCGTGGGCACCCCTCTCAGAGACAGGGTTTTCCATCTGTTGGTCCACTTAGACTGCATGGTCACTGGTCAACTATGGTTGCTCTTCCTTGTTGGAAACCCAGACAGCCTCTGGAAATTAGTTAACTTGTGGATGAAAACAAGAAATATATATTCATATCTTGCCTTGCTCATACCAATTGCTATCGTAGGTGACAGATTCTTGCATCAGTAATTTTAGAGACAGCTGAAATTGTTCATGATAGATGTCCACTTGAAGGTTACATAACGGGATATTAACACTGCTTACATCAGAGGAGAGGTCATGGGTGGGGACTGGCGCTACAATTTACCATCTTTTTATTGTATGTTTCAGTTGTTATAATCAAACATGTGTTACTTTTGTAATTTGAAAAACATGCTATAAACAAACTGAATATAAAATCAAAAGACATGCTCACTTAGATACTAGGGCATGTGGCATGATGTATGTGATGGTGACACCAAGTTGACAACGGACATCTATAATGTCACATAATGCACTTTAAGTGATGGCACAGGACTTGTATATGGTAGCAAGCAGAGCAGCAGTGGTTCTCAAATCTTTGTCTAGTTGGAAGAACCACTTTTAAATAACATTTCACATGGAACCACAATATATAAAACTGATAAGAGGGGAGCTACTCTGAATAAAACGACAGTAATCCCTGGAGCCTCAGAGCCCCAAAGACTAGTATTTTTGTTTCAACCCCATGTTCTTCCATTAGCCTTAGAAATGCCACTGTAGAACCTTGCTGCCATGAAGAAAACATAACGACAACATAAATGCCAACAAGAAATCTGCTCTCATGCTGATTGATTACTTGTGTTCTCTCATTATTGTTCCTTCTCTTTGTAGGGTAGGCCATGGGAATGAGCTCTCGATGCTTCTCTACAATCATGAGTAAAAGTCAGGCTTCTCCATGGAGCAGAACTAGCTTGGACACTAGCCTGATGAGCAGATATCTCAGGAATTACATGGGACAGAGAAGATGAGGTCCCAGTGAGCATTGTTTCCCCAAAGCCTGGAGTCAGAAAGCCCCATGGGATGGGAAGAAGAGGGAGTGTGTCTTCAACCTGAGATATTCCTGAGTCACCTTAGATTGGCAGCCCGACACAGATAGGCTTGGAGCAAAGAGCAAGGACTGAGGGATGGATGAGTCAGAGGGAAGGGGTCTGGACCAATGCCTCCATTGTGAACTGTGAGGCTCTTGCATATTGGGAGCTCTCTGAAGGCAGCAGTGTCTCCAGCATCACACCAAGAGCAACTGAGGCTAGGCTTGTGTCTCTACCCTCTCCCTTCTAAGTGAGGGAAGTCTTTGGTTTTCTGTGTGTCTCCCCGCAATGCCCAGAATAGGGATTGATGCAGAGGGTGATGTTGTCTGAATGCAATCGAGTGACTTTGCTTTCCTGTCTTAGCCATTTCATACTGCTATCACAAAACACCACAGAGCATGGATGGATCTGTAGGCCATTATCCTTAGCAAACTAACACAGGAACAGAAAACCAAATACTGCATGTTCTCACTTATAAGTGGGAGCTAAATAATGAGAACTCATGGGCACAAAAAGGGGAACAATAGACACTGGGACCTACTACTTGAGGGTGGAGGGTAGGAGGAGAGAGATGGTCAGAAAAATTAACTATTGGGTACTAAGTTTAGTACCCGAGTGATGAAATTATCTGTAAACCAAACCCTTTTGACACGAGTTTACCTATATAACAAACCTGCAAATGTACTGTGAACCTAAAGTAAAGTTAAAATCCCACAGACTGCATGATTTATAAAGAACAGGAATGTATTTTCTCACAGCTCTAGAGGCTGGGAATTCCAAGATCAAAGTTCCAGCAGGTTCAGTTTTCTGATGAGGGCCTGGTCTCTGCTTCTAAGATGGAACCTGGAATGCTGCATTCTCCAGAAGAGAGAGATGCTGTGTCCTCACATGGCAGAAGGCAGAGGTCAAGAGGAGCAAATTTCATCCATCAAGTCCTTTTGTAGGGGCACTTAATTCCATTCATGAGGGCTCCACCCTCAAGACTTAATCACCCCCTGAAGGCCCTACCTCTTAATATTGTTACATTGGTGATTAGTTTCAATGTCTGGATAATGGAGAGGCCACATTCAAACCATAGGATCTCCTCTCGTTAAACATGAACCCAGTGTCCCCATCTAAGTCTGGGCTTGGATCCTGGATTCCTGGTTTCAATTCTCAGGGCCTCTGGACACTGTTCTGGTGACATCATGGCTCAAAAATATCTTGAATCTTAAAACCCATAGTCTGTGTTGAAGGATTCCCTTACCACTCCAGAGCTCAGCTATACTCTGGGAAATACAGCAGAAGGGGCTGGCATCTGGGAGGACCATGCAGGATGGGGAGGACATGGACTGGGAAAGGAAGAGAGAGGCGGTGAACATGGCAAACTTGGCTTGTGAACATGGGGCCCTCTCTTGGCCAATTTCGAGGAGCTGGTGGCAAACTAGGTGGTTTAAGTTTTAGACTAGTCATGGTACAGGTATTTACTGTCAGATCCGAGCTGAGTCTGCTCAACAGAGCATCCCCAACAGGCCTGAGCACTCACACTCATTCCTTCTTCTGCTTCTCTTTCTTCCTCCTCCTCCTCATCATATTAGCCTGAGTTCTCCAGATAAAGAGAACCAATAGCATATGTTTATGTATAATATATTCCTTATCACATAAATATACATGTCTTCTATATGATAAGGAATTGGCTCACATGGTTATGAAGGCTGAGAGGTCCCATGATCTTCAGTTGACAAGCTGGAGACCCAGGAGAGCTGATAGTGTAGTTTTGGCCTGAGTCCAAAGGTCAGAGACTGTTGAGTGCTATTGAGGGCCCATGTCCTTGAGGCCATCAGCAAGGGGAAAGGCAGCTTTTCTGTAGGAGGAAAAGAAGATAGCAGAAAGGAGAAGCCACAGAGAGACAGTCAGGATTGCTGATGGTTAATTTCCAGTCTGAATCTTAAGGCAGCAGCGAAGACCAGTGTCCCAGCTTGAAGACAGTAGGGCAGAAAGAGTGTGAATTCTCTTTAACTCAGCCTTTTTGTCCTATTCAGACCTCCAACAGATTGGATGAAGCCCAGATGAACAAATTGGAGAGGGCAATCTGCTTTACTCAGTTTACTGATTCGAATGTTAATCTCATCCAGGAACTTCTTCACAGACACACCCAGAATAACATTTAACAAAATATCTGTGCACCCAGTGGCCCAGTCAAAATGACATAAAATTAAGCAATTATTATTATCATCATCATTAAATACCTATTTAGTAGCAGATCAGATCAAACACCGTTGGCCTTGGTGAGAATTTTTTTTTTTTAATTTTAATTGCCATGGAAAGCCTCGATGATGTGATCTGATTTACACTGTACAGAAGGACAACTGTGGCAGCTGTATGTGAGGTAGAGAGACCTGTTAGGGGGCTGTTGCAGTAGGCTAGATAGACAATAATGGGGCTTTGACTAGAGGTTTTGGAGGTAAATCTGACAGGTCATTTGGAGAAGATTTGAGGAGGAGCAGATTTACGAGGATGGTTGGTAGTAAAATCAAGAGTTATGTGCCAAAGTTATGTTTGATCTGCCTGTTAGATACCCAAGTGAAGACTGGAACTGACAGTTGGATAGATGGGTCTGAAGCTCAGAGAAAAAGATGTGCCTGGAGATAGATATAAAAGACCCATCAGGCCGGGTGCTGTGGCTCACGCCTGTAATCCCAGCACTTTGGGAGGCTGAGGTGGGTGGATCATTTGAGGTCAGGAGCTCGAGACCAGCCTGGCCAACATGGTGAAACCCTGCCTCTACTAGAAATACAAAAATTAGCCGGGCATGGTGGTGGATGCCTGTTGTCCCAGCTACTCAGGAGACTGAGGCAGGAGACTTGCTTGAACCTGGGAGGTGGAGGTTGTAGTGAGCCGAGACTGTGCCTCTGCACTACAGCCTGGGTGACAGAGCGAGACTCTGTCTCAAAAAAAAAAAAAAAAAAAAAAAAGCCATCAGCATGTGGAGAGTACTTAGGGCCATGCGGCTACATGGAATGTTTCACTCAGCTTTCACTAGGTCATGCTGCACTAGCAAATGACCCCCAAATTCCACAAGTGCCAGTGGCTTACAAACAACACACGTTTATGTTACTCTTACTTTACCTATTATCTGCAAGTCAGATCCCAGGTCTGTTCCTCATGTCTTTTCATTCTGGTAGCTGGGCTGAAGGAGGAGGCCCTGTCTAGAGCATGCGGTTCCTGGGGCAGAGGAAAAGGAGCAAAGGCAGAGCAATATGACCCTAGAAGCTTCTGTTCAGATGTGGCATGTGTCACTTCTGTGCACACTCCCTTGGCTGAAGCCTGATGTTCCATGGCCATGCCTGATGTCATTGGGGTGGGAAATGATATCCCTTCCTGCAGGGAGGCCCTGCAAGTCACATGGAACAGGCAAGGAGGCAGTGAAGAGTTCATTTAGTCAGAACAAATGGCTGAATACTCTGTACATTCCCCTCTCCCGCAACATTTACATCTGCATCCTCAAACACCATGTCCTCCAATGCATAGATCAGCTGTTTCGTGCAGTGGCTCACACCTGTAATCCCAGCACTTTGGGAGGCTGGGATTTGCCTTGCACAGGTGGGACCTGTATGCTCTCAAATAAATGGCCCTCATGGTGTTCACGTGTCCCCAACGCAGGGTGTATGAACTTTCCTGATGACTTCGGAGGCTGAGCACATGTTCTTCCCATGTAGCATGTCACCCTGTATGTGTGGCATGTGTTAACATATCCATCCCCTCCCTGCATGCACCACACTTCACAGAAGGAGGATCCTCAGGCTGCTTCTGAAGATCCTATCTTGGGACTTTGGAGGTTTTTCTCCTGCCCTGATCTTGAGCTTTTCCCCCTGATCTCTAGAAGTCACCACCACTGGAGGTTCTAGGATTGGGGGAAGGGACACGAAGGGAAGGGCAGACACCCCAGATAGAGGAGATAAAAAAAACCCATCTGCAATAAATCCCTGAGGAGTAGAGAGGAAAAGCTGGTCTGCCACCAGGAAAACAATGAAGAGGTAGCAACAAATGCGTGCAGGTGCTATTGAGGCCCATATCCTTGAGTGCGGACAACGAGGCCATCGGCAAGGGGAAGCGCAGCCGTTCTGTGGGAGGGAAAGATGGTGGCAGGGAGAAGAAGCCACAGAGAGGGAGTCAGCAAAGGTGGGCAGAGACATGGTGACCGAGCAGAGCCACAGACACACAGAGAAACTCAGGCATGGCAATGCTGATGCAGGGGCCAAGGCCCTTGGCCACCTGAAGTTTCACTGAAAAATCAATTCACAAAAGATAGATTAATAGGAGAAAAGGCATACACATTTATTTGGTGCGTATACATGAGAGGCTTCAGAATGAAGGCCCAAAGATGCAGGAGAAAATGTCCACTTTTGTGCTTGGGTTCAACAAAGTATGAACAGTCGTGTAGAGATATGATTGGACAAAAGGCTATGATCGAATGCTAATAGACTGAGAGGGGAAACCCAGCAGGGCCTGTCTGCTTAGATTCTTCTTGGCATCTGTGAGCACGCATTCCTTCCTTCTGGGCAGGGAGCAGGACCTTCACTGGAATGGGAGTCTTATAACCTACAGTCAAACAAGGTAGTTCAGATAATTTCTTTTTCTTTTTCTTTTCCTTTTTTTTTTTTTTTTGAAACAGGGTCTTCCTCTGTCACCCAGGCTGGAGTACAGTGACTCAATCACGGTTCATTGCAGCCTTGACCTCCTGGGCTCAAGTGATCCTCCCATCTCAGCCTCCCAAGTAGCTGGGACCATAGGAGCACACCATCATGCCTGCCTAATTTTTTTTTTTTTTTAAATAGACAAGGTCTCACTGTGTTACCTAGGCTGGTCTCAAACTCCTGGGCTCAAGTGATCCTCCTGCCTCAGACTCCCAAAATGCTGGGATTACAGGTGTGAGCCAGCACCCCAGGCTAGATAATTTCTTTATAGCCAGTTTTTACACAGAAAGGCAGAGGGAAAGTTAGAGTAATATTTTTGGGTTTTATGGCTGGCTTTGGGTAAAGGAGGTTCTGGTTTCCATGACCCGCCTCAGGGAAGAGAGATTCTAGTTTGTATGGCTAACCTCAGGGGAGAATGAGACTGAGAGACAAGAGGGCAAAAGAAGGTCAGAGAAGAACTGCTTCTGAGTCTGCTTCTGAGGCCTTCCTTTTGGGGTGCTTTCTGAACCCCAACACTGACAAGGTGCAGAGACAGTGATGAGGTGAGATAGAGGTGCAGAGAAATGGGGGTGTTCTAGAGAGCACAAGAAAGAGGCAGGTAGAACCGGCCAGAGGCAGGGCTGAGGAAACAAGAGGGCTATTTTTCCTGTTTGCCTTTATCCAGGGGGTTGGGGGCCCTGGCAGATACTATGAGGGATTGCCCTGGGCAGGTTCCAGGCAGTGGGTATCAGTAGGAAAAGCTCAGTCAACAAGTGTGGCTATGTGCCCATCAGCCCATTCAGTCAACAAGGGCCAGTGAGCAGATATCAGCTAGCAACACAAACAACGTGAGAAACACGGAGGCAACGCTCCTGGGGTGCCAGGTATGGTGCTGGGTGCTGGGGAATGGAAAGAGACAGATGAGGAAGGCTCAGACTCTAATAGGGCAGGCGAACACATCACCATGGAGAAAATACTGCTGTTTAGTGTTTGCTCTGGATGAGTACTGAGCCTGTCGGATCAGCATGGATGCCTGCCCGAGGCCTCAAAGCACCCCAGGAGGTAGGCATCAGTACCCCCATTTCACAGAGGAAGAAACTGAGCCTCAGAGAGGTTAAGCAATGAGTGCTGAGCAGAACCAGAGTTTGCACCTGTCAGTTGGATTTCCAAAGGGGCTACACTTGCCCACGGTGCTTTCTTAAGTCTGTCCAGCAACAGAAGATTGAGCGCTGACTGGTGCACAGAATGATAGAATGATGCTGCTTACTGTGGACTGTCAGAGAAGGGAGTGAGAAGAATTAACTGGTGGGAAGGCAGCCCAGGAAGAGGGAATAGGCTGGGCAAAGGCAAGATGTCCGAGGTTTCTCTCGCCTCATGTTTTCCCTGCTGAAGTCCTGGGATTGGTCATTTCTTCAAGGAGCCCTGGCTCCTTTTAGTGGAGAATAGTATTTAAAAACCAAGACCTAGGTGTTAGGTGTGCTTGTTGCTACGGGGATTTCTTTGCATCTTGGCCCTCTCAGCAGACAGAGCTGGGAGATAAATACATGTTTGTTTGTTTTTTTTCTTCACTCTTGTTGCCCAGGCTGGAGTGCAATGGTGCAATCTCGGCTCACTGCAACCTCTGCCTCCCAGGTTCAAGTGATTCTCCTGCCTCAGCCTCTCAAGTAACTGGGGTTACAGGTGCCCACCACCACACCCAGCTAATTTTTGTATTTTTGGTAGAGACATGTTGGCCAGGCTGGTCTCAAACTCCTGACCTCAGGTGATCCACCTGCCTTGGCCTCCCAAAGTGCTGGGATTACAGGCGTGAGCCACCGCGCCTGGCCCAGATACATGTATTTTTATACACACATACTTAGAGACTGTCAGGGGATGCAGTCTGAGCTGCTAGAAAGGACTGTGGTTGTGAACAGCATGGGGGACCTTACACCCACCGTGGGATCTGGAAGAAGACAATGTGACACCTGCGAGCTGGTCCTGAGACCAGACCCTCTGTTTCAGACTCGGAACGAGAGAGTCTGGGAACGAGGTCTGCTGCTAGTGGGATTGCTCAGGAAGCCCCCCAGCATTCCATCCATCTGCGGTGAAGAAATGTGAATTTATTTATGGTTCATCAGTAGGAATCTGTTTGGGGAGAAAGCATTTGAGCTCTCCCCTGCTCAGAGCTAAATGCAGCAAGCCATCCACCCCACATTGTCCCTCAGTCCCTCCCACTGCAGCCTTATGTAGGGAGGCCACAGGGCTGGCACTGTCATCCACCAGGAGCTATGGAGCACCCTGGCTGCAACTGGGAGGGACAGTGCACCCCGCAGAGGGATGCCACCCAGAAGGCAGAGAAAGGAATGCCTGGAGTCAGGAGCCTGGGAGAATGCCATGTCCATGCCAGTAGGAAGGTTTTCTTCAGGGCTACACCTGCATCACCTTTGTATCATCAGTGTAAAGCTTCACTCTGGGAAAACATTTGAAAATGTTTAAGAAATGAATGAGTGCACAAGAAACACCCAAGGATGTGGGAAGGAGGAAAAAGCCAGGCAGATTCTGTTTCTATGACTTAGCTCTGAGTTGTCTGATTCTTGTTGCCTTTAGAAAAAGTCCTTGCCTCCCTTCAGCCTCTGCACTCTGGGCAGGACTGGTTCAGATGGCTCAGTTTATCTATCTACAGGAATAACTGCAGTTGATGGGATCCCAGTGGATGGATTCCCAGAGTGAAGGAGGACTTGGTGGGGTCTCAGCCTGAGTAGACTCAGGCAGGCCATGCAGGGACTCAAATCCACTGATCTACAATTTAAGGCAGAGATTTCATTTCTGAGGCAAGACTGAGGCCACTGCAGAAGTGGGCATAAGGCCAGAGCAGGGTAGACAGCCAGGCTGGATTGAGGCTGTGTTCCCTTGGGCATGGGCTAAACCCTGTTGGGCTCCTTCTGTTGGGGCAGGGTTGGTATTGGAGTCTATGTTTGGCCAGGGCTGCAGGTATGGGTCTGATTTCAGCATGGTGAAGGTGGGGAGAGGTGGATGTACTGGGGGATGTGGATGCAGGGATTCTGGGGGTGTTCAGCTTTTGTCCTGGCTTTTTTATTTCTTGCAGCCTCTTAAAGGGCTTTCTAAATCTCCTCCCTCTCAAACCATCCATTTCTTTCATCGGCTTTGATATTGTAAACACAATTTTACGGGTTTTCTTTTTAAGGAGGTTGGATTTTATCTTTCGTGTCTCCTTCATTGAGTCCTTTTCAGAGGCCTCCTTTTCTGTTTCTGAAAACCTTTTCTCTCCAGCTGCTTCCCCCCAGCCTGCTGCCCCAGTAGGTAGGGTTTGATGTTTGCCCTCAGGCATTGTTATCCTCGACCTTCTTGTGTTGACAACACAAGTCCGGACACCTGAAAGCTGTTGTGTATTGATCCTGCCGGGTCCTCCTCAGTACTGGGCGCTGCCGAAGGAGGCCTCGCAGAACTGGAGCTTGGGCAGTTGGCCCAGACTCTGCCTAATAGGGCTTTGCTTTTTCTTTTTGGTAAAACATACAGATTTCCTAAGTTTCTCTTCTCTTAACTTGGCATTTAAAATCCAGGAGAGTCTGATGTTGAATGAGTTTTCTAGCACTGCCTCCCACAAACCCTCCTTAAGGTCCATATGCCTTGGGATCTTCATGCTCCTTCATATTTTATTTCTTCTTATTAAAAAATTGATCTATTTATATATTGCTTGGTTGATTGGTTGAGGTATATCCCAATTCTTTTGCTTACCTTTTCTATATTCCTCATGTCGAAATCCTGCTCATTCCACAAATGTCACCTCTCCCAGGGAGTCCTCCCTGATTTTCCTAATTAGCACTAGTCATTCCTTCTGGGATCCAGGGCTCTTCGCTTCTCTCTCTATGGGACTAATTACTGCCCTGGGTCTGTGCTTCTGCTCATCTCTCCCACCAGGTTTTGAGTGCCATCTCCTTGTTGACAAGGGCTGTATCGTGTTTACCTGTCTCCAGCATGACAAGCCCTGGCGCACAGTGGGAAATAATCCAAAAGAATTGCATTTAATCAAACATCATTTTCCATGGACTTTTTCTCTTTTCAGTTTTCCCTGGGATGTTGATGCTTAAGTCCTTCGCAGTTTGTCTGCGAGTTCTTTGTCATTCAATGTGGTCCACAGAGGAGCAGCAGTAAGCACTAGGAATTGCATTAGAAATGAAAAATCTCAGGCGTCACCCTGGGCTACCAAATTGGAATCTGTATTTTAATGGGATGACCAGTTGATTTCTATGGATACTGGTCTAACTTACTTGCTGGGGGCTGGGATGAGGGAGGTGAGGACAGGACTGACACGTACAGCTGTGCAGGCTATGCACTGCACACATGTGCCTGGCTGAGGGGCTAAGTGGGGGCTCCATTTGCCCAGCTGTTCAGGTGGGCTGTCAATCCAGAGGGGATGTCTTCTAAAAACTCATGCCTTGGTTCCACATAGGCTACAGGTGTGGGGAGGGGTGGGGTTACTGTCGTGGATATATCCTTTGTTGGTTTCTAACTTCATGCCCCCTGACAACAACCTGAAAAACATGCCTATTTTGTGTTCCAGCCCTTCTGGCCTTTTGGTCTTTCAGTTCCTCAAATATGTCATGTTTCTTTCCTCCATTAGGCCTTTAACAGCTTCTTTCCTCTGCCCTCTGTCTTCCTGTCTTTCTTCTTCTCCTGCCTCTCTCTACCCTCAATCTATCATTACCTCCTGTTTAAATCCTTTGAGTCTCAGTTTAAATGTCACTTCCTCAGGAATGCTTTCTCTCCTTCTCTGGATTACATCAGATCCCCAGGGTTGTTTGCTGTCGGAGCTCCCTGTACCCTTTCATGGCATTTATCTCCATTTATAATTATATAACTAATTGCGTAATTAGCAGTTTCATGCCTGTCTCCTCCCTGTCTTTGTTGCAAATGCCTCAAGAACTCTAGCCCCAGCTCCTAGTTCGCTAATTTACTCTAAGATGCTTAAATAATATTTGTTCAATGAATGCATAATATAAAGACACTAGCCAGAGAAACAACAAAAAAAGACACTAGCCAGGACTGCCTGGGTCAATGTCTTCTTCCTTTCCTATCATGAAAATTCCTATCCCTCCCACCTTGAGCTTGGGCCCTGGTCACACTGGTATGCTAACCCATTCTGCAGGACTTCTGATGCACCTGGAAGCTGTGTGTTCTTAAAGTGAACAAAGAGATTTTCTGGCCAACACCTGCTCCTGACATAAACCTAATACAGTTTTCCTTCCTGCCTTCATCTGGCATGGTCCGTCCTTGTGCCTTGCTTAATTTCACCAGACAACTAGCCAAGATATTAACCATCCTGCTTCTCTACCTTGTGTTTTGTGTAAGGGAGCACAGTGCAGAGAAGAGCCCAGAATTTGATGTTAGATTTGACTGTAGCCACTAACCATGTGACTTAGGTAAGTTGCTTCTTTTTTTCCATCTATATAAAGAGAAATTTGGCTAGATAAGAGAGGGCAACTCTATGGCACACAGGCTATCATTCCTGTTCCTGCACCCATGGCAGACATTATTAATTGATCATTGAATTCTTTCTTGTGGAATCTGGACAGAGCCTTAGAATTCTTCCTAAGGCAGTGCTCCAGGCCCCCACTAGCAGTTGATCAGAGTTGGCACTGAGGTAGAAGTCTATTTGCTGTCCGAGCAACAGGTGTTCCGAAGGTTCCCTCTTGCTCTGGCAAGTAAAGATTTTGTTTCCTCTGCTGTTCTCCCCAGCCTCTCTAAGGAAACCTTGTCAGCTCTCAGCACTCTCAAAAACCTCCAACCTCTTACACCCTCTATTACAACCATGGGATTGCCAAGCATTTTTGACATTCCTCTTCTTTCCCGTGCATTGTGGAAGAGCGCGCCCCGAAACGTGTGCAGGCCAGTCTCAGAGGTCCCCAAAGTGATCAGAATTTCAATTCATTTGAGCATGCATTCAGCAGTAAACCTTTACTTTAATATTTAAAGTAAATGACTTGAGCCCACTCCTTCCCAATGGTTTTAATGCCTTCCCCAAGGTTTCAGCAAATTCCTGGGATGGTTTTGGTTCTCATGCTTACCTTTCCCTTCTGACTTGCTTTCTCGACTTCTCAGTCATCTGCTTGCCAGCTCCGCTCCTCTGCTGTCCCTCTGTGCATGGTCCCTGCAAGACGAGGTTTCTTTGCCTTTATTCCTCTTGAGCATCACCCCAGCAATGTTGATCGCTAGCATTTGCCTGAAGGTTTGGGGTATTGTGGGGAGAGGGGCAGGACTGTGTGTGTATGTGTGTGTGTGTGTGTGTGTGTGTGTGTGTGACAGCATAGAATAGCACAGTGCAGGAAACACTTTAAACCTGAATTTCTGACATCTGTTTCTTCAGGTTCCTCAGCCCACACTGTCCCAGAGATGTCCCACCGTCCACCTTTCCTCTTTAGACCCTAAGCCTTCTTGCTGTGTCCACCCTCCCCTACATAGCTTCTCGCATACTCCCCACGTCCCTTTGTTTTCTCAAGAAATGCTTACCTTCCCACTGGGGCTGTCCAGAAGAATGGAAACGTTTCTTGTTTTTTCCTTTTTTTTTGGAAACCTTTCTTCATCTTACTATGCAGTTTGGTCCCTCCTTCATATGACTGCTCTTTCTAGATTATGCCTAGGAGAGCATCACATTTCATCCCAAAGAGGCGCTGCAACATATTTTCCTAAATAAACAGCCATCTCCTCTGATAGGAATTTTCCTATCCCCCTAGCATGTAAAAGCAACTACAGTCAGTTCTTATTCTGAAGGGCAATCATTGTTTCTTCCTGATATCCACGATGAATAAGCTGCATCCTTAACCTCAAAGTGCTCACGGCTGGATGGTGAATATAGAAAAGTAAGCCATCAGTTACCTTATGAGGTGAGCAGTGTGCAGGAGAGAGGACTAAGTAAGATAATTGGGGGCCCTGGGGAACACATGGTGGGAGCAGTGGGGCAGAGCCTGCCAAAGCTTCTCAGAGGACGTGCACCAGAGGAGAGTCGGAAAGGCTAAGTAGGAGGTAGAGGTTAGACTGGAAACGGTGGTAGAGAAGAGAAAGGCAATCCAGGCAAAGGAGACTGCATGTGCAAAGTCGTGAAGTCTTGAAAGAGCATCGTGAAGTCCACAGCACAGTTCCCCTCCAGTGCAAAGAGTAAGGTTAGAGATGAAGTTACAGAGATAGGCAGAGACCAGGTCTCAGGACCTTAGTGGGATCTCTTGCAGAGCATTAATCTGGGGAGTAATGGGGCTGCTCTAGGAAGACCACTGGGCAGCTGCTGGTATGGAAACTAGATTGGGACAGAGAGCGAGGGTTGATGGGAGCCCAGAGATTTACTTTTTGCTAGCCTCTGGGAGAGGGAGTAAGAACCTGACCAAGAGCAGGGGCAGTTCTGATGGAGGCAAGACTGGATCTGAGGGACATTTAGATAAAGCAGGTTAAATAGGATGAATGGAGGCTGGTTGTGGGGATGAGGGCCTGAGGGACTCTTGGGATTAATTTATTGATCAAACATTTATTGGTATACATTTATTAGGGACTGCTCAGGAATTCCAGGTCTCCCAACCAGGGGCAGAATTCTCCCGTAGCCTCTGATTCCACTAACAGCTCTGAGGACCTCCCATACCCACCCTTTGGTGGACAACCTGGGGAACAATGTTGCCTCCCTGCTATCAGCTGGACCTCCAGTGTGTTGGATGCTGCATTCAGCCAAGGAAAAGGTGATGTTCTGTTTTATGGCAGATGAAGAAGGTCTTCAGATCTGGGAGTGTGGGTGTGTGTGAGTGCTGGGTTGTTCCAGGCATGCCAATGAAAAGTTTAGAATCATATCTCTACCGGTAAACCCAATCCAAACAAAACTGGTTAGAAGACAATTCCACAGGGAAGCTGGGAATCACTGTCCCATTGTGGAGTGGGGCTGGCACTCTGAGAGTGGCTGAAATAGGTATTCATGGAATGAAACTTGACTCTGGTTTGGGATTTCAGATTCAAATGGGTCTAGGACACAGAGAGCAGGTGTTGGTCTGCACATCTCATTGCAGGCTCTGCTTTTAGGACTCCACTCCTCACTCCTAGGAAGGGGACAGGAAGGAGCCATAGGTCCCTTCAGATCCCCACTTTCCCCACAGCCAGCCAAGAGGGTGCGGTTTGAAGTTAGAGGAGATTGGTCTGTGCTCTAGGCTTGACTGCTTGGTTAAGACTCTTAACCATTCTGAGTATTTTAATTAAGATTATTTTATTTGCAAGTATCAGAGACTAAGTTGGCTTAAACAAAAATAGAGAATTTTGGGCAGGTGTGGTGGCTCACGCCTGTAATCCCAGTACTTTGGGAGGCCAAGGCGGGTGGATCATGAGGTGGGGGTTTGAGACCAGCCTGACCAACATGGTGAAACCCTGTCTCTACTAAAAAAAATACAAAAATTAGCTGGGCATGGTGGCGTGTGCCTGTAATCTCAGCTACTCAGGAGGCTGAGGCAAGAGAATTGCTTGAATCCGGGAAGGGGAGGTTGCAGTGAGCCGAGATTGCGCTATGGCACTCCAGCCTGGGTGACAGAGCGAGACTCTGTCTCAAAAAATAAATAAATAAAAACAAAAACAGAGAATTTTTTTTTGCAGGGAGGCAGAGGCCATCGCAGGAAAGCAGTAGCTCTCACAAGGGACTGGGAGGCCACCAAGAATCAAAGCAGTCACCCTATCTCAGTCTCACGCTCCCTGGAGCCAGACAGTCTTTCATGTTTGGATTTCTCTGGGCTTGTGCTTAATCGTCTCTCTTTCTCTCACTTGTTTTTGTTAGTTTGCTTGTTTGTTTTATTTTATTTTTTCAAAAATTTTTATTTATTTATTTTTTTGAGACAGGGTCTCACTCTGTCCATAGGCTGGAGTGCAGTGGTGTGATATCGGCTCACTGCACTCTCTGCCACCTAGGCTGAAGTGATTCTTGTGTCTCAACCTCCCCAGTAGCTGGGATTACAGGTGTGCACCACCACGCCCGGCTAATTTTTGTATTTTTAGTAGAGACGAGGTTTTGCCACGTTGCTCAGGCTGGTCTTGAACTCCTGGCCTCAAGCAATCCACCCACCTCAGGCTCCCAAAGTGTTAGGATTACAGGCGTGAGCCACCATGCCTGGTCCTGTCTCTTGTTTTTATCTGTCTTTTGGCACATGTCATCAGATGATAGTCCAGTCTCCAACTTCCCCAGTGCGGCTGATTATGAATTGCACACATTAGTGGGAGGACAACTCTGATTGGTTCATCTTGAGTCATGTGCTCTCCACTATCCAAACAACTGTAGCCAGGGGGCGAAGCCAGTTACTGGAATGAATGTCATCGTCAACCAGGAAGGGGGTCCGGCGGGGGCTTCCTAATCTTCCAGGTAGGGCTTGAGCCTTAGGCATCTCTTCTGGAAAGTGGGATGACAGTGCTCACCTCAGAAGGTTACGTGACCGTGACAGGAGCGAAGGCACGTGGAAGGCCCTGGTCGAGTCTATGGCACTGGCACACACCCCTCCTTCCTGCTGCTTCCTCAGCTCCAGCGTGCTCGCACGCTTTCCACCCCCTGCTCCTGCCAGGGGAGAGGTCCTGAGCTGAGGGAGCTGGAGGCGCCGGCACTCCTCTGCCAGCGCAGAATCTGTATTCAAGTGTCTTCCGACCAGGAGTGAGGGAACTGTGTCTGGGGGCAGCTGGCTGGTCGTGGACTGCTTGGGTCAGTGCGGCTTTGTCTCGGTCTTAGAAGCTGTAGAAGAGGGCGGCAGGGTCAGCACCGGGAAGATGAGGGGAGGAAGGCCAGAAAGCCAAAGTTCAGGAGCCATGACATGTCTGGATTTGGGGAACAAAGAACAGAGGATCAAGGATCAGGGAAGTGTAGATGACCTCTTCTTTTTCCCTCCCTCCCTCCCTTCCTTTCTTCCTTCCTTCCTTCCTTCCTCCCTCCCTCCTTCTTTTTCTCTCTTTCTCTTTCTTTCTTTCCCTCCCTCTTTCTCTTTCTCTCTTTCTTTCTTCTCTTTCTCTTTCTTTCCCTCCCTCCCTTCTTTCCTTCCTTCCCTCCTTCCTTCCTCCCTCCCTCCTTTTCTTTTCTTTTTCTTTCTCTTTCTTTCTTTCTTTCCTTCTTTCTTTCTTTTATTCTCTCTCTCTTTCTTACCTTTAATTTTTTTTTTTCAGAGACAGAGTCTCGCTTTGTCATGTAGGCTGGTGTGCTGTGGTACGACCATGGCTCACTGCATCCTTGACCTCCTGGCCTGAAGTGATCCTCCCACTTTAGCTCCCAAAGTGCTGAGATTACAGGCATGAGCCACCATGCCTGGCCAGTGACCTCTTCTGAATGGTTTGTATGCTGTTTAAGCAAGATTTTACTGGGTCCATAATCAAAGAGATTTTCTTCCCCCAAATCACATAGCAGTAAATGGAGGGAGAATAGATTCGAATCCATCCTGTTGGATTCCACCACATTCCATTGTCTCCTGTGTTAGTGGGAAAGGCTTTCCTCCTACTCCAGATGTTTCTTCGGTGAAGGTGGCTTAATTAGTGTAACTGAGTCCTTTTCTACCCCACTTGTTTTTGCTACCCTGGGGAGATGGAATGACTTATCTGACTGGCAAATTTAAGAAGAATAACAGTCATGTCTCTGTGGTACCTTGTCTCCCTTGGGGGTGATCTGGCCTGGATGAGACCATGAGGGCTCTACCTTGCTGTGTGTCTTGACTGGGCAGGGTTCCTGCAAAGAAGTCTGCCCTGTTCTGTGTGTGTGTGAGAAACTTAAACTTGGAATTCATTGTCCTAACTGTCATCACTAAGCTACATCCTCCAACTCAGCCTCTGTCAGTAATAATATCAATATTTTGATCTCTATCTGTTTTATATTTAAAAATTCTGCAGACTGAGTCAAGAAGGCTGCCACTTATTGAGAACCCCCTGGAGACCCCAACAATATTGCAATGGTTAACAATATAAATAATACTAACAATCATAATAGAAACAATGCCTGTTCATGGAGATTTTACTATGTGCTAATAGCCTTACATGGATTATCTCAAGAACCACTTGCAACAATCTTAGGAAGTAGAAGCTATTATTTCTCTACTTTACTGTTGAGGAACTGGGAGTTTAGAGTAATCTGGCTATTAAGCAATGTGCCCAAGTCACACAATTAGTCTGAGGTAGAACCCAAATTTTACTAGGCATGACCAAAACCATGCTCCTAACCACTAGGGTATACAGCCTTCTGGAAGGAAAGGTCTATGGAGATGATGTCATTAGGGATGGCTTCCTAGAGGAGGAGGGGACAGAGGCCCTGAGCTGAATCTTGAAGGCTATGCAGATAAAATACTTTGAGCTGTTAGTTTACCAATTCCGTTTTGCTTTGTTCATTGGCAGATCCCAATGCTATGTGCTCCATAACTCTCGGGTGCCTCTCCCTCAAATTTAGATATCATATCATTTGTTTAACTTGCTGAATAAAGTAATTAGTACCTGGGAGCCTGCCTGCCTGGCAGAATATATTGGTGCAGCTAACGAAGTTTATGCCTTCAGGCTGTGCAGTGGAATTTGATTTAATTTGTCCCAAGGTTAGGAAAGACGATGGGAGACTTTGGCATCTTCTCCATCTCTGTCTCGGAGTAATTCATTGCCAGTGTGGAGGGAGGCAGCATTGGGCCGTTTTAGCACTAATGGAGACTCCAGAAGCTTTCCCAGTGGAATCTGACTTGCTTTATGGATGCAGCTGAGCAGCTACCAACTTCCCTTGCAAGGGAGATGCTGTCTTTCAGAGTCACAGGGACCACGCCTGGGGAAGGCACCCTCTCAAGCCCATCCATGGCAGCGGCTGCTACAATGGCTTTTGCCTACAAGATTGTGAGCTCCTTGGGGTGGGGATTTTATTTTATTCACTGTCTCTGTTCCAGACAAGGCATTAGGTGGGACTCTGCCATTCACCTTGTCCTGTCCCTGTAATGATGATTCTGTTTGAGAGGAAGAACAAAACTAACCCTTTACCTTCCCCAAGGCCTCTGCCCCAGCCAGCCGACCTCCTCCCTGCCTATGGTACACCTTTACCATTTGCTCCATGCTGTTCTCCCAGACAATGCCCTTTCTCTCTGTTTTTAAGTCTCTGAATCCTTCCTACCCTTTTAGTCTCAGTTTTACCATTCCTTCCTGTAGCCTTTTCTTCCCTGGATTGCTCTAGATGGTATAGTGCTGGGAGACAACGTAGGACAGAGAGTCAGGATGCAAGCTCTGGAGCCAGATTGTCTGGCCTCAAACACCAGCTGTATTGCATATTTGCTGTGTGATCTTGGGAAAATAACTTAACCTCTCTTTGGCCTGGTTTGCTCCTCTCTCAAATGGGAGCAGATAGGGTCTTGTGAGGATAAATGAGTTAATCTGCAGGTAAAGTACATAGAACTGTGCTGGTAAATGGTATGTGCCATCTAAGGGTTAAACCATAACAACGTTGCTCTCTTCCTCTGTGTTCTGTGTCCTCTGGGGACTTCCCGCCTTCAAGAGGCTGCTGGGTTGTGCACCTGGTCTTGCATCCAGTGACATCTGGGCCAGCACATCCCTTCTCCTCACTTGGTTTCCCCAGGGAGCTGAGTTAGGTGTGAGGCTGACCTGTCCCCTTCTTGGCCACCCAGGCAAGTTGGGCTGGCTGGCATGCAGGATGTCCGTGCCCTCCATCAACTTTCACGGTCTGGGTGCTCTGTGGCAGATGCTGGCTTTTGCAGATAGAGAGAAACCCTTTAGAAGTGTGCTGTTCAAGGGAGGAGCGTAGAAACACCAGGGGCCCTGCCCAGGGATGGGGTAAAGGAAGAAGAAATGATTGGAGGTCTTAACTTGGTGGCAAAGTGCCTGCTCCCAAGCTCAATGAACTGGGGAAGGAGGATAAGGAGAAAAGACCAGCAGACTTGGGGATGACATCCTTGTCTGGGTCTCTGCAGAGATGTCAGGGGAGGAGGGTTAGGGGCTGCTTCCAGGGCACAGCTAGGACCCAAGGGGAAGAGGAGACAAGTTTTGGCTCAATAACAGGGTGACTGTTCTCGTAACTAGAGCGGGTCATGTCAGGGTCTTTGTAAGGCAATGAGCTGCCCATCACTGGAGAAGTTAAGTACAGCTTGTGTGGGATTTGTTGTGCTGACACTTCTTAAGAGCTTACTATGTTCTAAGCCCTGCATTAAGTCCTTTATCATCTCATCTAATCCTCATCACAACTTCATAAGGGTGGGTAAAATATAATATGATAAGCCTCATGTTATAAATAAAAAGTTAGAACCTAGAGGGTTTATGGGATATACCCAAGTCAGGCAGGCCACCGAGAGACCTTGGCTTGACCACCTATTATATATTACTGGGTACATTGCATTTCATTCCTTTAAGTTTCCGTATCTGAAAACTGGAGATCATGAAGTACTGTACAAGGTGAATACCCAGCAAATATGAGCTACTGTTATTCTCAGACACGGTCATCTCCTCAGGTGAACACAGCTGGTTTCAGCATCTTTTTTTCTGGTCAGGTCACTGTGGTCCTGGGTTGAGTCAGACTCCAGTCTCTTCTCTTACTTGCAGCTGAAAGTCTTGGCTGTGCCAACAAACATTTCCTTAAAGAATGTTCTTGGGGATGTTTGTAGGTATCCACGAAAAAGGTACCTTGATCAGAGCAGTGCAGGAAACAATGGGTTAAATAAAGCTAGCCTGGTTATTTCTTGCAGGGCTTCTCAGAGCATTTAGAATGCTAATGTGCACTGTGAATCTCCCAGAGAAGGCTAAAGTATGCAGCATTTCCAAAATTTATTTAATCATGAACATCTTCCATCCTTTTATTTTTGGTGTCATTGCCCAGGATTGTTTGCTGACTCCCTAGCCAATAACTTCTGCAAAAGCGCATGACTCTCAGGCTATTGGTAAAGGGGCAGGGAGAGTAATCAAGACAGGAGGCTGTCAGGCTAGCTGGCACCCAGGCTGGTTCACAGAAGCTGCCAGGAGAATGGCCTTCCTTAACTCTTGGCCAGAGGTTTCTCTCATGTGGTGACACCAGCAGATAGGCAGACAGGTGCATGATGTGAATTCACTGACAACTGCTTATGATGGTGGCAACCATTGGTGGTAGAAGTGACAGCAGGTACCGTACCCAGGACATTCTTGAGCACATGGGTTTCATATATCCTTTCTACCACTCAAGTCTGCCCCCGTGTGCTTTAATTCTTTAATCCTAAGTGCAATGCTCTCCCAAGTACTGTTCCAGGATCTCCTTCTCAGGTTATGAGAATGTCAGGATCATCCGATCTTTTCCTCATTGTCATTTCTGGGTCACCAAGATTCTTACCATCTGAGGTATGTTTTTTCTTGCTTACCAAGAGGTTTATTTATTCTACTGATTCAATACATCCCATGTCTACCAAGAAAAAAACATAATAGATCAAATATTCCCAAGAATGCATAACCACAGCAGAACCTCTTACAAGGTACACTTCCCTTTCTTATTATCTAACCTAATTATTTCTCTCTGTTATAGCACAATACATTTTCCTCCTAATCATTGGTTCACTTGGGAATCATGTCTTAAAGACAGCTAGAGAAAAGGAGGTGAGGGGCTTTGCAGGGTGGGAGTGGAGGGCTCTGTCTCCAGGCTTCAGCTCTGGCAGTGCTGTGGGGTGGAGGGAGTCAGCTTTCAGCCCGGGAAGGGTCCAGCCAAATGGTTCTGAACCTGTGGCCTCTAGGCCCTTTTGAGAAAGAAAAATGAGTCAGCATCAGTTCCGGTGTAGTTTGCTTCCCTTCTAATCGGTGCCAGGGCCCCAGATACCAGGGCTGTAATTACTTATGCTGTCGAGAGAAAGGAGTTCTTAAAGTGATTTATCATGGAGGCGACAGAAAATGACAATTGCTCATCACTTAAAACAATGAGCCTGCCAGATGCTGACTACGCAGGTGTGGGCACGTGGGGTGGCAGCATTCCATCTCTGTAGGACTTCACTGGTGGAGTTAATGAACAATTAGCCCCCCAAGGGACATTGCCTCCAGGGAGAGGCACCCATGGTCAGGGCTGTGACTCCCATGCAGGCTCTTCTGAGAGGTTTTAAAAACATGTATCACACTTTTACTCTATCAGGCACTGTGATGTGTTTCATGTAGATCATGACATGAGGTGGAAATTATCTGTCAGGTGTGCTGAGAACCCCAGGGAGGCAGGGGTCCCCATAGCTGGACCACCCTGAAGGGCCAAGAGAGCCAATTGTCATGGCAACTGGCCAAACTCATATACCGACTCCCAGGACCAGGGCGGGAGTTGATGGCTTAACTTAATGTTCCAGAGGCAGCAGTGAGCTTTGGGGCTTTCTCTGCCCCTGCATTTCACCCCGGACATCCCCTTAGGCATCCCTGACTTCTTACCTCAATGTGGCAGATGGAACGTTCTTTTCTGTCTTTTCTCCCATCTTTGTTTTCCTCTGGCTAGACTCTTGTGCAAGAAAAGCCCGTCTGTGCATCAGGACCCTCCCCAATCTCTCGTGCATGGCACACACTTCTCCCATCTCTCCTCCTCAAGATGCACTTCAGTGCAGTTGTGAGTAGCACTGCTGCTGGAGTCTGACTGCCTGTGTTCAAATCCCAGCTCTGCTCGTTAGCTGTATGACCTTGAGCTAATTATCTAACCTCTTTGTGCCTTGGTTTCCCCACTTGTAAAACAGAAGTACTTTAAACATTAAAAAGATTAATGTATGCAAAGTGCTTAAAATGGCTTTGTGTGTTACTGTTACTTACTTCCTTTAATTAATATCTTGAGCCTCTACTGTGTGGTGGTAGTGAGACTGATGCCAGGATACATACAGTGGTCATCCTCACAAGCACAGCTCTGCCCTCGAGTCTTCTTGAGCAAGCCGACATTGGACAGATAATCACACAAATAATTATGTACTTAAAATCATGACAAATGCGACAAATGTGACATAGAGGGAATACAGAAGCTAGGAGAGCATTTAACAGGGGGACATGACCTTGTGTGGGAGATCAGGAAGGCTTTCCTAGGGAAATAATGTTTAAGCAGAAACTTGTAAGATGAATAAGGGTCACCAGACAAAACGAGAATAGAAGAGAGTGTTCCAAATATACAAAAAAAAAAAAAAAAAAAAAGTAAAGCATGTACATAGGCCCTGGCTGCAAAGAAGCATGGCATTTTTGCAGAGCTGAAAAGAAGACCAGTTTGGACAGGGCACAGATAGAGTGAATGAAGTTAGGGATAACGGCTTATTTTCTTTTTCTGGTCTTTCCTGGCCTCTCTCTCTCTGCTCCTTCCCTCTCTCCTCCCAGGGAAGACAAGTGATTATTCTGACTAGTGAGTTTGAGACGAGGTGCTGGGTATTCTGGACTCCGTTAGGGGTCTCTTGGCAGTAAACATTCTGCCCCTGCAGGGTGAAGTCTACAGTCCTACCGTTCCTTGAGGCTGGACGTGTGAGGATGCTTGATGATGAGGTGGACTTAGGAAACCCAGTGTTGACACTTAAGCCACAGTCCACAACAATATACTTTCAACAACGCAGCTGATGTCTTGATCTCCATCTGCAGGACTTCATAAGTTCTATATTAAGGCAGGGTAAGAAAGGGGTGTCATCTATTGGGCCCTATGGGAAGGGGCCAGACCATGCGAGACCTTATCAGCCATCTGCTCTTTCTCCACTCTCTGGCCCATAGTTAGGTGTTTCTGTTTGGAGGTAGGATCAAGTGCCGAATATTAAATATTTTTAATACAACTCTGTTTTTCTTTTATTGTTGGTGGGCTAGGGGTGGGGGAAATGAGTCCAGAAACCTCTTTAATATCGAAGGGTCCGGGGATTCAATTATACTTGTCTCTGACAGAAAGTCAATTTTAAAAGAATACATCAACAGTTTAAATGGTAGTGCTGGCTTTTTTCTGCAGTGAGAAATTTTGAATTCTCTAGTTTGGTCTCTTTGAGCCCAGCCAGCCTGGTAGATTTTGGCCCAAAGCATGAGGGACCCCATCACCCATTTACCCCTACTTGAACTGCAAATGGCACGAGGCTTTCAATTCTTTTGCAGTTCATTTTTGAAAGGACACACCTTCCATCTCATTTCCTCCTTAGGAGAACCTTGCAAAGGGAGGAATTTTTGTCCCATTTTACAGATGAGGTAACTCATGCTTACACAGGGGAAGTAACTGGCCCAGGGCCACACGGTGACAAGTGGAGGGTCCAGGAATCGAGGCCAAGTCTCTATGATTTCAAAGGCCATGCTACCATCTGCTGGAAGCCTTGTCATTTTATTAGTCAGGGTTTGCTCATGACTAGCCCATGAGAGAAAAATGGAGTGACTGGGAAAATAAGAGGCAAAACTGCAGTTGCAGGAGCCTCAGGCCAGGAGCCATGGACACACTCACTCTTGCCTGCTAGCCTCCTTTACTCCCATAGTGGGCAGTCATGTTCCACTTGGTGGAGAATGGGGCCACACAGTCCCCGGTTCCTATTGCCAGTACTGAACAACCACTTCACCTCTCAGCTTAAAGATTCCTTCTTCAGGGAAGCCTTCCAAGATGCCAAGGTTAGGCCTCTCTGTCATTCCCCTCCATGGCACTGATCTCAATTTGTAATGATTGATTAATCTGTGTTATTTGATTTGTCCCTTGAGGTAACTATGACTCTTCCATGAGACTCCGAACCTCATAAGGAGATCGCCTGATACAACCCTGGCATTCTGTAGGTAGTTCTTGAATGAATTTGTTGAATAAACTCAGCAAGTGAAGAAGAGGGGGAAAAGTGTTTTAGGCAGAGGGAATAGCACTTGTCAAGGCCCAGAGGACGGAACGAATCTGGCACTCTAAAAGCAAGCATGTTGAGTCTGATCAGATTGGACTGGAAAGGGAGGGGCAGATCGTTAAGATGTTATAAATCCAGTTAAGGCTTTTGGACTTCCTCCTGGGTGCAATGAGAAGCCTTTGCAAGGTTTTAAGCAGGGGAGTGATGAGGTAGATTTGTGTGTTAGCAAGATTGTTTTGGTTGGAGCAAGGGGTGAAGCTGGAAGCAGGGAGGTCAGGAAGGAGGCTCTTGGAACAGCCCAGGAGGGAGACGAGGGTGGCGTAAACATCGATGGTTGCTGTTAGTGGTGTGGGAGGGAAATGACACATTTGGATGATGGGATGGGTAGGGCTTGGTGTAGAAGGTGGGTTAAGAAAGATTGGCTGGGCACCGTGGCTCATTCCTGCAATCCCAGCATTTTGAGAGGCTGAGGCAGGTGGATCACCTGTAGTGAGGAGTTCAAGACCAGACTGGCCAACATGGCAAAACCCTGTCTCTATTAAAAATACAAAAAATTAGCCAGGTGTGGTGGCTGGTGCCTGTAATCCAGCTCCTCGGGAGGCTGAGGCAGGAGAATTTCTTGAACCTGAGGGGCAGAGGTTGCAGTGAGCCGAGATCATACCATTGCACTCCAGTCTGGGTGACAAGAGCAAGACTCCATCTCAAAACAAACAAACAAAAAACAAAAACAAAAAACAAAAAACCAGAAAAGGTGTCAGGAAGAGGCTTGGGTTTCTAACTAAGGCAACAAAGCAGTAAGCCTGTAGTTTTGAGTGGACGGTTGTTGGTCTGGGCTCATTCACAGTGGCAGGGTTGAAGCCAGTTCCCACAGGGCTCCTGACTTCACACATTTTAAAGGGGTTCTGAGCTGGGCATGGTAGCTTATGTCTGTAATTCCAGCTACTCTGGAGGCTGAGGGGGAGGATTACTTTAGCACAGGAGTTTGAGATTAGCCTGGGCAATATAGCCAGACCTCAACTTCCTACCAAACAAACAAACAAACAAACAAAAAATTTCAGAGTCACCCTCAACAGGTAGAATTTATCCTACTACAGATAGAAATTCTGGTCCAACTGTCTGGGCCACCTGAAATCCCAGCTGGGTCAGCTGCAGGAACTCAGGAAGCCTTTTCTGGGCTGCCACTCAGAGAAAGACACTCTCATGTGGGAAACCAGAGGGCCAGTGCCTTCGCAGTCTGAAAAGCAAAGCTGAGTCCACATCAGGATTAGGACGTCTGAAAAGAGCCAGTTAAGGCTTGTTCATACAATCCCAGATGTAAACACCAGGGAGCTTCCTTGAGTCTTGAGAAATAAGCACGGGCCACAAAAGGAAGCTGGGTTTCCTTACCTTTGTCTTGAGAGGAGGTTAATAGGCTCGTGGAACTTATTACCTAGGGCCGGCTGGGATCAAGTGATTGATTTATGGATTGATTGACAGCCACTCACCCAACAGATACTTATCGAGGGCCTGCTATATTTTGCTCTGCAGTGCCCTGAGGGTTCGAGGTCTTGGACTTGCTACTAACCTACCAGGTAACCATGGACAATCCCGTTCTCCTTCTTGGATTAATAATCATAAAAGCCACACTTTACTGAGTCATGAACAGGTTCAAGGTGCTGATTGCTCACCACTCACAACAGTTCCTTGAGGTAAGTATGGTTACACCCATTTTACAGATGAGGAAGCTGAGTTTGGAGAGATTTAGTAATTTACCCAGGGCCATATGGAAGCAAGGTGGAGCTGCAGTTCCACTCCAGTGCCAGAGGTCAAGGGAAAATGCACTCTCCCACGGGGCATCTTGGCGGTGAGGTGCCAGGAAAGAGTTTTAAGTAGAAAGATGACACAATCAAACCTTTGTTTGGAAGATGGATCCAATGTGGGGTGACCAGAAAGGAGGTGTTATAGTGGTCCAGGCTGGAACTAGGGCAGGGACTGTGGGCTGGAGAGGCAGGGCTGGATAAGAGTTACATGGCAAAGGACAAATCCCCAGCACATTGGGTTGGAGTGGACAGAGCAGTGGGAGATTCTGAGGTTTTCAGTGGTGTGGCAGGAAGGATGATGGCAGAGACAAGGAGGAGTGGAGGAAGAGGAGGTTTTGGGGGCAGATGAGAGCTTCACAGCCTAGAAGTAGCCCTGTCCTGGCACTGCGGAAGAGCCTCTGTCCAGACAGCAGTGCCTGAGGTCATCTGTGGTGTGGAATTCTATCTTTCTTTCTTAATGGTTTCCCAGGCAGGGGCCATATCTTCCTGTTTACTCTTTTAAGAATTATTTGAAATGGAGTGTATGTGTGTGTGTGTGTGTGTGTGTGTGTTTATTTCTCAGCTTTTAACCTTGCCAACTTGTGCCTCTTAAATACTAATTACCTCTTGGGCTCTGACAATTCTGCTTTCTTAAAACAGCCTCAGCAGGCCTTTCCTGCCCACAAAAGGCCAAGAGTGTGGATGTCTCTGTGCCGAAGGCCTCTGGACAGTGCAGGTTTTGGGGATAATTAGCCAGGGAGGGTGAGGCTCCAGGAGCAGACAAGGTGAGTCAGGGTTGGCAGCCACTGCGTCTCCCCAGCAGAGCTCTGGTGCTCGAGGCAGGAGATGCTGCAGCAAGCTGCTGGCTGCGATACGTCCTGTCACCCCAGGCCTAATGAGAAGAGTCAGGCCAACCACAGTGCCTGCTGGGGGGCGGGGGCACCATTGGGACCAGCAGGCTTTTCCCGGGACGGGCTGACAGCCGCATTGTTTCCTTAGTGCTGGAGGGGAAATGAGATTCCTCCTAGGGGGATAGTGTCCACCCTACAGTCCACCCAGTCCTCAGTCGCCAAGCTCCCCACTCCCCAGGACCAACCCTGGGCAGAGCAAAGGGATGTATGTGTGGGAGAGGGGGAGGTCCTTTGAGAGGTGGGCAAAGTCAGGGCCTGTGCTTTAAGTTACCAGATGTAATGAGAGGTGCTGTGCCCCATTCAACCTCTCCCCAACCCCCAGCACCCCATGCAGCATGGTTAAAATTAGTGGTTAAGATCTCTTGGTAATCAGGCAAACCTTGTTTGAAATGCCAACTCCTCTTCTTCCTAGCTGTGTGATGTAGGCGAGTTACTCAGCCTCTGCAAACCTGAGTTTCTGTAAAATGGAGATAACAACAGAGTTGGCCTTCTAGAATGGTAGCCGTGGCTTGATGAACTTGTATTTGTTTGCTAGGACTGCTGTAACAAAGTATTATAAACTATGCTTTTAAAAAAACAGGATTTTAGTGTCTCACAGTTCTGGAGGCTGGAAGTTTGAGATCAAGGTGTTGGCAGGGGGGTGTCCTTGGAGGGCTGTGAGGGAGGATGTGTTCTGGGCCCCTCTCTTTTGTCTGTAGATGGCTATGTTCATGCCATGTGGCATTCCCTTGATATGCACGTCTGTCTCCAAATTTCCCCTTTTTCTAAGGACCCTAATCATCTTGGATTAGGGCCCACCCTAAATACCTCATTTTAACTTGATTATCTCTGTAAAGACATATCTATCTCCAGGTAAGGTCACAGTCAGATCCCCAGTCAATTCCCAGCCTGGGTGCTGGGAATTTTGGGAAATGGTGACATACATTTTAACCCATGACAGAGAAAGATGACATGCAAAACACTTAGTAGGGCACAGAATAAGTGAGCTATACGTTATTATTATTGTCCTTGCCATAATCCTATCCCTAATCTCCAGCCCCCTTCTGAAATGTGCTCTGTTTCAGCTTCAATATCCTGTCTGTTCCCCAGAGCTTTCTCGCCTGTGCTTTCCCACCCTAATCTCTATTTTCTGTTTTCCCCGACCTGAGAATTCAATCCTCATCCCCAAGATGGAAAACGATCACTGGGAATGTTGTGACAAAGGTTTAGATCACTGGGTGTGTGGACCACATGTGAAGGGGGCTGGTCTGAGCCTAGGTCCTGGCTGATAACTGAAGCCTGTCTCCTGCTTCTGTGATGGTCATCCTCTGGGACTCCCTTACCTTAGTCTCTAGAGAAAGATGTGGCTGAGAAATAAAAATAAAATTTGAAGCCCCACAACTAAGTGAACAGACCCCCTCTTGGCCAAAGGAACCTCAGAGAAATTGTAAAAACTGAGTACCCATCCAAGACAGAATGGGATGGGGAGGCAAACACAACTTGTTATATCCCCTCCCTCACTGACTACCATTAGACTCTTTCCTAAAGGTGAAACAGAAACCAGCTCTTGTGAAAGACTTGTCAGATGCCTCCCTTTTTGCAGTTCTGACACAACCGACTAGCATTCCTTCCTGATAAGAGACCACTGACTGGGCTGGGCATGGTGGCTCATGTCTGTAATCCCAACACTTTGGGAGGCCGAGGCGTGTGGATCACCTGAGGTCAGGAGTTTGAGACCAGCCTGACCAACATGGTGAAACCCTGTCTCTACTAAAAATACAAAAATTAGCTTGGCGTGGTGGCATGTGCCTGTAATCCCAGCTACTAAGGAGGCTGAGGCAGGAGAATCACTAGAACCTGGTAGGCGGAAGCTGCAGTGAGCCGAGATCACACCACTGCACTCTAGCCTGGGGGACAAGAGTGAAACTCTGTCACAAAAAAAAAAAAAAAAAAAAATAGAGACTGCTGACCATGGGCTGGTTCTGGCCGGTTTACAGAGGCTGTGCACAGGATGCTTCTGCATCCTTTCTTTGACCTTTTGACATACAGAGCCTAACTTTACTGCATTTAAAAGTTAAGTCTCCACCCAAAGTGATATGGTTTGGCTCTTTGTCCCCACCCAAATCTCACCTTGAATTGTAATAATCCCCACCTGTCATGGGAGGGACCCAGTGGGGGGTAATTGAATCGTGGGGGTGGATTTTTCCCATATTGCTCTCATGATGGTGAATAAGTCTCATGAGATCTGATGGTTTTATAAAGGGGAGTTCCCCTGCACATGCTCTCTTGCCTGCTGACATGTAAGACATGACTTTGCTCCTCCTTCAGCTTCCACCATGATTGTGAGGCTTCCCCAGCCATGTGGAAGTGTGAGTCAATTAAACCTCTTTCCTTTATAAATTACCCAGTCTCTGGTATGTCTTTATTAGCAGCATGAGAATAGGTTAATAGACAAAGTGAACATGGATGTATGTACCATGTATGTTTGTTTATTATGCATGCATATGCCCCACTATCATGAATAGTCATAGCTCCTCCTGTAACCCACTAAATGTGTATACTTATCCAACCCATTTTGCATAAATTACTCTTCCACCCTTACCTCCCTTGTAGTGCTTGCTTTTGGTTTCTACTGGAGGCTACATTTTCCCACCTGTGGGATGGCCAGCCCACAGGCTGCAACCCTTATAAGAAATAAAGCTCTTCTTTCCAAATTTGTGAATCTTGTGGTTCTTCAATTGATATGGATAATGGCTAAGAATTTGGACTCCAATATCCCTTGCCTGCTAGCTTATGGATCAGCAAACTCAGTCTGTGGGTGATATTTGGCTCACTGCCTGATTTTTGTAAATAAAGTCTTATTTAGACAATTACACCCATTCATTTATATATTGTCTATGATTGCTTACATGCTGCAAAGACAGAGTTGTATATTTGCATCAGAGATCAACCATATGGCCTGCAAAGCTGAAAATAATTACTATTTGGTTCATTATGGAAAAAAGTTCACTGACCCCTGTCTTAACTTTATGATCTTGGCAACTATCTTGACCTTTCTGTACCTTACTTTCCCATTTATTAATTAGAGGTGGTGATGGTACCTTTCTTATGGGGGTGTGGTGATTGTCAGGCCTCTGAGCCCAAGCCAAGCCATCACAAAGGTGTCAGACCATGCAGGGACGCCTGCCTTGGTCCTTCACCCTTGGCAGCAAGTCCCGCTTTTCTGGGGGAGGGGCAAGTACCCCAACCCCTTCTCTCCGTGTCTCTATCCCTTCTCTGCTTTTCTGGGGGAAGGGCAAGTACCCCAACCTCGTATCTCTGTGCCCCGATCCCTTATTTCCACGCCCTGACCTCGTATCTCTGTGCCCCGACCCCTTCTCTGCTTTTCTGGAGGGCAAGAAACCCCCACCCCTTCTCCGTGTCTCTACTGTTTTCTCTGGGCTTGCCTCCTTCACTATGGGTAAGCTTCCACCTTCCATTCCTCCTTCTCCCTTAGCCTGTGTTCTTAAGAACTTAAAACCTCTTCAACTCTCACCTGACCTAAAATCTAAATGCCTTATTTTCTTCTGCAATGCCGCTTGACTCCAATACAAATTCGACAGTCGTTCCAAATAGCCAGAAAATGGCACTTTGAATTTTTCCATCCTGCAAGATCTAAATAATTCTCGTAAAATAGGCAAACGGTCTGAGGTGCCTGACATCCAGGCATTCTTTTACACATCAGTCCCTCTCTAGTCTCTGTTCCCAATGCAACTCATCTCAAATCTTCCTTCTTTCCCTCCCACCTGTCCCCTCAGTCCCAACCCCAAGCATTGCTGAGTCTTTCTAATCTTCCTTTTCTACAGACCCTTTTGACCTCTCCCCTTCTCACCAGGCCGAGCTAGGTCCCAATTCTTCCTCAGCCTCCGCTCCTCCACCCTATAATCTTTTTATCACCTCCCCTCTTCACACCTGGTCCGACTTACAGTTTCGTTCCGTGACTAGCCCTCCCCCACCTGCCCAGCAATTTACTCTTAAAAAGGTGGCTGGAGCTAAAGGCATAGTCAAGGTTAATGCTCCTTTTTCTTTATCCCAAATCAGATAGCGTTTAGTCTCTTTTTCGTCAAACATAAAAAGCCCAGCCCAGTTCATGGCTCGTTCGGCAGCAACCCTGAGATGTTTTACAGCTCTAGACCCTAAAAGGTCAAAAGGCCGTCTTATTCTCAATATACATTTTATTACCCAATCTGCTCCCAACATTAAATAAAACTCCAAAAATTGGAATCTGGCCCTCAAACCCCACAACAGGACTTAATTCACCTCACCTTCAAGGTGTACAATAACAGAAAAAAGTTGCAATTCCTTGCCTCCACTGTGAGACAAACCCCAGCCACATCTCCAGCACACAAGAACTTCCAAACGCCTGAACTGCAGCAGCCAGGTGTTCCTCCAGAACCTCTTCCCCCAGGAGCTTGCTACACGTGCCGGAAATCTGGCTACTGGGCCAAGGAATGCCCGCAGCCCAGGATTCCTCCTAAGCTGCGTCCCATCTGTGTGGGACCCCACTGAAAATCGGACTGTTCAACTCACCTGGCAGCCACTCCCAGAGCCCCTGGAACTCTGGCCCAAGGCTCTCTGACTGACTGCTTCCCAGATCTTCTTGGCTTAGCAGCTGAAGACTGATGCTGCCCTATCGCCTCGGAAGCCCCACAGACCATCACGGACGCTGAGCTTTAGGTAACTCTCACAGTGGAGGGTAAGTCCGTCCGCTTCTTAATCAATACGGAAGCTACCTACTCCACATTACCTTCTTTTCAAGGGCCTGTTTCCCTTGACTCCATAACTGTTGTGGGTATTGACAGCCAGGCTTCTAAACCTCTTAAAACTCCCCAACTCTGGTGCCAACTTAGACAATACTCTTTTATGCACTCTTTTTTAGTTATCCCCACCTGCCCAGTTCCCTTATTAGGCCGAGATATTTTAACCAAATTATCTGCTTCCCTGACTATTCCTGGACTATAGCTGCATCTCGTTGCCGCCCTTCTTCCCAATCCAAAGCCTCCTTTGCGTCCTCCTCTTGTATTCCCCCACCTTAACCCACAAGTATAAGATACTTCTACTCCCTCCTTAGCGACCGATCATGCACCCCTTACCATCTCATTAAAACCTAACCACCCTTACCCCACTTAATGCCAAGATCCCATCCCACAGCACGATTTAAAAGGATTAAAGCCTGTTATCACTTGCCTGCTAAAACATGGCCTTTTAAAGCCTATGAACTCTCCTTACCATTCCCCCATTTTACCTGTCCAAAAACCAGACAAGGCTTACTGGTTAGTTCAGAATCTGCCCCTTATCAACCAAATTGTTTTGCCTATCCACCCCGTGATGCCAAACCCATATGCTCTCCTATCCTCAATACCTCCCTCTACTACCCATTATTCTGTTCTGGATCTCAAACATGCTTTCTTTACTATTCTTTTGCACCCTTCATCCCAGCCTCTCTTTGCTTTCACTTAGACTGACCCTGACACCCATTAGGCTCAGCAAATTACCTGGGCTGTACTGCCGCAAGGCTTCACAGACAGCCCCCATTACTTCAGTCAAGCCCAAATTACATCCTCATCTGTTACCTATCTCGGCATAATTCTCATAAAAATACATGTGCTCTCCCTGCTGATCGTGTCCGATTAATCTTCCAAACCTTAATCCCTTACAAAACAACAACTCCTTTCCTTCCTAGGCATGGTTAGTGCGGTCAGAATTCTTACACAAGAGCCAGGACCGCACCCTGTAGCCTTTCTGTCCAAACAACTTGACCTTACTGTTTTAGCCTAGCTCTCATGTCTGCGTGCAGCAGCTGCCGCTGCTTTAATACTTTTAGAGGCCCTAAAAATCACAGACTATGCTCAACTCACTCTCTACATTTCTCATAACTTCCAAAATCTATTTTCTTTCTCATACCTGATGCATATACTTTCTGCTCCCCGGCTCCTTCAGCTGTACTCACTCTTTGTTAAGTCCCACAATTACCATTGTTCCTGGCCCGGACTTCAATCCGGCCTCCCACATTATTCCTGATCCCACACCTGACCCCCATGACTGTATCTCTCTGATCCACCTGACATTCACTCCATTTCCCCATATTTCCTTCCTTCCTGTTCCTCACCCTGATCACGCTTGATTTATTAATGGCAGTTCCACCAGGCCTAATCGCCACACACCAGCAAAGGCAGGCTATGCTATAGCACAAGCCACTAGCCCGCCTCTTAGAACCTCTCATTTCCTTTCCATTGTGGAAATCTATCCTCAAGGAAATAACTTCTCAGTGTTCCATCTGCTATTCTACTACTCCTTAGGGATTATTCAGGCCCCCTCCCTTCCCTACACATCAAGCTTGAAGATTTGCCCCCACCCAGGACTGGCAAATTAGCTTTACTCAACATGCCCCGAGTCAGATAACTAAAATACCTCTTAGTCTAAGTAGACACTTTCACTAGATAAGTAGAGGCCTTTCCTATAGGGTCTGAGAAGGCCATGCAGTCATTTCTTCCCCTCTGTCAGACATAATTCCTCAGTTTAGCTTTCCCACCTCTCTACAGTCTGATTAACAGACCAGCCTTTATTAGTCAAATCAGCCAAGCAGTTTTTCAGGCTCTGAATATTCAGTGAAAACTTTATATCCCTTACGGTCCTCTGTCTTCAAGAAAAGTAGAACGGACTAAAGGTCTTTTAAAAACACACCTCACCAAGCTCAGCCACCAACTTAAAAAGGACTGGACAATACTTTTACCACTTTCCCTTCTCAGAAGTCAGACCTGTCCTCAGAATGCTACAAGGTACAGCTCATTTAAGCTCCTGTATAAATGCTCCTTTTTATTAGGCCCTGGTCTCCTTCCAGACACCAGAGCAACTTAGACTGTGCCCCCAAAAAACTTGTCATCCCTACTATCTTCTGTCTAGTCATACTCCTATTCACCGTTCTCAACTACTCATACATGCCCTGCTCTTGTTTACACTGCTGGTTTATACTGTTTCTCCAAGCCATCACAGCTGATATCTCCTCGTGCTATCCCCAAACTGCCACTCTTAACTCTTGAAGTAAATAAATAATCTTTGCTGGCAGGACTATGTTGAATCTCCTTAGGCACTCTCTAATTAGACGTCCTAGGTTCTCCCAATTCTTAGACCTTTTGTACCTGTTTTTCTCCTTTTCTTATTCCATCTAGTTTTTCAATTCATACAAAACCGTATCCAGGCCATCACCAATAATTCTACACGACAAATGTTTCTTCTAACAACCCCACAATATCACCCCTTACCACAAGATCTCCCTTCAGCTTAATCTCTCCCGATCTAGGTTCCCACACCGCCCCTAATCCCACTCAAAGCAGCCCTGAGAAACATCGCCCATTCTCTCTCCATACCATCCCCAAAAATTTTCGCTGCCCCGAGACTTCAACACGATTTTATTTTATTTTTCTTATTAATATAAGAAGGCAGGAATGTCAGGCCTCTGAGCCCAAGCCAAGCCATCGCATCCCCTGTGACTTGCACGTATACATCCAGATGGCCTGAAGTAACTGAAGATCCACAAAAGAAGTAAAAATAGCCTTAACTGATGACATTCCACCATTGTGATTTATTCCTGCCCCATCCTAACTGATCAATGTACTTTGTAATCTCCCCCACCCTTAAGAAGATTCTTTGTAATTCTCCCCACCCTTGAGAATGTACTTTATGAGATCCACCCCTGCCCGCAAAACATTGCTCTTAACTTCACTGCCTATCCCAAAACCTATAAGAACTAATGATAATCCACCACCCTTGGCTGACTCTCTTTTCGGACTCAGCCCACCTGTACCCAGGTGAAATAAACAGCTTTATTGCTCACATGAAGCCTGTTTGGTTGTCTCTTCACACGGACGCACATGAAAGTGATGATTAAATGTGCTGATACATACAGTGCCACGTAGGCTATTAGTATTATTATTATACAAGTCACAGCCAAACTCCACTGGCCCAGAGCCATGTGCCCTCAGCTGGGGTTGTAATCAGGGCCAAAGGCTTGACTTCACAGCCTTGCTGGAGGAACTTGGCCTCTCTAAACCTATAGCATCCAGACCTCCACCGGCAATTTCTATTAATAGTTTGCATAGATGGGCCTGCAGTGCCTCTCTGTTTTTTATCTCCAGCTGCCCCACACAGGATCTCACACTTGTTCCAGTTTATGCCATCTCATTCAACAACGATTTGTTGAGGACCTATTAGATATGCAGAGAGTCTTGAGCTGGGCATTAGCCAGGGCAGGAGATAAATACAGCATCATCCCTGCCGTCACATTTATCGTCCTCCTTCTACTCCTTATGTAATAGGATGCCTGGTAGAGACTCAGACCTTACAATTTTTGTAGCTGAAAAAATTTTGAGCAGTATTGTAAAAATTTTGAGCAGTTTCTGTCTTTAAGGGTGGAGACTGAAATTTACCTTTAGGGCAGACTGTCCCTTTGTTCTTGGCAGAACCTCTTGAGTGGGCCCTTGTAGTTATGTAAATGAGAAGCAAGTGCTTTCCCTGGTTCTCCAAGACCTAAATGCCATTGCTTCAGACTGAGATGTTAGGTGTACTGCTTAGTAATGGAAATCAGGTGGGTATTTTAGCGGAATCAGGCCTCTGCAAATTATGTTTCCTTTAGAGAAATGTTTCCTTTCTAATTCTGGATCGAGACTGCCCCAGGCCTGTAAATTGCCACATTTGTATCTAGTTGGTGAGATTTTTCTGCGGCAGTTGTTCCTAGTTGTAATCTTGGAGAGCCAGACTCTGGGAAGTGTACCGGGGGATTCTTGTGGGGCTGCCTTGTTATGGACTTGATGCCAGATGTCTCCCTTGTGGGTGGGTGGGGGTCAGTTTCAGTAGGGGTTCCCATTTGGGGATAGGATGTGAGGATTTGGGAGGCAGGTCTGGACTCCAGAGTGGGAAGGCTGGCCAGCAGCCAGGGAGGGAACCAGTCCAGTAAGAGGTTTTAAAGTTGGAGTTGGGTCTGTGGGTTCAAAGAGTGGCCTCTTCTAGTAGCAGTTCTAAATTATTCTTTCTGTTGTGCTTCCCTTTCTTGAGTCCTAAACCTTCAGTTTGGGATTGGGGGGTGGTGGATTGGGGAAGATAATAATCTGGGGTTTAGAAGGAACAGCCAGTTTCGATTGAGGGCCTCAGAAGTGGATGTCAGTGGTGGATCAGGAGAGGACAGCTAGGCTCAGTAGCCTGGTGTATTAGTCTATTCTCACACTGCTAATAAAGACATACCCAAGACTGGGTAATTTATAAAGGAAAGAGGTTTAATTGACTCACATTTCTACGTGGCTTGGAGGCCTCACAATCATGGCAGAAGGTGAATGAGGAACAAAGTCACGTCTTACATGGCAGGAGGCAAGAGAGCTTGTGCAGGGTAACTCCTCTTTATAAAACCATCAGATGTTGTGAAACTTATCCACTATCATGAGAACAGCACTGGAAAGACCTGCTCCCATGATTCAATTGCCTTCCACTGGGTCCCTCCCAAGACACATGGGAATTATGGGAGCTACAATTCAAGATGAGATTTGAGTTGGGACACAGCCAAACCATATCACCTGGTGACCTCACCAGAGCCCACAGCAGCAGCAAGCAGACCAGCCAAGGGGCTCATTCTGGAGCATTCAAGGCCGTACCCTTGAAAACTCTCAGAATTAGCTGGAGGACAGGTTGAGGGGTACATTTCCAGCAATGAGGAGATGGTTTCATGGAGTATGCAAAAACAGCCACTTGTCACTCTTCATTTCTTTGCCCGTTAAGCCAAAACCACCTGGTAATGATCTGTACTTCCTTTCATCTTAGAATAGTTCACTGTCACCTCTGCCACCAGTTGACATTTGGGATCTGTGTAAATTTAATATCGGTTTGGCCTATTGATATTGGACAGGACAGAGCACACTAAAATAATACCACTTGTCCAGGATAACCGAACCCTTTGGTACTTAGGAGCAGGTGCTGAAAATCCTAGATGTCAAGAGTTCACAATAAGGAGGTAGGAGGGGACTCCCAGGACAAGTATCCCTGAAAAAGGGGCAATGGTTACGATGGCAGGTGGCCCTCTTGGTAATTGCTGTTGTGGTGCCCAGAGGGACTTGAAACCAAAGGTAATTGTGCAAAGTTGCAATGGCAGAAGCTGGTGTTTCTCTTTCCACCAAGCATATTCTGAATGTCCACTTTTGAACTCAGCAGGCAACATCTGTCTTCTAGATCCCATGATGGGTCATTCAGTAAAATCTCTGGGGCTTCCATGAGCTAGATGCCCCTTCTGTGTCTACTGGTGCTAGTACCAGGAATGATCTCCACAGGGGAATTTGGAGCTGTGTGTTCCCACAGAAGGGAACTAGCTGTGTGTAGTGAGGAAGCAGATTAGAAGCAAGTCCCCTCTGAGAGGACCTAGATAAGAAATGATCACAGAGAAAAGAGCAAGAAGAGACTCTAAGGAGAAAAACATTTAGTGCATGAACCAAACACTTTGCACACCTTTGGAGCCATTGAAGTCGGCATCACCTTTGCAAAGGGCCTGCCCCGATCAAGCAGCTCTTTATTGGATAATTCAGGTCGATAGCCTGCTTTTACACAACTTGGGGCCAGATGCCTCTTGGTACATAATGTGTGCCAACTCATACCTGTAGGTGATTTTCACAGATGGTCCCTTCCCCTGGAGGGGGCTTAGTGCCCGCTCCAGGACTCTGAATGGCCCTATTCAAGAAGATCCCCAAACCATAAGAGGAGAACAAGACTAATGGGCTGCAAGTCACGTGGTTTGGAAAAAGAGGTGGCCTAGTGCAGTGGCTCTCAGGACTGGCTGAGACGGTGAGTCCTGTGCCCCTGAGCTGGGATGCGTGCAGTTCTAGAGAAAAGGAAGCTGGGCAGGGCCAAAAGGAAGGTTGACAAATCTCCGTGGCCCACAGGACTGCTGCAGGGCCAATATCCTTTTTCTGGAAACAATGCAGACAGACAGACAGACCCTACAACTTTTCCTTTGAATAGGAACTGAGTTTTCCAGGGAAGGACATTTAATAAGTTTCATTCAGGAAGTCTGTTGCCAATAAAGACTTAACAAAGTTAATTAGACTAAACAGCAATTATCATGTCGCCTCATTGTTCAATTATCTGCTGAACTGGTGTTTCCTGATTAATTTTCTGATTAAAATGTATTAAACTGAAAAGACCAGCAAACAGGCCCTGACAGATTCCTAAAGAAAGAGGGAGGTTGCAGTTGCCTGTGCGGGACACTGGGCACTGGGGCCAATGAGGTTGTCTTTCACCTTTTCAGCTAGGGGACAAGGGAAGGCCAGAGGGTCCAGCAAGGTGGGAGTGATATCTGTCTACCTGCATCCCCACAGACACACCTATCAACATCTCCACTCAGAGTCCTCCTCCCAAACCTGGACTTCCTCCTATATGGGAATGGCATCTTGGCAAATGGTGCCTGTAGGTGGGTGGCAAAAACCTGGGAGCTGCCTTCAGTCTTTCTTGACCCCCTCCCACCATGTCATCTCCCCCTTCCTTAACCAGCTAAGCATGGTGTATTAGTCTATTCTCACACTGCTATAAAGAATCACTGAGACTGGGTAATTTATAAAGGAAAGAGCTTTAATTGGCTCACAGTTCCACATGGCTGGGGAGTTCTTTGTAAACTTACAATCATGGTGGAAGGCAAAGGGGAAGCAAGGCACATCTTGCATGGCAGCAGGAGAGAGATAACTCACAGGGGAAATCACTGCTTATAAACCATCAGATCTCATGAGAACTCCCTCCCTATCATGAGAACAGCGTGGAGGAAACCGCCCACATGATCCTCCCACCAGGTCCCTCCCTCAAACGTGGCAATTACCATTCGAGATGAGATTTGGGTGGGGACGCAGAGCCAAACTATATCATATGGATTGTAATCATTTCCTTACAAATGTCCTTAACTCTCTTCCAGCAAAACCTCTGTCCTGGCTAACCCTATCTATTGGTCTTCCTGGAATCTGCACCCAGGCCTCTGAGTATTGCTGGAGAAACCCTTGTAACCCTGCTGACTGATCTCACTTTGAATCTGTGACCACAAACCTCAGATGGGCATCTGACGCTGCCCAGCAATGCCATAACCTTTCCTTCCTACCTCCCCTTCCCCACTCTGAGAGGGCGGGCAGTCTCTCTCTGCTCAAACACTGCCCCTCCCTCCCTCACTGTCAGCTGATGACCTTGCCTTATACTTCACTGAGCCTTAGAAGCAATCAGACAGGAACTCCTGTGTCTTTCCATCAAGAAATTGACAAACCTCCTTCTATGACAATGAAAGACGTGTCCCTACTCTTAACAGAGGCCGACCCCTCCACTCGGGCCCTGGATCCTGTTCTTTCTCCCCTTCTCAAGGACTTTGTTCCTGTAAATATCCTTTCTCTTTCCTGCATCATCAGTTTCTCCTGTCTCAACTGGATCATCCCATTAGCATACAAAATGCTGTAGCACCTCTCATCTTTAAAAAAGAAGAAAAGAAAAATTCCTTTGAACGGCATATATGTACTACAGCTATTCTTTTGAATGTCTGCTACATTTCACAATCATAAAAGTGTAAAACAAAAGTTCCTTCCCTTGACCCCATGCCCCACCCTAGTGTTGTTCATTTTTTATGTGTCCTTCACAATAAAACTTCTCAAAGGACTTGCTTGAATCCACTGCCTTTACTTCCACATCTCTCACTCTCCCCTCTACATACCAGAACTTGGCCCTTGTCTTCACAATGCCACTGAAACTGCTCTTATCATGGCCAGCAATGACCTATACCTTGCCCGATGTAACAGTCCTTTCTCTTCTGACCCATTTATCCTGCAAACGCATTATTCTTTCCCCCTGGCCTCCCTCACTGCTACTTCTATTCTACTTGCCCTCCTTGCCCTCTCCTCCTCCTCTGCACAATGTCTAGCCCATGTGGATTCTGGATCCTCTTTTTCTCCTCTTTCCATGTTTTTATAGGTGATCTCCTAAGACCCACAGCTTTCAACATCTTCTATAAGTTGAATGACTCACAGCTTTATGTCTCCCGCCTAGACATCTCCCTGGAGCTCCAGTGTGAATGTCCAACTTAGAGCTCAACATTTCCATTTGGATGTTTAATAGGCAGGTATAAGAAAGGGGAAAGAATCCCCCAGATTCTGAGAATGGTTTCTGCACTGACATCCATCCTCCTGGTCAGTTGATCGTCTGACCCTCTGACTGTATCTGGCTCATGCCACCACTGGGCTGCTCCCGCTTTCTGTCTCACTGGAGCAGGGCCAGAATAAACTGCTTAGGCATCACATGGTGTTTAAGGCTCACTTTTTTTTTTTTTTTTTAAGACAGAGTCTCACTCTGTCACCCAGGGAGGAGTGCAGTGGTGCGACTTGGCTCACTGCAACCTCTACCTCCAGGGTTCAAGCAATTCTCCTGCCTCAGCCTCCCAAGTAGCTGGGATTGCAGGCATGCATCACCACCACTCCTGGCTAATTTTTGTATTTTTTAGTAGAGGTGGGGTTTCACTATGTTGGCCAGGCTAGTCACAAACTCCTGACCTCAAGTGATCCGCCCGCCTTGGCCTCCCACAGTGCTGGGAGTGAGCACTGTGAGCCACTGTGCCAGGCCTGAGACTCATCTTTGATGTGAATTGGATCGAAAGGGAGAAGTCACCCCTGGGGAAGCTGGTCACCTAGGACCACCCCAGAACCCTGGACACACAGTGGGTTTTCTGTGGGTCTCTCTGGGGGTCACTCACTGAGCTGCAGTCAGTGACAAATCAGCCGGGGCTGGGTGGTCCAGGGACCTTCAGCTGGGACAGTTTGTCTCTGCTTTTTGTGGTCCCATCTTCCAGTGGGCTAGCCTGAGTTCCTTCAAAGGGCAATTTGTGCTTGGGTCTTACATTATAAAGGTGACTAGGTGATGACATGAGTCAGTGCCATTGAAAGAAAAGTTGAATGTTACTCCCAGTTCCCCTAGAAATAAGAGGCACGGAACAGCTTGCCACACGGGGCCACAGAGGGAAGCGTCAGTGGTGGTCAGGAGGCAGAAAGGAGGGAGTGGAAGCCATGCCCTCTATTGGGTTTCCGCAGGAAGGCAAGGCAGGGCAGGGCAAACGGTTTAGGATTGGCTAGTTTGAATAATTCCAGTGGGCTTTGGAGCATTAGGGCTGTTGCTTGCTGTCTGGTACTTGGTCCTAGGTTGATTTAGGGCAGGGGATTGCCTCATGTGTGAGAGTTGGAGGAAGGAGGTGGCTGGGGGCATGCATGTGGGTTGGTTGGTCTGTATATGAGAGGCATGCTCACCGACAAGCTGTTCACTGTCTCTAGGAATTAGCTAGAGAGGGGTAGTCTCTCCCCAGCCAGCAAAGCTCCCCAAAGATGTCAAAACATTATAAAACAAAGTAAAAAATATGATTAATATACATGGCAGCAGGAGGCTAAGAGTGGAAGCTGTGCAGTGTTGTACTTGAGATCTGGCTTTTGAGCTCCCCAAATAACTTCTGCTGCCTTCTCTTGATCAAAGGAATTTCCTAAGGCCAGCTCAGAACCAAGTGGATAGAGAAATAGACTCCTTCTCTTGATGGGGGAGCAGCTGTACCACATGGCAAAGGGGTGAGCTCACAGGAATTGGAGAGAATAGTAGCCATATTTTGCATCCTACTGTAAGCCTATGGAGTGATGTTTTAAAGATGGAAATCAAAGGAGATCACTGTTTTATGTAAAGCCATCCAACAGCTTCCTTCCCACCACTATTGCAGCAGGCCCCTCAGGATCTATCCTTGGCCCGCCTCTGGTTTTATTTCTCAGCCCTGTCTTTGTTCACTGCACTCTGGCCATGCTGACTCTCTATTTTTTGGATGCTCCTAATTCCAGCCTCAGGATCTTTCCCTTGTCTGGAGCACTTTTTCCTAGAACTTTGCATTTTTGGTTATTCTATCCATTTTTTAGTTCCAGCTCAAGAGTAAGCAACCCAGAGAATCCTTCCTTCACCTGCTAACCAAAGTCACCTTTCCCTAGCTCTAGGATGGAAGTACCTCCGTGCATTTTAATATGTTGTTTTTCTTGTTATAATAGCTAATACTTACAGAGTGCTTACTATGGGACAGGCGTTGTTCTAAGCTCTGAACATACATTAACTCATTAAACCCTTACAACCACCCTATGAGGGGGGTTCTACTAATGTCCCCAGTTAACAGATGAGGAAATTGAGCCACAGAAAAATTAAACAACTTGCCCAACTTCATGGCATGGCACATTCTTATCATGTTTATTTTTGTTTGCTTGTTTATTTATGTAACCTCCACCCTCCCCCAGTGTAAGTTTCATGGGCGTGGAGACATTGGCTCTCTTGTTCAGTGTCTAGAATGGTGCCTCATACACAGTCAAGGTTCCATAAATATTTGTTGAATAAATGAATGCACCTTCCAGGCCAATTTGTTGCCAAATCCTGTCTGCCATACTTCCTAAGTATTTCTTAATTTCAGTGTCTTTCTCTGTCTGTTTCTGCCACATAAGTAAAGATCATCTCTTACCTGGCCCTTTGGACCATCCTCTACAGACTCAATTGCACTTCCTCCAACCCATGGCAGAATGAGCAAGCTGAAATAAAAAGTTAGGGCCTGGCACGGTGGCTCACACCTGTAATCCCAGCACTTTGGAAGGCTGAGGTGGGCGGATCACGAGATCAGGAGTACAAGACTAGCCTGACCAATGTGGTGAAACCCCGTCTCTACTAAAAATACAAAAATCAGCTGGGTGTGGTGGCGTGCACCTATAGTCCCAGCTACTCAGGAGGCTGAGGCAGGAGAATCACTTGAACCCGGGAAGTGAAGGTTGCAGTGAGCCAGGATCGTGCCACTGCACTCCAGCCCGGGTGATAGAGTGAGACTCTGTCTCAAAAAAAAAAAAAAAAAAGCCACATTCTTCATCTTATAAACCTTTTGTAGCTTTTAATCATCATCACAGCAAACTGCAAACTCATTAGAACCCACGTGGCCCTTCCAGACCTGGTTCCCTCTGCTTCTTTGCCAGATTCCTCAGTACCAAACTCTCCACAGCTCCCCCATCTGCACGCTTCTTCCCACAGCCATGCCCTTGTCTGAGGTACATTTGCTTTCTCCCTGCAGACTCCTATTCTACTTTTGAAACCCAGTTTAAATGGCCTCTGTTCAAATGCATGGTCATATAGTTTGTAACTCATTCATCTACACCACAGCACTCATTTATTCATACATCCACCTTTTCATTCATTCATTCAGCAAGATTTACTGGACCCAATCTTCAGAAGCTCAGCCTTGGGGTCAGAGAGTTGCAGTAGTGATTTTTTTTTTTTAATTTTATTTTTTAGATGGAATCTCACTCTGTTGTCCAGGCTGGGGTTCAGTGATGTGGTCTTGGCTCACTGCAGTCTCTGACTTCAAGCAATTCTTCTGCCTCAGCCTCCTGGGTAGCTGGGACTACAGGCATGCCCCATCATGCCTGGCTAATTTTTGTATTTTTAGTAGACACATGGTTTTGCCATGTTGGTCTGGTTGGTCTTGAACTCCTGACCTCAAGTGATCTGCCTGTCTTGGCCTCCCAAACTGCTGGGATTACAGGCGTGAGTCACTGTACCCAGTCATGATTTTTTTTTTTTTTTTGCACTCGTTCATCTGTATATTTGTTTCCTCCTTCACACTGAAAGCCTCATTTGGTTTTATATCCCTAATGCCTGGCTTAATAAATGTTTGTTAAATAAATGAAGATAATTATGAAACAAACAAGCACAGACTGTTAAGGTGGAGCTTGAAGCAGCCCTAACTCAAACTGAGAGGATCAGGGAAGGCTTCCTGGGAGAGGTGATGTCTGAGCTGAAATTTACTTATTTCTTGCCTTTCCCTCTCAAACTGTGAGCATCTGAAGGGCAAAGATTCTGTCTTATTCACATTTTTGTCTGGGCTAGCATATAACATAATGCTTGGTACGTATTAGTTAATTCAAGAATTTTTTTTCAGGCTGGGTGTGGGGGCTCATGCCTGTAAACCCTAGCACTTTAGGAGGCCGAGGTGGGCAGATAACTTGAGGCCAGGAGTTGGAGACCAGTCTGGCCAATATGGCAAAATCTCATCTCTACTAAAAATACAAAAATTAGCCGGGTATGCTGGCACATGCCTGTAGTCCTAGCTACTCGGGAGGCTGAGGTTGCAGTGAGCCTAGATTGTGCCACTGCACTCCAGCCTGCACAACAGAGAGAGAGAATCTGTCTCAAAAAAAAAGATTTTTTTTCAACTTTTAAAAATTGTAGTAAAATACACAGAACAAAATGTATCATCTTAAGTGTATGGTTCAGTGGTATTAAATATATTCATTTTTGTGCGACCAGCACCACCCTCCAATTTCCAGAATGCTCTTTCATCTTGCAAAACAGGAAATATTTTTGAATGCATGTCAAATATCTTTTTCCTTGCTCCCCATTCCTGCACGTCTACCCCATATTCAGTTTTTGAGACAGTCCAATAATTCAGCTCACCCACAGCCAGCACCTCTTGTTTAACATGAGGCTTAGCCACAGTGTACACAACCAGCCAACAAGACTTAGAATAACTACCAGGAATGCTCAGATTTAGATTGGACCCACGGGTCACTTTGCCTTCCAGCTGTCCATAAGGATGCTCCTTTACCCCCAGACCTGGGAGGGCTTTTCCAACTCTGCCACGGCATTGGAATTCTAAATCGGTGCCTGACATCTGAGCCTAAGGGTTCTAACTGGAACTTGGAGGCTGACTAGTTGCATGCTCAACCCTTCCCCTACTTCCTTCGTCTCTTGTGTTAACTCTGTAGGCATCTGTCTCACCCACCAGATTACAAGCTCCTCTGAGGCCAGAGACCATACCTTCAGCATGTTTGTATTCCCCACAGTGCCTGCCACACTGCAGGTAGGCATCAATAAAGCGTTGTTAAATAAATAAAGAAATAACCCACACTGAACGATTTATCCTGATTAACTCCTTGGAAGTAGTTCCCTTAGGATGAATTCAATATGTGGTTTCTCCCATCTTCTAAAAGCCTCACCCTTTATCTACAGCAAATTATGGTCATGCTGGTTTCTACACCATTGGTTTTCTCCATAAACTGCCTGTGCAGGTCTCTCCATTGAAACTGCAATGGCCCGGTTGACTCTGAACCCCAGAGCCCTCCTCTCCCATCTTGATTCCTGGGAATGCAGGTTTGGTCTAACTGACTCCTGGAAGTAATATTGGGGTGTAGCTGAGATATGTTCATGTCATGATTGTAGGCTAGGAACCCAAGACAACCTGGGGGTGTTCTATACACAGAACTCAATGTGGTGCATGAATCAGCAGCCTTGGTTACGAGGGGCCATATTTGCGTTACCTGTGTGGTCATCCATGGCCTAAAATGTTTTGATCTGTTTCATCTTCTTCCACCCTAAAAGCTTGGAACCAAGTCTCAATTTGTACCATTTCAGTGGGAGAACAGATTAGCCCAAAGCTTCAATGTTTGTTAATAGAACCAGAAGAAGGGCCAAGAGGTTTTACCTCGATGCTTAGAGCTGGGCTGGCTTAGATCAACCACCAAGATTTTTTACTCCCAGAAAGTTCCTTTGAGCTCTCTTACCTAATCTCATGGGATAAGACGGAACATCCATAAAATGACCACACCCATGTTTGCTGGACCCTTTTGGAATCCTATTCAGTGAGACCATGGTCCAATATGCTGGCCCTGAACTTGAGTACTGGAGAGTGCACCTCTCCTTCAGGAGTTGGGGGTAGGATGGATAGGAAGGTTCAGGTTCCTTGCTCTTTCCCTAGAACCCAGTGTCCCCATTCCAGTCATCTCCAGGCTCTGGGCCCAATTCAGTTCTGGGGAAAGGGAATTTGAAGGAGCCTCTTTTTAAGATTTAGCACCTCGAGGACTCAGTCCAATCTTGAATAGAAGCCTGCTTAATCCTGAAACCAAGTTCTAACTTTGTACCCCTGATATCTGGGGCTAATTTTGCAGTCCCTCCCTCCCCACCTTATGCTCTGACCTTGTACTTTAGTCCTCCTAATTTGGGACCTTACTTGGCTCAGACCACTCCTGTGCGTTTGAGATGCTCTGTCTGTGAGCCCAGGGCCCTGGGACCTTATGCTTCCTCACTCCCTGCCATGTTCTTTGCATCTGCCTATTTCACTCACCTGCAGAAACACCTATTGTCTCCTAAACTTTCTTGTGGCTGAACTTGCTTGGACAACTGTTCATTTGTTGACTACCTGTTAACGCTTGTCTTGATCCTGGGGGCAACACTGACATGGATTGATTTATTTCAATCAGCTTCAGCTGGGCTCACCTTCCAGCCCTTGACTCATCCCAGCTTGTGTGCTGGGTCCTCAGGCTCTAGGATTTCCTGGTCACTCTTAAACCTCTGCTCCTGAGTTCCAGGCTCCTCTTTTGATTGATCTTGCATGAAATTTAACTAGGTTTAGACAAAACTGCTTCACTCCTGATCATCACTGTACTGTTTAGTGTCACCTGAATGCAGTTTAAAATAATGAAAAGCTTTATTTTTCAGCATTATTGATTTACTACCAGTCATTAGTCTCCACAGAGAAAATATTTAAAAATGGACTCAGACCAAACTATAATAGGAGAGGATAGTAATGGGCCCATGTTAAATGGAATAAAATATGATCGCATGCTGTTATTTTGAATTTATGTCTTAATAACCTAATTGAATTTTTAGATGATCTGGATATATTTGCTCCTGACACAGCAGTTCTGGAGATAAACATGTTTTCTTTGTTGAAGACTGGTTTGACAAGTCTAATTAAGGTTTAAGAAATGATTACTTCATTCACTCATGCATTCATTCATTAATTCATTCATACATGCATGCATGCATTTATGCGTTTGTTCATTCTACCAAACACCTCTTGAGTGCCCAGCATGTCCCAGACCCTGGGGCAGGTGTTAGAGGTTAAGAGGTAAATGAACAGGGGTCTCAAGTTCAAGGAATGACTTTTCTAGAAGAAGAGGCAGATTATTACAATGCAACAGGTATGGTAGGTTGCCGCCAAGATAGCCCCCAGTAGCCCCCACCTCTTGGCATTCATGCCCTGGTGTGTTTTCCTTCCCTTGCATGTAAGCTGGACCTAGCAAATGTTTTCTAACAAATAGAATACTGTGAAAGTGGTGAGATGTCTCTTCCAAGATTAGGTTACAAAAAGACTCTCTGGCTTCTGTTCTGGGCTGCCCTCTTACTCGCTGGCTCATTTGTTTTGTTGGAAGCCTGTGGCCATGTTGTGAGTTCTTATGTGGAGAGGCCCATATGGCAAGAAACTGATATCTCCAGGTGATAGTGAGGACATGAGGCCCGCCAACAGCCATGTGAATGAGCTTGGAAGTGGATCCTACCCTCCTTGATTACATCATCATGAGGGACTTTGAGCCAGATGCTCTGAGCTAAGTCACACCTGAATTCCTGACACACAGAAACTGTGAGATAATAAATATTTGTTGTGTTAAGACACTAAGTTTTGCGGTGATTTGTTGCACAGCAATAGATAACTAATACAACACGATGCTTTGCTGGAAAGATGAACCATGCACTGTAGGGGTAGAGAGGCAGGAGTGATCAAATCTGCATGGAGAAGTTGGGCAAGGTGTCCCCAAGGAGGGTATGGTCCTGTAGCTAGAGAAGAAGGCTACAGATAATTAGTGGTAATCCATCCTCCCTTTCCCTCTCCTCTTATTACCATGGAACAATCTTCAAGCTCCTACCCTAGAATCCACACCTGGCAAAGAATCTGCACCGTGTTGTTCTGTAGATCTGGGCTAATGCACTATTGGTAATGGAATAAAAGAGATGCTGGTGGTTCCCTTCCTCTCCCTACACCTCTTTCAGACACAGTGGACTGGCTCTGTCCTGACTATCTCCTTCAGATTACTGGGTCTCAGTCTAGCTGCCTTTTCCCCCAGAAGGGGCCTCAGACACCCCATCTTGCATTTGCAAAGTCTCCATTCAGCACAGCTCAGCACATCTCCCTGTGCCCTCCTCAATTAAAAATGACACAAAAGTAAAGGAGACACATAGCTCTTTGAAAAAACTTCCAGATCCAAACTTTTTAATGAAGATGGAATATAAAGAGCCTGTCTTATCTGTCCGATGTGACTCCCATGTGCTGTAATCAAGCAGAATTAATTAAAAGCAATCAAGTGGCTAGTTGGCATAGGGGCCTGCGGCATGAGTCTTTCATCTTAGCCACAAGAATGCTCTTCCTGAGGGGGCGGGGTTGCAGGCAGAGAGTTGGGTGAGCCCATTGCTAGAGGGAAAACCAGCCCACTAGCAAGTGTTCAATGCCAAGGCATGACCCATGCTGCTGGAGTGAGTTTAGTGCAACTCAAAGAGGTGTTTCCACATTGTGTATGAAGGGTCCAGTTCAGGGCTTCTTAAACTCTCAACCTATGGACATCTGGGGCTGGATACTTCTTTGTTGTGGGAGCTGTTCTGTGCATTATAGGATGTTTTGTGGCATCCCTAGCATCTACCCACTAGATGCCAGTGCAACCCCTGCCTAATAGCAACAAGTAAAAATTTCTCCAAACATTACCAAATGTCCCCAGGGTAGGGGTTGGGGAGCAAAATTGTCCACAGTTGAGAACTGCTGGCCCAAACTAGAGTTTCCTTCAATAAAGGTATAGCTAGACTAGGACACCTTTCAGTCACGGTGGCCCCTGGCACCCTGGGTTAGCTTAAAGATGACAACGACCCTCTAGCTTGCAGTAAGTTGGAAAATGTTATTATCCCAGTGGGGCCAAAGAGCCAGTCACATGGAGAGAGGCAATGTGAAGCCTCAAGTCTAAAGGGGAATGATTCTTCCCTAGACTTATATAGAATGCAAGAAATTCCTCCCCCCGGAAATATTTTACAACCACTGCCAAGTATTGCACAATCTCTCCTAACATCAGCCACCTCCTCATACTGTGACATTTCCCAGTACAGAGTGACAAATGGGGGCAGGAAAGGGGTTGTGGTGGTGGGATATCAGAGGACTTTCATCTCCAATTTGGCAATACTTTTTCTCACTGGTCCCCTCTGTCTTTTTGCTTACAAATATCTTATAGAATCTTGGAATATTTGGCTCCTGTTATACTCAAAGGATATGAGCTTTGCTAGACTTTTCAACAACAAGAGTGTGACTTAAATAGCCCTGTCTTGGTCCAGCAACAATAGATTAAGCGAATGGTATCATATCCTACATAACAACCAGGAGAAAAGTGGAAGGCATGCTAAGGTACCACGGGAGTGCCAACTTTCACCCAGTGGCCCCACTTATTAGATAAAGAAGGACAGAGAGTTGAAAGATTGCTTAATGCAGGGTGGCAGGGGCTGAAGCATTGCTGGGTCCTAAAGAACAAAGGAGGAGGAGTTTCTGTCCGAGCTTGTTTGTGCAGCGTAAGTAGAGAGTCCATTAGAGCTCCCCTCTTCCCATGATTGTCTGTCTTTTTCAGCCTCCCTTTCGGGCTGGATGCCTGCAGAATTGGGGAGGTGTGGGGACATCCTTTCTGGATATCCACAGAAGGAATAGGTGACATTTGAAGGTGGCCAGGAAGCAGAACATGTCTAGAACCCCTGTTATGGGCCAGGCACAGTGCTCATATTTCATTAACCCAAACAGCCCTGAGAGAGAAATAGCATTACCCCTTTACAGTGAAGGAAGACGAAGCAACTAGAAAGTTGCAGAGCCAGGATTCAAACCCAGTCTCCTGACTCCAAAGTTTATGGTCTTTCTCCCGTATCTGCTTCTTTCCTTAAGCTCATAAAATAGACTTAAGGATGTGGGTCTCAGTGCATTGAGGTCAAGGGCTGTTGATGGGCAGGATCCCAATTCCAGAGGAAGCGGTGACAGAAGTATACCTCAGGCTCTGGTCTACTTTTGGTCCCTTCTGAGTTTCCTTGGGGGTCACAGCTTCACTGCAAAACTGGGATACAGCTTAAAGAGCAAATTGACGGGTACCTTTGCCCTTCCTGACACCTCCCTGGGCCACACTGCCATTCCTCATCTGTTACTTTATTTCCAAAGAGTTGTTCGGTCCAAGAGTTACCTCCAACTCACCCTTCTTTGGTCAGGTCCCGAAAAGATGCCTTCACATCCTAACCCAGAACGTGTGAATGTGACTTTATTTGGAAAAAGTGTCTTTGCAGATGTAACTAAGTTAAGGATCTCAAGATGAGATCATCTTAGATTATCTGGGTGGGCCTTAAATCCAATGATAAGTGACTCCATAAGAGACAAAAGAGGAGAATTCTGGGAGAGAAGAGGAAAAGGCCATATGAAGATGGAGGCAGAGATTGGAGTGATGCAGCCACAACACAAAGAATGCTGACAGTCACTGGAAGCTGGAAAGGGCAAGGAAGTACTCTCCGCTAGGGTATTTGAAGGGAGCATAGCCTTGCTGACAGCTCAATCTCAGACTTCTGGCCTCCGGAACTGGGCACAAATAAATTTCTGTTGTTTTAAGCCACCAAGTGGCTTATGTGTTATGGCAGCCCCAGGAAATCAATACAGGTTCCCAAAGTTAAATATAAGGTCATTGCAATTTGCTACTGCTCCATCAGCCTGCATTGATGGGATGCCTGGTACATTTGTGGCCTCCTCCCCCGGTTGCAATGAGGGGCAAGAGGGTGCCCCCGAGGCACTTGAAAGCCATTCACAGCCAGGAAACACAAAGTATAAGCTTATATGAGGCTAGAGAGTTGGCCTGAGGCTTGATGCCAAAGGGCCTTAAATCCACGTTAAAGATTTGGAATTCATCTCTAGGATCTTGAGAAGCTCCTGCAGGTTTTAAGGTGTATAATGAATCAATGAGTGTGCGTTTTAGAATGCACACGCTGGGTGCCAGATGGGAGATAGAGAGGGCAAGATTCCCATGTGCCTCCATCCAGCTCTGCTCTTCACCTCTAACTCCAAGTGACAGCCCCTAGGTGGGCTGTCTCTGCTTGGTCAAGGAGACAGACACACTTGGGAGAAGAGTTAGCCAGCCGGAGGAAGTCAGGTTCAGAGTGGTGGACTGGTGAAGCTCTCCAGGCACTAAACTTTTATTCATCACCAAGGTCTCTCAGCTAGTAGTCTATTTCCATGAAAGTCATCACAAGATTTTTTTTTTTTTTAAAGCAGGCCAATTAAATCAAGCATATTCCTCAGTATCATGGAGAGACTGGAGGTTAGAGACACCAAAACCATCCCTGGCTTAATGACTTTGGGATCCCTGGGCCCCTCCATGCAGCAGAACGGCAATTAACCAAGGTGGGTGACTTTCTTTCTGCTTGTGTTGACAATTGGAAACAGAAGCAGCTTTTGGGTCTGGGGTAGGAACCAGAACTGAGTTAATACTTTAGTTTGCCCTGAGAATAAAAAAAGAATGATAGGGCTGAATGGGGGCTCCCCACTGCCTCTGACTTCCTCAGATCTTACGCTGTGTTCCTCTGCCATGGCTCCTTTATTCCCGGGCCTCCTTCCAAGTTGTTACTTGTCACCTGTCACCTGAGTCACCCTGGAGCCTCACAGCTGATCTTCTGTCTTTTCTTCCTTTCTCACCCATCCTTTACATCAGCCATGGGAAGCTCTCTCTCAGGCACCAGGTAATCACGATTCCAACACACATCCTATTGCCAGTGGGTTCAACCCGAAAGTCTTTAGTCTGATGTTCAGTCTCATCTTTCACTCTTTGTCTTCTGCTCTCTGCTTGCCTACATCTGCTGGAGCTGACACTGTGCCAAATCCTGTCCAGGACCTGCTTATTTCCAGCACTGTCTTTGTTGGGTGTCTGTGCTTGGGACACCTTCCTGTTTCATCTCCATCCAAGCTTTGAGAGACTTTGCAGTATATTCATTAAGTGTGTAGCGCTGGAATCAGACTCTTTGAGTTCATATTCTGCCTCTGTCACTTACATGAAATAAAATATATAAGCTCTTGGCTCAGACCGTGACATAAAATAAGTGTTCAATAACATGCTTGACAGTATTATTTCTCCCGCACATCACTTCTGTTGAATCCCAGTGTTCACTTCTCTCAGGAAGTCTTTCCTGCGTAACATTAACCTGGGCCTCCCTGACCCTGCTCACTCACAGGCAATAAAACCTCCCTTGGAAGCTCGAATCAGGGCAGAGGTCCTTTCAGCATGTCTGACCCCATGGGTGGGTGTGGAATGACTAGCACTTTCTGATTCTCTTTGGTCTGGTACATATTGATGAGCCTCCATTGAACTGCTCTGAATCAAAGCTTTCTCTTAACATCAGTCATGGACCACCCATCCACCCACCATCCATCCATCCACTCAGTCATTCAGCGATATTTTGAACACTTATTATGTGCCAGGAACTGTGCTATGTGTTGGGTATACAACGGAGGAAAAGGCAGACTCTGCCCCACCTTCATGAAGTCATTGTGCAGTAGGGAGAAAGATACTCAGATAGGCAAATATGACACAGAGGGGCCAGTGTTCTGATGAGGGAAGCACAAGGTGCTGAGATAACCCGCAAACCCTAAGGAGAAGCTCTGCAACCCTGCCTTAGAAGATCCCTGGAAGCGATCCAAAGGAAGCAAGTTTAAGCTGAGACCCAAAGAATAAGAAAAATGTTAGCCAAGTGGAAGAGAATTGCTGGTGAAGAGTGTTTTAGTTGAGGAAACTGTGTGTATAAAGACACAGAGGTGAGAGAGGGAATGGCATAGTGGAAAGTTGGGTGAGGTGGTGTGTGTGCCCATGCACCGTGCAAGTGTATGCACGGGTGCCTGTTGGAGGTGAAGGTGAGATGAGGCGGGAGGGGCAGGCAGGGGCCAGGATATGCAGGGACTTACAAACCATGTGAAAGAGTTTTGACTTGCACATCACAGCCATGGAATAAATGAGAAAGTGAGTGGGAGTTTCAGTGGGGGAATGGCATGATTAGATTTATAATTTAGAAAAATCACACTGGCTGCAGTGTGGAGAATGGAGGGAGGTTGGTTTGTGAGACTCCATGACAAAGTCGGCTTCAGTTCTTTCCCCAGGCAACCGGGATCCTGCTTGAGCTTGAGCTCCAGCTGAGGCCCTACTGCCTTGCGTGGTTCTTGCTAGGTCCCCTCCTGAGGGTTGGATCTGTCCCTAATTCTCAGCTGTTGACTCAGGTCCTGCTCACAGTGGACAAGTGACCTCCAACCAGGATCATGTCACTCCAGGTACAGTCTCTGCATAGAGGGGACACATGTCCACATAGATTGGGTCTCTTGCATTCTGATATACTTGACTACTGGTCTGGGCCAAGCTTGAGACAGCTGTATATCTTTGGAACAATACAGTTTGGAGCTTTGGCTATCACTTCTTGTGTAGTGGCAACCTTATTCATCCACTTATTTGTCTCAAACATTTATCAATTATCTGCTATGTCCCCAGCGCTGTGCTAGGTACTGGGTACCTGGTGGTAAGCAAAGCCAAGATGGTTTCAGTGCTCATGGCATTGTGAGAGATGGCTCTTTTTTTTTTTTTTTTTTTTTTTTTTTTGAGACAGAGTCTTGCTGTGTCGCCCAGACTGGAGTGCAGTGGCGCAATCTCGGCTCACTGCAAGCTCCGCCTCCTGGGTTCATGCCATTCTCCTGTCTCAGCCTCCTGAGTAGCTGGGACTACAGGCGCCCGCCACCACGCCTGGCTAATTTTTTGTATTTTTAGTAGAGACGGGGTTTCACCATGTTAGCCAAGATGGTCTCGATTTCCTGACCTCGTGATCCGCCTACCTTGGCCTTCCAAAGTGCTGGGATTACAGGCGTGAGCCACCACGCCCGGCCTAGAGATAGCTCTTAAATAAAATAAATAAATACATTTCTATTAAATAAATAGAAATTGTTCTAACTGACATTAAAGAAAAGAGTAAGGTTCTGAGGGGGGATGTGCTTTAGGTTAGATGGTGCATCTGGCATCTCCATTCTGATCCTCCAGGTCCTTCCTCCACTCTGGTCTCTGCCTTGGTGGGCTGACCTGGATGGTCCACCTCAGTGGGTTCTCTTATGTCTGGCTTCTAATAGAGTTCAGCCAAAGGGGGTGGTCAGCCAGAGATTAGAGGGTGAGAGAAGAGTGAGGTTGGGATATTTATTCCCCTAGCTTTCTCCCTGGCTGGTTACCCTGGGCTGGCCACATTCTTTGTCTTGTTCCTTCATCCTTCCTGGCTAGGGGCAGTTCTGTCCTCCCCCTGATGGTACCCCTTTGTCTCACTTCATGCCTTTATGCATAGTCCTTTTAGAAACCTCCTTGAATTATCCTAATGTGAATGTGCCATTGTTTCCTGCCAGGACCCTGATGGATACAGATGGCAATAGAAAGCCTCTCTGAGGAAGTGACATTTAAGCTAGACTTTCGGGATGAGCGGGAGCCAGCCATGTGAAGAACGGGGGAGGAGAGACACTCCAGGCAGGAGGAAGTCGCGTGTGAAAACTCCAAGGTGGAAAGAGCTCACTGTTGTGTTCAAGGAACAGAGAGAAGGGCAGTGTGTCTAGAGTGCAGCACTCAGGAGAGACAGCACGAGATGAGATTTTCTGAATTTCATCCCGATCACACAGCACACAGCAGAGGAAGTGGTTGGCCTGCCCTCCGGGTCACCTCTCTCCTCATGCTGGCCCTTACGAAAGATAAAAATACTGATAACTAATGCTTATTGAACACTTACTATGTTTCAGGCATTGTTTTAAATAAATTTATATTAAATAAATAGTAATTGTTCTAACTGCAATTAAAGAAAAGAATAAGGTTCTGTGAGGATGACAGCGGGAATGTGCTTTAGGTTGGATGGTGCGCCCGGCATCTCCGTTCTGCTCCTCCAGGTCCCTTCTCCACACTGGTCTCTGCCCTGGTGGGCAGACCTAGAGGGTCCACATCAGTGGGTTCTCCTATGTCTGGCTTCTAGAAGGGTTTAACCAAAGGCGAGGACAGCAGGAGAATGCTTTGCATGCATTGATTCATTTAATCCTTCAACAACCCCAAGAGGAAGGTATTCTTAGCATACACATTTTACAGATAAGGAAACTGAAGTTCAGAGAGATTGAGTAACTTATCCAAATTCCACAGCTTCAAAATGGAAGAGCTGGGACTTGAAATCGCGTAGTCTGGAGCCAGGGCACTACTCTTAATCACCCGCTATAAACACGTTGGCTAAGTCCTTAGCCCTCACTAGTTCTTATCTTACATGCCTCAAACATACAGTGATTTCCTGTATTTATCAATCAACTCCAGTGGTTTCCTATACCTGTCAATTGTTTAATAAATTATGCACATTTTTTTCTGTCTTCTCAAATGTATCATAGACTTCTCAAAGACCTAGACAGAGTCTTTTAATTCTCCACTACCTGTAAAATCTTGTAAAGTGATGAGCACACAAGAAAGTACTCAATAAATGCTTTTTGGATTCTTGATTTGAATTAGACAGTGGGTGTAAAGTAACAGTGCCTGGGAAATAGAAGGTGTTTAACAGATGGAACCTGTCACTGGTGCTTACAAGGAAGGAAGCAAGAAGGAAGAAAAGTTAGTTTCCTAGGCAATCAAACATGAGATTGTTGGATAATCACACTAGGTCATCTCCTTGGTACCCATAGTGCAGGATCTTGTCTTAAACTAGGCACTAAAGAGTAAATTGGGGGAGAACAGGATTGTTCTCCTAGATGTCAACTTAATGTCATCATTTTTCTTTCAATCATCCAATTTGTATCTATAGGTTTTGGGATCTTATATTTTCAGCTGCATCTCCTCTTGGGGTGATGAGTTCTGTAAATTCATTCCCTGCTGTGTGAAGGAGCACTTCCTTTTATTGATCCTGAATTTACCTCCTGCAAGTTTCAAGTTTCAAGTTTCCTTCCCTCCCTTTCCTTTATCTTTCCCTGGAACAAGTACCTGGGAATAGGTGAGCAATTCCCTGTGCTTTACTCCACTCTATACCTACCTATTCTCCATCCCAAGAAACCTAGTGGTTTTCTCTCTTCTCACTTTCCTTCAAACTTTTCCTTTCATCTCTTCTTGGTACAGTGAAGACAGTAGAATGAACTTCCAAAAAGAACCTTCCTAAAAATGAAGGTAACCTGGACAGAAAAGAAGCAGACCATACACACACTGTTGGAACTGTCTGGTGGCCCAAACTTAAGCCCCTTCATTGAAGCAGAGAAGTGCCTCCCCAGATCCCTGGTTCCCAGGCACTGAGAACACCATACTTATTTTTCAAGTGGCTGGCTTGTTCTCCACCTGATTTCCCTGCCTGTCCTTTGGCCAGGTGGTTGTCAGGGATCTTATTGTTTCCTTGTATAACAAAAGCTCACCAGCCATCTTGCCTCCTAAGAGAGATATTTTGACAAAAGAGACATTTTATGTTGATGATTTTGAATGCTACTGGGTCATAGTGGCTATGTAAACATTTTTTTAATGTCAAAATATTGTGTATTTTAGATATCTTTGAGCCTCTCTGCCCATGTGTCTCCCCATTTCTGGGAACTGTGCTCCTTTCCTGACTTTTACCTGATCTGACCTCTACCCCTGAACTCTGCCCCTAGGCCAACTGTCTACCCTGTAAAATCAGCCAAGGGTGTGGAGTGAGGGAGGGGGAGTCATGGGGTGAGGTTGCCCCTTCCAGAGGGTGTGGGCAGGGTAGGCAATAAAATAAGTCGTGTGTGTGTGTGTGTGTGTGTGTGTGTGTGTCAGTTTCACACATTACTTGGTTAAAAGAACAGAAGAAAGGCCATTTTTTTTGTTTGGTCACGTGAAGGTGCCATTGGCATCTAAATGATTGTGTCCAAGTACCCACATCAGAATGTTGTTCACCTTGGAACCAGCGATTCTCAAACCCTGGCTGCACATTAGACTTTGTGGGGGCCTTTATAGAAACGAAGCCATGCCTCCCTCCTTTCTGCTCCTGTCCCCCTGCCCTCTGCCTGGAATCCAAGTAAATCACAATTACATTTTGAAAACTCCCCAAAGGATTCTAAAGCACAGCTAGAGAAAAGAACCACTGTCCTGATCACACATACAACCTCTCAACACCCACACACTGTCTCTCAATCTGTCTTTTCCACAGCTCCAGTGACAGTCAACGGGTGGGGCTGAGAAACCACACTGAAGATTTGTCCAGAAGAATATTGATCTTGGGGCCCTGATCAATGAGCTCTGTATTATCACAGTGTTTTTTTTAAAATTACTTTATTGTATTTTTAGTATCTAGTTTCATTTTCCAGTCTCAGGAGCATGTCTGGTTTATGCCTGAGTTATAGGGCTCACTAAAACTTATTTATTAATCCACTCGTTTATTCATTCATTCTCGTTTATTCATTCATTCATCTAGTCACTCAATCACTCATCCACTAATTTACTTATTCACTCTCCCACTCACTCATTTATCCCTCTGACCATCATATCCATCTGTCATTTATTTACCCATTGGTTCATTCACTGTTTCATTCATTTCTCGTGTTTATTCATTTGTTCATTAGTCCATCCCTGTACCATCATCCCACCCATTCATTCATCTATCCATTCACTCTTTCGGTCATTCATTCAATCATTGTTAATTTATTCACTTTTCAGACATTTTCTGACACTTTATAGTTGAAGGCTCCTGAACCTGGCTCTGGGGAAACACAGATGAATTACACTCACAATAAGGTTGCATTTGGAGGCTGAACTTATTTGTTCTCTGGGGCCAGAGAAGCTTGGCCTTTTGCTCTCTTCCGTGATTAGACGCAGTGACTTTTGGTGGGAAACACTTCACCATCCCAGTGAAAAGTCTTTAAAGTCTAGGGACTCTCCCAGGACAGGACCAGAAGGCTTCCTCTGGATGGAAGAAATTGCTCTGTAGTGCTAGCTGGTGGGGAGGAATAGGAGAAGATGGGAGTGACACCTGATGTTTCCAGTTTAGGAAAAATCAGCTGCTTAGAGCTATGCCTTCTTACAATGAAATTTTCTTTTGAATAGGAATAAGGAAAACGGGAAAATATAATAAAAAAGAACTAAAATGGGCTAAAAATGGCACAACGAAAGGAAAATAGAGAAAAGATAAAAGCAAATTGCTGTAGTAAATATAGTATATAAAATAAATAAATACCCACCCTCAAGAGACCAGTGAGTCCTGGTGGGTGAGTTAAGTGTGAAAAACCTGGGGCAGGTGGGGGAGAAGCTGGGCTATCTTCTAGAAGGGCCAACTTGTAGACTGGGGTTCCCTTCGATATTCTGTGGTTAGAGATTCTGGCGGAGAGTTCTTCAGAGAAAGGTCCTAACTCTTAATGCATGTGTTTCACAGAGAAATTCATTCATTCTTTCATTCTACAGATGTTTACAGAGTGTGTGGCCCACTGCCTCCTTGCAGTTTACCATTCAGTGGGGAAGGCAGACACTTGGACAAGTAGTTACATGTAGGGGTGATGGGTACCATGAGGAGGAAGTACAGGGAGCTATGGGAATGTCTAATGGGAGAAACCAATCTAACGAGTCAGGAAAGTTTCCTGGAAAGTGTAGGTGTAAATGGTGACTTGAAGGTGGATGTGTGTTACGTAGTGAGGAAAAAAATGTGCGAAGGCTGAGGGTATGGGAAGGCATGGAATGAAATCTCCCCTCTGTGGCTGGTATGCATGGTGTAAGGGGAGAGGGGCAAGAAAAAAGGCAACAACTAGAAGTGTCATTCATCCAACAAACCATCACTAAGCATCTACTCTGTATACTCCAGAGCTAGGAGTATAGAATGTAAGGACAAGGGGACACAGTTTCTGTCTTCAAAAGCACCTGTTGTTCAAGGAGCTTAAACGGAATGGAGAACAAAGGAAGGGTTAAGAGAAAATTGTTGAGGTTGCCGTCCCTGCCAACACACTGACTTTGATGCATGACTCCCTGCTGTGGTTGAGGGAGGCACAACTTGCTTTGTTTCTTGGGTGCATTTTGCCTGGGTGGGAATGCGTCAATGCTGGACTTTTCCAGCCAAAGTGGCAGTGTTTTCTAAAGAGCAGCTAACTGGACAATGTCACTGCATGGTGATTTTGTCACAAGAGGGAGCAGCAGGAGGAGGACTGGGGATGGAGGGCATAGACAAGTGGTCCAGATCGGCTACATGGGCAGTACAGCCTGGCAGGTCTGATCTCACCAGGAGTGGCCATATGGAGACACAGAAGGACTTCTGGGGTGTTTGAATGTTGAAGTGTGTACAAAGTTGAGGTGCCACCAGAGAAAACCAGGTGGTCTGTTTCCCCCCAGGCCTTACAAGGTGCTATTTTTCTTGGTGAATTCACCATGCCCAGGCTTCAGTCTAGCCTTACATAAACAGTTTGGTCCATGCCCCAGAACGGATCAAACTCAGGAATGAATACCAATGTACTTAGGCCAGTGGATTTCATAAAGTTCTGGCGTGCGACATCAGACCTCCTTGAAAAATATTACCACTTGGGGGAATGGCATGGCTACTCATGTCCTCTGGACACAGCATTCTCTCTTTCTGGCCATGCCAAACGCGTAGTTAAATTACAATCAGAAGGTGTTTTCATGCATCAGTCAGGTTTTAATGCTGGACACAGGAACTTTGGATATTTGAAGAAGAAAGAGATTTATTTATGATGAGGAATTAGGTGCTTCCAAAATAGCTGGATGGCTTGGAGGACAAACTCTAAGTGGGGCCTCCAGGACTGATTCCTAGTAGAATGGATCCACTGGGGGAGCTGTTACCTTTGATGTAATCTGGATAGCAGGAGATCAGGAGGTTGAGCCTGAAATAATTGAGGTCAAATGTACAAAGCTATAGCTGTGATCTAGGGCTCAGGAGTCTGCCTGTGGCACTACCACAATTGCCTGGATGCTGAAACATGAAGTCTGATGAAAGCCTACTAATATCTCTACTCCCTTGCTTGTCAAAAGGAAGACAGCCCCTGCCTCACTTTTCCCTGCAAAATTTCACCTAGGTGCATTTGAATGATGAAACCTATTTCTCATCGAGAACTCAATCACTCAATCTCCAAGGGAGTCTTGGAAATGTAGACTAAATCAAATCTTTCCAGTATAGGAATACTCAGTAGAAGGAGGTGGGAGTGGATGCTGAAAGCCAGTTGACAATTTCCATCACTCCTAGTACATGTGCAATTAGAACAATAGGATTTAATTACGCAATGTGAAAGGTGAACAACGTGAAGCCATGATACCCTAAAGAATCAACCTGTACATATGCCACAAGTATGTTACAGGAAACTGAAGGGGTCAAGGCCACGGTCCATGGTGACCCGAATCCTCAGGGCTGGGATGGACAGTCCAGTGGTCCTCTAAGTACCACTTGTTCTGTGCCTGTGGCTGACCACTTCTCATTTTGATTCACAAATAATTTCTTTATAACACTCCTGTCAAATCTTTTACATGACTTTGCTGATCTCAGAAAATATGTGTAGATTTATTTGTGCCATTATGTTGAAGGAGTATGGCTTGTGAGATGCAGTTCTAAAGCAATTTTATTTTTGTCTCCCATGATCCCAGTTAAAATACATTCTATGGGCCTACTTCTTCTCTTGTCTCTGGATAAAAACCCAACTGGGCTCTTAACATCTATGGTTGTCACCATATAATAAAAAGTCCTATAGATACTTTAAGTTTCTACTATATTTCTAATTTAGTAATTAAAATATGCAGCCCCACAATCTTGCCTTGAAGGATAGACTTCTCGACTCAGCCCGCTGCATGCTGGAAGCTGTAGGGGAAGGAAGATGTATGGTTGGTGCTTTCTCTCTTTCTTCATTCACGTAGTACTTCTACTCCTCTCTCATCTTGCTAGCCATGTTCATGATGCCTCCAGGACTGGATGAGGAAGTCATAGAAGAGGTTAGGGGAGCAAGGATGACTTCACTTGACTGTTATCATAGTGGTGACCAGCTTCAAATCTCTTTGGACTTGGCACATGTTTAAAGTGACTTCTTCCTCTCATGGGTGCTTTTGGGAGACTTCAGAGATGCCCACCTTCTCACTGAAGATTTCTCACCTGCAGTCCCTGGTCTAGACCACATGCATCTCTATTTCGGCTGTTTGCATTCTCCTGAGAATCCAGCAGCATCTCCGCCTTCTCTCTGCTGAGGTCTGTTTGCTCTTCCATGTGGCCTTCCTTGAAAGGACCTAAGATGACACCCACCCTGGCTCTCTCTTGCACTTGACTTATATCAGATTCATGTGAAAGTCTTGTTATTCCTTTGCTCTGGCAAACTCTGGAAGAACGTCACTTTCCAGACTGTAGCCCTCAGCTCTGCATCACAGGCTGTGGCAGCCAGCCTCTTGACATTTGGATTTCTCAAGTGAGATTACAGGATTCCCACATTACGTTCTCCAGGGGGTATCACAAAGCCATAGTCTCTTGATTTGGGGTGAGGAGGTAGCACCTGTGTACTCATCAGGCTAGGCTAGATAATGCTGAGCTAACAAACAGACCCCAACCAAAGTGGCTTAATACTATACAAATTTATTTCTTGCTTTCAATCCACTGTGGGTCCAGATAACACAAAAGAGCAGTTGTCCTCCAAGCGTTGACTCAGTGCTCCAGGATGCTTTAATCTATGGCACCTGGATATAAAAAATGGTTGTACAAAAAAGTACTGCAGGTGGATAGTCATGTTGGTTGCACAACAATGTGAATGTATTGAATGCCACTGAACTATATACTTGCAAATTGTCAAAACTGTAAATTTTATGTTTGCCCACAATAAAAAACCCTGTTGTAGGCTGGGCGCGGTGGCTCACGCCTGTAATCCCAGCACTTTGGGAGGCCAAGGCGGAAAGATCACGAGGTCAGGAGTTCAAGACCAGCCTGGCCAAGATGGTGAAACCCCGACTCTACTAAAAATATAAAAATTAGCTGGGCTCAGTGGCAGGCACCTGTAATCCTAGCTACTTGGGAGGCTGAGGCAGGAGAATTGCTTGAACCTGGGGGGCGGAGGTTGTAGTGAGCTGAGATTGCGCCATTGCACTCCAACCTGGGCGACAGAGTGAGATTCCATCTCAAAAGCAATAACAAAACAACAACAACAACAACAACAACAACAACAGCAACAAAAAACCCTGTTGCCTGAGAAAAAACAACTATTTTTAGTGAACTTAACTTTTGCTTCATATGAGAAAATAATTTTTACCTTAAGTAGCTGCTAGATAGTCACTCAGATGCTGTTGATAGGACCTAAGATGACCCCCTCTTTCTTTTCAGTAATTGTTATAAATATTAATGGGCTAAATGACTTTAATAGAATTAAATAATAAAAAAAGTGTTTCTACAATTGTCACAGCAAAGGAAGAGAGGGCAGCAGGGCTGAATCCTGTCATGGAATGCTTCCATCTGCAAGTGGCACATTTCAGTGGCCAAAGCAAATTATGCCATCCCTGACTTCAAGGTAAGGTAGATGAAGTACAATCTCTTTGATGCCCAGAAGTGAAGAAAAACCAAACACCTGTCAGTATAGCTGTACCTCCCATGGCCTTCCACAGCCTCCCTCTCCTCCACCCTGGGTAGGGGTAGGATTCGTAGCACAGCTTACTCCAATAAATTCTCTGCTAAAATATTTTTTTCCCCAAATCCAACTCTTGACCTGCGCATACACTGGATGTGAAACTGATGTTTACAACCTCCTTTGCAAATTGTGCATATGGTCTACAACCTCCTTTGACATATGAGAGCTATTGTCTTTTGGTGCCCTGGCTAACAATTGCATTTTAACATTCTGTTATATATTTGTTCATGTTCTGTCTCCCCTATCTGAACGAAGGCCCTTGAGATCTGGGACTACATCTGTCTTGTTTCTGGGACTGTCTGTTAGGCTGCGTGCCTAGCACGGCATTGGACATGTTGCAGATTTTTCAGAGCTATTCTGGACAGGAAGGAGGGACAGAGGAGAGAAGGAAGGAAGGAGGGAGACAGGGAGAGAAGGAAGGAGAGAGGAGGGAAAGAAAAGAAGGAAAGAAGAAAAGAGGGAAGGAAGGAAGGAAAGGGGGGAGGGAGGAAGGAAGAAACAGAGAGAAAAATAGAAAAATGGTAGAATGGAGTTGAGTCAGGAAGCAGAGTCAGCAAAAAGAGTTCATGTGAGAAGGCAGAAAACCAAATCCCAGCATGGAGCCAAAAACTGGCAGATATCCAAATACTGGGTCAAACTCAGATCCAGTATTCAGGGGTGAAGCACTTTAGCGACAGAAATAAAATTACAATAGAGTGGCTAGGATTTGGTGCCTGATTGTGGGGTATGAGGCCCAGTGTCCCTGGAGGCTTCACGTTCCTCATTCTCCCTAATGAGAAGGGGGAAGAAAAGAGAAATGGCACTTTCTGAATGCCAGGTACTGCCTAAAGTTGTCTTATTGAACTCTCACGGTAACCCTATTATAGAACTGGGAAACTGAAGCTCAGAGAGGTGAGATAACTTGCCCAAGCTCACACAGCTAATTAGTGCAGCTGTAACCCAGATCTGGGTATCTCTAGGATGTGGGCTGTCTTCATTGCACAGATCCTTCTTAGTCCTTCTCTGAGGACAAATGATTCCTCTTTCTCTCTCTCTCTCTCTCTCTCTCTCTCTCTCTGTCTCTCTCGGAATTCAATTCCAGATAGCCGCTCCGCTAAGTGGATAGCATGAGATGCTCACTTTTCAATTTCCTGACTTCTGAGATGTTGGTAGCCATTGTGAGAGACATAAAACAACTTCAGGGTAAACCTGCCTGCCTCCACTCCGTTTATGTCTGGTTTCAAGATTCCTCCCCTCACCCAGCCCCTGACGTGCCTCCCACACAAGATCTCTGAGTTCTCTAAGCAGACGGCTTAAAGTGTTTTCTGTGGCACAACTCTATTTCAAAGAAAGATCCAAGTGCCTGTGTATTTGTGTATAAGCCTGTGTGTAGAATTGCTGATGATGTGCTGTCTGGGGAACCCCTCTGAGGGGTGCAGGTGTGATGAGGGTGAGGTGTGTAAAGGCTATATGTGCTGAGTGTGACATATGTATGTACACAAAGTCATTTACAGCTGCCATTGGCTGTGGTTTACCAATGGCCTGGAGGGCTGGTTAATGTGCCCTGTGAACTGTGCTGTCGGAGATCTCTCTTGGGTGTCATTGAGTTCCCGACTGTGGCTTTGCCTAGTGATCTAGGAAAATGGCATGGTGGCCAATTCACCTGAGGGAATTGGTGATGATGGGAATTGTGTTGAACTGTGGCTTGCCCCTTAGGACACTAGTAAGACTTGCCTGCAGTGCACGCACGTCTGTGCTTGATGACCACTTGAAGTCACCCTGGCTGCTAGTACTGATGATCTAAGAGTTCTGCAGGGAGAAAGTCTGTGAAATCTTCCTGGGTACACCATGGGGGTGGAGGGTGCACCAAGATGTTGAAAAATGCATTGACAATAGGTACCAGAATCCTTGAAGAGCTCTGTAGTGAGTCATCTGTAAGCTGGAGATGGAACTAGGATCCTTGATCTCTGTGGTATAATGGGGTCCCAGTGCTGTCGAGGCAAGACGGTGGTGACGAACCATCAGAGACAAGGAATGTGGAACTTCTATAATAATCCACAAGCAGAGACGTTTGCTTTGAACTTTCAGCAGACTGTTTTACCTTCCTATCAGGCCAGCTCCTTCTGGGAAATGGGGCAGGTGATAAGCCCAGTGATTTCCATGAATCTTCTGCCTCCTTGCCAATGCATTTCCTAATACTTCCGTGAAACAAAGCCCTCCCATGGTACATTGTTTGGGCATGGCTGAGTAGGTTGTACATCAAATATAGGCTTTCTTTTCCTGCCTACAGCACCAGCTGAAGTCCAGAACCATCATTTCTGGACTTATCATCCCCTTGATATCCACACAGTAATACTTCCAACCAGGGCAAACTTTTTAAGGCAAAGGAGTAAGGTACTGAACTAAAGACCACGCACACTATTCTAACCACATGCCCCATCACCCAGAAGAAACTGGCTTGATAAGGTGAAGGAGAGGTCTGCTGAAAGTTCAGTTACAACTGAATAGCCTCAATTGATGAATAGCATCTGCGAAGATGAGGTTGGATTCTGCAGGGTATGGTGTATGTCTTAAACCAGTAGTCAATGTCTGGTGCTGTTCCATAGCCAAAGTGAATGGATCTGGGCCCCAAGGAAGAGGTGGAAGTAGTTTTTTTCACAATTACACTCAGTAACCTACTTGAAGATTCTTTCACTTGCTGTTTCCTTGACCTTGGGCTTCCCAGTAATTAGAAGCTGAGATAGTCCCCTGGCCATTCTGGGATCCTTGTGTGGCTGAACCACCAGGCTGAAGGGGGCATCTCTGTGCTGACCAGGATAGTTGATCCTGGCTGCCAGGGGAAATTGGTTTGTTGCCACACAAGAGGGGCAAGAAGTACCCTGCTTGGAACCACAGGGCCACTGGAACATCTGTTAGTACTCACCTGTGCAATAGTCCTGACCAGTGGAAAACTGTGGCAACCCAATAAAGACAAGACTGCAGAGGACTCAGATCTCACAAGAATGAAGGATTAGGTCACCCCATCGGGCATTCCAAGAGGCCAAGGGGTACGTAGATTTGGCAGTAGAAGAGGGCACTATGGATTACCTACTTATGTCTCATGTTCAGCTATAAAAGCATGGAGAGTAGCAGCTAAGCTTTACGGCAGTTTTCTCTTTTTCTCCTCCTCTACTACCTTATATGAAGAATACTGGTGGTATTCCTCTTTTAGGTTTCAGTAGAGAGTTTGACTGAATTGACATTACCTTGTAATGATACAGAAGAGATGGACTTTGTGTGTTCTCTGTATTGAAGACATGAGCTTTTTACCCAGAGGAATGACCAAAGTAGATGCTGAGATGTAAAAAGGGTGGCTTGTGCTAGATATTGTTATTGGCTTCTTCAGATCCTTTTGCCACCATTCTCCACTCTGTTCTGTGTCCCCAGGGGCTGGCCTTTCCCCACTAGATCAAAGAGCTCCTTGTCCTTTGGGTTTCAGGTGGGTGTGGTCAAAGAGGAGTGTTGTAGGAGGTTAGAAAGAAGGAAGAGTGAGGTCAGGGCATTGATTTTCCTAGATCTTTCCCTGCAGGTCACCTTAGGCTGACTGACTGTGTCCCTCCACGAAAAGTTACAGCTCCTGTAGGTGGCCCTCCCTCTCTGCAAAACTTTCTTTTCTTTCTGGGTTCCAGTAACCACTCTGTTCCTTGCCTCCTGTGGGTGGGCAATCATGGCACTTTGCTACTACAAACTCCAGAATGCTGAACCATTCTTTTGGTTTCCTTATACCCTCCTCTCACCTTTGTAAATGGCCCCTTTATTAAACTCTTCTCAAACCCTTCCCAATTCCTGCCAGGACCCTGATTGATACACTGAGCTTGGCCAATTGGTTGTGCTGCCCAGGACTTTCAGTCTGGAGCATGTAATGCAAAAACCCCCACCAATGGTTGGGAATTCATTTGTGGTAACCATGGTAGTGCCCAGTGGCAACAGCAATTGTGGCTAATGTCAGTGTCCTTCTTCTGCAGTGACCATAGCATCCTAGCCAGATCATTTCCTGTGTTTTGGCCCTTGGGGGAGCCCTTGGTTCTTGCTTATTTTCCAACCCTTGTACCTTAGCCTCCTAATAATTTTGTAAGCCTCCAATATCATTCTAAGAAATTCTATTTTTTTTTTTGAGATGGAGTGTCGCTGTGTCACCCAGGCTGGAGTGCAGTGGCATGATCTCGGCTCACTGCAACCTCCGCCTCCCAGGTTCAAGCGAATCTTCTGCCTCAGCCTCCCAAGAGAAATTCTCTTAAAAATTAATATAGCCAGAGATGTTTCCAGTACCTTTAACAAAAACCTTGACTGATACAGCCATTGAGGCAGATATTTGATGTCTGGTCCAAAGCTTTATTTTTTGGCCAAATTGAAACTGCATGGAGTTCTTTAAAAATGGCAGATTCAGTTAGTATGAACTCCTTTTGTTCATTGCCCGTGGCATTTCCCCTTCTTTCTACCTGGAATGTGGGCTGATGTTGGAGGCACAGCTGCCATTTTGCAACCACAAGTTAATCATAAGGAAAAGGCTAAGAATGTGGTAGAAGTCTTGGCCTAGATGTCCCTGTGCCTTTGGGCCAACATAGCAACAACATCTTCTAGAGGCTTTCTTCTTACCAGAGAAGAAAGAAAAGCCCTGCTTGGCTTAAGTCATTGTTTCTCATTTTGTTATTAACGTAACGAATTCCTTCTATTATAGTATTATTTACTTCTATCTCTACAACAATTCTACTTGAGATTGAATTCTCTGCGTATCAGGTGGAGATTCAGAGGCTGAGAGCAGACAAGTGACCAGTCCAAGTACATACAGCTAGTACTGGGGAAGGGACGCAAACTGAGAACAATGCCATGAATATGTTTTGGCCCATTCATTTGATAAGAATTTCAGGATTTCTTATCTTGTGCCAGGCCTGGGTCCAACATTTGAGATACAAAGATGGATACAACAGGGTCCTTGCCATTGAGGTCCACCAAAGTGGGCCAAGTGAGAGATGATGGGAAGTTGCCCAAGGAAGATAGAGAGGGCTGGGTAGAATTAAGAGACATTTAGAAGGAAGAATCGTAGGATTTGGTGATAGATTCAAAGGAGAGGACGGATATCTAAGTTTGTGGCTTGAACACTTGGGAGAAATGTGTGGTCATGACTGGTATAGAGAATATGCAAGGAAAGGCAGGAGTGGTGGGAGGCAGGTGGGAGGAGCCTGGAAGGCAGGCAACCAGATGCAGAATGGATTTTTGAAGCAGGGCAGCTCTGGGGAAGCAAGGGCTCCAGGCTGTTGTCATGGGATTGGTGACTGAGATAGAGTGGAGGTGAAAGTTGGGGCTGGCCTGAAAGCCTCAGCTGCTAACTATTAATGCCATATTCCCTATTCAACCCCTTCAGGGCAGCCTGGGCAACTGGAGCCACAGAGGAACAGCAAGAGGAGGGCTGTGCTTTCACATTGGACCCTTATAGAGGGCCTTGGCAGGCTCCCCTTCTCTCCCCAGCCATTTTCTGGGCTTGAATTCAGCATTCAGTCGCTCTCCTCATTAGAAAGAGTGGCTCTGTGGGTCTGCAGGATCACTCAATACAGTAAGTGAGCCAACCCCAGGGGTTCTTTCAGGTAACTAGTACTTAAGCCCGCCATTAGCCACCATTAGGGATGCCTTTACTGCTTAATGATCACCAGCTACAGGGCTTGGTGGGGCTGGACAGATGGAGAGCAGGGAGGAGCTTCCCCACAAAGAGGCCATTCCAATGTTCTTCTCCTGAGACCCCAGAATTGAGGCTGCTCTGCCCTCCAGGCACAGGATTAGTTACAGATCACTGGCCTGTCTTGGTTAGAATAGGTAGAAATCTATATTTGATGAGTCTATGGGAAGAAGGAAGGGGATGCTAGGAGAAGCTAAGGCTCCTGTTTCTTTCTGATGGGTGGGATCTAAGGGTATTTGTGCTCTCTCTCTCTCCCTCCCTCTGTATGTGTGTGTTCGTGTGTGTGTGTGTGTGTGTGTATGTATTTTGGGGAACCTGTTCTCCGCTCTGAGGGGGTCTGGGATTCAGGGTTAGATATCCCACTTTATATAATAGAAATTTCCCCAGGATCCACTAGTCCATGGGTATCAATGAAATCATGGGTAACAGAAATGGCTCAAATTTCACTGTCTTGTGTCCCCACCTTACCACCCTCTGAAAAATCTCGCAGTTTCCCAAGAATCCCTGGGACGTCTCTGGCACTTCTGGACACATATGCTGCTGTTTCAGTGAGCACCAAGTTGCCCTCTAGGGGGTGCTGCTGCTCCACTGGGCATGGCCCTGCAGACATCATTGCTGCTCTGCAGGTGCTGGGAACTCCGGGCACTGTTGCTGCTCTGCTGGGCACTGCAGCCTCTCCCTCTGCACTCCTGGGCAACCCTTTGAGCTCTGCTGCTGGTCTGCCAGGCCCAGAAGTGTCCACCAGTCACCACTATTGCCCCACTGTTGCTTCACTGGGCTCTGTTATTGCTGCCATCTCTCAAGGGACACAGTTCAGGGGGCCAAAGCTGAATAGTGGTCTGTTGTAGGTGGAGAAGAAGGGAGGAAGCCTCTCGCCTCTTGTGCTGCACTATCTTGGAGCCATCCCAAACTTCTATAAAGTTGGATGACACAGGCCCTCCTGTCTTTTTTTTTTTTTTTTGAAACAGAGTCTCGCTGTTGCCCAGGCTGGAGTGCAGTGGCGCGATCTCGGCTCACTGCAGGCTCTGCCGCCCCCGGGTTCACGCCATTCTCCTGCCTCAGCCTCCTGAGTAGCTGGGACTACAGGCGTCCGCCACCTTGCCTGGCTAATTTTTTGTATTTTTAGTAGAGACAGGGTTTCACCGTGTTAACCAGGATGGTCTCGATCTCCTGACCTCGTGATCTGCCCGCCTCGGCCTCCCAAAGCCTCCTGTCTTTACTTAGGTATTTTATTGTTCAGCAAATATTCATTTTCTCTCCCCAAACCTCTAGGAGAGAAATGTACTTCCCAACCATTAATGCTGAGCTTGGCCGCGTGACTTGCTTGGGCTAATGGGACATTAGCAGTTACAAAGCAAGCAAAAGCTTGGAATGTGCTTGCGCAGTTGGACTTGCTGCCTTCTTGGGCCTTTGCCATTGCTGGGAGAAGAACATGCCCTCCAGATCGAGAAACCTGGGGAACAAAGCCAGATACAGCAGGCCTATGGCTTGAGGCAGAGCCTCCCCAGTAGACCTGCAGATGCCAGAGTAGGGAGTAAATGCTGACTGTTGTATGCCACCAAGTTTTGGATGGTTTGTTATGCAGCATTATTGAGGCCATAGTTGACTGAGGTAAGCTCACTCCACTCTAAGATCCAGACGCGTGTCTATGGAAATAGACTAAGATGAGTTGGACTTAAGCCATCAGGTAGTAATGAGAAATTTCCTTTCATTGATTAAACTATCCAGCTGGGTCAGGTTATTTGAGTTTGATCCCTCCTTTACTTAGGATAAATTCTCTCAAAAGGCTCTCAGGTCTCATGCAAATGAGCTTCACAAGGGCCATCTATCTGAGTGTATTAGTCCCTTTTCATGCTGCTGATAAAGACATATCCGAGCCTGGGAAGAAAAAGAGGTTTAATTGGAATTACAGTTCCACATGGCTGGGGAGGCCTCAGAATCATGGCAGGGGTGAGAGGTATTTCCTACATTGTGGCAACAAGAGAAAAAATGAGGAAGAAGCAAAAGCAGAAACCCCTGATAAACCCATCAGATCTCATGAGACTTATTCACTATCACGACAGTAGCACAGGAAAGACCGGCCCCCATGATTCAATTACCTCCCCTTGGGTCCCTCCCACAACACTGAGACATGTGTAGACTCAAGCTGTATATTTCTCTGTTTGCAAACTTATGTTTATTAATTTTTATAAACACTCCAGAGCAGGGGTTGGCAAATTCTTTCTGTAAAGGTCCAGATCATAAATACTTTTGGTGTTGAGGACCATACGGTTTCAGTCACAACTACTCCACTCTGCCACTGTAGCTCAAAAGCTGACATAGACAATACTTAAATAAATAGACATGGATGTGTTTCAATAAAACTTTATTTACAGATACCTAGAGCCTGTTGACCGCTGCTCCGTGGCAAAAGCATTTTAGCTCTTCCTGCTACCAACACATGGCGGTAGCAATTGTGACTGGTTATCACCTGATTTGTTGGGGAATGTTTGCACTGTTTGTGTTACACTGAAGCTATTTTACAAATGTTGTTATCGTCATGACCAACAATAAGTGGAGAAGTGGAGAAGTGGCGAGTGAGCTTATTGAAAATGCTGGTTAGAAGAGACATATGGTTATGATGGAATCCAAAGTGGAATAATAATTTCAAAAATTGAAAGTGGTGAGAAAATGGATGTTGTAAGTGAAATGGGATACTTTTTTTTTTTTTTACAGTGTCATGATTGTGAAGGATAGAGAGTAAATCAAGCAACATGTAAAAAAATGCTGCACCCATGCTATTGACAATAATCAGCAAAACATAATGAGAAGCAATTGCCAAAAATCAAAAAAGGAGAAAAACTTTTGAGTGTATGGCTAGAGAGTAGAAGTATCAGTGGAGCCTCATTAGCCTAATATGAGTTCAGGAAAGGGTAGGAGTCTGTTTGAGAACTTAAAGGCCACGGTGAACTGTTGCTTGTTGCAAGCCATAAATGGTTTTTCAGGCTCAGGGCCCCTAAAGTCTATACAAGGTCAAAGAGATGTTGACACTGTAGCTGCTAAGACTTTCTCTGTAGAGAGCTTTAAGGAGGAGATTTACTTGCCTTAACAGATTTTAAAAGTGGGAGATATAGGGCTGTTTTGGAAAAAAACACATCAGAGCAAAACATATTATGTGAAGCATCAACTCACTCGTCTATCTAGTGGAAATGGGCCTGGGGATTACAAGCTTAACCTTCATGAGGTTCTTTGCAGTTGCAAACAAGCAGACTTACAAACAGCTGTTTGGAACTGAACTTGTTAACACACACACATGCGTGCACACACACATACCCATAAAACAAGGTAGTAAAATGAAGGGTAAAATCTGTTGCTTTGCAGAGCACAATATAGTCATAATTCACTTAATGACATTTTGGTCAATGTTGGATCACGTGTCCCAAAAGATGATAATACTATCTTTTTACTGTACCTTTGCTATGTTTACTTGCCATTGTGTTACAGTTGCCTGCAGTATTCAGTGCACTAACATGTTGTGCAGGTTTTAGCCTGGGAGCAACAGGTTATACCATATAGCCTGGGTGTGTAGTAGGCTATATCATCTAGGTTTGTGTAAATATTCTCTGTGATGTCTGCACAACAACGAAATTGCCCAAATGACCCGTCTCTCAAATGTATCCTGGTCTTAAGTGATGCATAACTTACTCAGTTTGGATGGGGGGATGGCGGGGAGGTTCTCAGCTCAGCTGCTCCCTCCTCACTCAGGGGCACGTGGGCTTAAGGAGATGGTTTGCAGGTGAAACACAGTGGTACAGTGGAATGAGTATGGGTTTTAGAGCCAGGCAGCTTTGGTTGGTGTCTGAATGTTGTCTATACTAATCATATAATCCTGGTTGCTACTGTGAGAAGCTTTCTACCTCCCTCAAAGGAAATGGAGGAGAAATGTATCCTTGGGAAAAAGGGGGGTGGATACCTCTGCTATGGAGACAGAGAGGGTAGTTATAGCACTGACCAAAAGGGGAATAATCAAGGCATTATAGCAACTTGTTAGCTTATAGGTTGATATGATAAGTAAAGGATCTGGGGAGAGGGGAAATATTGATCAAAGGGTACAAAGTTTCATTTAGGAGGAGTAAGTTCTCTGATCTATTGTACAGCATGATGGCTAGAGTTAATAATAATATGTATTTCAAAATTGCTAAAAGACTGGATTTCAAGTGTTCTCACCACAAAGAAATAATGAGTATGTGAAGGGATGGATATGTTAATTAGCCTGATTTGATAATTTCACAATATATACATGCATTGAAACATCATGTTGTACCCTAGAAATAGAAACAATTATTATTTGTCAATTTAAAAAGTGAGCTGAAAAACAAATTAATACAAGGGCAAATCCAAAGAACTGTAGTGGGGAAAGGAGTGAAAGGAGGGATTAGGGTGATTCTCACCAGAGGAGCGAGAGGTGACCTGGCTGTGGCCCTCCTTTCTTTGAGGTCCAGCATGAAGAGAGGGTGGTGGTGACTTGGGGGATGGAGCAGTCTACTTCTGGTATCTCAGGCTCAACGAGCTGTGTTAGTTAAGGTTCTCTTGGATGCAAGTAATAGAAACCAATTGGAAGTAGCTTAAGGTATATTATATTTGATTTATTAGAAATATGTTCTAGTGTCTCATGGAATTCAAAGAAACAATTGAATAACCTAGCTGAGGGAGGAACTTAGCAGTAGGAGTTCATAGACTTCCTTCCCTCTAGGGCAAAGCTTCTTTAACTTCAGTAGCATCAGAATCACCAGGAGGACTCCTGGGCCCCACCTCTAGCAGGAATTTGCTTTTTTTTTTTTTTTTTTTTTTTTTTTGAGACAGAGTCTTGCTCTGTCGCCAGGCCGAAGTGCAGTTGATCTCGGCTCACTGCAACCTCCAACTCATGGGTTCAAGTGATTCTCCTGCCTTGGCTTCCTGAGTAGCTGGGACTACAGGCACGTGCCACCATGCCCAGCTAATATTTGTATTTTTAGTAGAGATGGGGTTTCACCTTGCTGGCCAAGATGGTCTTGATCTCTTGACCTCGTGATCCACCCGCCTCGGCCTCCCAAAGTGCTGGGGTTACAGGCATGAGACACCATGCCCTGCCTAGGAATTTGCATTTCTAACACATTCCCAGGTGATACTGCTGCTGCTGCTCCTGCTGCTGCTGCTGCTGCTCTTCCTGCTGCTGCTGCTGCTCCTGCTGTTAGTTGGCCCAAGAGCACTGCTAATAGCGTGGCTCAGTGATCAGCTCCCAGCCCTGTCCCTTGGTTCAAATGACTTGGGCCATCCTGGTCAAGTGTTCTTCTCTGGTCCAATCATTTATGGCCAGGGGATGGAGTTACAGGGTGTAGACACAGCTGCCTGAGGGCCACCCCCAGTGTGTCATGAACACTTCAGAGAAAAGAAGGGCTTGGTGGATACAACAGAAGGTGTCTGCGATTCCACTCCTCACAAATGCTGCATTCAGGAATCCGAGTCTTGAACGCTGAAGTTCATTCTGTAGGGTTTGTCTTTGAGCTGCCACTCTGTCCCTTGGGATTCTCTCCACCAAGATTAGCCTTCAAGTGAGACACTGCCTTCCTGGCTCTTTGCTTTCTAGTCCCTTTAAACAAGTAAGTAGGGCATTTACATTTTAGTAGTAATCCCTACTGGAAAATCTAGAGGAGATAATACATCTAACTAACTTGTGAGAAGTTACACAAGTTTTGAAATGTTCTAAATCCCTTATAGTAGTAGGGTTGAAGACTCTTGGTTCTCCTCTGAGTGGGTAGCCTGGCTATATCATTGCTGTCCTCTGCCAGGAAGATCTCTCTTCTTAGCAGTAGGTCTGCCTTTGCTACCAGGGCAGAGACACAGAAGCTTTATTCTCTCAGTGGTTTATTATAATACATCTTTGGGGACAGCCCTAGAGTGATCCCCACTGGGCATTTCCCCAGGAAACAAAATCCTGAGGAGGGAACTGCAGATGCCTGGATTCCTGCCTTTTCTGTTTACTTACAACATCTTTATTTATTTCTTGGAGGACAACAAGCTTTCGAAAAAAAACAAATAAATAAACTAAACCCTAGTTGTGTTTGGAGCAGAAAGAACAAGGGAGGTATTGCCTGCCACTGTGGAGGGAAAACACACAGGAAAATAGAGAGAAAGCAGACTTATGCTGCCATTTAGCAAAGTATTTTCTGCCAGAGAAATGGATACTCAGAGTGGTGAGGGCACACGAAGCTTCGGCAGGGGGAGCCCGTCCTAAGTAGAGAGGCTAAAACAGAGTGCAGAATCACTGACACAGGACTGGGAAAGATCTTCAAGGATGACTTCCCTCTATAACCTCTCCACCAGGTAGTTATCCAGCTTTTGCTTGAACCTTTCCAGTGACAGGGAGCTCACCACCTGTAAAGTCAGCCTACTCTTTCTTGGGGTGGTTCTGACACTTAGAAAGTTGTTCCATGTAGTGGTCTGTCATTTCTCCAGGCTGACAATGACAAGTTTACCAGGTCCCTTTGTGGTTGGGTTATTGCACTAGCCTTGAGCTGAAACTGTGGAAAGTATGAGAATCAGGCACCAAATCAGAATCCCAATTCAGAAAAGGAATTAGATTTTGCCTGAGACCCTTCATATCTAAAGCAATACAAAGATTAAATGTGAGTGGTACTGAAACTTGTAGTGATAAGGCCCCTTGTGGAGGAGGAATGGAACAGGCTGAGTCATTCCAGTCTCTTCTCTTCTGTCCTGAACAGTTCAGCTCTCCCCCAAACTTGCACAGCCCACTGAGCAATACAAAAGGACTGCAGTGAACCAGACTGAGCCTCCTTACAAGGCAGCAGGCCACCTATTATTTCTTAAGCATGTGCTTTGAGGCTTTACCTCCACAACTGGCTTAGCAGAGTCTTCTTTTCCAAGCACAGAGAGAATATTCTCCCTGAGAAGAGTTCTGTGAATATAATTTTCTCCATATCATTGCATATATAATAATATCTCTATGTCTCTAATGCATTGGGCTAGATTTGATTAATCCATTCCTTTTTTTTTTTTTTTGATGGAGTCTTGCACTGTCGCCCAGGCTGGAGTGCAGTGGCACGACCTTGGCTCACTGCAACCTCTGCCTCCCGGGTTCAAGCTATTCTCCTGCCTCAGCCTCCTGAGTAGCTAGGATTACAGGCACCCACCATCATGCCTGGCTAACTTTTTGTATTTTTAGTAGAAATGGGGTTTCACTATGTTGGCCAGGCTGGTCTCGAACTCCTGACCTTGTGATAGTCTGCCTCGGCCTTCCAAAATGCTGGGATTACAAGCTTGAGCCACCGCGCCCGGCCTCCATCCCCCCTTTTATTCACTCTTCCCTACTCTTTCCTAGGATGAAGTCTCTGGTGTTAGTTTTGGCCTCAAGCTCTGTTTTCTAAGGAACCTGGGTATGTTCCATTTCTTTTCTTTCTTTCTTTTTTATTTTTGAGACAGAGTCTCCCTCTGTCATCCAGGCTGGAGTACAATGGCACCATCTTAGTTCACTGCAAACTCTGCCTCCTGAGTTCAAGCGATTCTCCGGCCTCATCCTCCCAAGTAGCTGAGATTACAGGCACACGCCACCAGGCCCAGCTAATTTTTTCTTTTTTTTTTTGTAGAGATGGGGTTTCACCATGTTGGCCAGGCTGGTCTCGAACTCCTGACCTTAGGTAATCTGCCCGCCTTGGCCTTCCAAAGTGCTGGGATTACAGGTGTGAGCCACTGGGCCCGGCCCCATTTCTTCAATCGTTGTATTCCCAGTGTCTGGCCCAAGTGCTAGGAAATAATAGGCACTCAGTGTACTCTTGTGACTATGATCCTTTTTTGGTATTGAGGGGTCAAATCAATATTTCAAGACCCATTCTGGAGGCTGCCAGGGTCTGGACAGAAAAGCAGCAGCAGGTGCTCTCTGGGAGGGAAAGGGGTAAAATGGAGCTCAGAATTCCCGATTAAGGCACGTTTCAAAAAGGAGACCTGCTTCTAACCTTCAGGTGTCTCCTCCCAACCCCCACCAGGCCAACCCTGTGAAGGGGGATTGAGTAGTTTACAGTGTCCTTGCTTGCTCCCTTCTCCTTAGCCTGGAGAAGGCTTCCCAGAACCTGTTCACCTGAGACAGCCACTCAGCCTCACAGCACGAACAAAGGGCTGTCTGGGCCTTGGCTCTCAGCCAAGGATGCCTTCTAGGTGTTGTCATGGCAATGTCGGAGTCAGGGGTTGCTCACCACAACTCTGCTTTGATTGTAAAAAGTAAATTCCTTCTTCCTTTTCCCTGAAGTGTCAGGTGAAACCTTTCCTGCTGTGAGATGAGGGTGGGGGAGGCCCCCCTGTTGGAGCAGGTGCCTGGATGTGAGTCATCTCTGAACCAGCCTGCCTGGACTCCCAGGGAGTGAGGTACTCAGAAAGCATCGTATGTCAGAGTCAGGGAACTGGAGATCACACAGCGGACCAATCAGCTCCTTGTCCAGACTGGAGACAATTCAAATGGTCAGTGCCTGCAACCAAGGACATCTCTGATACTGGGGTGACTTAGGAACTTATAGGATCAGCTTGTCTGTTCTGGGCTGGTGAGGATTGGTTTGGGAGTTCACTGGGTGCCCTTTGTTAACAATGAGAATGACAACAACAGTTGCTAGCCCTTGTATAATGCTTACCATGTACCAGGCGCTGATCCAAGGAACATGGTAAGGAGCTTGGATTGGCTTCAGTGGGGCATGTCAAATGCCCAGCACAACACCTGGCATATAGAAGTGTTCAATAAATAGAGCTGCTATTGTCATTATCAGATGTTGTCATTATCAGACTCTGATCCCACCTACGCCTTCTCTAGTAGGTCTGTTTGACTGCTGAGGTCATTTCAAGGTAGCTGGAGGTCACCTTGCCCGCTTGGATTTAGGATGTAATTGCCAATCTGAAGGATCAAACTACACATTACATTTCCTTATTCCTAGTTCCCCAGAGCCCTGCTCTGGCCCCAGCTAACCCTGTTCTCTTCTGTGGGAGTTCTAATGCGTTCCTAAGGGTTCAATGTCCACAGACCCTCTGGCTGGACCCCTGTTCTAGTGATCAGTTTGGCAAGGATCCAACTTAAAGAAATCCCCAGGTTGTATTTGTGTCCTGCCGCCAGGCTCAGCATAATGGCCATGACAGTTGAAGTAAGCAATTGGCCAATTTTCTTCAGGAACGTTTGAAATAAAAAGCAGTTTGTCTGAGTGGAGGGAATTGTGAGAGCCCCAAATGGAATTGCTTAAATTTATTGCTGGAGAGTTTTTACATATTGAGCCAAAGGCATATCTTTTTGCACTTGGTCTTGAGTTTTCGGGAGTGCTGCACTGCCTTGGAGATGGAGAGGTCTGGGCTGGCTCCAGAGTTGGCCTGTAGGAAGATCCATCCCATCCCCAGACCTTCCACGAGCAGTCTTAGGTCTGCCCCATCCTGTGGGAAAGATTTGAATGCCAGGATGGGAAACACTCCAGGCTTTTTCAGTGGAAAGTGAAAAGTGGTACCTGCATCTCAAAATAGGACGTTGACCAAGACTTATCATCCGTAGCATCAGCCATGATCTTTAGCTGCTGAGCGGATCAGAGGCTGCAGCAGATACGACTTTTCAGGTGGGTCTTTCAGCCATTTAGTGGATGAGCACAGCAGGCAGGAAATGTGGGGGCTGCCAGGAAAGAGCCCCTGCCGCAGTTTTTCTGGTTGGGACAGACACAATTTTGACCTCAAGTTCTAGAAGGCACTGGGGACTTCAACACAAGTCAACACTAGAATAAGATGGAAATTATTTGCAGGAACAGCAGGGAAATGTAGTCAAAGGAGGTAGGCCAGGTTATTATCAGACCAGAGATCTGGTCTGACTTGGCAGTAATTCACTGTGTGACCATGGGCAAGCCACTTTTCTTAGGACCTCAGTTTCCCTATATGTAAAATGAGGTAGTTAGAATAATTTGAGGCCCTGCCCAGCTCCAACATACTGTGATCTGTCTCCTTATGGATCATACCCCAAAACCTTCCCTCTCTTTACCTGTCTCTCTCTCCAAATATGACTTACATATTTTATTTTTTTAAAAAATGTAAATATTTATTTATTTATTTGAGACAGGGTCTGTGTCACCTAGGCTGGAGTGCAGTGGCACAATCTTGGCTCATTGTAAACTCTGCCTTCTGGGTTCAAGTGATTCTCCAGTCTCAGCCTCCCCAGTAGCTGGGACCACAGGCATGCACCACCATTTTTTGTATGCTTTTGTAGAGATGGGGTTTTACTATGTTGCCCAGGCTGGTCTTGAACTCCTGAGCACATGTCATACACCTGCCTCAGCCTCCCAAAATGCTGGGATTACAGCTGTGAGCCACCACACCCAGCCTGACTTACATATTTTATACACATTGAAGACGCCTCATGCAATACTGACCTCAGTGCATTTAGATATACTGACAGGAGGCATCCTGGTGCAGGGAAAATAGTGTTGTCCCAGGAGTCAGCCGATCTGGTTCAAGTCCTGGCTCTGCCTCTCATGCTCTGTGACCTTGAACAAGTTACTTACCCTTTCTGACCCTCAGTCTCTTTCTCTAAGCCTAGGAATAATGTTGTGGGGATGAAATAAGACAGTGTCATAAATCATCAAGGATTAAGCTGGGCAAACATACGTGCTCACTCAGCATGAATTTCCTTCCTCTTCCCATGCTCAGACCCATGTAAGCTGCATCACCTACAGTACTGCTGGATGAGGGAGGACCCCGCTTTGATCTTATGCATGAGTTTGTACTCTAAAGGGGAAGTGTTATCTTTCATGTTATCCTCTAAGCAGCTGGAATGAAAGATTCTTGGACCAAATGATAGGTATTCTTGGAAGTGCTACTTTGATAAATGGCTTGAGCTGGGGATTGGGTGAGACTCCTGGGATTATCCTTAAGTAAAATAGATTGTAGCAAAACTGCCTTCTAAAGAAGGTAGGTCCTATTAATTGCAGAACTTTTGCTGAGCAAAGAGATTGAATGAGGGATGTGAATCTAGGAAAGGGGCTGAATTACTCTGAGCTATAGAGGAGAGGGACACTGGTGGATCTAGAGGAAAGAAAAAGAGCCAAGTGATGGCACAAGAGAGAAGGGGCTTTGAGGAAAAGTTGGAAGCATTTAAGGGCGATTTTTAAAAAGCAGCAGGCCTACTCACATCATTACACATACACAGAGATTTACCCTGTATCAGAGATGTTACAGAGAGACACAAGTATGCCCACATACAGACATGGTGCTGTCTATAGGCATGTAAATAAATCTCTATGTGTGTATGTGTGTGTGAGACAGAGAGAGCGAGCGAGCACATGCCCATGTGCGCACATGCTCTCTGGCACTGGAGACAGCTGTGCTCTAAGCCTTATGGACACTAGTCTATCTGTATTTAGTCTGTATTAAGCCTTCTCCCTTTACCTCCTCCCATGCCATGAGGCCTGGCTGGGGTCAGAACTGCTCTGTTCGTAGAAGTGGTGTTCAGAACCCTGCACTGGCTTACCAGACTGAGCAGGATGGTGGGGTACCTGGAGAAAGTGACGTTTCTCACTCTCTCGCATTTGGTGGCCCAAATAATAACATATTTTTTTTTGCTTGTAAAAGTAATATGCTCACTCACTACTATGTGCCAGGTGCTGTACTAAGCACTGGGAATATACTAATGAGCAAAGGAAGCATGGACCTGACCTTTCTGCCCTCATGTAGGATAAGGGGATGAACCCAGGCCTTGAGGACCTAAAAGAAACTCAGGAGTGCTTGGAGTGTAGACAAGGAGAGGGAGTGCAACAGTGGATGAGTCTGGAAATGGACACAGGCCAGATCACAAGGGGTTGTAAAATATGTTCAAAGATTTGAACTTGATCTTCAGGGCCACAGGGAGCCATTGAAGAGTTTTTAGCTTTGCTTTCTAGAAAGATCACTTTGGCTTCACTGTGCATGCTGAGTCCTTTCCTTAGAGCCAGAGTCCTTTACAGCCTCTATGATGAAAGGCAGCAAAGTCCAGCCAGGACCCAAGATCACGGGCTTGGGTGAGGCCTGGCCATACACCATGGGCTGGATTCTCTCCTTCCAGTCACCCCAATTCATGTGCACAGGCTGAGGCTTCATGGTGGCAACATACAGTCAATCATTTTCAGATATTTGACTTTAAATAACACTTACTGAGTGTCTAAAATTTGCCCCTTTGGATTGCATCATTTCATGCTCACATTAGCCTTACAAAGCATGTAGAACAACTTTCATGTTAGAGGAAGAGACAAGGGGCTAACGTTTGCTGTGGAGTCCTATCCATATTCCAGGTATGGAACTAGGGGCTGACCTTACTTAATCCCATCTGAACATCTATGATATTAGGGCTGTTATCTTCATTTTAAGATAAAGAAGTTAACAACACAGGTGAAGCAGTTTATCCAAGAACCTCAAGTAAGTGGTGCAACTGGGAATTTTTTCCCCAAGTTCTTGAGCTGCAAGTCAAGTTCATTTTGCTAGGTTATTTCCTGAAAACTTAACAAAAAAGTCTTCTCTTGCCTAGCAGAGTCATCCTCAGTCTTGTGTGCTGCTTGGGAAAGACACGATGGAGTGAAGACAAGGGCGACTGCAGAGGCTCAGGGCATCCTTGGGCTGGCAGACTGAGAGGGTGAGCTTGCTGCAGCTCCCTGGGGATGGCACGGATTCCCACATCCTCCTACTGCCCCACCAGAAATGTAATTCAGGGCTGAAGAAGGCAGGGGTCAAGGGCTTTGCTGTACACCAGTTCACATGCTCAGTTATCACATGAGTTAAGCCTCTCAGGGTCAGCCAGTTGTGGGAAAAGAGTCAGGCAGGGATAAATGGCAGGAGGTAGCACAGTGTGGGATCATAAGTTTTGAAGTCAGAGCTCTCTGGGTTTAAATGCAAGCTCTGCTATTTAGGAGCCATGGAAACTTTGCTCTATACCAAGTTACTTTGAGGAAGCTTCTTTGCCTGTGTGACTTTGGGCAAGCCTGTTTGTACCTCCGTTTGCTCATCTGTAAAATGGAGATTATAACACTTCTTACCCCTCTGAATTTTTGTGTGGATGAATAAAATAATGCAAGGCATTAACCCAGCACCTGCATGTTCTGAGTTCACAATAACTGCTACCTATAATTGGCAGCCATTGACTAATGAGCCAAATCTAAGATGAGAATTAAACTCTTGGCATAGAGTTTGGGTGGTGGTGGTATGTGTTAAATGGCAAAATTTTTTTGTTTGTTTGTTTGTTTGGAGATGGAGTCTTGCTCTGTTGCCCAGGCTGGAGTGCAATGGTGTGATCTCGGCTCACTGCAACCTCCACTTCCCGGGTTCAAGCAATTCTCATACCTCAGCCTCCTAAGTAGCTTGGATTACAGGCACCCACCATCATGCCCAGCTAATTTTTGTATTTTTATAGAGATGGGGTTTCACCGTGTTGGCCAGGCTGGTCTTGAACTCCTGACCTCAGGTGATCCACCTGCCTCGGCCTCCCAAGGTGCTGGGATTACCAGTGTGAGCCACTGTGCCCAGCCCAAATGGCAAAATGTTTTAAGAGTACCCAGCATAGTGATGACCCCCAGCACAGTACCTAAGGGGTGCCCAATCCTCGTGTCTGTCCTGGTTTCCCTCTTCCTGGGTCTGTGGAAGAGAAATCAGCAGATGTTTTCAGTGGCTGCAAATATTTACTAGAAATCTTCAAGGTTGGTCCTTTGCTTTGTCAATCCTTGAGGGAGTAGCTTGGATTGTGTTTGCCGCCACACACCTCCTGTCTGTCTGCACGCTGGACTGCCAGGAGAGCTATGAAATAATAAAGTTATTCCTCTCCCCAGATGGCAATCCCCCACATTACTTCACTTTATCTATTACACACGTCTTTTGAGCAGCTTTTTCCCTGCCCTGATCACAAAGGGTAATGAGGGGTGAGGCTTGCTCTTGCTGTAATTCCAATGCAGAGCTGTACTCCAGTTAGATTTCCAAGTCACTTCAGCAACTTGGGACTTTTGAGTCCTGCTAGGAATCATGAGGTGGGAATTAGGGAGCTTCTCATTGCCTTGGTGACCACATTCCACCCTGTTCCCAAAGGTGGCAACAAGGTAATTAGAGCCCTTCACTCAGTGCACACTTATCAAGTCAGGGAGCCTCGTGGTTTGGAGATTAATTACTTTCTACTCAAGGCAAGTCCCTTTTTGGTTGCCAGGAACAGACTTTGACCTTCATATCTTTCTTTATTTTTCATCCCATTTTCCTCCTTCTTTTCACAGCAAAACTCCTCACGAGTCACCTGTACTTCCTCTACTCTCTTTCTCTCGTGGCTCACTTCAGTCCCGGAGTCTCCACTGAAACAGCGTTTGTCAAGGTCACCGATGAGCTGTGTGTTGTTACATCCCATGGCCAGTCTCAGAGGCTGGTGGTTCTCAGCAGCACTTGCTCCTGCTGAGCACACCTCTGTCTTGAAACACTTTCTTGGCTTGGCTTCTGGGTCATCAGTCCCTCTTGCTTTTCTATTTCATTGGTGTCCCCTTTTCAGGCTCTTCTGGATTCATCTCATCCTCACAACCTCAGAGATCTCTTCTCATTTCTTTCTTTTTTTTTTTTTTTTGAAGAATAATGTAGATTTTGTTGCAGATTTTTACCTGGAATATGACATAGAAGACTTCTACAAATCCTTCTTAGATGCCTCTTATGCTCATGTTTTTCAACAGAAAGTGAATGTTTGGCTCTCTCATGCTCCCTCCTAGTGCCTGATCATGTACCCTTAGCTCCATTCATTTCTTCATCACTTTCATCAACCACCCTCCCAAGAGCATATTCCTAGTCCCCCTAAGAAATGCTGTTTATCTTCAACTCCCTTTGTTACACTTACTCCCTACCTGGGTTACATAAATACACTCAAGCCTCCTTCACAGACTTCCCAGCGTGCTGGATCCCTCACTTTCTCATCATTACAGATCAGCCTCAGCGTTCATTTCATATCATGCTGAAACCTGCATGGAACACCTCTCTCATCTGAAACTATAGTTTAAAGAAGATTAGGATTTTAAAGCAAGCTCAACATCAGATGATCGCCCCTGGCAATTAATATATGGGCAAGCTGAGACCCTGAGAGAGGAGCGTGTTAGATGCCCCAGAACACTGTTGTTAGCAATACCATGCTAGGAAGAGGAGGAGCTTCATGTGAGTTGAGTATAGTCCACTGCATGCTTCCTTCCTGCCTTGATGTTGCTTTGACCTCACTAATCACCACCTGGGAGAAGCCCCGCCTGCTGAGGTGAGTGGCTCTGCTCAGGCCCACCACAGCACCCTGTGACCCCTTAGTATCCTGCTGCCCCGGTGGGTTGAATCATAACCATCCCTAGCCCGTGAGTTCACTGTCATGGGGATGATGCCATTTCTATTGGTGAGCTCCAAGCCCTTATTAGGAGCTGACATATTTGTAGAACTCAGACTCAAACCAAAGCTTTAAATCCAGCTTCTTCAATAAACAAAACTTTAGGTTTTTACTTAATTTTTAAACTTTTATTTTAGGTTCAGGGGTACAAGTGCAGGGTTATTATGTAGGTAAACTCATGCTGCAGGAATCTGTGGTACAGATTATTTCGTCATGCAGGTACTAAGCTCTAGTAACCAACAGTTTAAAAAGTTTTTTTTTTGTTTTTTTTTTTTGTTTTTTTTTTAGATGGAATCTCACTCTGTCACCAGGCTGGAGTGCAGTGGTATGATCTTGGCTCACTGCCACCTCTGCCTCCTGGGTTCAAGTGATTCTTCTGTCTCAGCCTCCCAAGTAGCTGGGATTAGAGGTGCGCACCACCATGCCCAGCTAATTTTTGCATTTTAGTAGAGATCTGGTTTCATCATGTTGGCCAGGCTGGTCTTGAACTCCTGAGCTCAGGTGACTGTGTGATCTTTTAAAAACAAAGAGTGAATCATGTCATTCATCTGCTCAATTCCTCCAGTGACTCCTCATCTCAGTTGCAACAAAATACAAAGCGCTTGTCATCATCCACAAGCCTGGCATGGCCTCTTCATTTCTGTCACCTCTTTGCCTAAATCCCTCCCTTCCCTCAGTTGACCTTAGAGCACCCTCCTCTGTTTACTGAGCACATTAAACACACTCCTGTTTGCACTGGTCATTCTTTCTGCCTGGAACGCTCTACCCCCAGAGGTCTGCACAGTCATTTGCTCACACCTTCCATCTCTGCTCAAATACTAACTTATCAGAGAAGCTCCCTTGATCTCCACTCTATAAGATGATTCTTTGCCCTCCCTAGCAATTCTTAAAAATCTGCCTGATGGTGGTGGTTGTTGTTTGTAGTCTCATTGTTGCTCATTTTTGTGATTCTGTCCTGTACTTCTTTAAGCATTTCATATAAAGTTGTTTTCTATTCTGTGTTTCACAATTCTAGTATCTGAAGTCTTGGGGTGAGGGGCAGATTAAATCTATTGTTTGTTGATTCTGTACTTATTCATGGTGCTTTGTTTCCTTGTGTGTTTGGTGATCACTGGATGCGAGTTTATATATGGTTGATCTTAATGTATGGAAAATCTGGGTCAATAAATTGAGGATGCTTTCTTCCAGAGAAGATTTATATTTATCTCTGCCAGGCACCATAGGGCATGGTCAACTGGAAATCTTTTTAGCCCTCTTTAGAATTCCTGGCTAAATGTGAGAGTCAGGCTTGGGTCTCATACTGTGCTGTGCTGGCTCAAGGCTTGTTTCTAGGTTGCATCTCTCCCTGAAGCCTCACAGCTCACTATTACTCATGGTTCATGGCCTCTTTCTTCCAGCCCCTTGGAGATTTACCCCATCTCTCCGGAGCCTAATAATGTGGTTAAAATTGTGTTATGTACAGTGCACAGTTTTGCCTGAGTAGAAGAGCTTCTCAAAATATCTTGGCCATAGTTCCAGAAGTCAAAGCATCTTTGCACTATCTTGAGTTCCTTATCTAGTTTTAATTTTTAAAATAGCACTTAATCACAATCTGACACATTACTTTATTTATTTATTTTATGTCTTACCCACCAAAATGCAAGCCACAGGAGAGCAGGGATTTCAGCTGATTTGTTCATTGCTATATCCCTGGCACCTAGAACAACACAATTGTGTGTAGGTGTTCAATAAATAGTGTTGAATGAAAGAACACAGACTCCTTTACATTGGTTCAAGCAAAGGTAGTTATTTTAAGACTGCACATGGAGAGATGGGAACTCCCAAGACAATCTGAGAACAGGAAGAGTAGCTGGGCTGGGCTTCACAGGATGGGAAGCAGTGGCTGCTTTCGATTTAAGGTGGTTCTGGGTTCTTCCAGCAGCAGAACCCCCCTTCTGCTCTGCTTCTAAGGTATATCAGCTACTCCCACCCCATATCTATTTCTTCTCTTTCCTTATAATTTTCTATTGCATTTGACCTTGATTTGCCATTGTCCTAACTTAAGATACCCTTTTAAATTCTTCCTTAGCTACTAACTGGAAAATTCTTTTTTCCTTGGGTCATATTCTTAAGAAAAAAGATTAAAAGATGATCTAGCCTTTTTTTTTTCTTTTTAAAGCCAGGCCACACCGTCTTCGGCTAGGGCCATGGATTTTAAGAATGCCCATAGAGAGAAGAGAACCCTCAAGTCAATCCATGAACAGGAGAAGGAGTGGGCGGAGCTCCAAAAGGCTGGGAAGCAGTGGCTGCTTCTGGACATAACCAGATTATAGTTCTGGGTTTTGGTCAGGTGTCCACCCTCAGAACCAATGAAATATGGTAGATAAAAGGGATGGTCAGATAAGAAAATATGGAAGCTGGGCAGCAGGAGTCTGAGTGAAGTAATTTCTTTTAAAAAGGGGTATGGGTGGGGCATATAAGGAGACTGCTAATTCATAACAATCTCTGAGAGTGAAACTATGGAAAATTAACATTTGATGGAATAAATCAGCATCTTGAGAAGGTAGAGACCCACCTTGAGTGATGACAAGACACCCAAGTTCAATTAAGGAAATGAGGCAGTAGTCTCAGGAAGGTGAGATTACACTAAATAAAGCTGTAGCCTGATCAATGACACTGAACCATGTTCCAAGTGGTCAATCAGAGAGCGAGAAATGTCAGTGTCTCTTCTTGCTCTTGCCCAGGGGAGAGAGGCCAGTGCTCAAGGTAGCATGGTGTTCAGTTGATCCAGCTAGTCTAGTAAAGAGTGTGAATTAAACAGTTACCCACACACACAAGCTAAATAGTGCTTAGGGCTATGAAGGAAGAGAACAGGGGCCTATGAGAGTTTGGATTTGATCTAGGCTGGGGGTGTGGGAAGTGGTTCAGAAAAGGCTGCTTGGAAGAAATGAACTTTGATCTGACATTTAAAGGTGGTTTGGAAGTTTAATAGGCAAAAGTTGGGGATGGGAAAAGTGTTACCGCAGGACAAAATAGCCCTGAGGTTATTTGCTGTTCTTCAGACCCGTCTTCAGCACTTTCCTGCCTAGGTCTTTGCATTGACTGTTTTCTTTGCCTAGAAAGCCCTTCCTCTGGATAATTCGATGGCTCACTCTGTGCTCAAAGATCCCTTTCCGGCACTCTAGCGAGCACAGCACCCCTCAACATTCCGTATCCCCTTTCCCTGATTGATGCTTCTTGGCATCACTTGTTCACCCCCTGATTTTGTGTTGCAAAGTGCTTTGTTTATGATGTATTCCCTCACTACAAGATAGGCTTCATGAGGGCAACAATTTTGTCTCTTTTGTTCATTTCTATATATCCATACCAGTGTCCAGTATATGGTCTGCCTCAATAAACATATATTAAAAGATTAAAACAAGGTACTTCTAGGAACGGGAGAAAGGCCAGCGTGGCTGGACTTTAATGAGAAAGAAGGAGGATAGTAAGAAAGGAGGCGAGACAGATAGGTGGGGTCCTCATTGCAGGATAGTGTGGACTTTGTTCTAGAGTTTAGGGCCCATTCTATGAGCAATGGAAAGCCACTGAAGGTTTTAAAAATGGGAGTATTGAAATTAAATTTCTATTTTAAGACTTTTTTTGGCTTTGGTGGAGAGACTGTATCGTTAGGGGTAGGGAAATGTGGAGGGGTGGAGACCAGTTAGGAGGCTATTGCAGTTTTCCAGCCTGGGGATAATGGTGCCTTGGACTAGGGTGATGATGGTGGAGGTGAGAAGAATAAGGTGAACGCAAATAATGTTTATAAGGCAGAATCAGTAGGATGTGGAGTTAGATTTGGAGGAGTCAGAGGTGTTTGAAACAGAAAGACTCCATCTTGAATAGGGGCTGGATAAAATAAGACTGAGACCTACTGGGCTGCATTCCCAGGAGATTAGGCTTTCTAAGTCACAGGATGAGATAGGAGGTTGGCATGAGGTATGGGTGTTAAAGACCTTGCTGATTAAACAGGATACAGTAAAGAAGCTGGCCAAAACCCCCCAAAACCAAGATGGTGAAGAGAGTGACCTCTGCTCATTCTCACTGCTCATTATATGCTAATTATAATACATTAGCATGCTAAAAGACACTCCTACCAACACCATGACAGTTTACAAATGCCATGGCAACATCAGGAAGTTACCCTATATAGTCTAAAATGGGAAGGAACCCTCAGTTCTGGGAATTACCCACCTCTTTCCCCAAAAACTCATGAATAATTCACCTCTTGTTTAGCATATAATCAAGAAGTAATAATAAATACAAGCAGCTGAGCAGCTAAAGCCACTGCTCTGTCTCTGGAGTAGCATTCTTTATTCCTTTACTTTCTTAATAAACTTGCTCTCACTTTATGAGCTTGACTCAAATTCTTTCTTGTGGGAGATTCAAGAGCCCTCTCTTAGGGTCTGGATCGGGACCCCTTTCTGGTAACAGAGGTACATATAGAGAAAGAGGTGTCAAGGATTAGTCCTAGGTTTCTGACTTATGGAACTAATGGAGGGCGGTCCGTTTGCTCAAATGGAACTTTGGAGGAGTATGTGTAAGGGAAGGAGAGGGTCAGAGAGATTGGTAAAAATCAGATTACACCAGGCGCTGAGATACTGGAGTTTAAGATTTGGAAGGTGGGGCAGGTCTAGGGGATAGCCATGTCTGGGGAAAACCTTGGGATTTGGTGGATTAATTCACTGGAAAAATATTTATTGAACATCTGTTATGTTTCAGGCACTATTTGGACTATGGTCCTAGCCTACGAGGGCAAACAAAGCCTTTGCCCTCAGCTAGGAGAGTCAGATTGAACTATTGTCCACATTAAAAAAATCTGTAATTCCAGATGGTATGAAGAAAAACAAAGCAGAGTAAAGGGACAAAGGGTGGAGTCGGGGTGGAGTGTATCTAGGCAGGGTGGTCAGAAAGGCCTTCCTGAAGGTAACAGTCAGATGAAGACTCATGAGATGAGAAGGAGCCATTTGCAGGCAGGTCTATGGGAAGAGCATTCCTGGTAGAGGAAACAGTGAGTGCAAAAGCCCTGAGGTGGGAAAAGCTTGATGTGCTTAAGGAATAGCAAGAAAGCCGGTATAGCAGAAACGAAGTGGCAGGAGCACTTGCAGAAGAAAGGGTAGAAGTAGGCAGCGAGCAGGAATAGGAAAAGGTGCTCTCCATCACTAATCACAAGGGAAATGCAAATTAAGACCACAGTGAGATATCACTCCATATCTGAGAGAATGGCTATTATCTTTTTTTTTTTTTTTTTTTTTTTTTTGCTTTGAGATGGAGTTTTGCTCTTGTCGCCCAGGCTGGAGTGCAATGGCACAATCTCAGCTCGCCACAACCTCTGCCTCCCAGGTTCAAGTGATTCTCCTGCCTCAGCCTCCCAAGTAGCTGGGATTACAGGCATGTGCCACCATGCCCGGCTAATTTTGTATTTTTAGTACAGATGGGGTTTCACCATGTTGGCCAGGCCTCAAACTCCTGAGCTCAGGTGATCCACTTGCCTCAGCCTCCCAAAGTCCTGGGATTACAGGTGTGAGCCACCGCGCCTAGCATTATCAATAAAATTAAAGATAGTGAGTGTTGGCAAGGATGTAGAGAAAAGGGAACCCTTGAGCATTGTTGGTGGGAATGTAAGTTAGAAAAGCCATTATGGAAAACAGTATGGAGGTTCCTCAAAATATTCAAAATGAACTACCATATGATCCAGCAATCCCATTACTGGGTATAGATACAGCCAAAGAAAAGGAAACCAGTGTGTGGAACAGATATGTGCACTTCCATGTTTGTTAACAGCACTGTTCACAGTAGCCAAGACAAGCACTCAACCTAAGCATCCGTCAGTGGGTACACGGATAAAGAAAATGTGGGATACATACACAATGGGATGCTATTCAGCCTTGAAAAAGAAGGAAATTCTGTCATTTGAGACAACATGGATGAACCTGGAGGTCATTATATTAAGTGAAATAAGCCAGTCACAGAAAGACAAATACCACATGATCTCATTCATATGTGGAATCTAAAAAGGTGGAAAGTAGAACGCTGGTTACCAAAGGCTGAGGGCGAGGGGTGTGGGGCTGGGGAGGTGTTGGTCAAAGGATACAACATTTCAGTTAGGAGAAAGACATTCAAGGGATCTATTGTACAACATGGTGACTATAGTTAATAACAATATATGCTTGAAAATCATCAAGAGAGTAGATTTTTAGTGTTCTCACCACAAAAACGATAAAAATGTGAGGTAAGGCATGTGTTAATTAGCTCAATTTAGCCATTTCACAATGCACACATATTTCAAAAGGTAATTGTTGTACACAGTAAATAGGTATGATTTTTGTCAATTAAAAATATAAATAAATAAATTTTTCAAAAAGAAGAAGTGGGCAGGGCAGATCAGGTCAGCCCTTTTCTGTCCATGTTTAGGACGCAGAAATTACTCTAATTGCAATGAGAAAGCATCGGTGGGTTTTAGGTGGGGAGTGCTTTCGTCTGACAAATGTTTTTAAAGGTCACCCTCACTATCATGTGGAGAATGGATTGGAAGAGGCAAGAATGGAGAAAGGCAAACCAATGAGGATGTTCCTACCGGGATCTGGGGGAGAAGGGATGGTGAACGGGTTGCGGGGGTCAGGTGGGCTGGAGCTGACCAGCTGGCTTGGGGATGCCTTTGAGGGTAGTGCTGCCAGGACTTGCTGCTGGGGGAGGTGCAGGGGTGAATGGGAGTGGCAGTCACTGGATGCCCTGCATGCACTGCAGACCCTCACTGCATCTGAGGATATCAAGGTGCTGGAAAGGCATAGGGTTTGTTGAGCCCACATGGATGGCTAAGTTGGCTGGCTGAAGCAGAGCAGAGCGAAAGACCCTGAGCCAGGGCCAGAGCCTCCAGGGAGGCAGAGGTATGACTTTGAGGTCAGGTGTGGCAGCAGTGGGTAGGGAGCTTGTGGCTGAACTCCTAGGAAGGCCTTCCCATGTGAGATGGTGACTGAGCTGAGGAGGGCACAGGACTCTTCCAGCGCTGCCCATTCCTCCTACCTGGTAATCCATGGGGTTTTAGAGAGTGAAGCCAGGAGGAGAGCCAGTCTCAGCCACCCCGGAAGTGGAGGGAGAACATAGGAAAGGGAGAGATGCAGAGCCTGTTGCTGAGGAAGGGGAATGGGGTGTGTGGGGTGGGGGTCCATTTGGTTCAATGGAAAAGTTGGCAGGGACAATGGTACATTTGACATCTGCAATGGATCAACTTTTTTTTTTAATTTGTAAAAAGCAGGTAATTATTGTATTAGTCCATTAGTGCTGCTATAATAAAATATCTGATATGGGTAATTTGTAAAGAACAGGAATTTATTTCTCACAATTCTGGAGGCTGGAAGTCCAAGATCAAGATGTTGGCAGTTTGGTGTCTGGAGGGCCCAGTATCTGCTTCCGAGTTGGTGCCTTGTTGCTGCACCCTCTGGAGGGAAGGAAGGCTGTGTCCTCATGTGGCGAAAGAGTGGAAGGGCCAAAGGGCCTAGCTAGTTATCTCCAGGTCTTTTATTTATTTTATTTATTTTTAAAATTTTTTAAAATTTCCATAGGTTATCGGGGAACAGGTGGTGTTTGGTTACATGAGTGAGTTCTTTAGTGGTGATCTGTGAGATTTTGGTGCGCCCATCACCTGAGCAGTATACACTGCACTCAATTTATAGTCTTTTATCCCTCACCCCCTTCCTACCCATTCCCCCTGAGTCCCCAAAGTCCATTGTCTCGTTTTGATGTCTTTGCACGGAGTGGATCAACTTTTAAACAGTCTCCCTCTTCTATTTAACACAATTATTTTCAGTACTAATCATGAAATGAAACCAATAATAATAATGACCAGAAAAGAAACTCAGTAAAATGTTTTTTTATTGAACTTCCTACATAAACCATGCCAGTAATATAAATAAAAATAAATAAAATATTATAATACAAAATTTAGAAAGTAAGGGATTAATAGTTTGTAATTACAGCAACGTATGTTTTGAAAAGGGGAGAAACATATACTTACTTATTTGTCTGTCACAATAACAAACGATAACATTACAATTTCTGTTTCCTTGATTCCTTCTTTCATTTTATAACAAGCAACAATTAAAAACAGAATTAATTTTAATGTTAAAGATATGATTCACGTCCAGTGAACTAGTTCTTGTGTGAGCTAAAACTGGCACTTCCAAACAAAAGATGGTTCACCTTGCAGTTTGCATTCTGCGTTACTGTTTTAAAAATTTATACACAAGTAAAAATTCCATGTGGCCCCATACAGTGACAGAATTGAAGGAACTCAAGTTCTGTTTCTTTGCTTTACCATCACTGTGCTCTCACTGTTTATTTAGAAGCTTCTCTTTAAACACAGGAATATGTAGTGTCTCGGGAGTTGGAGACATAAACCACTCCTGTAGAGAGCTTGAACGATTCTGAATGTTGGAACACTCTGGAAATGAACACGTAGCTGAGTCCCCATGTGTGGGGGCAAACTGTACAACCAAAAGGGCTCAGTATTAACCTCCTGGGAGAATTCAATGTTCATTAAGGGATAAGGAATCAAAAAGGGCTAATTCAAAAATATATTATATACACATATATTAAATATGTATTAAAACTCAACAGTAATCTAATCACAGCACTTGTAAGCATTTTACCAACAAAAGAATATTTTTGGGGAAGAGTATTTTAATCACTGACAATGTTTAGAATTGCCAGTACCTGGTGATCATAAAAAGAGCCTGGTGGTTACCGAGCTGGAGTGGTTAGAGGGAGGGAGGATGGGGAAATGTCGGTAAAAGGATACATAATTACGGTTAGATAGGAGGAATAAATTTCAAGACATCTATTGTACAGTGGGGTGACTATAGTTAATAATGATGTGTTGTATTCTTGAAAAATGTAGGCCTGGCGTGGTGGCTCACGCCTGTAATCCCAGCACTTTGGGAGGCCGAGGCGGGCGGATCACGAGGTCAGGAGATCGAGACCATCCTGGCTAACACAGTGAAACCCCTCTCTACTAAAAATACAAAAAAATTAGCCGGGCGTGGTGGCGGGCGCCGGTAGTCCCAGCTACTCGGGAGGATGTATATATTCTTTAAAACATCATGGTGTACATGATAAAAACATTCAATGTTATCTATGAGTTAAAAATCCAAGAGACTCCATTTTATTACTGTGTTAAGATTCTCTGCAGAGAATACATCCCCTATTGCCTGCCTCCCAGGGTGCACCCCCTTCCCCTGGCACCCACTGGTTGGGGAGCAAGTCCAGGGCAGGCATGGTGGGGATGAGGTTTGGGAGAGGGTAGCTGATGGGATCTTCCTAGATGGGCTGTGGGATGACAAATGTTTGGGTTGGGAGGTCTTCTCCAAGAGGCCCTGCTGGGAGACTGGCGGGGGAGGACCTCAGTCCTATGTCTTTTGTAGCTTCAGCAAGCAGATGACAGGGTGCAATGGCAGAGAGACACAGCACTCTGTTTTTGTTTTGAGACAGGGTCTTGCTCTGTCGCCCAGGCTGGAGTGCAGTGGAGTGATCTTGGCTCACTACATACTTGAGCTCTTTGGCTCAATTGATCCTCCCACCTCAGCCTCCTGAGTAACTGGGACTACAGGGGCGCAGCACTGTTCATGGCTATTTTTTTCTTTTTCTTTTTTTTTTTTTTGTAGAGATGGGGTTTTGACATGTTGCCTAAGCTGGTCTTGAACTCCTGGGCTCAAGCAATCTGCCCACATCAGCCTCCCAAAGTGCTGGGATTCCAGATGTGAGCCACCATGCCTGGCCGACAGCCCTTTTTGGGCCCAGAATTCCTGTCTGTGTCTCTCTGTTCTCTGCCTCCTTCTCATTACTTCGCTCAACACTTTTTCCTGTCCTTCTCTCTTCCTCTCTCTGCCTGTCACTCCCTCTCTGTCTCTTCGTATCACCCCCTGCCTCTGTATCTGTCTATTTTTCTGCCTCTCTCTCTCTCTCTGTCTTGGGCTCTCTTCCTATTCCAGCTCTGTTTCTGTCCCCACCTTGCTGTCTCTCCTCTCTCTCCCTCTGATTCTCATGTCACTTGTCCATTGCTCCTGTCTCTTTCTATGTCTTGCCCCTCTGTACACAATCCAGTCTCTTAGTTTCTCTATTGGAGAACTATGAAGAGTGAGGGGAACAGAGCTAAGATGATTCTCAGTGCTTGCCCACCTTCTGTTGGGACACCATTCTCTTCTTAGTCCCTCCCTTGGGGTGTCTCTAAAAGCCAGAGGTTTGCTGCACCCTGAGGGTCAAGCCCCAGGAAATGACAGCTGTTTCTCCAGCCCAGAGCTGGCTGTGCCCCGGCCCAGCTGACCAGGTCCCACTTTGGGAGTGGGGGTTGGGTTGGAAGTTTGCAGATGCCTCGGCCACTGGTGGGCAGGCAGTGGAGGCATCTGGGTGGACACGGGCAGAAGAAAGCCATAGTGCAATTTCAGAGTTGGGGGCTTAGTTGGAGTTTGAGAGACACCATTAGCAGCCATGTCTTTGAGGGATCCAGGCTCCCCTCTTCTGTTGGGGTGAGGAGGGACAAGTGCCCACTTTTCAGGGGTTAGACTCCTTCTGCTCACTGATTTCCTCATCCAGTCTCTTCCTTCCCTAACCAATATGGGAGCCCTGGGGAATGAGGAAGCTGACTTGGCCTCCTGCTTATCCTCTCCTTCCCTTCTTCCTCCTGGCCCACAAGTCGTGTCCAGAGAATATAAGAATGGTCCCTTGCTTCTCTTTCCCCAGACCGCACCCTACCCTCTCACTCCCCTGCCTGCTCTGTCCTCTATCCCGCGAGGCCCTGCCTTGGCTTCCTAGTAAGCCGCCCCTTGGCTTTTATGTGAGATCTGTTTTACTCAGACAGAGCAATACTCAGACCCCAGGGGAGAGGGCAGTGGAAAGTATTCATGAGGTATCCTGGTCCCCAGGCACCTGGGAAAGTTGCACCCTTTATATAGGTGAGGAGGCTGAGGTGTAGGAAGATGCCCCAGTCAGTCCAGTTGCCTCTTTCTCACTTCCTCCACTGGATCCTCAATGTTCCTCAAACACCCAGAATGCCTCTGCCTCAGGGCCTTTGCATGTGCTGTTGCCTAAATATCTGAATCTCTTGCTCTCTCACCCTTTCAAGTCTTTGCTCAAGTATCCTTCAATATAGTTGAGTAAAGACTCAGGGGGAGGAGCCAAGATGGCCGAATAGGAACAGCTCCGGTCTACAGCTCCCAGCGTGAGCGACGCAGAAGACGGGTGATTTCTGCATTTCCATCTGAGGTACCGGGTTCATCTCACTAGGGAGTGCCAGACAGTGGGCGCAGGCCAGTGTGTGCACGCACCGTGCGCAAGCCGAAGCAGGGCGAGGCATTGCCTCACCTGGGAAGCGCAAGGGGTCAGGGAGTTCCCTTTCCGAGTCAAAGAAAGGGGTGACGGACGCACCTGGAAAATCGGGTCACTCCCACCCGAATATTGCGCTTTTCAGACCGGCTTAAGAAACGGCGCACCACGAGACTATATCCCACACCTGGCTCAGAGGGTCCTACGCCCACGGAATCTCGCTGATTGCTAGCACAGCAGTCTGAGATCAAACTGCAAGGCGGCAACGAGGCTGGGGGAGGGGCGCCCGCCATTGCCCAGGCTTGCTTAGGTAAACAAAGCAGCTGGGAAGCTCGAACTGGGTGGAGCCCACCACAGCTCAAGGAGGCCTGCCTGCCTCTGTAGGCTCCACCTCTGGGGGCAGGGCACAGACAAACAAAAAGACAGCAGTAACCTCTGCAGACTTAAGTGTCCCTGTCTGACAGCTTTGAAGAGAGCAGTGGTTCTCCCAGCACGCAACTGGAGATCTGAGAACGGGCAGACTGCCTCCTCAAGTGGGTCCCTGACCCCTGACCCCCGAGCAGCCTAACTGGGAGGCACCCCCCAGCAGGGGCACACTGACACCTCACACGGCAGGGTATTCCAACAGACCTGCAGCTGAGGGTCCTGTCTGTTAGAAGGAAAACTAACAACCAGAAAGGACATCTACACCGAAAACCCATCTGTACATCACCATCATCAAAGACCAAAAGTAGATGAAACCACAAAGATGGGGAAAAAACAGAACAGAAAAACTGGAAACTCTAAAATGCAGAGCGCCTCTCCTCCTCCAAAGGAACGCAGTTCCTCACCAGCAACAGAACAAAGCTGGATGGAGAATGATTTTGACGAGCTGAGAGAAGAAGGCTTCAGACGATCAAATTACTCTGAGCTATGGGAGGACATTCAAACCAAAGGCAAAGAAGTTGAAAACTTTGAAAAAAATTTAGAAGAATGTATAACTAGAATAACCAATACAGAGAAGTGCTTAAAGGAGCTGATGGAGCTGAAAACCAAGGCTCGAGAACTACGTGAAGAATGCAGAAGCCTCAGGAGCCGATGCGATCAACTGGAAGAAAGGGTATCAGCAATGGAAGATGAAATGAATGAAATGAAGCGAGAAGGGAAGTTTAGAGAAAAAAGAATAAAAAGAAATGAGCAAAGCCTCCAAGAAATATGGGACTATGTGAAAAGACCAAATCTACGTCTGATTGGTGTACCTGAAAGTGATGTGGAGAATGGAACCAAGTTGGAAAACACTCTGCAGGATATTATCCAGGAGAACTTCCCCAATCTAGCAAGGCAGGCCAACGTTCAGATTCAGGAAATACAGAGAACGCCACAAAGATACTCCTCGAGAAGAGCAACTCCAAGACACATAATTGTCAGATTCACCAAAGTTGAAATGAAGGAAAAAATGTTAAGGGCAGCCAGAGAGAAAGGTCGGGTTACCCTCAAAGGAAAGCCCATGAGACTAACAGCGGATCTCTCGGCAGAAACCCTACAAGCCAGAAGAGAGTGGGGGCCAATATTCAACATTCTTAAAGAAAAGAATTTTCAACCCAGAATTTCATATCCAGCCAAACTAAGCTTCATAAGTGAAGGAGAAATAAAATACTTTATAGACAAGCAAATGCTGAGAGATTTTGTCACCACCAGGCCTGCCCTAAAAGAGCTCCTGAAGGAAGCGCTAAACATGGAAAGGAACAACCGGTACCAGCCGCTGCAAAATCATGCCAAAATGTAAAGACCATCGAGACTAGGAAGAAACTGCATCAACTAATGAGCAAAATCACCAGCTAACATCATAATGACAGGATCAAATTCACACATAACAATATTAACTTTAAATATAAATGGACTAAATTCTGCAATTAAAAGACACAGACTGGCAAGTTGGATAAAGAGTCAAGACCCATCAGTGTGCTGTATTCAGGAAACCCATCTCACGTGCAGAGACACACATAGGCTCAAAATAAAAGCATGGAGGAAGATCTACCAAGCCAATGGAAAACAAAAAAAGGCAGGGGTTGCAATCCTAGTCTCCGATAAAACAGACTTTAAACCAACAAAGATCAAAAGAGACAAAGAAGGCCATTACATAATGGTAAAGGGATCAATTCAACAAGAGGAGCTAACTATCCTAAATATTTATGCACCCAATACAGGAGCACCCAGATTCATAAAGCAAGTCCTGAGTGACCTACAAAGAGACTTAGACTCCCACACATTAATAATGGGAGACTTTAACACCCCACTGTCAACATTAGACAGATCAACGAGACAGAAAGTCAACAAGGATACCCAGGAATTGAACTCAGCTCTGCACCAAGCAGACCTAATAGACATCTACAGAACTCTCCACCGCAAATCAACAGAATATACATTTTTTTCAGCACCACACCACACCTATTCCAAAATTGACCACATAGTTGGAAGTAAAGCTCTCCTCAGCAAATGTAAAAGAACAGAAATTATAACAAACTATCTCTCAGACCACAGTGCAATCAAACTAGAACTCAGGATTAAGAATCTCACTCAAAGCCACTCAACTACATGGAAACTGAACAACCTGCTCCTGAATGACTACTGGGTACATAACAAAATGAAGGCAGAAATAAAGATGTTCTTTGAAACCAACGAGAACAAAGACACCACATACCAGAATCTCTGGGACGCATTCAAAGCAGTGTGTAGAGGGAAATTTATAGCACTAAATGCCTACAAGAGAAAGCAGGAAAGATCCAAAATTGACACCCTAACATCACAATTAAAAGAACTAGAAAAGCAAGAGCAAACACATTCAAAAGCTAGCAGAAGGCAAGAAATAACTAAAATCAGAGCAGAACTGAAGGAAATAGAGACACAAAAAACCCTTCAAAAAATCAATGAATCCAGGAGCTGGTTTTTTGAAAGGATCAACAAAATAGATAGACTGCTAGCAAGACTAATAAAGAAAAAAAAGAGAGAAGAATCAAATAGACACAATAAAAAATGATAAAGGGGATATCACCACCGATCCCACAGAAATACAAACTACCATCAGAGAATACTACAAACACCTCTACGCAAATAAACTAGAAAATCTAGAAGAAATGGATACATTCCTCGACACATACACTCTCCCAAGACTAAACCAGGAAGAAGTTGAATCTCTGAATAGACCAATAACAGGCTCTGAAATTGTGGCAATAATCAATAGTTTACCAACCAAAAAGAGTCCAGGACCAGATGGATTCACAGCCGAATTCTACCAGAGGTACAAGGAGGAACTGGTACCATTCCTTCTGAAACTATTCCAATCAATAGAAAAAGAGGGAATCCTCCCTAACTCATTTTATGAGGCCAGCATCATTCTGATACCAAAGCCGGGCAGAGACACAACCAAAAAAGAGAATTTTAGACCAATATCCTTGATGAACATTGATGCAAAAATCCTCAATAAAATACTGGCAAACCAAATCCAGCAGCACATCAAAAAGCTTATCCACCATGATCAAGTGGGCTTCATCCCTGGGATGCAAGTCTGGTTCAATATACGCAAATCAATAAATGTAATCCAGCATATAAACAGAGCCAAAGACAAAAACCACATGATTATCTCAATAGGTGCAGAAAAAACCTTTGACAAAATTCAACAACCCTTCATGCTAAAAACTCTCAATAAATTAGGTATTGATGGGACGTATTTCAAAATAATAAGAGCTATCTATGACAAACCCACAGCCAATATCATACTGAATGGGCAAAAACTGGAAGCATTCCCTTTGAAAACTGGCACAAGACAGGGATGCCCTCTCTCACTGCTCCTATTCAACATAGTGTTGGAAGTTCTGGCCAGGGCAATCAGGCAGGAGAAGGAAATAAAGGGTATTCAATTAGGAAAACAGGAAGTCAAATTGTCCCTGTTTGCAGACGACATGACTGTTTATCTAGAAAACCCCATCGTCTCAGCCCAAAATCTCCTTAAGCTGATAAGCAACTTCAGCAAAGTCTCAGGATACAAAATCAATGTGCAAAAATCACAAGCATTCTTATACACCAACAACAGACAAACAGAGAGCCAAATCATGAGTGAACTCCCATTCACAATTGCTTCAAAGAGAATAAAATACCTAGGAATCCAACTTACAAGGGATGTGAAGGACCTCTTCAAGGAGAACTACAAACCACTGCTCAAGGAAATAAAAGAGGACACAAACAAATGGAAGAACATTCCATGCTCATGGGTAGGAAGAATCAATATCGTGAAAATGGCCATACTGCCCAAGGTAATTTACAGATTCAATGCCATCCCCATCAAGCTACCAATGACTTTCTTCACAGAATTGGAAAAAACTACTTTAAAGTTCATATGGAACCAAAAAAGAGCCCGCATCGCCAAGTCAATCCTAAGCCAAAAGAACAAAGCTGGAGGCATCACACTACCTGACTTCAAACTATACTACAAGGCTACAGTAACCAAAACAGCATGGTACTGGTACCAAAACAGAGATATAGATCAATGGAACAGAACAGAGCCCTCAGAAATAATGCCGCATATCTACAACCATCTGATCTTTGACAAACCTGAGAAAAACAAGCAATGGGGAAAGGATTCCCTATTTAATAAATGGTGGTGGGAAAACTGGCTAGCCATATGTAGAAAGCTGAAAGTGGATCCCTTCCTTACACCTTATACAAAAATCAATTCAAGATGGATTAAAGATTTAAACGTTAGACCTAAAACCATAAAAACCCTAGAAGAAAACCTAGGCATTACCATTCAGGACATAGGCGTGGGCAAGGACTTCATGTCCAAAACACCAAAAGCAATGGCAACAAAAGCCAAAATTGACAAATGGGATCTAATTAAACTAAAGAGCTTCTGCACAGCAAAAGAAACTACCATCAGAGTGAACAGGCAACCTACAACATGGGAGAAAATTTTCGCAACCTACTCATCTGACAAAGGGCTAATATCCAGAATCTACAATGAACTCAAACAAATTTACAAGAAAAAAACAAACAACCCCATCAAAAAGTGGGCGAAGGACATGAACAGACACTTCTCAAAAGAAGACATTTATGCAGCCAAAAAACACATGAAGAAATGCTCATCATCACTGGCCATCAGAGAAATGCAAATCAAAACCACTATGAGATATCATCTCACACCAGTTAGAATGGCAATCATTAAAAAGTCAGGAAACAACAGGTGCTGGAGAGGATGTGGAGAAATAGGAACACTTTTACACTGTTGGTGGGACTGTAAACTAGTTCAACCATTGTGGAAGTCAGTGTGGCGATTCCTCAGGGATCTAGAACTAGAAATACCATTTGACCCAGCCATCCCATTACTGGGTATATACCCAAAGGACTATAAATCATGCTGCTATAAAGACACATGCACACGTATGTTTATTGCGGCACTATTCACAATAGCAAAGACTTGGAACCAACCCAAATGTCCAACAATGATAGACTGGATTAAGAAAATGTGGCACATATACACCATGGAATACTATGCAGCCATAAAAAATGATGAGTTCATGTCCTTTGTAGGGACATGGATGAAATTGGAAACCATCATTCTCAGTAAACTATCGCAAGAACAAAAAACCAAACACCGCATATTCTCACTCATAGGTGGGAATTGAACAATGAGATCACATGGACACAGGAAGTGGAATATCACACTCTGGGGACTGTGGTGGGGTCGGGGGAGGGGGGAGGGATAGCATTGGGAGATATACCTAATGCTAGATGACACGTTAGTGGGTGCAGCGCACCAGCATGGCACATGTATACATATGTAACTAACCTGCACAATGTGCACATGTACCCTAAAACTTAGAGTATAATAAAAAAAAAAATTAAAAAAAAAAAAAAAAAGACTCAAATATATCTTCCCTGACCTTCTTTTTCTTCCAGAACTCTCTGCTTAATTCCCTTTTCTGCTTTATTTGTCTGCACAGCATTTATCACCTAACACACTGTAGAGTTAGTTATCTATTTTTTTATTGTCTGTCTTTCTCACTAGCATGTAAGCTCTCTCAGGAAGGGAATTCTGTCTATCTCGTTGAAGGCTGTATTCCCAGCTTCTAGAACAGAGTCTGGCACCTCGGAGGCATTTGTTGAATGAGTTTAGAGTCGAATCCTACTATTTAATATACCAGCATTTATAGAGAGATGGCAGTGTTCCTGACTCAGCAGGATGCCTGGCATCTCTGAGCTGGTGCTTTCTTGTGCCCCTGGCTGGAATGCCCTTTCTCTGGTGACCAGGAGAATCCCTGCCTAACCTTGAAGGCTCTGCCCGTGCCTTCCTCAAAGCCTCTCCTTACTCTTTTGATCTTTCCCTCCACCCTCCACCTTCTCCCCCTTCACACTCCACCAGACACCTGCCTCTCTTGAATGATCATGAGCTTCTGATCCCAACTGTGATTCATGTCCTTGCTTCACCTCTTCTTGGCCACTGACAAGTGGCTTAACTCCTCCAGGCCTCAGTTTCTTCATGCATAAAATGAGTCTAATATAATATAATATAATATAATATAATATAATATAATATAATATAACATGCTTCTGATAGAGCCGTTCTGATCATTAGTAGCCTTTTGTGAGATGGACCTAGCACTGTAGGCTCAACCCTGTGGGCCAAGCTGGTGGAGGTGGTACATTCTTGGTAGCAGCAGCATCTCCAGCCCAGGTTCCTGGGCTGTACTTGCCAATGGCAGGCCTTGAAACAGAGATGTGGCAGTGTTTAAGAAGCACTGGGCTACGTGAGGAGCACCCTGCCATGGGTGATGTGGGTACCTATGACTTCCCACTCCTGACTCTGTCTCTGCCACTTCCATTGGATGCCTGTGTTGCCACATGTCCTGTCAAACCTGCCATGAGCACAACATCACCCCATTTTCTACATCTACAGGTGAGCCTTGCACACCCACCTGCCTGCCTTCTTTGGGGTGGTAGGCCTTTGCTGAGAGACAGAGGACTCTGTGGAGGTACTGAGCCACTCTGAGCTGGTCAAGAGGAGTCTTCAGCCTTCATAGAGGGCTATTTTGCCATTTCTAGGAAACTGCATTTGCCAACTTGGAACATTCCTTCCAATTCTGAGAACCTATAGTTCTAAGAATATTTATCGTCTATATCCAGCCAAAGTTTCTTTTTCCAACCTTTTTTTTGTTGCTCTCCTGTCTTCACATTTGAAAATTGGAAAGCAAGTGCTCAAGTCTTATGTATTTAGAGGCAAGTTCCTTCTCCTCTAGTGCCCTTTCAAGCCCGGGAAGGAATTCCTGGTCAGCCATGAGCAACCGGCTTCTTAGAACATTGATAAATCAAAGGCAGTTTGGGTGGGAGAGAAAATTGGACTCTGGTGTGTATTCAGCTAAAGAGCAAATGCCCAATGTCTTTCTGAACTGAGCATCTTCTCTGTAATGATCTTGTGCCTGTGAAACCAACAAATGCATTTGCTTGGAAAGTATTTTAAAAATTCGTTCAGTACCATGTATTGAGTGACTACTCTGCTAGGTGCTAGGCTGAGTACTGAGAACACCATGCACACAAGACCAGATACAGAACCTGTCCACTTGGTGCTTGCTTTCTAAGGGGGTATGGACATTTTCACCAGTAGAAATTCCAGTTCTTGCAGGAAATGGCAGTCAGCTGCCTTCCTAGAAGGGGATGAAGACAGGCCTATGTTTCAATCAGTGGGCCATTAATGAAATAATCAGAAGCCACTCAAGTCAGCTCAGCCACAGGGGGTTGTTGTAAGGGAACTCATAGACTCTAAGTGTAGGTTACATGGCCAGGCCTTGTCATCATAGAAAGTCTTCAAGCAGCTATTCTCCCTCTATGACTCTTTCTGGGGTCACATGGTCCTTCTTCTACAAGGGCCATCATAACTGCCCCCAAATTGTGACCTCAAGCTGTGAAATCTATGAGCCTTTCCAGCTTGGCTCCCTGTATTGTTAGGGGTCCAGCAGGACACAAATGGCCTGCTCAAAAGTGTGGTCAAAGAGAGCTTAGAGAAGGGATGATTTAACCACTGCAAGGTTCAGGGAAATCTACAAGAGATGCTATAGCTTCCTGGGGCTGGCAACGTGGAAAATCCATCTCCTTCTGGAGACCTGGAAGAGTGAGGGGAGGGAGTGGCATTATTGAACCTAGCAATGGCTGTATGGATGGAGAAGTCATGGCTTCAGGTAGAGGAACTCAGCCACTGTCACACCATGGCCTGGAAGGGAGGGAGCAGTAGAAATAAATTCCTCTTCTTGTCTCTCCTTCCACTCATCCATGTCCTGCTGGTGTCTTGTGTTGGCCAAATCTGACTTGAATCCAGGAGGTCAGGAAGGCCAAATGATGAAACCACAGATAGAGTTCAGCCTCCCAGAGCACAGAGCAGGGCAGCGAAGGATGGTGGGTGGAAGTGGAGGTGCAAATGGACAATATCCATGGCTCCCTTATGTGATCTCTCCATCCTACTTCTTTTTTAGACAAGATCTTGCTTTGTCACTCAGGCTGGAGTGCAGTGGTGCAATCTTGGCTCCGTGTAGCCTCAAGCTCTAGGGCTCAAGTGATCCTCCCATCTCAGCCTCCCTAGTAGCTGGGACTATAGATGCCCATCACCAAGCCTGGCTAATTTTTGTATTTTTTGTTGAGATGAGGTTTTACCATGTTGCCCAGGCTGGTCTCGAACTCCTGGACTCAAGTAATCCACCCACCTCGACCTCTCAAAGTGCTGGGATTACAGGCATGAGCCATTGTACCTGGCCCATTATACTTTCGAATGCCCTAGAGAGAGAGAATCTAACTGGATCAGCTCAGACTGAGGCAGCAGCAGAAGGAAGCTAAGCACTATCCTCATTTTTAGGATGAGCAAATGGAGGCTGAGAGAGTAAAGCAGGCATGCCCAAGGTAACACAGAGAACAAATGGCAATGCCTCTGAGATTTTTTTTTTTTTTTTTTTCCTGTAGAGATGGGGTCTATGCTGCCGAGGCTGGACTTGAACTCCCAGGCTCAAGCAATCCTCCCACCCCCACCTCCCAAAGTGCTGGAATTACAGGCATGAGTTACTGAGCCCAGCTGCCACTGAGCCTTAAATGACCAAGAGCCATGGGCTCAAGTTAGCTGTCCTCCTTCGATTGCTCTCTCAGGAATATTCCTGGCCTGGGCTTAGGGGTGCACCTGCTGCATCTCTCCCAGGTGTTTCAACAAGTGCTACATTCAGGTGTCTCTTTAAAAATCACCAGAGGTGTTTAAAGATCATAAAGACTTAGGTATGAATGCATGTGTGTCCCTCAAAGTCTGTTCCATCTCAGCAGGACACTGTTCCTGACATTTTGCTGGATCCACTGTGGACTGTCTGGTCCAGCATCCTTAACTCCTGTGACGCTTCTCTCCACCTGCTCTGACTCCAGTGTTCATATTTGCCTGGGTTTGTCTGGAGGGGCTTTGGGAATGAGGAGTCTCCTCACCACTGTCACTACACTTTCACGAGGGTCACAGCCTGACCTTCACAGGGCCCTTGCTCTTGAGGTCGGCCTAGGCATGCTTTTGACTTTGCTGTGCCTGGGTCAGCACTGGCACCTTGAAGGTCAAAGTTGCTCCAAAAAGTCTCGGAGTAGAACTGCACTCACACCATCTGAGAAACCTGTTAGTACTTTCTTTTCTGAGACTCTTAAAGGAAGAGGTTTATTGTGGGAGTATCTGAACCTCTTGTGGCTAGGCAGTTGTCCTAGGCATCTTGCCTTGTTCCCTCCCAGTGTAACTTAGGCTTTTTTTGTGTGGTGAGAACAGAAGAGTGACTTGGGTTGCGTTCAGAGGCCAGTGCAGACTGCTGTAGACACAGCAGAGAGCAGTGAGTAGCTTCCAGCTGGTACAGCAACCATTCTGGGGTGCCAGCTGTGTGGAGTGGGTGCCGGCTGTGAGGACCTGGATTCCAACCAGCTGTGTGGACTGGGCCACCATCTGTGGGCTGCAGTGCCAGCTGTGTGCACTGGGGTGCCAGCCAGGTGTCGGGACTGGGTGCCAGCTGTGTGGACTGGATACCAGCCAGAGATGTAAACTGGGTTCTAGCTGTGTAGGCTGGGGTGCCAGCCATGAGAATGGGGGTGCCAGCATGGGTCAAGTTGAGGCTGAACTCCTCTCAGCTACTGGCTTACTGCATGTGCTTCTGTTTATGGCACAAGCAATTTCAATAAATCAAGGTCACTGAATCAAGTCGACTTTACCCAGAGACTTTTGTTGCAGAATTGAAGATGTGTTTCTTGGATGGGAAGAAAGGAGAATATTCTTAAGAATAATAAAAGCATCATTAGGAATGGGTCAGATCTTTCAGAATCATATTTGCAAGAGAAAGAATATTTATGTCAAGATGTTTATTTGTTCAACAAATATGGTGAACACCTACTATGCTGAAATTTGTTGAATGCCTACTATGTGGCTAGACATTGTATAAATTATCCCACTTAAAATAGGGGGCCAGGGGCCAAGATAAAGTACCTGGAAAGATTTCGATATTTGTTACATTCTACAAGGGAGGATTCCCTGGCTGAGGCCAGAAGGGGTGGGGAGGGTCTTACCTTTGTCCTTTTTTTTTTCTTCTGGGGAAAAATCTTCACCCTCAATTTGTCAGGGCCCAGCCATCAGAACTGGGTGCATTCAGGAGGAACCATGGAGGATCACAATAGAGGCAGCAATGGCAGAGTGGAGCCATGGGATACTGGGTGGTGCTGATTGTGACAAGGGCAAGAGATGCGGGAAGGAGCTGAGAAGACCTGAACAGTTCTGCAATGGGAGACAATTCCCTGGCTTATCTAGTCAACCAGCTTGATTATTATTTCCATACTTACTCTATATCAGTCCTCTCTCTTTCAGCCACACCCTGAATTGTACTCTGTTACCTTAGAAGTAGTGCATTTGATGGTTGTTTTGAAAAAATAAATGAATGAAGGAGGACCAGTTCATATTACCCTTCAAAAAGGCATAGGTAAGATATATACATGTGCATATATCCATATACATACCACACACACACAAACATACATATACTGCTTGATATGGTTTGGCCGTGTCCCCACTCAAATCTCACGTTGAATTGTAGTTCTCATAATCCGCATGTATTGTAGGAGGGATCAAGTGGGAGGTAATTGAATCATGGGGTCAGTTACCCTCATGTTGTTCTTGTGATAGTGAGTGAGATCTGATGGTTTTATAAGGGGCTTTTCTCCCTTTTGCTTGACACTTCTCCTTGCTGCCTTGTGCAAATACGCTCCTTGTGAAGAAGGATGTATTTGCTTTCCCTTCCACAATGATTGTAAGTTTCCTGAGACCTCCCCAGCCATGCGGAACTGTGAGTCAATTAAAACTCTTTCCTTTATAAATTACCTGGTCTCAGGTATGTCCTTATACCAGCGTGAGAACAGATTAATATACCACTCACATTTGTTATTCATGAAAGTTACATTCTACAAAGTTGCCACAGCTACCGAATTAGCAAGTAATGAACCATTGCTCCTAGGAGAAATACAAGGTTAGGTTTCTGTAAGCTTATGGTTTCAACATTTCTGTAAACTGATTAATATGTAACCTTATTTTATGTGGATTTCTCTTTAAAGATAGTTTATTTAGTATATATTGTTGATTCATTAATATTGAACTCATGGCCGATAGCACTATAACTCATGGCTGGAAGAAGCTTAGCTAACACATGTAATTTCTCTGGAAGGCACATCACGGCCTTCTTATACTTAGGAACACTAAAGAGCATTCTGGTGCTATTCTTGGAGGCCATTTTAAATAGTGAAATCACCAAGAAAGAGCATAAAAATGCAAAAAAAAAAAAAAAAAAAAGGAACGCTAATCAGACTGTGAAAAGGACACTTGTTTACAGTGTGAGAGCTGAAACAAGAAGGCAGAAGGTCACCTGTCTGACCCTAGCTGGGAATGTGTGTACATTGGGTGACTTGAATTTTTTCCTCCTCTGCACATGTCCACAAATGACTGTGAAAGCACTGTGAATATTGAAATTGATTTTGGGTTTACAAATAAATTTTAGCATGTAAGCAAATTCACAAACATGGAATCTGTGAATAATGAGGATAGACTGGATATATATGTGTATAGATATGTATGTCCTTATACCAGCGTATTATAACAGAGTATTATTACTCTGAGGCTAGAGGCTCCACCCAGAGGCAGAAAACACCAATTCAAAGTGACCTGGGACTTCAAAACAGAGACATGGGAACATGAGTTCACCTGAGATGGTCTCTATACTGCATTTCTTTAAGCATCTATAAGTGACCCTGGATCGTAGGGGCAGTGCACATTGAAGTATCTAAATCTGCAGTTCTATGGAGCTTGTTGGGACCTGCAATATTAAGTTGTTTAGGATTCACTCTGGGAAGACCTTTCAAGTCTTCTCAATCAGACAGAAAACACTGAAGTAGGGCCTGTTGTGAATGTATCACATTTAGAAAGGAAAAGTCATAACAGGTTCCAGGCCTTGGGATGGTCCTGGACGTGGGAGTCAATGTAGATTCTTAAACAATTCTGGTGTGATGTGCTGTGAAGATCAAGGTGGCTGGTCTTGGTCTAGGCAGCATCCTATCACCCACCCAGATCTACCAAGTTGGACACCTGAGATTTACCCTCAACTAATTTGTGATTCTACTTCCTTTATATCTCTTTATCCAGACCATTGGCCATTCTCTGACCATCTCAAGCCAGAGGTGACTTGATCTGTCACCCAGCTGTGGCCCATGAGCATTATCTAAGGAGGAACATTTTTGCTTACGTTTCCAGTGCTCTACATAAGCCCTAGGCCCTGGGTGAGTAGCATGCCAGAAGAAAATTTTCTTTGGTTGATACCTTTTCCTATCATGATCTGGGAGTAACAACCAGTGATCTATCACTGTCTTTTCTATTCAACTGAAATACACGTTGAGAAATAATGATTATGGTGATGATAATACAAATCAAAATACAAATAATGATGATAACACAAATAATAATGATAGCTAACATTTTGAAGTGATGTATACTCCAGGCATTGGGTCAAGTGTTTTATTTTTAAATTTTAATTTTATCAGAATAACACATGTACCTAGTTTCCCCCTAAATGTTTTATTTTGAAATGCAAATTTAAACTACAATGAGATGCCACCTTACACCAGTCAGAACTAGCTGTTATTAAAAAGCAAAAAAATAACAAATGTTAGTAAGGTTGTGGAGAAAAGGGAACACATATACATTGCTGGTGGGAATGTAAATTAGTTCAGCCACCGTGGAAAGCAGCTAGGAGATTTCTCAAAGAACTTAAAACAGAACTACCATTTCACTCAGAATCCAATTATTGGATATATACGCAAATAAAGATAAAACATTCTACCATAAAGACACATGCACTTGTATGTTCATCACAGCACTATTCACAATAGCCAAGATGTGGGATCAACCTAAATGCTCAACAATGGTAGACTGGATAAAGAAAATGTGGTACATATACACCATGGGATACTATGCAGCCATAAAAAAGAATGAGATCAAGTCCTTTGCAGCAACATGGATGGTGATGTAGGCCAGTATCCTAAGCAAACTAACATAGGAACTGAAAACCAAATACTGCATGTTCCGAGTTGTAAATGGAAGCTAAACGTTGAGTACATATGGACACAAAGAAGTGAACAATATACACTGGGGCCTTCATGAGGGTGAAGGGTAGGAGAAGGGTATCGAAGAACTACCTATCAGGTGCTATGCTCATTACCTGGGTGATAAAATCTGTACACCAAACACCTGCAACACGTAATTTACCCACGTAACAAATCTGCACACGTACCCCAAACCTAAAATAAAAGTTGGAAAGAAAAAAATAAAATTTAAAAAATCGACAGAAAAGTTAAAAGGAAGGTGCAATGAACATCTATATATCATTTATTTAGATTTTCCAGTTACCATTTTGTCACATTTGCTTTATTTTCTCATCTGTCTACTTATCTATTTTTGATTAATGATTTAAAATTATATTGCATTGTAACATTTTATCATGTATCTCCTGAGAATGAAAGACATTCTCCTATATAATCATAATACCATTATCAAAACTAAGAAATTTAACATCAATTCATTGCCATCATCTAATATGTAGCCCATGTTTAAATTTCATGTACTTAATTTATTTTTATTTTTCTAAAACTTTTATTTTATGTTCAAGGGTTCATATGCTGGTTTGTTATATACGTAAACTCACGTCATGGGGATTGTACAGATTATTTTGTGACCCAGGTGCTAAGCCTAGTACCCAATAGTTATTTTTTCTGCTCCTTTCCCTACTACTACCCTCCACCCTCTATTAGGCCTCCGTGTCTGTTGTTCCCCTCTTTGTGTCTCTGTGTTCTTGTTGTTTAGCTCCTGCTTATAAGTGAGAACATGTGGTCTTTGGTTTTTTGTTCCTCCATTAGTTTGCTAAGGATAATGGCCTCCAGCTCCATCTGTGTTCCTGCAAAGGACATGACCTCATTTTTTTTGGCTGCATAGTATTCCATGGTATATACGTTCCACATTTTTTTTTTATTATACTTTACGTTCTGGGATACATGCGCAGAACATGCAGATTTGTTACATAGGTATACATGTGCCATGATGGTTTGCTGCACCCATCAACCTGTCATTTAGGTTTTAAGCCCCACATGCATTAGGTATTTCTCCTAATGCTATCCCTCCCCTAGCCCCCTACCCCCTGATAGGCCCTGGTGTGTGATGTTCCCCTCCCTGTGTCCATGTATTCTTGTTGTTCAACTCCCACTTATGAGTGAGAACATGCGGTGTTTGGTTTTCTGTTCCTGTGTTAGTTTGCTGAGAATGATGGTTTCCAGCTTCATCCATGTCCCTGCAAAGGACCTGAACTCATTCTTTTTTATGGCTGCATAGTAGTCCATGGTGTATATGTGCCACGTTTTCTTTATCCAGTCTATCATTGATGGGGCCTTGGGTTGGTTCCAAGCCTTTGCTATTGTAAATAGTGCTGCAATAAACATACGTGTGCATGTCTTTATAGTAGAATGATTTGTAATCCTTTGGGTATACACCCAGTAATGGGATTGCTGGGTCAAATGGTATTTCTGGTTCTAGATCCTTGAGGAATCACCACAGTGTCTTCCACAATAGTTAAATTAATTTACACTCCCACCAACAGTGTAAAAGCGTTCCTATTTCTCCACATCCTAGCCAGCATCTGTTGTTTTTTGACTTTTTATTGATCACCATTCTAACTGGTGTGAGATGGTATCTCACTGCAGTTTTGATTTGCATTTCTCTAATGACCAGTGATGATAAGCTGTTTTTCATATGTTTGTTGGCTGCATAAATGTCTTCTTTTGAGAAGGGTCTGTTCATATCCTTTGCCCACTTTTTGATGGAGTTGTTTGTTTTTTTCTTGTAAATTTGTTTAAGTTCCTCGTAGATTCTGGATATTAGACCTTTGTCACATGGATAGATTGCAAAAATTTTCTCCCATTCTGTAGGTTGTCTGTTCACTCTGATGGTAGTTTCTTTTGCTGTGCAGAAGCTCTTTGGTTTAATTAGATCCCATTTGTCAATTTTGGCTTTTGTTGCACTTGTTTTTGGTGTTTTAGTCATGAAGTCTTTGCCCATGCCTATGTCCTGAATGGTATTCTCTAGGTTTTCTTCTAGGGTTTTTATGGTTTTAGGTCTTACATTTAAGTCTTTAATCCATCTTGAGTTAATTTTTGTATAAGGTGTAAGGAAGGGGTCCAGTTTCAGTTTTCTGCATATGGCTAGCCAGTTTTCCCAACACCATTTATTAAATAGGAAATCCTTTCCCCATTGGTTGTTTTTGTCAGGTTTGTCAAAGATCAGATGGTTGTAGATGTGTGGTGTTATTTCTGAGGGCTCTGTTCTGTTCCATTGGTCTATATATCTGTTTTGGTACCAGTACCATGCTGTTTTGGTTACTGTAGCCTTGTAGTATAGTTTGAAGTCGGGTAGCGTGATGCCTCCAGCTTCGTTCTTTTTGCTTAGGATTGTCTTGTCTATACAGGCTCTTTTTTGGGTCCATATGAAATTTAAAGTAGTTTTTTCTAATTTTGTGAAGAAAGTCAATGGTAGCTTGATGGGAATAGCATTGAATCTATAAATTACTTTGGGCGGTATAGCCAATTTCATGATATTGATTCTTCCTATCCATGAGCATGGAATGTTTTTTCATTTGTTTGTGTCCTTTCTTATTTGCTTGAGCAGAGTGTACCACATTTTCTTAATCCAGTCTACCACTGATGGGCATTTAGGTTGATTCTATGACTTGGCTGTTAAGAATAGTGCTGTGATAAACATACACATGCATATGTCTTTATGAAAGAACAATATATATTCCTTTCCTTTGGGTATATGCTCAGTAATGGGTTTGCTGGGTCGAATGGTCATTCTGTTTTCAGCTCTTTGAAGAATTGCCACACTGTTTTCCACAATGGTTGAACCAATTTACATTCCCACCAACAGTGTATAAACATTCCCTTTTTCTCTGCAACCTCACTAACATCTGTTATTTTTTGAATTTTTAATTACAGCCATTCTGACTGGTGTGAAAAGTGTCTGTTCGTGCCCTTTACCTACTTGTTAATGTAGTTATTTGTTTTCTCTTATAAATTTGTTTGTGTCTTAATAGATGCTGGATATTAGACCTTTGTCAGATGCATAATTTGCAAATATTTTCTCCCATTCTGTAGGTTGTCTATTTACTCTGTCGATAGTTTCTTTTGCTGTGTAGAAGCTCTTAAGTTTGATTCGATCCTATTTGTCAATTTTTGCTTTAGCTGCAATTGCTTTTGGCATCTTCTTCATGAAATCTTTGCCAGGTCTTATGTCCACAATAGTATTCACCAGGTTGTTTTCCAGGGTTTTTATAGTTTTTGGTTTTACATTTAAGTCTTTAATACATCTTGAGTTGATTTTTTTTGTATTAGGTATAAGGAAGGGGTCCAGTTTCTATCTTCTGCATATGGTTAGCCAGTTATACCAGCATCATTTGTTGAATAGGGAGCCCTTTCCCCATTGCTTGTTTTTGTCAGCTTTATCAAAGATCAGGTGGTTGTAGGTATGCAGCTTTATTTCTGAGCTCTTTATTCTGTTCCATTGGTCTATATGTCTGTTTTTGTACCAGTACCATGCTGTTTTGGTAGCCGTGTAGTGAAGTTTGAAATTAGGTAGCATGATGCTTTCTGCTTTATTCTTTTTGCTTATAATTGACTTGGCTATTCGAGATCCTTTTTTGTTTCATATGATTTTTAAAATAGTTTTTTTCTAGTTCTGTGAAGACTGTCATTGGTAGTTTGATAGCAATAGCATTGAATCTCTAAATTGCTTTGGGCAGTATGGCCATTTTAATGATATTAATTATTCCTATCCATGAGCATGGAATGTTTTTCCATTTGTTTGTGTCATCTCTGATTTCTTTGAACAGTGTTTTGTAATTCTCATTGTAGAGATCTTTCACTTCCCTGACTAACTGTATTCCTAGGTATTTCATTCTTTTTGTGGCAGTTGTGAATGGGATTGTATTACTGATTTGTCTCTTGGCTTGCCTGTTGTTGGTATAGGACTGCTAGTGATTTTTGTACATTGATTTTGTATCTCGAAACTTTGCTAAAGTTACTTATCAGCCCAGGGAGCTTTTGGGCACAGACTATGGGATTTTCTAGATACAAAATCATGTAATCGGCAAACAGGGATAGTTCGACTTTCTCTCTTTCTATTTGGAAACTCTTTATTTCTTTCTCTTGCCTGATTGCTCTAGCCATGACTTCCAATACTACGTTGAATTGGAGTGGTGAGAGAGGGCATCCAGTGGTGCCCGTTTTCAAGTGGAATGCTTCCATTCTAGCTTCCACCCATTCAGTATGATATTGGCTGTGGGTTTGTCATAGATGGCTCTTGTTATTTTGAGGTATATTCCTTCAATACCTAGTTTGTTGAGAGTTTTTAACATGAATATGTGTTGAATTTTGTTGAAAGCCTTTTCTGCATCTATTGAGATAATCATGTGGTTTTTGTCTTTACTTTTGTTTATGTGATGAATCATGTTTATTAATT